>NC_000004.12:58921381-60171381 GCF_000001405.40 Homo sapiens | reverse complement strand
AGCTTTAATATATCTATGGCAACAAGATTTGAATGTCATTTGCTGCTAAAGTTCAACAATTCTATGGAAGGAGGACAAGATACTAACATCCCAAATAGTTCTTTTATCCAAAGCATAGGTTAGCCATAGTCTTTTAATATTTTGTAATTTTTTCCCAATGAATTTTTGTGTATACTATCAGCTTTATTAAGATACATCTTACTTGAGTAAACTTACAATAATATTTCTAGTTATCCAAAAAAGTAATAAAAAGTAAAAAAAAAGTCAAAACTACTTTTACTCTCACTTATTTTTTATTTTCAATTCATATGTCTGTTTCTCTTAAATGAGATAAAAATGTTTTTGCCAAGTGTTAGAGTTTAAGTAAGAAAATATAGCAAGAAGCTACGATCCTTACTATCTCTTCTTTCTCAAATATGTTGATGTCAATCTCCACTAAAATAAGTTATATGGTAAAGTTAGTGTTTCTTATTTGCATTTAG
Source organism: Homo sapiens (assembly GCF_000001405.40). Taxonomy (NCBI): domain Eukaryota; kingdom Metazoa; phylum Chordata; class Mammalia; order Primates; family Hominidae; genus Homo; species Homo sapiens. The sequence continues at coordinate 60,170,899 of NC_000004.12, read as the reverse complement.
CACAGCAAAAATGAGCAAATTTTCTACATGAGCATTTCATAACATTTATGACATAACTTATGTTTCTTAGATAAAAATAGGTCTCTTTCCATATACAAAAGTAAGTAATCCATATAAAGATAAATGTTTGTTATTTTCAGAAATACAATTTGAATTTTTCTACATTTGACAGTATCAATATTTTTAGCATTTCCAGCCATTACCTTTCTAATGCTATTACCAAAGTTCAGAATATTCTAAAATGTGAACTTCAAGAGACCACACTTACAAAAATTTTGGAAAATGGCACAGGACATGTCAAAGCAAACAGTTTAAGTTTGAACATTCAATGAAGGCTTGTCAATTGTGACAAATATACAATTCTGGTGGGAGGTAGGTAGTGACAGTGGAGAAGGCTATTCATGTGTGGAGGGAGAGGGTATATGGGGAATCTCTTTGCATTCCTCTCAATTTTGCTGTTAAACTAAAACTTCTCTAAAAGGTAACATCTAACTTTAAAAAAGTTGAGTCCTCCAACTTTATCTCTAATATTGTGAGTGCTCTTCTAAGTCTTTTGCCTTTGAGCATAAACTTTAGAATCAATTTTTGCCATTATCTGCAAAGTAGATTGCATGGATTTTGATTGATATCACATTTAATCTATAGATTAATTTAGAAAAAAATAGCATTTTACCAATCTTAAATGTTTCAACCTGTGAACATGGAATATCTATCTATTTCAATATTCTTTGATTTATTTCATCAGAGTTTTATAGTTTTCTGCATATATGGATCCTGCATATATTTTGATAGATTATCATTTTTATGTTACTATTTTTTTTTTTTTTTTTTTTTTTTTTGAGACGGAGTCTCGCTCTGTCGCCCAGGCCGGACTGTGGACTGCAGTGGCGCAATCTCGGCTTACTGCAAGCTCCGCTTCCCGGGTTCACGCCATTCTCCTGCCTCAGCCTCCCGAGTAGCTGGGACTACAGGCGCCCGCCACCGCGCCCGGCTAATTTTTTTTTTTGTATTTTTAGTAGAGACGGGGTTTCACCTTGTTAGCCAGGATGGTCTCGATCTCCTGACCTCATGATCCACCCGCCTCGGCCTTCCAAAGTGCTGGGATTACAGGCGTGAGCCACCGCGCCCGGCCCTGTTGTTACTATTTTAAATGATATTGGATGTTGGATATTTCCTAAAATTTTAAATTCTCATTACTGCTAGAATATGGGGCATCAACTGATTTTTATAGGTAACTTTCATCATGTTACCTCAATACACTAGTTATTAGTTCGAGGAGTATTTGTGACAGACTTTTGGATTTTACATAAATAATCATGACATTTGCAAACAGTTTAATTCTTCTACCCCAATCTGTATATGTTTTAATTTTCTCTTCTTTTCTTATTGCACTAGCTAGGAATTCCAATATGATATTCAATAGGAGTGGTGAGAGAGAACATCCATTCATTGTTCCTTATCTTAGGGGAAAATGTCCGGGTTTTCACTATTAAACATAATGTTAGCTGTAGTTTTTTGTAGATATTTTCTCAAAGTGAGAAAGTTCTCTTCTACTCCTAGTTTGTTTACAAGAGTAGAAATGTTAGAAACACTAACATTATAAGTAACTATCAAAATTAATTTTTAATTTTTGTGTGTACATAGTAGGTATATATATACATGTATGTATGTATATATATGGGTACATGAGATATTTTGATACAGGCATGAAATGCATAATATTCACATCAGGCTAAATGGGGTATTTTTATCATGAATGGGTGTTAGAGTTTATCATATACTTCTCCTGCATCAATTGATATAATCATTTGACGTTTCTAGTTTATTGTTGTGTGGTATTATATTGACTTTGTAAATGTCAACCTAGTCTTACATACCTGTTATAAATCTCATTTGGTCATGATTTATACATTGTGGGATTTTATTTGCTAATATTCTGCTGAGGATTTTGCATCTATGTTCATGAGAGATATTGGTCAGCAGTTTTCCTTTCTTGTAATGTCTTTAACTGGTTTTGGTATTAGGATAATGTTGATCTCACAGAATAAGTTAGAAAATGTTTGCTCTGCTTTGAATTTCTAAAGGTAATTGTGAAGAATTGACATTATTCCTTCCACAAATGGATGGTAGAATTCATCAATGAAACCATCTGGATATGATATTTCTGTTTTTGGAATGGTACTCATTATTGATTCAATTTCTTTAATGTATATAGAACTATTCATATTATATATATTTTTTGTGTGAGTATTGGTAGTCCATATCTTTTAAAGAATGTGTCCATTTCATCTAAGATATCAAATTTGTGAACATAGCATTGTTATTGTTCCTTTAGAAACTTTTAAATTCTCTTGAAACATTAATGTCCCTCAGTAGTGATGGCCTCTCTTTCGTATTAGTACTTTGTGTCTTCTCTCTTTCTTTCTTGGTGAGCCTGGATAGGTGTTAATCTATTTAATTATTCTTTTGTTTGTTTGTTTGTTATGATTTTTCTCTATTGTTTTCCTGTTTTCAATGTTGTTAATTTCTGTTCCAATTTTAATCACTTACACTTGTAGTTTATATTGTTTATCTTGTTCTTGCTTCCTATATATAAAATTTAGTTTTTCTATTTTAAATCTTCCTTTCTAACATGGGCATTTAATGCTATAAATTTCACTTTAAGCACTGTTTCCATTGCATGACACAAACTTAACAAGTTATATTTTCATTTTCATTTAGTTTGAATATGTTTAAACTTTCTCTTGAAACCTCTTCATTTACCTATGTTTACCCGTGACTTTTTTAATCTGCATATATTTGGGGATTTTTCAGCCATCTTTCTGTTATTGTTTTCTAGTCTAATCCCATTTTTTCTGGTAATAGTCTTTGTATGTTTTTTGTACTTTTAAAATTTTAAAGTTCATTTTCCAGACTATTCATATTTATATTTTTTGGTGACTATTCCATGAAACCTTAAGAAGAATGAGTATACTGCTGTTGTTGGATTAAAGTATTCTGTAAATGTCATTAGATCAAGGTGGCTGGTATTGAGATCAGCTTTATCCTTATTGATTTTCTGCCTTCTTGGTTTATCAATTAATGAAAGATTGGAGTTGAACTACCCAAATAGTGGATTTGTCTATTGTTTGATGTCATCCTGTGAGTTTTTGATGCATATATTTTTATGGTCCCTTTTTAGTTGTATACATGTTTAGGGTTGTTAGTCTTTTTTGGGATAACCATGTTATCAATATATAATGTATCTCTTTGTCTCATAAATTTTCTTGATCTGAAGTCTGTTTTGTCTGAAATTAATATGTCACTCCACTTTTCTTTTACTTAGGGTTAACATCATATATCTTTCTGCATCCCTTTATTTTAACCTATCTGAATCTTTATCTATAGAGTGAATGTCAAATAGACAACATATAGTTGGGCCTTGTTATTATATCCACTGTGATAGTCTCTGTCTTTTAATTGATGTATTTAGATAATTCACATTAAATGTTATCATTGATTTAGTTAGGTTAATATCTGTCATATTGGTCATATTTTCTATTTGCGCATTTTTATTTCTGTTAGCTTTTTCCCTTAGCTTTAATTGGACATTTTATGTTACCTTTTGTCTTCTGTCTTACATCTCAACCATGCATTTGAAAAGTTTACAGGTTGCCCTAGTGTCGACGATATTTATTATTAAATACTTTAAGTTTACTTTCAAATAACAGTACACCTCTTCATCTGGGCACGAGTACATTATAACAGAATATTCCCAATTTCTCCCTTCCATTTTTTATAAAATTATTATCATTAATTTTTTTCTGTATACATTGTTACTACTATTGTTTAAACAAGAAAATATCATTTAAACCAGTTAAGAAAAAAATTTGCTTTTATGTATTTCTTCTGTAATGTTCTTTATTTCTTTTTGGAGATTAGAGTTGCTAACCAATATAATCTTTCTTCTCCCTGAAGAACTTCTTTTAACATTTTTTTTTTCAGGGCAAGTAGGCTTTCTATAGATTTCCTTAACTTTTGTTTGCCTGAGAAGTTTTTTCTTTATTTTTCAAGAATTATTTTACTGTATATATAATTTAGGCTTTTTAAAAACATTTAAAATATTCTGCTCTACTTCCTAATTTTTTGTGTGGTAACTAATAAGAACTTAATCATAATTCTTATCTTTTTTCTCTAAAGTTATGCTGTATCTTTTTCTTTATTATTTTTTAAAATACTTTCCTGTCTTTGGTATTCAGTAATTTAAATATGACATGCCAACATGTGGCTTTTTGGGCAATTATTTTGTACAGTGTTCTCTGAACTTACAGTACCTTCTTGTCCTTTATTAATTTGGAAATTTACTGGCTATTACTAATTCAAATATTTCTACCACATCTTTCTTCTTCTCTAGTATTACAATTATGTATCTATTACACATTTTGAAATTTTCCTGAAGTTCTATTACAGTTTTTATTTTGGTCATTCTTTTGTCTTTTAGATTTCAGTTTGGTAAATTTCTGTCAACCTATGTTCAAGCTTAGTAATTATTTCTTCATCAGTTTCTAGTAAGTTAATGAACATATCAAAGACATTTTTTTTTACTGTTTTTGCATTTCCTTTTGATTCTTGCATCTCTCTCTTTATATTACCCATGTATTCTTGCATGTTGTCTACCTTTTCCATTAAAGCCTTTAACATATTAATCAGGTTTACCTTAAATTCCTGAATTACAGCATTTGCACCATATATGAATCTGGTTTTGATGTTTGCTCTACGTTTTCAGACTGTGATTTTCACTTGTTTTTTTTAGCATGTTTTGTAAGTTTTTGTTAAGAGCTGGACATGATTATTGAGTGACAGGAATGGTGGTAAATTTGTCTTTAGTGTAAAGTTTTATGTTATTCTGGCTAGATGTTAGGCTGTATTTAAAGTTTGCTATAGCTATACATAACAGAGATTTCAAATTTCTGTAGTATAATTTTTGTCTCATCTGTTGACTTTGAGTTTCTCTAAGTATTTCTTCTTAAATATTATGCACCATGAACCCCTTTCAGCTGTAATCTATTGCTATTATGCTGAAGTCTGTTTATTTGGTATTAATGTAGAGAGGAGAATACTTTTTCTATAATCTTAAAATTTAATTAAATTTTTTTTTGTAATGGGCCTGTCCTTTACCTTTATGGAGCTTTCTCAGTCCTTCCCCCACCCCGTAAGTGAAACAAAAAGTAGGAGCTAGGGTACAAGAGTTGCCTTTCACACAGGTAGAATAATGCTCTGATAAGGCCTTTACTCCTTAAGTGTAGGGATTTTATATGAAGCACTCTCTGGTCCTATTTCATAATGATTACTGTTCCTCTCCCAATCAAAATCCTTAGGATGATATTTCTCAGTGCTTTACTACAAAACCCCTAGTGGGATTCCTCAAGGTTAAAACCACAAAAATGTTGAGGGCCCTGAAGAATGATGCCCTAGGAGTTTTTGAATCATGCCAGTGCCACTCAGCCTCCAGCAATTTGTCAAAATTATTATTACACAAAATCAGTATTTAAGTGTTCCTCCTAGTGGCTTCTGTTCTAACTAAGCTGATGTCAGCTGTGACTCTCTGGATTAGCCTGTTGCTCCAAAGTTCTGGGTGGTAGTTGGTCCTGTGAGCTCGGTTTGTTGATCAGTCCAAGGAAAGTCATTGACTTTTATTTTGTTTAGTTGTTTCCCGTTGTAAGAATAGGATTAATGATGTCCACACTCTTTTCATTTCAGAGCTGATTAAAAAAGAAACCCCGAAATACAAGTTTTTTAATGTATGTTACCAACAGTGATGCAATGCTTTATTCACTTATTTTAAAATAAGCATTGTTCTTTTAAAAGCTCACATCTAAATATTATTTATATTTTAATATTTTTCACATGCACGTCATTAATCATTATTATTTAATAAAGTTGTTTCGGTCCAAGAATCTTCTTAGCTTAACAATGACTAGATGATATATAACAAAGTACCATCACAATTCAGTATATAGCAACAAACCCAGGTCTGTCTAAAACATTCATTCTTGATAACTGTCCCTTGTATAACCATCAATTTTATTAGGTTGCAATTCAAATGAGGTTGCCATCAAAATATCATCCATCTATGTTTTCAACTTAAATTTCACTCAAGGCAGAAGTTCCTTAAAGCCTTTTTATTTGGCTGGCTCAACACCTATGTGGGTATATGGCAGGGAAACTGTTTTCCTGTTGTTACGGGCAGCTTCCTGCACTGTTAGATTCCATTGACCACACCATTTGTCTCATGAATTAAGTGCTGTGTCTGCATTGATTTACTCGCTATAACACATTTCCTGGTTTAAATTTAATTATCTCTAGTGTATGCAGCTTGTTGCATTAGAATTCATGTATTTATTCATCTGAAACATATTTTGTCATGTATTCCTGGAGCACCTGGGCTCCTTTAAACAAATAAGAGTTAATAAACAAATCCATTTAGCCAGAAGCACATTTCCACACTAACAGCTGTAATCACTCGCTAAACAAGATCATTTACACCTGACTCTTAAAATCAAAGAACTCACAAAATTTTATCTATATTGTTCCCAATTCAGTTTACTTAAAATACCAACTTTCATAGTCATTATTTTATCAAAACAATTGAAAATTGTTCAAGCATTTTGAAGTGAGACTCCGATGTTTCTTGAAGTACATCTGCCAAATAGTGGTTTCAGAAAGTGTCTCATGATGAACATCTGATGTGGTTGATACATGCTATAATATGGAGATTGGCAGTAAAATGGCAAAGAGCTCAGTGAGTTATTTAATCCTGATGGGAGTTTTATGGCTTACTTCTCACATGCAGCTGTTATAGGTTTGTTGTAGTATAATGATGATGCTAAGATTATGGCTTTGATATGAAGTTCTTGGGGCAGGTGTGTTTCTGTCAATTCACCAGCTTCTGGTATTCAAAAGCCTGCTGTTAGAATCTTCAGGAGAGTTTACTCTGTGGGCTCTATAGTTAGGATGTACATTCCACTCTGGAGGAACTATGTGGTAGAGCAATGATAGCAGTAGGGAATTTTGTACAGCTTCGGGAAAACAGCTTCTAGGTTTGAGCTGGGAAGCTATATTAATCACATCCTATATTTTACTTTCTGGTAACAGACATTAGAAAAAATTGTACTTTACATGCAATTTTATTTAAAATTGTGTTTAAAATATTAAATACAAATTGTATTTAAAATTAAAATTTGTGTTATTTTTAATCTTAATGATATGTCCATATACAATATATTTATGACATTATACAGTTGAGAATGTTAAAAATGGGAAAAAGCAACAGTTAAGGTAACAGAGTTAATGATTGATAGAGAAAGAATGCAGCATCAGCTTTCTTGGACTCAGGGCCTAGGTTTTTCTGACCTCATAACATTATTTTGAATAAGGTCATTACATTTCCTGGGTGATGCTGTAAAACCTGGTAAGTGCACTTATTTATGGTTACAATTCAATATCTCAAATATAAACTGATGTTCATTAATTTGTAAATACAATAGTTGTTTTTTTGCATTAAATCATGTCAAGTTTCCCAAAAGAGTTATAATGAGACACATGGGAAAGCTTAAAATGATATTTGTATACCATTCATCAGACCCTGATAATTACATGCATTTTTTTCAATATAGTATTTGGATTTGAGGATGATGATTGGCACATGTTTACACCATAATAGATGAGCTTTTCCCAATTAGTAGAAAATACTTTCAGGATATAGCAAAATTTTAAAACATGGTACGCAGGTTTTAGACTCTGTGATAATACATGATAATTGAGATGGTAGAATACTTAAGCAGGATGGGGAAAAGACATGTTCAAAATCCGATTTGGAAGCTCTTACCCTCATATTAATGGTAAAATTTGATTGAAAACAGAGAAGGCATTTGTAAAAGTCTAGGTAAGATTTATGGTGATGGTTTTCACTGTGCTCGAGATCCCATTCTGCATCTTGAGGGTCATAGTTATTTTTCCTGACCTTAATTCTAAGACAAAGGACATTAAAGAAATATTTGGAGAGGTTATACTCATTCTCTATAATTTTGCAATACATTGAATTCATTTTTAACTGTCAATTGTAAAAAGATCCTCCAAGGGACACATAGGTTAAAATGATTTGAGTTTGCCTGACCTTGATAGTGCTTGGAAAGTAATTGCACTCTTCCATGCACTTGGTCAAAGGTGTATGACTTCCAGGGTCTTGTCTTGAAATCCACATTTGGACTAATGACTTACGAATTTTGAGAAATGATCCTGGTCAAGAAGGCTGAAGGTGATATATGATTTCTTATTTTTATTTTTGTATACTTTAAGTTCTAGGATACACGTGCACAATGTGCAGGTTTGTTACATAGGTATACATGTGCCATGTAGGTTTGCTGCACCCATCAACTCCTCACTTACACTAGGTATTTCTCCTAACACTATCCCTCCCCCAGTCCCCCATCCTCTGACAGGCCCCAGTGTGTGATGTTCCCCTTCCTGTGTCTAAGTGTTCTCATTGTTCAATTCCCACCTATGAGTGAGAACATGTGGTGCTTGGTTTTCTGTCCTTGTGATAGTTTGCTGTGAATCATGGTTTCCAGCTTCATCCATGTCCCTGCAAAGGACATGAACTCATCCTTTTTTATGGCTGCATAGTATTCCATGGTGTATATGTGCCACATTTTCTTAATCCACTCTATCATTGATGGACATTTGGGTTGGTCTCAAGTCTTTGTTATTGTGAATAGTGCTGCAATAAACATATGTGTGCATGTGTTTTCCCAGCACCATTTATTAAATAGGGAATCCCTTCCCCATTTCTTTTTTTTGGTCAGGCTTGTCAAAGATCAGATGGTTGTAGATGTGTGGTGTTATTTCTGAGGCCTCTGTTCTGTTCCATTAATTTATATATCTGTTTTGGTAGCAGTACCATGCTGTTGTTTTGGTTACTATAACCATGTAGTGTAGTTTGAAGTCAGGTAGTGTGATGCCTCCAGCTTTGTCCTTTCTGCTTAGAATTTTCTTGGCAATGTGGGCTCTTTTTTGGTTCCCTATGAAGTTTAAAGTATTTTTTTCCAATTCTGTGAAGAAAGTCATTCGTAGCTTGATGGGTATGGCAATGAATCTATAAATTACCTTGGGCAGTATGGACATTTTCACAATATTGATTCTTCCTATCCATGAGTATGGAAAGTTCTTCCATTTGTTTGTGTCCTCTTTTATTTCATTGAGCAGTGGTTTGTAGTTCTCCTTGAAGAGGTACTTCATATCCCTTGTAAGTTGGATTCCTAGGTATTTTCTTCTCTTTGTAGCAATTGTGAATGGGAGTTCACTCATGATTTGGATCTCTCTTTTCATGTTACTGGTTTATAGGAGTGCTTGTGATTTTTGCACATTGATTTTGTATCCTGAGACTTTGCTGAAGTTCCTTATCAGCTTAAGGAGATTTTGGGCTGAGACAATGGGGTTTTCTAAACGTACAATTATGTCATCTGCAAAGAGGGAAAATTTGACTTCCTCTTTTCCTAATTGATTACCCTTTATTTCTCTCTCTTACCTGATTGCCCTTGCCAGAACTTCCAACACTATGTTGAATAGAAGTGATGAGAGAGGGCGTTATTGTGTTGTGCCGGTTTTCAAAGGGAATGCTTCCAGATTTTGCCCATTCAGTATGATATTGGCTACGGGTTTTTCATAAATAGCTCTTATTATTTTGAGATAAGTTCCATCAATACCTAATTTATTGAGTGTTTTAAGCATGAAGGGCTGTTGAATTTTGTCAAAGGCCTTTTCTGCATCTATTGAGATAATCATGTGATTTTTGTCATTGGTTCTGTTTATGTGAGAGATTACATTTATTGATTTGCATATGTTGAACCAGGCTTGCCTCCCAGGGATGAATCTGACTTGACTGTGGTGGCTAAGCTTTTTGATGTGCTGCTGATTCAGTTTGCCAGTATTTTATTGACGATTTTCTCATTGATGTTCATCAGGGATATTGGCCAAAAATTCTCTTTTTTTTGGTTGTGTCTCTGCACACAACCAAATGGATGAGGCTAGCATCATCCTGATACCAGGCTTTGGTATCATTATTATATATTATATAATATATTATAATTATTGCCTCAATTTCAGAGCCTGTTATTGGTCTATTCAGAGATTCAGCTTCTTCCTGGTTTAATCTTGGGAGAGTGTATGTGTCCAGGAATTTATCCATTTCTTCTAGATTTTCTAGTTTATTTGTGTAGAGGTGTTTATAATATTCTCTGATGGTAGTTTGTATTTCTGTGGGATCAGTGATGATATCCACATTATCATTTTTTTATTGCATCTATTTGATTCTTCTCTCTTTTCTTCTTTATTAATTTTGCTAGCGGTCTATCAATTTTGTTGATCTTTTCAAAAAACCAGCTCCTGGATTCATTGATTTTTTGATGGGTTTTTGTGTCTCTATCTTCTTCAGTTCTGCTCTGATTTTAGTTATTTCTTGCCTTCCTCTCGCTTTTGAATTTGTTTTCTTTAGCTACTCTAGTTCTTTTAATTGTGATGTAAGGGTGTCAATTTTAGATCTTTCCTGCATTCTCTTGTGGGCATTTAATACTATGACTTTCCCTCTACACACTGCTTTAAATGTGTCCCAGAGATTCTGGTATGTTATGTCTTTGTTCTCATTTATTTTAAAGAACATCTTTTTATCTGCCTTCGTTTCCTTGTTTACCCAGTAGTCGTTCAGAAGCAGGTTGTTCAGTTTCCATGTAGTTGTGCGGTTTTGAGTAAGTTTCTTAATCCTGAGTTCTAATTTGATTGTACTGTGGTCTGAGAGACAGTTTGTTTTGAATGCTATTCTTTTACAATTGCTGAGGAGTGCTTTACTTCCAATTATGTGGTCAATTTTAGAATAAGTGCAATGAGGTGCTGAGAAGAATGTATATTCTGTTGATTTGGGGTGGAAAGTTCTGTAGATGTCTATTAGTTCTGCTAGGTGCAGAGCTGAGTTCAAGTCCTGGATATCCTTGTTAACTTTCTGTCTCGTTGACCTAATATTGACAGTGGGGAGGTAAAGTCTCCCATTATTGTTGTGTGGGAGTCTAAGTCTCTTTGTTGTTCTCTAAGGAATTGCTTTATGGATCTGGGTGCTCCTGTATTGGGTGCATATATATTTAGGATAGTTAGCTCTTCTTGTTGAATTGATCTTTTTACCATTATGTAATGGCTTTCTTTGTCTCTTTTGATCTTTGTTGGTTTAAAGTCTGTTTTATCAGAGACTAGGATTGTGACCCCTGCTTTCTTTTTGTTTTCCATTTGCTTGGTAGATCTTCCTCCATCCCCTTATTTTGAGCCTGTGTCTCTGCACATGAGATGGGTCTCCTAATACTGCCCACTGATTGGTCTTGACCATTTATCCAATTGGCCAGTCTGTATCTTTTAATTGGGGCATTTACCCATTTACATTTAAGGTTAATATTGTTATGTGTGAGTTTGATCCTGTCATTATGATGTTAGCTAGTTATTTTGCCCATTAATTGATGGAGTTTCTTCATAGCATCGATGGTCTTTACAATTTGGCATGTTTTTGCAGTGGCTGATACCAGTTCTTCCTTTCCATGTTTAGTGCTTCCTTCAGGAGCTCTTGTAAGGCAGGCCTGGTGGTGACAAAATCTCTCAGCATTTGCTTGTCTGTAAAGGATTTTATTTCTCCTTCACTTTTGAAGCTCAGTTTGGCTGGATGTAAAATTCTAGGTTGAAAATTCTTTTCTTTAAGAACGTTGAATATTGGCCCCCACTCTCTTCTGGCTTGTAGGGTTTCTGCTGAGAGATCTGCTGTTAAGGCTTCCCTTTGTGAGTAACCGGATCTTTCTCTCTGGCTGCCCTTAACATTTTTTTCTTCATTTCAACCTCAGTGAATCTGACAGATATGTGTCCTGGGGTTGCTCTTCTCGAGGAGTATCTTTGTGGTATTCTCTGTATTTCCTGAATTTGAATGTTGGCCTGTCTTGCTAGGTTGGGGAAGTTCTCCTGGATAATATCCTGCAGAGTGTTTTCCAACTTGGTTCCATTCTCCCCGTCACTTTCAGGCACACCAATCAAACGTAGATTTGGTCTTTTCACATATCCCATATTTCTCGGAGGCTTTGTTCATTTCTTTTTACTCTTCTTTTCTCTAAACTTGTCTTCTTGCTTTATTTCATTAAGTTCATCTTGAATCACTGATTTCCTTTCTTCCACTTGATCGAATTGGCCATTGAAGCTTGTGCGTGCATCACGAAGTTCTCGTGCCATGGTTTTCAGCTCCATCAGGTCATTTAAGGTTTTCTCTACACTTTATTCTTGTTAGCCATTTGTCTAAACTTTTTTCAAGGTTTAGCTTCCTTGTGAGGGATTAGAACATGTTCCTTTAGCTCGGAGTAGTTTATAACCAACCTTCTGAAGCCTACTTCTGCCAACTTGTCAAGGTCATTCTCTGTCCAGCTTTGTTCTGTTGCTGACGAGGAGCTGTGATCCTTTGGAGGAGAAGAGGTGCTCTGATTTTTAGAATTTTCAGCTTTTTTGTGCTGGCTTCTCCTCATCTTTGTCGCTTTATCTACCTTTGGTCTTTGATGTTGGTGACTTACAGATGGGATTTTGGTGTGGATGACGTTTTTGTTGATGTTGATGCTATTCCTTTCTGTTTGTTAGTTTTCTTTCTACAGGCAGGTCCCTGAGCTGCAGGTAGGTTGGAGTTTGCTAGATGTCCACTCCAGTCCCTGTTTGCCTGGGTATCACCAGTGGAGGCTGCAGAACAGCAAATATTGCAGAACAGCAAATACTGCTGCCTGATCCTTCCTCTGGAAGCTTCATCCCAGAGGGGCACCTGCCTGTATGAGGTGTCTGTTGGCCGCTACTGGGAGGCGTCTCCCAGTTAAGCTACACGGGGGTCAGGGACTCACTAGAGGAGGCAGTCTGTCCATTCTCAGAGCTCAAACATCATGCTGGGAGAACCACTGCCCTCTTCAGAGCTGTCAGACAGGGACGTTTAAATCTGCAGAAGTTCCTGCTGCCTTTTCTTCAGCTCTGCCATGCCCACAGAAGTGGAGCCTATAGAGGCAGTAGCATTGCTGAGCTGTGGTGGGCTTTGCCCAGTTGAAGTTTCCTGGCCTTTTGTTTACTTACTCAAGCCTCAGCAATGGCAGATGCCTCTCCCCCCACCAGGCTGCAGCCTTGTAGGTTGATCTCAGACTGCTGCAATAGCAGTGGGCAAGGCTCCATGGGTGTGGGACCCACCGAGCCAGGCACGGGAGAGAATCTCCTGGTCTGCCAGTTACTAAGACTGTGGGTAAAGTGCAGTATTGGGGCAGTAGTGTCCTGTTATTCCAGGTACAGTCTGTCACAACTTCCCTTGGCTAGGAAAGGGAAATCCCCCAACCCCTTGTGCTTCCTGGGTGAGGCGATGCCCTGCCCTGCTTTGGCTGCACTCACTCCATGGGCTGCACCCACTGTCCAACCAGTCCCAATGAGATGAACCAAGAACCTCATTTGGAAATGAGGAAATCACCCATCTTCTGCATTGATCACGCTGGGAGCAGAGGCTGGAGCTGTTCCTTTTCAGCCATCTTGGGATGGAAACTCATGATATGTTTTTTCAAAAGCAGAAAAAGTAAGAAGATGGGAATAAGGTGGAGGTTTAAACAGTCAGTGCAAGCAGAAGCATTGTCCAATAGCAAAAGAGTTGTAGTAGGCTAATCAGTCATATAACTTACTCATGCAAGCAGGAGAGAAATGATAAGCTATCAACAACTGCCAACGTAAGAGATTTTGTTTTTTTTTATCTTTGTATCTCTGAGTACAACTTTAGTTCTGTAGTGTATCAGTAAGTTTCTGCTGTGTAACAAACCACCCCAAAACTTAATGAGTTAAAGTAATAAATATTTACTTCATATGATTTAGAGGATTGATTTGTTGGTTCTCCTCATGTGAACCTCATGAAGGACTTCCTTGTCATTCAGTTGGCTTGGCTCATCTGGCAGCTCAGCTGACAATTAACAAGCTAGGATCATAATTGCTGGCAAAATGGGCAAATAGGAACAGCTACAGTCTGCAGCTCCCAGCGAAATTGACGCAGAAGATGGGGGATTTCTGCATTTCCAACTGAGGTACAAGCTTCATCTCACTGGGACTGATAGGACAGTGGTTGCAGCCAATGGAGGGAGGGCCGAAGCAGTGTGGAGCATCATCTCACCCAGGAAGCACAAGGGTAGGGGAATTTTCTCCCCTACCCAAAGGAAGCCATGAGGGACTGAGCCTGAGGAACTGTGCACTCTGGCCCAGATACTATGCTTTCCTCACAGTCTTTGTAATCCGCAGACCAGGAGATTCCCTCCAGTGCCTAACCCACCAGGGCCCTGGGTTTCAAGCACAAAATTGGGCAGCCATTTGGGCAGACACTGAACTAGCTGCAGGAGGTTTTTGTTTGTTTGTTTGTTTGTTTGTTTGTTTGTTTTTCCATTACCCAGTGGCACCTGGAACACCAGTGAGACAGAACCATTCACTCCCTGGGAAAGGGGGCTGAAGCCAGGGAGCCAAGTGGTCTGGTTTGGCAGGTCCCACTTCCACAGAGCTCAGAAAACTAAGATCCACTGTCTTGAAATTCTCGCAGCCAGCACAGTAGCAGTCTGAGATCGACCTGGGATGCTCGAGCTTGGTTTGCGGGGGCAGTATTCACCATTGCTGAGGCTTGAGTAGGTGGTTTTACCCTCACAGTGTAAACAAAGCTGCCAGGAAGTTCAAATTGGGCAGAGTCCACCACAGCTTAACAAGGCCTCTGTGGCCAGACTGTCAGATTTCTACTCTCTGGGCAGGGCATCTCTGAAAAAAAGTCAGCAGCCCCAGTCAGGGACTTATAGATAAAACCCCCATCTCCCTGGGACAGAGCACCTGGGGGAAGGGGCTTCTGTGGACACAGCTTCAGCAGACTTAAATGTCCCTTCCTGACGGCTCTGAAGGGAACAGCACAGCGTTCAAGCTCTGCTAATGGTCAGACTGCCTCCTCAAGTGGGTCCCTGACCCCCATGTATCCTGACTGGGAGACATCTCCCAGTAGGGGCCAACAGACACCTCATACAGGAGAGCTCTGGCTGACATCCGCCAAGGGCCCCACTGGGATGAAGCTTCCAGAGGAAAGAACAGAGCAATCTTTGCTGTTCTGCAGCCTCTGCTGGTGATACCCAGGCAAAGAGGGTTGGGAGTGGACCTTAAACAAACTCCAGCAGACCTGCAGCCTGACTGTTAGAAGGAAAACTAACAAACAGAAAGAAATAGCACGTCCACTCAGAGACCCCATTTGATGGTCACAAACATCAAAGACCAAAGGTAGAAAAATCCACAAAGATGAGGAGAAGCCAGCACAAAAAGACTGAAAATTCTAAAAACCAGAAAGCCTTTTCTCCTCAAAAGGATCATAACTCCTCACCAGCAAGGGAACAAAACTGATTGGAGGATAGGTTTGACGAATTGACAGAAATAGGCTTCAGAATATGGGTAATAATAAACTCCTCCGAGCTAAAGGAGCATGTTCTAACCCATCACAAGGAAGCTAAGACCTTGAAAAAAAAATTAGATGAATCGCTAACTAGAAGAACCAGTTTAGAGAAGAACATAAATGACCTGATGGAGCTGAAAAATGCAGCACGAGAACTTCATGAATCATACACACGTATCAAAAGCTGAATTGATCAAGCAGAACAAAGGATATCAGAGATTAAAGAGCAACTTAATGAAATAAAGTGAGATGACAAGATTAGAGAAAAGAGAATAAAAAGAAACAAAGAAAGCCTCCAAGAAATATGGGACTATGTGAAAAGACCAAATCTACATTTCATTGGTGTGCCCAAAAGTGATGGGGAGAATGGAACCAAGTTGGAAAACACTCTTCAGGATATCCGGAGAACTCCCCAACCTAGCAAGACAGGCCAACATTCAAATTCAGGAAATTCAGAGAACACCACAAAGATACTCCTTGAGAAGAGCAACCCCAAGACACATAATCATCAAATTCACCAAGGTTGAAAGGAATAAATGTTAAGGGAAGCCAGAAAGGTCGGGATACCCACAAAGGGAAGCCCATCAGACTAACAATGGATCTCTAAGCAGAAACTCTACAAGACAGAAGAGAGTGGGGGCCATTATTTGACATTCTTAAAGAAAAGAATTTTCAACCCAGAATTTCATATCCAACCAAACTAAGCTTCATAAGTGAAGGAGAAATAAAATCCTTTACAGACAAACAAATGCCGAGAGATTTTGTCACCACCAGGCCTGCCTTACAAGAGCTCCTGAAGGAAGCACTAAACATGGAAAGGGACAACCAGTACCAGCGACTGCAAAAACATACCAAACTGGAAAAGCCATTGATGCTATGAAGAAACTGCATGAACTAAAGAGCAAAATAACCACCTAACATCATAATGACAAGATCAAATTCACACATAACAATATTAACCTTAAATGTAAATGGGCTAAATGCCCCAATTAAAATACACAGACTGGCAAATTTGATAAAGGGTCAAGACCCATTGGTGTGCTGCATTCAAGAGACCCATCTCATGTGCAAAGACACACATAGGCTCATAATAAAGGGATCGAGGAATATTTACCAAGCAAATGGAAAGCAGAAAAAAGCAGCAGTTGCAATCGTAATCTCTGTTAAAACAGACTTTAAACCAACACAGTTCAAAAGAGACAAAGGCAGACATTACATAATGGTAAAGGCATCAATTCAACAAGGAGAGCTAACTATCCTAAATATATATGCACCCAATACAGGAGCACCCAGATTCATAAAGCAATTTCTTAGAGACTTACAAAGAGACTTAGACTCCCACACAATAATAGTGAGAGACTTTAACACCCCACAGTCAATATTAGACAGATCAATGAGACAGAAAATTAACAAGAATATTCAGTACTTGAACTCAGCTCTGGGCCAAGCAGACCTAATAGACACCTACAGAACTTTCCACCCAAAATCAATAGAATACACATTCTTCTCAGCACCACATCACACATATTCTAAAATTGACCACATAATAGGAAGTATAACACTCCTCAGGAAATGCAAAAGAATGGAATTCACAACAAGCAGTCTCTCAGACCACAGTGTAATCAAATTAGAACTCAGGATTAAGAAACTCACTCAAAATTGCATAACTACATAGAAACTGATCGTCCTGCTCCTGAGTGACTACTGGGTAAATAATGAAATGAAAGCAGAAATAAAGATGTTCTTTGAAACTAATGAGAACAATGACACAATGTATCAGAATCTTTAGGACACATTTAAAGCAGTGTGTAGAGGGAAATTTATAGCACTAAATGCCCATAAGAGAAAGCAGGAAAGAACTAAAATTGACACCCTAACATCAAAAGTAAAAGACCTACAGAAGCAACAGCAAACACATTCAAAAGCTAGCAGAAAACAAGAAATAACTAAGATCAGAGCAGAACTGAAGAAGGTGGAGACAGGAAAAACCCTTCAAAAAATCAATTAATCCAGGAGCTTGTCTTTTGAAAAGATCACCAAAATCAATAGACAGCTAGCCAGACAAATAAGGAAGAAAATAGAGAAGAATCAAATAGTTGCAATAAAAAAGATATAGGGGATATCACCACCAATCCCTCAGATATACAAACTACCATCAGAGAATACTATAAACACCTCTATGCAAATAAATTAGAAAATCTACAGGAAATGAATAAATTCCTGCATGCATACACCCTCCCAAGTCTAAATCAGAAAGAAGTCGATTCCCTGAATAGACCAATAAGAAGTTCTGAAATTGAGGCAGTAATTAATAGCTTACCAACCAAAAAAAGTCCAGGACCAGATGGACTCACAGCTGAATTCTACCAGAGGTACAAGGAGGAGCTGTTACCATTCCTTCTGAAACTATTCCAATCAACAGAAAAAGTGAGAATTCTCCCTAACTCATTTTATGAGGCCAGCATCATCCTGATACCAAAACCTGGAAGAGACACAACAACAACAAAAAATTTCAGGCCAATATTCCCGATGAACATTGATGTGAAAATCCTCAATAAAATATTGGCAAACTGAATCCAGCAGCACATCAAAAAGCTTATCCACCACGACCAAGTAGGCTTCATCCCTGGGATGCAAGGCTTGTTCAACATACACAAATCAATAAACGTAATCTATCACATAGGCAGAAGAAATGACAAAAACCACATGATTATTTCAACACATGCAGAAAAGACCTTCAACAAAATTCAACAGCCCTTTATGCTAAAAAGTCTCAATAAACTAGGTCTCGGTGGAACGTATCTCAAAATATTAAGAACTATTTATGACAAACCCACAGCCAATATCACACTGAATGGGCAAAAACTGGAAGCATTCCCTTTAAAAACTGGCAGAAGACAAGTATGCCTTCTCTCACCACTTCTATTCAATACAGTATTGGAACTTCCGACCAGGGAAATCAGCCAAGAGGAAAAAAATAAAAGGTATTCAAATGGAAAGAGAGGAAGTTAGATTGTCTCTTTTTGCAGATGACATGATAGTATATTTAGAAAACTCCATCATCTCAGCCCAAAATCTCCTTAAGCTGATAAGCAACTTCAGCAAAGTCTCAGGATGCAAAATCAATATGCAAAAATCATATGCATCCCTATACACCAATAACAGACAAACAGAGTCAAATTGTGAGTGGATTGCCATTCACAATTGTTACTAAGAGAATAAAATACCTAGGAATACAACTTACAAGGGATGTGAAGGATCTCTTCAAGGAAAACTACAAACCACTCCTCAAGAAAACAAGAGAGGACATAAACAAATGGAAAATAATTCCATGCTCATGGATAGGAAGAATCAATATCGTAAAAATGGCCATACTGACCAAAGTAATTTATAGATTCAATGCTATCCCTGTCAAGCTACCATTGACTTTCTTCATGGAATTGGAAAAAAATACTTTAAACTTAGTACGGAACCAAAAAAGAGCCCGAATAGCCAAGACAATCCTAAGCAAAAAGAAAAAAGCTAGAGGCATCATGCTACCTGACTTCAAACTATACTACAAGGCTACAGAAACCAAAACAGCATGATACTGGTACCAAAACAGATATATAGACCAATGTAACAGAACAGAGGCCTCAGAAATAACACCACACATCTACACCCATCTGATCTTTGACAAATCTGATAAAAACAAGCAATGGGGAAAAGATTCCCTATTTAATAAACAGTGTGGAGAAAACTGGCTAGCCATATGCAGAAAATTGAAACTGGACTCCTTTCTTACACCTTATACAAAAATTAACTCAAGATGGGTTAAAAACTTAAATGTAAGACCTAAAGCCATAAATATTCTAGAAGAAAACCTAGGCAATACCATTCAGGATATAGGCATGGGCAAAGACTTCGTGACTAAAACACAAAAAGCAATGGCAACAAAAGCCAAAATTGACAAATGGGATCTAATTAAACTAAACAGCTCCTGCACAGCAAAAGAACCTATCATCAGAGTGAACAGGGAACTTACAGAATGGGAGAAAATTTTTGCTATATATCTATCTGAGAAAGGGCTAATATCTAGAATCTACAAAGAACTTAAACAAATTGACAAAAAAAAAACCCATCAAAAAGTGGGCAAAGGACATGAACAGACACTTCTCAAAAGAAGACATTTATGCAGCCAACAAACATGAAAAAAATCTCATCATCACTGGTCATTAGAGGAATGCAAATCAAAACCACAATTAGATACCATCTCATGCCAGTTAGAATGGTGATCATTAAAAAGTCAGGAAACAACAGATGCTGGAGAAGATGTGAGGAAATAGGAACACTTTTATACTGTTGGTGGGAGTGTAAATTAGTTCAACCATTGTGGAAGACAGCATGCTGATTCCTCAAGGATTTAGAACTAGAAATACCATCTGACCCAGCAATTCCATTACTGAGTATATACCCAAAGGATTATAAATAATCTACTATAAAAACACATGCACACATAAGTTTATTTTGTCACTATTCACAATAGTAAAGACTTGGAACCAACCCAAATGCCCATCAATGTTAGATTGGATAAAGAAAATGTGGCACATATTCACCATGGGATACTATGCACCCATAAAGATGATGAGTTCATGTCTTTTTCAGGGACGTGGATGAAGCAGGAAACCATCATTCTCACTAAACTAACACAAGAACAGAAAACAAAGCACCACATGTTCTTACTCATAATTGGGAGTTGAACAATGAGAACACATGGACACAGGGAGGGGAACATCACACACTGGGGCCTGTCAAGGTGGGGGACTAAGGGAGGGATAGCATTAGGAGAAATATCTAATGTAGGTGATGGGGTGATAGGTGCAGCAACACCATGGCACATGTATTCCTATGTAACAAAACTACATGTTATATATATATATTATATAACATATGTATAATATATATATTATATATAGCTAAAATGGCCAGACCCACATGGCTGGCAGGTGGCTTTAGGACAGCCAGGAAAATCTAGATGACATGGATACATATCTCTCATCAACCAGAAGGCTGTGTCTGTCATGTTCACATGGAGTTGCTCAGTTTTCCAATAATAGCAAGAGAGACCAAGCCTCAATGTATAAACACTTTGAAGTCTCTGTGTGCATAACATCTGATACTGTCCTATTGGCCAAAGCAATTCACATGGCTAACCCTCGGGTCTGAGAGGAGACTATTCAATAGTAGGAACAGAGGAAGAGAAAAACTTTGACATGTCTTACACACAATCTATAACATGGAGATTTTAGAAGCAGTTTACTGAAGCAAGCCAAAATGAGGGAAAGGAAAAAAGATTCATTATTATGTAAAATATATAGTGTTGGCTATTTTTGCAGAACTATACTATTCTAGAGACTAAAGAAATTGTAGTGGTTTTACTATCAAGTAACGACAAGGAAACAACATATAATTCTCAGATTTCATTCAAGCTTACCAAATGTACTAGCCTACGGAATGCATTTGAGCAGGTATTGAAAGGGAGTAATTATATTGCTGTATGACAACATCTCTCAATGTCCGTTTGTTTGATGTAATGATTACAGGTAATATGCAATCATATAGTAGAGTAGAACCTTAAAACTGCTGGATGTAGCCCAAAAATATGTTTCATTTTGTCTATTCAGTGTTAAACTATAGTAGTCAACCAGATGTAAAAGTGAAGCGACATTACATATACACACCCAAAACTGAGCTTTGGTCATCGTTGAAAAACATCTTACTTCTCTCAAAGCCACTGTGGCTGGAAGTGAATATTAGCTACACAAAGTTTATCAGTTTTTCCTGTTGAAACACCATTTCAGCCTATTCAAGATCACATAGTAATGATCGAAAGAAAGTAAATAAATGCATATATAAAGCTATACATATCTGTACAACTGCAAAAATCCCTGCTTTCCTATGCAATACATAGTCCATATATACTAAACCAACTCAATCCCATTATATTGCTATTGTGTTGAATTTCATTTCTCAGCCAATGGGATGATTGCATTACATTTGTAATATTATTTTATGATATTTTTGTTTTGAGCAATCCATAAATTAGCATTTATTAGTCTTAGTTATTAAATATATAATAGTTTATAGGGATGTTAAAGTCTGACAAGAATGGAGACAATTTATAAAAATGTTTAAAATAGTTTTATATATTTGCAACATTATAAGAAAATATATGGAAAATCTGATCATTTAAGGCATTGATTTGTAGCTAAAATATGTTTACATGTATTCTATCCATATGAGCAAAATACAGTAATTGCATAGGCTTCAAAGGTAATAGACCAGAGGATTTTCTATAGGAAATGAATTAATGGGTCCATTGCACATGAAATCCCATTTTGTTAAATGAAACAAGCCCAGCGGTCTTTATTGATCTCATTGTTTTTAGATTGGTTATGCCTCCTAGTTTCCTTTAATTAAATCAAAGCTACTATGTGGATGTGGGAAAATAGTCTTGAAAATGTGTCATAATCAACTGCCATAAAATTAACCTCAAATTCATACTGCCCCCAAATATTCTATCATAAACACATCCTGAATTAATATAATTCTGAAATACTTAGTTTCATAATAATGAAGGATAAAGAAATTAACATGGCATTTGTTTACATAAAAGAAATAAATTGTCTTGAATTGTACAGGGTTAAATTTTCATGTCAGAGAATTTACATGGGGAAATAATCAAGTTTCATTGCATGAAAATTAGTTACACTTGTGTGCATGTGAACACACATGCACAAACTTCCTTAAACATTTATTTCAGGTATTAAAAGACTTAAGTAAGTAGAGAGGGAACTGTACTGATTTTCAACTTTATACTCAAAATGCGATAAAAGACATTATTGAATGCAAAAATTAGGCTTACTCGTGAGTATATACCTTTTCATAATCCTGTAAACCTCTGGGATCTTCATAAGGAAACACTTTTCTGGACTAATTAAGCTGAATAGATTGAGGAAAAAAACATAGGTTTTCTTTTCAACCTTTTATTTTCTCTAAATACATACATACATACATATGTGCACACATATCCAACTGTCTATTTAGAAAAATTTCATGACATCAGAGTAACAGAAAGGTCACCATAAAGATTATTCAAACATATATACATATGGACTTGAGAGACAATATTTAACTTATCCCAGTTTTCAAAATGAACAATGTGGAAACAACACAGTAGGAAAAGGTACAATCATCACAGTTTGAACGCTCATTAAAGTAAATGTGCTTTTTATTAGATTGTTTATTTTTCCTTTTGAAACCACTAACTTAACCTTTCAACAATTATCATTGCTGTTGTACTAAATCAATTGTTAAAGTTTTGTTATAACATGGTATCAATTTTAACAATTTAACAAATATAAATTTCCTCTGTCTCCTTACTCATACTTAGCTAACTTTTATTGAACTTTAAATCATTGAATGTTTTCTACATATTATACAGAATCATAGGAATTATTGACTAAAATAGACATATAAAGAGCCATTCAAAAGAACGTTTTATAAATCAATTATTTGAAGTACTATTATTTCTCCCAGAGTGGAGTTAACTAATTTTAATTCCCATTATCAATTTGAATTGTCAATATGATTTTGAGTCTAAGCACTGTATATGGTTTTATCAAAATACAACATTATATCAACCTTTATTTTAATTAGTTCTGCTTCCAAGGGATTTTATGTTCAGATATGATTGAATGAAATGTAAAAATAATATTCATAGAAAAATAAGATATTTTATAGACAGTTTTACAACTTTTGAAAACCAGTATTAATTCTGACAAATAAATATTGTCAAAATATTTTTCTTGATTTCTATGAATACCTTAATATTATTAGCAAGAAAAATCTATTGTAATATTTGATAGATTTTAATATCAATTGCAAAATACTTGCTACATAACCATCAAGCACACTGTGTGAAACCTATAAACCTTATTCATTTTTTGAAAAAGCATGTGTACATTATTATTTATCTGACACATGGGAATGGAAATGACATTAGGCAAAATTAAGTAATCAGAAAAAAATTATTCAAAAAGTTAACCTCTTTTCTCATTTTATTAAAAAAAATTGATAGGCATTTTCTTTTTCATTACCACCCTGATATTCTCATTTTATCAATGGTGTACAGATTTCTTAGGACAAAAAAATAGAATTAATTTCCACTTTATAAATTTAATTTTCTATAGAAATATTTAATATGTATGGTGTAAAAGCCAAAAATATGCCTCTATAGATCTTGACAAAAAAACAAAATTTTAAGTCAGAGGACCTGAAAATTATTACTGAATTAAGATTGTTCATTTTTATGTTTTCTCACAATTAAATCTGATGTTTCTTAAGTTATGGACTTCATGATAATTAAAAACTGATTCTTTTGTAGTACTTTCCTTTATGTGCACATATTAGCTAGGACTACTTCTGTTGCAAGGCAAACAATCCTTATCCAAAAGCATTTATGCATAAAATAGAACTTACTGTTTCATGTAATAAGAGTCCAGGGGTGGATGTGGCTTCAGGTCTGGGTTTATTCAGGACTCAAATGAGTCACCAAAATTGCACCAAGTTTTGCATTTTCCCCCCAGCAGTCTCAGGTTAATATTATCACAATATTCAGATATATTACATAAAGAGAATCTGATGATTCACACACAATTCTTCCTCCTAATCTCTGAACCTAGCACTATGGATCCAAGAACGTAATCATTTGATTGGCTTAATATAGGTTAAAGATTACTCTTTTGGCTCCTAGGGCGTAATCCAGTATATACACATTACATGGATTTAGAGCATTGGAGCAATATTTGAATTTGACAACTAGAAGGAATATGAAAGATGACAAGAGGTAATGACAATAGTCACAGTAGTGCTGATATTCACTTTTATATGACTATCAGGAGATTTGGTGAAATATCAGTTTCCAGTCATTAATCAGTGTGTATAACTTAAGTTCTGATTATGGCACTAAATTAACTTTCTATTGATCTCCAATGAAGACATTAAATTTGTATGGGGATGCCTTGCACATGGACTAAACACAATATCTTGCATTATTAAAATGTTCAAGCATTTACAAAAGTAGATAAACAAAGATTCTCCCATTTTACCTATCTCTCAGTATCAACTTTTAACAATTCATAGCAGATCATGTTTCAACTCTACCTCATAGTTAGTCCGTCCTCTACTTCATTTCTATTCCATACTCATTGGACAGTTTTAATGAAAAGCCAATAATAATATAATTCCATCCACAAATGTCATATAAACTTTATAATTCAACCTGTAAGATAGTGGGATTTTACATTTGGGGTACTTTAATATGTCTAAATATGGATACTCAATATTCCCAATTAATAATGGATAAAATCAGAAATAGAGAAATAAATTATACTCATTCTATTTCTTCCTATTACACTGTAGTGTTTTCATAATGAAGCATATTCTGATTTCTGATCATGAAATATTTAAACTGGAGAGATACAACAAACAACATTAATATTCACTTGTCTTTTATTTCTCTTTTATTGTTAATGGATTTGGAGTCCCAATGTCTGGAATAGCTAAGCAATGCCAAATTCTTAGATGACATTTAAATTTTTAAGAGGTAATAATCACAGCTTAAATATACATGCATAGTGGTTGCTTGAGCTGAATTTTTAAACATTTGTTTTGAAAAATTAATACAAATTAACTATTATATTTTATAAACACAATGGCTATTTTGAGTCAAAGGGACTTAAAGTGTAATCCGAGTTGGTTATGTGATCCTGGCAAAGTCATATAACACCTCTGAGCCCCTGAATCTTCTAGTCTTAGTCTTCTAGTTGAGGAATATTATATTTACCTTGTAGGAGTTTCCGTAGACTTAAGAATATGTGAAGAACCTAGAAAAGTATCCAATTGGAACTACTTTATAAAAGCACAACAACATGCATTTCAAAATATCAATTCCATTAAAATATTAGGTAAAAATAATTCACTTATGAGTATTTTTAAAAGTTATTCAAAGTAATATGTTTGGGATAAATACACTAAAACACTTACAAGACTGGATAAAGACAGAAAGTGGAAAAGACAGCAGTTTTGAAATGATCATAGTTCTCCTAATAGGACTAATATCCTTCTTAAATTTCCACAAGGTTATTTAATTTTAAAACTCTTTTTAATGTAAAACAATAGACATGAACCCTTTTCTACTATCAGCTCAGCTTCTCCCTATGTGCAACTCAACCACAAGAAATATTTCATAAAAACAACCATTTTAATATTTTTTCAACAATAAGAACAATAAATGGAAGCATCATGAAAGTAAGACTACCTGTTGCTTTATTTGCATTTGTGATTTGTGATACTTGATCAATAAGAATGCATCCACATAAATTCAAAATTTAAAAAATCTTGAATTTTTATTGCAGTCATCTCATTCTATCACTTTAACATGCCAAAGTTCAGAGAGATTAAATTTCACTCAGTCATGTCTCCAGTATATGGTAAAAACTGCATTAATTAATCAATTAAAATAGAAAAATTCTGGCAACTCATACACTACAACATGTTTAAGATGAGAATACTGTCAATATCACAGAAATTTTTTTATGCTCGAGTTAATTAAAAAATGCCTGTAAGAATGCCATGTTAAAAGGAAAGTCTGAATACATATTAGACAACAGAGATTATAATGATGATGATGACAAAATGATGACAACCTTGAGAAAAAATCCTGTCGCATCAGAAGTCTTTCTTTCCAGATACCATATTAATATACCTGTTAGTAATGTATATATGTGTCATAAATAGTTTAATGGACACAAATTTCTCCCAGACAAATATGCATGCCACTTTCCAACACAGCATTGCCAATCCTCTCATTCAGAGGGCAGGCCTTGTGATTTTCTTTGATAAGCTAAATGTTATGGGACTCATAATTTGTGAGTTCTGGAGTCTAGGCCTTATGAGATTCCTTAGTGCTTCCACAATTTCCACCTTTAACATTTCCCTGAGATCATCATATACTAGTGAAGGCAATTAGCTTAATAGAGAATGAGAAATCACTCGATACTCCAAATAACAGCCGTTTCCACTAGTCAGGTGTGTTATTAAGGTCGTCTTATATGTTCTATTCCAACGAACCCTTCACCTGAAATAGTCAATCGGTCAATGCATCAGAATTTATTAGAAAATTAAGTCATGGTGTAAGCACAAGCTTTATGGTAGTGTGATGCTTAACAACAGATACAAGCAGACCTTTTCATTACTTTTACTCTGTTCACTTTGATGATTCTTAAAGCCTTTCCTTTTTATTTTATTTTATTTTAATTTTTTGCAGGGACAGGGTCTCACTGTGTTGCTCAGGCTGGCCTCAAACTCTTAGGCTTAATGAATACCTCTGGCCTCATCCGCTCAAATAGCTGTAACTACTGGTGCATGCCACAGCGCACAGCTCACCTTTGCTTTTTAAAGCATAAAATTATGTTTGTTTTCTAAATATCACTAACAGTGATCTGAGTAAAATTCTATATTTTAGGCAAAAAGTTTACTTAATTAGTCTGCATGAGTAAAAATCAATAATAATAAATACATATACTACTTTATGAAAATGATTAACTTAATAATCAAATAACTTGAGCAAATAATTGATTCAGCTTAAAAGGACATTCTATTATGCCAATTTATTTAGGGTAAAAGAAAGTTGAAATATATTGCAGAACTGTAAGACAGTTAACAGTATATATTATAAAACCATATTGTTAGTCAATTTGCTACTACATAGGAAGAGTTTTGGTGATTAAATAGACCCTGTAATACAGTGGTAATTTAAAAATATTTTTTAAAATTTTAGAACAGTTTTATATTTAGAGAGAAAATGTAAATATATATAGGGACCATATAACCCACACTCAATTTCCTTATTGTGAGCATCATATGTTAGGCATTTCTATTACTAACATAATGTAATAACATTAATACATTATAATAAATAAAATTTACATATTGATCAGAGTTCTTTAGCATTACCAAATCATTTTTTTTCTGTTCCAGGGTTCAAGATATTACATTACATTTAGTCCTTATATCTCCTTAGCCTTTTTGCCTGTGACAGTTCCTGAGATTTTCATTGAGTTTGAAGTTTTGAGGAATGCTCACCAGGTAATATGTAATAGTTATCACGTAATCCCTCAATGAAGATTGGTCTGATATTTTCTTTATGATTAGTATGGAGTTGTGTAGTTTTCAGACAAAGACCACAGAGGACAATTTTATCATATATCAAGGTAGATACTTTCAACATGACTTGTCACTCTTGATACTGAAATTGATAATCTGGCTGAGATCGTTTTTCAGGTTTCTTCACTGAAACTTTGTCCCCCTTCTCCCTACCAGGGCCTTTCCATACTGTACTCTTTGAAAGGAAGTAACTACACAGAATCCATACTTAATGAATGAGAATTATGTGTCCCTAATTTGAGGGCAGAGTTTCCGTAAAAATTATTTGAAATTCTTCTACATATGAGAATTTTTTCTTCTGCCTTTATTTTATTTGTTTGCTTGTTTATTTGCTTACCAGGTTCCATCTGTATGGACTCATAGATATTTGCTTTACACTTTGGGTTATAATCCAATACTATTTATTTTATTTTATTGCTAAATAATATCACAAAAGGTAAAATGTCCAAATTGTATTATATGAGTATGGTAAGATATTAAGAGTTTTTTTAGAAGCCATTAAATTGTCTCAGGAAATTTGCCTTTAATGCAAATGAGATGAAAAAAATTACATTCCAGCGTGGAGAAAAAGGGAAACTCCCCTTCACCCTCTGAAGTCTCACTGAAAACTTACAAAAGGCAGAGTAATAGGAGGAAACACATAAAAATGTATTAGCATGCATGAGAAGACTCACAAAGTGATTGGTCCACCATGCAATAAGGTGAAGATGGTTATGTACCCTTCTTAGTGGAAAGGGAGATTCGGGAGTATAGATAATTTTAGGAGTGTTATAAATAATTTTTAGATAAATTCAATGGGTTTTAAGAACATACAATAGCCTGGTACAAAGTCTGTTGAGCCAATGGAACAGACAATGATTTATGACAAAAGTCTGCCCAGTTTCTTCAAAGATTAAAGAAAGACTTCAATCTTTCTTTCTTCCATATGATTTAAGGTAATGAAAACTCAGGGAAGAGGCCAGAGACAACTGTTTTCCTTTTTTTTTGTGGGGGCAGGGGAGGACTTTAGGCAGATAAGGAAACTTCCTAGAGCAACTTTATCCTGTGCTTTGGAAGAGATGGATGATTGAGAAATGAGGAGGTTGGAGGGAAGGTCAGAGATACCTTGAGGCATTTAGTTCAGCATGCTGAAGCATCATATTTGGGGGTACTGGTTTATGAGCCCCAATACCAGTTAAAAAATGAAAAAATAAAATTTTACTGGGAAAAATGATCAGCAAATATGTGCAGATAGTTTTACGTAAAGTAACAGTATGAATAATAAAATAAGAAAAAGATAAAGAAAGTTGAATAACAATATTCTCTAGTAACTAAAAGAACAAATACATGAAAAATCAGTTAAAAATATTTCAGGGCATTTTCTCTAAGGAAAACATTTTTAGCATCTTTAAGTTACTGGAGAAAAAAATATTTTCCAGTAAGCGTTTAACCAAGGGTCTCTCCTATGGTAAAATATTCCTCAGGTTATCATTATTGAGAGTCATCTCTGAGAAAATGGGAAATGAAACTCTATGGACAACATGGGTATGCAGGGACAAAGTATGACCTTTATCTAAAATAGCAACAATGATTTCCAATATGATATTATCATGAGAAATTCAGGGAGAGTTTGAAGTAAAGATGTTGGCCTAAAGCAAGCAGGTTCAAATGGCAGAAAAGACGACACAGAAATTTCTATTCCCATTTTCGCTTAGTTTGTAATGCGCTTAGTCTAACTTATGCCATTTCATGTAATAGTAGTGTAACTGGTAGTATATATATGACTGATTTTGGCAAATCTAATGACAATCTGATAATGATGATCAATATTACTAAGAAATTGTCAATAAATAATTAAAATATCCACATCAAATTCTTTCAGTGGATGCTGATTGCCCAGTGGAGGAACTAGATTTAATTAACAATTAATAGTTACATTAAATTAGTCTATTGTTTTTTTTTTAATAAATTTCAGATGTCAATGGTAGTGGGAAGTAAAAGAATTGTCAAGCTTGTATATAATTATAAACAACTAAAATATCTGGTAAACTAAAACATTTCCTTAAAGCAATAAATACACTTCAATTGATAACTCAAGTGATTATTATTTTGGTCAGTAACCTTTTGCTTTTTATGTTCTATAAGGTGTACAAAACATACTAGAAAAGAAATAATCATGAGAATTGTAGTAAAAAATGTCTTGACCAAGTGTCAGAGCTTAAATTGTGTACATACTTTTGTTTATCTGCATAGGAAAACTTTATTATTATCTCTGGGCATGCTTAGATGTTTGATTACTGACTCCTGTCCAAAGTAATGACAATAAAATTTATAATATACTCTTTAATCTTTCACAGTCTCCTGACAACCCTGGAGGTCACCTTCTTTACCAATAATTTGCAACTGACCTATGTTCCAATTGTACCCACAGGGTTTTAATCGGTGGAGATGACTGATTCATGACACAAAGAGGTCAATGCCATTGAAAGAAAAAAAAATACAATACTTGTAGTTTCCAAGAGGTTGGACTATGCCACACTATTGAGGGCCACTTGGGGAAGCACCAGGTTTGGTCAGCAGGCAGAAGGAGCAAAGGGAAAGCAAGACCCAGAGCCTTTACAGAGTTTTCCACATAAAGGAGGCAGGTCATAGAAACCTCTTTAGGGTTGGCAAGTCTGAGTAATGTTAGTGGGCTCTTGGCTGTAAGGGTTATCTCTTATATCTAGGTCTGGTACCTAGCCCTGGGTTAACTTAGGGCTGGGGAAATACTGGACTGGCATGTGAGAGTTAAATAAATGAGGTAGTTGGAGATACAGACTTGGGGTTAGTTGATTTGCATATAAAAGGCATGTTGAAAGGTGAATTGTTTATTATCTTATGGAATTGCTCGTTCTGAGAGTGGTAGTTTCTCCTTGATCAGGTAGATTTCCCAAAATGTCAAAGCATTATAAAATTTAGAATATACAAAGCATAATTAATAAATTTAATCAGGACAGGCTTCATTCGGTGCCCAAGGGGACATACATAAATATTCTGACAGCTTCTCTTTTGAGATCTCCCAAAGCCAAGGTCCCTGTAGCAGATCTTGGTGCTTTAAGCTGGATCCACAGTCTAAGCCCAACCTCTGGGGTGCTTGCATGTTGATATATCTTAATTCTTCAATACTTTTTTGTACTCTCTTCTTTTGTACCATATCTTTTACTTTTAATTATATGCCTTGTGTGAGTATGTTTTGTAGGGCTAGTGGGTTCTTTCAAATACCTGAACCAAGAAAATCTTTACAGCACCAAAGGAGAATAAATAATGCATATGATAAATGAAGTTGAGAATATAGGAATAAAAACATCTAAACTGAGGCCCAAAGAAAAAAATGTAACGTGATAAAACGAGAGATCCTCAATCACATAGGGAAAAATAGCCAACAGTAATTGGAGTAACTGTATAATTAGAGACCCAGAAGCAGAGGAAAGAGGAATGCAGGGGAAAAAAAAAAAAAAACTTAAATAAAGGTATTTCTTTTTACAAAGTTAATGAAAAGAATATACTAAAAACCCAAGGAATTAATTGAAACTGAAACAAGACAAGACATGTTTGAATTATGGAAAGCCAGTGATAGAGAATATCTTAAAAGCACTTTGAATTTATATCATCCTGGAGATAAAAGATAAGAAAATCTACAGACTTTTACTCAGAAATAATGCAAAACAGTAGACATTATATGTCTACTGCACTTTAACAAATAATTTGTTATTTGTGTGCAGAAACACAGACACACACACACACAGAGTTAATCTGTAAGTCTGTAGCCATTCAAATTATCTTTGAAAAATCAGGTAAAATAAAAATATTTTTGTGAAAAAGTGGACATAACTTATAACTTCCAATTTTCACTATAAGAAATAATGTGGCTGGGTGTGGTGGCTCATGCCTGTAATCCCAGCACTTTGGGAGGCTGAGGGGGTGGATCATGAGGTCAGGAGATCGAGACCATCCTAGCTAACATGGTGAAACTCCGTCTGTACCAAAAATACAAAAAATTAGCCTGGTGTGGTGGCACGTGCCTGTGGTCCCAGCTGCTTGGGAGGGTGAGGCAGGAGAATTGCTTGAACCCGGGAGGTGGAGATTGCAGTGAGCCAAGAGCACACCACTGCACTCCAGCCTAGGCAACAGAGCAAGACTCTGTCTCAAAAAAAAAAAAAAAAAAAAAAAGAAAAAAAAAAGAAAGAAATAACGTAAGTTTTCAGATTAGTGGAAAACATGAGAAGAAAACTGAATATACATAAAGGAATAAGGGGTGATAAATATGGTACGTATATAGCAGAAGATATAAAAGACATTTTTATAATTTTTGTGATTTTCAAGTCATAATTATTTTAAAAAGTTAATAATAATAACATGTTACCTGATTTATGACATAGGTAGAAGTGGCAGACAGGAGAAGAAAATTAAACTGGAATAACATTTCTGTTTTATACTTTTATATAGTATAGCAATATTAAAATAGACTCTCTTAAGTTAAAGATGCATCTTGCAGATCCTTTGGAGAGAATTAGAATAAAAAATCAAAGATGGATAAAAATAAACTAATCTGGCTCCATAATGGAATGCTAAAATTACTCAATCTAAAAGATGTTAGAAAAAGAATAAAAGGTATCAAAAACAGATAGGGCAAATAGAAAACATTTAGCAAGATTTTGGAATTGAACTCAAATTTACAGATAATTAAATCTAAATGGTCTAAACATTTTGGATAAAAGGCAAATTGTCAAATCAGACAAAATGCAAGACCTAACTATTCACTTCCTGGAGGAAGCTTTCATTAAATAAGAAGACATAGCCAGGTAAAAAGTGAAAGAATGAAAAACGCATACAATTTTAAAATTTATCCTAAGAAGAAAGAAAGGGCTCTATTAATATGAGAAAATGTATTTTTCAGGCCAAAACATGTTTCTAAAGGGGTATATTTACAATTATAAAAGTGATGATTCATCCATAAGATTAAATACACCAAAATATGTGTACAACCTTTAAAAATTTTAAAACATGTAACGCAATTACTGATTAAACTGAAATGAGACACAGACTTATCCACAATGTCAATCTGAACATATCAAAATTGAAATTTTTAACTCCTATCTCAAGTAGAAAGATTTTAAAAGTATATATGAAATATTAATCTCTTTAGACCATAGATTAGACTGTAAGAATACCTCAAGTTCAAAAAACTTAAAATCACTGAATTTAAATTAATTCACAACTTAAATTGTATTATCTGATCTGTAAAGGGTTAAATAACCTAAAATATTGACAAAACGATTAAGTAATACATATAAATAATCAAAACAAAAATTATAAAATGTTTTGAATTGAATGATAGTAAACAACTTATCAAAAGTTATTGGACAAATCTAAAGTAGTGCTTCCACTGCTTTATGTTTATGTATATAAAGCTATACAAAATTAAATGCTTACATTAGTAAAGAAGAAAAATGTACAATTTAATAATCTAAGCCTTAACCATACAAAGGCAACATACAGAAAGCAAATCAGGCCGGGCGCGGTGGCTCACACCTGTAATCCCAGCACTTTGGGAGGCCGAGGAGGGCGGATCATGGGGTCAGGAAATTGAGACCATCCTGGCTAACACGGTGAAACCACGTCTCTACTAAAAATACAAAAAATTCGCCGGGCGTGGTGACAGGCGCCTGTAGTCCCAGCTACTCGGGAGGCTGGAGCAGGAGAATGGCGTGAACCCGGGAGGCAGAGCTTGCAGTGAGCCGAGATTGCGCC
Organism: Homo sapiens; assembly: GCF_000001405.40. NCBI lineage: Eukaryota > Metazoa > Chordata > Mammalia > Primates > Hominidae > Homo > Homo sapiens. The sequence goes on along the minus strand of NC_000004.12, from coordinate 60,137,340 downwards.
ACTGCACTCCAGCCTGGGCAATAGAGCAAGACTCCATTTCAAAAAAGAAAAAAAAGGCAAATCAAACACAAATCATGTAAAAGGAAAAAACATAGTATAGGTATAAGCTGAATATGAATAAAGTAGAGAAAATTAATGAAATATAATAGATTATTTAAAATATTATTAAAATTGATACATTTCTAGTTAGACGCAGCCTTTTGTACCGAAGATCTTTGAAATGTTTAAACTGTAATTTTTAAAGGGCACATTTTCTATAAGTAATCTCATATCTATAATTTTACTAACTATGCATTACGTTTGAGAGAAACACTCAAGTTATTTTTGTAGTTTGACTTAAAAGAATGGGCAAAAGTTTGACTTAAAAGTTTGACTTAAAAGAATGGGCAAAAAAAGGCAAAAAGTTACAAATAAGCAATATCAGGAAAGAAATACCTTATGGATACTAAAGACATAGTAAAAAAGTAAAAAGTTGTATCACAGACTGCAAGAAAATATTCACAATATATATCATTACGGACTAGTAAAATTAAAAAGAACAACATTACCAAATGTTGAAAGGAAAAGAAGGAATTGGAACTCTTACACATTACTGGCGAGAATATAAAATGTTTCAACTACTATTTTGGTATAATAAGCAGTTTGGCAGGCTTTTATTACTAACCATGCAACTTTACGTCTAAATATTTATCTAAGGCAAATGAAAGATTATGCTTACATAAACAGTTTAATGTCAATCCTAATAGATTATTTATAATAAACTATAACTGGAAACACAACTAGTATCTATCAACAGATGACTGTATCATACAATAAATATTAATACATGAAATACTACTCAGCAATACAAAAGCATAAAGTAGTAACACATAAAATAATACGACTGAATCACATTTTCTTGAGTTGGTGAAGCCAAGCAAAAAAGGGGTACATATTATGATTCTATTTATGTGAAATTCTAGGACAGAAAAATTTGATGTAATGTGATAGAAATAGAAATAGTTTACTAGCATCAGGTGTGTGGAAGTCTTCTCTAAACAAGTGTGAGAAAACTTTCTTAGGTGATGAATGTTTCATATCTTAATTATGATGGTGGCCACATGGCTTTTTACATTTGTAAAAACACATCAAACTGTAAACTTAGAATTCTTGCATTGTATCATGTGTCAGTATATCTGAATGAAACTGATGTACAATTTTTCAATTAAACATGTTCCATATTTTTAAGAAATGTTATGCTACTTTTAAAGTTATAATGTCACTTTCAAGACTGATCATTTGCAGAAAATTCTGTCATAAGAAAATCTATAGATGTATCACCTATCTTCGCGCAGTGTGAAATGCATTTTTATCATTTCCAAAAGTTGTACATGTGTTTTTTTGCACACTATAGACATTTTTAAGATACACTAGCAATACAGAAAACACAGGGGACTAGTTCAGAAGCCTCTCAGGAAAGCTTGCTAAATCACAATAGAGTATATTTCTGTTTTAAGCAGGAAAACAGTTCTAGCATCACAGTAGTATCTTTTATGATCCAGTCAATTTGCCATCCCTTCAAAGTCACTGTCCATTATGTCGTATTCCAGTGACTTGGTCTTGTTGATTAGTAAAGTTCTATCTCTGCGTCTTTAACTGTGTTTCTTCCACCACTCTTGCCTTCCAGTATTAAGACCATCTTCTTGGCCATCTGCTTAAACCTTTTGTTGTCTATGTGTCCATAACACATGACTAATTTTTTTTTAAATATTTAATATGTTTACTATTGTTAACATCTTCTTTTTTTTATTTTTTTGGGAGACAGAGTCTTACTCTGTCACCCAGGCTGAAGTGCACCAGTGCAATCTCGGCTTAATTCAACCTCCACCTCCTGGGTTTGAGCAATTCTCGTGCCTCAGCCACCTGAATAGCTGGGACTACAGGTGCGCCACCACATCTGGCTATTTTTTTTTTTTTTTGTATTTTTTGTAGAAACAAAGTTTTGCCATATTGGCCTGGCTGGTCTTGGACTCCTGCCCTCAAGTGATCCATCTGCCTCGACCTCCTAAAATACTGGGATTATAGGCATAAGTCACGGCGCTTGGTCTGTTAACTCCTTATTTATGTTTCATTCTATAGATTCTACACCTTAACATGGAGAGGTCGTTTTATGATATATTTATTTATATATTAATATATGTATATAATAGTATATATTTAATATATAGTAGGTATGAACACCTATTTCTGTAATTAGTAAATTAGAAAATAGTATAACATTTTTGAAAACTCAAATTTTATGTAATACTGAAATGATTTCATTTTTGAAACAGTCAAGGCTTAGTTTAATTTTTTTATTTATCATAAGAACTACTAATTATACTGAGGTGTATTCATATAAATACAGACTCAGACATATATAGGTAAAAATCACATGATTTGAAAATGTTGTATACACAAAATAATAGGAAGAAATTTGAAGCTCCTATTAAAGTAATACATGACTGTCTTGAGGAGGACTTTTTAAAGTTAGAATGTCTTACATTAGAGACTGTGTGGCTTGGAAAGAAACAAAATCTTTCACAAAATATAATTTAAAAGATTTCTATTTATATTAAATTTACAACATCACAGAGGCAAGTTGCACTGTTCCTCCCACCTTCCACAATTTTATTTCAATGTAAATTATTTTTCAGTATAATGTATTATATTCCTGATCTGTTCCATCAGCTCCTGTGAGTTGTGATGCTTTATAAGTTTCCTCTAGTGTATGGAAGAACTTAAGCAGAAATGAAGCATCAGAAGCAGGCTGGACCCCACATTAACACAATCATCACTTTTCTTCATGTAACAACGTATTATCACTCTTCGCTTCAAAGTACAGGAGTCTCCCTTATCCAGGCATGACTTTGCTTTCTAAAGCTTCAGCCACCGGTGGCGAACTGTGATCTGAAAATAATGAATGGAAAATTCCAGAAGTAACCAATTCATAAGTTTTAAATTTCTATTCTGAGAGGCGTGATGAAATCTTGCACTGTCCTCTTTGTACCACCCTGGATGTGAATCATCCATTTGTCCAACGGATCCACGCTGTCTGTGTTAGTTACTTAGCAGCTGCTTTGACTACCAGATCACCCATCAGGGTATCAGCACAGTATTTGCGTTCAAATAACCTATATTTTATTTAATTGTTCCCATTTATTATTGTTGTTATTGATCTCTTTCTCTGCCTAATTTATAAGTAAAAAATTATCAGAGGTATGCACATATACAAAAAAAAATAGCATATATAGGGTTGGGTACTATCCACAGCTTCAGGCATCTGCTGTGTAACTTCAAACATAACCCCCATGGATAAGGGGGTTACTACTTTACTTTCTAAAACTGACTCAGTAAACAAGCCATGATTCTTATGAGGATGGGAAATACCATTATACCTTTAACAAAATGGAAACTAAGGTTGAGAATTTGAGTCTTCAAAATAACAAATGGAAAATGAAATATAAACTGATTCTCTTCATCAATTTTGTTTCATTATATGATGAAATTTCAATCTCTTAATATTCTATTTACAACCTCTATAAGCTCTTTTTAGTTAGTAGTATTAGTTGCATTAACTAGATTACACATATCTCAAAGCTTGTATACTTTCTGGGTATGATTCACAGCCTCACAAAAATTTTGTGTGAGTAGTAGAGCCTTAGATGAGTACACTTTTTTTTTAAATTCATTTTATGCCAATTAAATCAGCAAACATTTGTTGAGTCATAGTATGTGTCAGACACTGTGGAAAGTGCTAGAGATAAAAAAAATAAATATGGAATACAGTTTGCTCTCCAGGGCACACAGTCATGGGATGGAGATAGTGATGTAAGTAAATCATTGGAATACAAGATCATAAGCGCAATTTTGCAAGTATTTCCAAAATAGAACATTGACACAAGTCAGCAAGTCATCAATTTGAATGCATAAGGTACATGCTTAAAGAAAGGTTGTTTTATATATATCATAAAAGAGGAGTAGGATTTTTCCAGATGGGGGTAGAGTGAAATTGAGAGGTTGGTGAGGAAAGAAGAGTATTTCAGGAGCCAGAACAGCATGTGCTGAACTAGAAATATATTAGACAGTTAAGGGAACTGCAGAGTTTTAGTCCTGATTGAAATGTAGGGTACATTTATGTAACACAGACAAATTAGGCCAAGGAGAAATTGTAGAGTATATCTTATGATATTCTAATAAACTTAGATTTTATTTGTAAGTAGTGAGACCACTGAGAAGATTAAACAAACAACAACAAAAATAGGAGAAACCTGGTTGTATTTAAATTTTAAAACAATGTCTGTGGCTATATTGTTGAAGACAGAGTAAAAGGATGTAAGACCTACAGACACAGGGGTCAGAGTGGAGCTTACTTTAGTTCACATGGGAGATTATGAGAATCTGTCTTAAGTCATTAACGATTAAGCAGGGGTTGTTATTTTTAGATACTAAAGTAGGAAAATCAATAGGATTCAGTGACCCATGAGATAAAGTAGGAGAAGAGAGCACGGTCTCGTGGTCTTCCGAATTTTTGGTTTACTAGATTGAATAATAGCATTATTGGTTATAAATGTAATTATATGAAAATGAGGAAGTTGTGAAGAAAGATTTTAAGTTTAATTGTGTACATGTTGACCAGGAATCTATACATTAAAAAACATTTTGATAATTTGCAGTTAGTGCTCGCTGTGCATTTATAGATGAAATATTTAAATGCTTTACTGAATCTGATTTAGTGTATCAGGCTCCGGTTTCATTAGTATAAAAAATAACGTTTTTATTCTAAAGCGAATTAATTTTAGTTTGAATTATTACTGCTATCTAATGTAAGTGTTGAGATGATTATACTGACTCTACCAAGCAAGACTTTTATTATGTCTATTGTTTCATTGTTTAATGTTTCTTTTTGATATATCATTATAGAAAACAAAAGTTAAGAAAAGGGAAACTATGTTTATTTTAACCATTTTTGAAATCATTTGTGGCTAAATTGTCTCAGATTAGAAGTGAAATAAAAAGTAAATTTTACAAAGCCTGATGCAAGGGAGAAAAGGGAGCAATATGTTTCCATATAAAGTCATAAATGCTTGTTTCTGGAGTTGGAACTATCTTCTCACCTTCTTCCTACAAGGCAATTACATTGCATTCTGTGAATGCAGAAAAGTGCTGATTTCATTAAATTAAAATTTGACATTGAAAGGCTTTACGTGTAAATGCGTTGCTGAATGTTTCTATTTTAAAAAGCAGAACTAAAGAAACCCATTGCCTGCATTTCATATGGCTATGCTCCCATTGACCATAATGTTAACACCTCATTGAGCTGACGAAGTTAAAGAAAGGCTGAGTTCACTTCATTGCTACTGTTATTCAGCTGAACATGAGTTTCATTAAAAGTATTATCGACGAGTTTTCTTTGTATGAATCACTGAAATGTATGCTTTCTCCCCATGCACAATGTACCTTCCCCTCCATCTCTCAACCCACTATAGGAAAAGCGCAACAACCTTTCTCTTCATATCTGAAGGGAAATTAAAAACTATTTTCTTATTAGATTATTTAAAGACACAGGCAATATTAGTAAATCTGTCTAAATACCTCAAAATTGTCTTATTTTCCCTATGGGGTGCATTATTTTAAGTAACTGATGCTATAACAGTTAACAAACAGATAAACAATTATTTGGTTTGCTAAAAAGTGTTTACATCTATGAATCATATTTTATATTACTAGAAAGTTACATCTCAGTAAATGATAAAGGGAATATAAAAAGGGCATTGTGGTATCAACATAGCACTGTGATTGTGATTATTTGTGTTCTTTTAAGATTGAGATCTGATCAAGATCCTGTCTTAGATATGACTGGGATATTTGAATCATTGAAGGACACCTAACACTCATAATTGAGAAGTGTCTCCAATAAAGTTTCATTATACACAGCCATCTTTGAAGTGGTGGTTATTCTTTCAACTATAAGTAATCTGAAAAGTTTTTTTTTTATTGGTTTGCTTTAAAACTTTCACCTAGCATAAAAACATTTTTAACTCAGACTGGAGTGTCTTTCAATGTTCAAAAATCTATTGTTTTCTTCTTGACAAGTAAAAACTGTTTTATTTAGAGAAAAACACATTCCTTAGGTGAAATTAAATAACAAATAGATCTGAAAAGCACTTTTGTTGATCTCTGAGAAAGGAGACAAAATAATTCATTCTTTCATTTGACCAGAAATATAAAAACCTATTTTTAAACTATGTTCTCAGTTTTAAAAGCCAAAGTAACTCAACCTATACTCATATCCCTATGTAGTTATTATTTTGCTCTTTCTTCTCCATCAAACCAGGCCTACGGTTTCTAAAGAAATCATCAAATAAATACATAGCTTGGAATGAAATACGTGAATTGACTTAGATTTCTAACAATCACCCATACATTGTCCAAGCCATTGCATGTTCTTTTTAACAAAAACACAGGCAGTGAAACAAAAGGAATACAGAAATTGAACAGTAGAAAAATAAGTCCCTTAAACTTGAAAACAGATCAACATTTATTTCAAGCTTCTGCAAGAATTTTCCAAACAGCAAAAGAAGAGAAAATGACAAAAAATGAATAAAAAGTCAAAATTCTAAGACAGTTGTAGCAGTAAGCAGTGTATCTATGCATTTAAGGAAGTATTTTTAACCAAATGTAAATACTAGTAAACAGGGAATTAATAAAAATACATTCTTTATCATAGAAAAACAATAAAATGTAGGCAATTGTACATATCCTCATCCACCTTCCATTATCTTTCTTCATGTCTACAGAAATATATGCATGGATAATCATTCTCTCTTTATATGAATAAAAATTCTTATAATCATCGGTTTTTAAACTAATATTTTACAGAAATTTAATGAGGTGAGTAGGTCTCACTTCATTATTCTTGTTTCCATATACTTATCATTATTAAACAGAGCAATCAATCCCCAAGTGAGAAAGTCTATCTTCTCAATTAACAATGTTCACAAATACATAATCTTTAAATAATAATTTTTGAAAATGGCAGCAGCACCATTGACATCTACAGAAAAACCCTTTATAAATACACTATTTGTTTGAGAAAGAATATGAATTTTGTTTGTTTTAAGCTATTCTTAAACAAAGTAAGTAATAACTTTGAAATACCTATAATCCAAAACAAAGCCTTAGTTAATTGAAAAAGAATAATTAGCTTGCACAACCCTCTTGCTGAATATGTGTTCTAATAAGATTATGACTATGGACAAGAGAAAGTAGAATATAGTCTATTCTTTCAAATGCATGGCATTAGTACAGATATAGCTAAAGAAGCTTAATCTTGCTTAAAATGCTTGAATGAAAGTGGGGAAGTTCATAACAAATTTTTGACCCATGAATCACTGAGGAAGGATTATTGGGATGCTGTTATACCTGATGCAACTCAAAGAAGGTTCATCTTTGACTAATAAAAGCAGTTTTAGTCAAACTGAAGAAACACTGGCCGAAAAGTTTTAGACTAGATGGCATCTGAGGACAAAGTTTGGTGATCACAATGTATGTCTTTGAGTATAGGATGTCTCATAAAGCCAGCCAAAGGGAAAAAGATTAGGGATATAAATCCAAATAGTGTGAGTTCTAGTTTGCTAATTCTGGTGTTTCTGAAAAAGAGTTGAACAGTTCACTATTCAAAGATTTTCTCATCTAAACATCATAGAGGCCAAAGTTTCTGAAAAAATTCTGAAGATTTATGTTAATTTCTACTTTGCACCATAGAAGCCGCTTTTACGTAGATTACTATCATGTCCTGAAGAAAAGTCTAATTTTAACCTTAGAGTCTATTAATTATTTTACTACATCATTGAGTTGTGAATCATAAATTTCTGTCATTCATCAATTATATAAATGTTACAGGACAGGCTGATGGTATGAGTAAAGATTTTGAGCTAGAATGACATGACTATTTGGTTTCATTTTAGGTTCTTGTTAAAGGAAAGAGGGCTGGGTGAATGGGACCATGTCAAATTTTTTATTTTTAAATATCTAATCATTTGAGCTTTTTTACTTTTAAAACTTTCATTCAAAAGGTGGTGTAATTCATTTGAACTTCATGCATAGCCTAGAGAAAATGATTCAGACTGTGAAGTGTTGGAGTGAGTTCAAAGAACTCGTTTTACAAAGGTTCTAGATGAATAAGGATACAGCCATGTAGGGAGGCAGAGTTTAAGCACAGGCTGATGTCAAGCCTAGGGCGTACAATACACAAGCTTGCATTATGCTTGTGAGGCCAGTCATACACAAGAAAAGCGAGTCTCCCCCTACCCCTTTCTATTCTTGCCTTCTCCTTCCAAGATTTGAATTTGAGTAGTTGCTATGGAAGTGTTTACTTAGTTACTAGTATCATAACGGTGTTTCTCATGCACAGGAGTTTGAAGCTAAGAGTGAATTACTCCCATGATGATGGAACCATGGAAAGTACTAAACCAAGAACGTGAAAGCCAGACTTGCTGAATTTACACCAATCCTAGGAATTGTTTCATTTCTCTTAACATCAACCTTTTGCTAGAAAATGCTCTGTAAGACTGGGATATAGTTCAGCTCTATTATTTTACAAAGGAACTTTTATTCATTCATTCAATTATAATTTTCCATCATGCAAGAAAAAGAATGGACAGGAAGCCTGCCTTCTTTTGATCAGCGTAGTGCTAGTGGCATTCATTAAGTGCCACGGAGGGAAAAATAAGCTTTTTGAAAGAAGTCAGAAGCAAGAGAGCTAACTTATGCTCATCCCAGAGAACATTCTCTGTAAGTGATACAATAAAGACTTTAAAATATATAAGGATATAATTCTTTATAGATTAGTCTAGAGGTTTTATATTTGAAACTTTTAAACTCTAAATTTATTTAGCAAGTTTACTAAACACAGCTTAACAGCATATAAACGCCAAGTGGTACAATTATGACAGCACTTTTATAGATATTATGTAACTTGATCCTCAAAAAAATTTTTTTGATAGGGCAGATGAAGAAAACTGCACTCAGAGATGATTCAATATGGTTAAGCAATTAAAATCTCTTCCTCTTATACCATACCTAAAATATATTAAATTTTCAAACAATAAAATCCTAAAATACCTTTCCTAGAAGCCAAACAAAACAAACAAGAAAGTAGACAAATCCTTTTATTTAGTTTCTATACCTCTAATCACATAATAATGCTCAGGAAATATCAATGATGGTGATTTCTAATGTATAGTTTACTAACAGAAGGTTATAATTTCTTTGTAGATATTACCGCTTGTGAGTGCTTGTTTCTTACAGAGGGCATCATTTTTTTTTTCTATTGATTCCTTTTTTCCTTATTTGGTAATGTCACAGATATAAACTTTGTGCTAGTTTTGGCTTACATAGCATGAGAATATACAAATCAGTTTGAAATAGCCCGTGGAGGGGAATAGCAATGAATCACTACAATGAAATATAAATTGTTGTTCTCTTGTGATAATCTACCAAACTTGCTAAAGGAAGGTAACAAAAATTGTGAAAAAAATTAAAATTTTCACAATAAGAATATTTTATAACATGCCCACAACCAAAAAAAAGTAATAATAAATTGAATTAATAAAACATCTTCTTAAGGAAATAAAGCACACTATTTAGGTTTTTTCCCCATCTTCAATTAAATTTGAGAAATTAGGCCAAAATCACCAAGTCAAGCTGATGTAATAAAAAGACACGTTTTAAAGTTCATACTAAGGCTAACAAATATTACTTTAAAAAAGTAAAACAGTAATATTATAAAAGAAAATCAATTTGCAAGAAAAAAATCCCACTACTATTTACCACATGCAGATGTATTTTTAAAGAAGAGTGGCTATAGAAAAGTATAAAATTCCTTTCAGTCTCTTATCAATAGTCATTCCCTTTGCTAGGTATTTCTTTCCAGGAAAGATGCAGTGTTGGCTATTTGATAAAATGTCAACATTCCTAGGATATCTTCATTTTTCCCGATACGATTTGGCTGTGTCCCCACTCAAATCTCATCTTGAATTGTAGTTCCCACAATCCCCACATGTTATGGGAGTGACCAGGTGAAGATAATTGAGTCATGGGGCGATGTGCCTCATCAGTATTTTTACGTGGCAGATCAAGCAACTGTCATAAATTAGACATAGTTGAAAAATAAATTTTACCAGGAACTACAACAAAATGTACTTGGATATTCTAAGACCCGTATTGAAATAACAACTGTATTTCTTTTTGTTAGCAGCATGGACTTGAACAAGTACATTTATTTCAGACATGCAGGGTTCAGACAGTTCTTCTACTAGGTAAAATAATTCATATGATATAATTTCCAAAGTGTTTTTAGTTATTTGACTAAAAATGTAATACACATTTGTTGAAATCTTTTGGACAATAATGTCAAATACAGAAAATAAAGAAGTAGTTTCAGGCCAAGTGCGGTGGCTCACGCCTGTAATCCCAGCACTTCGGGAGGCCAGAGCGGACGAATCACGAGGTCAGGAGTTCGAGACCAACCTGGCCAACATGGTGAAACCTCATGTCTACTAAAAATACAAAATATTAGCTGGGCATAATGGTGGGTGCCTGTAATTTCAGCTACTCAAGAGGCTGAGACAGGATAACAGCCTGAACCCCAGAGGTGGAGGTTACAGTGAGCTGAGATCATGCTACTGCACTCCGGGGTGACAGAGTGAGACTGTCTCAAAAAAAAAAAAAAAAAAAAGGAGTAATTTCAAAAATTGTACCTCTCAGAATTAAGTGCTGGTTACACCTAACGGAATCATTGTAGTAAGTAGTGGCTCATTTAATTGCACTCTTTTACCTATGTCTTTATTAATATTTTATAAAGTCAAGATAAATATATATATTATTTGATTCTACTTTTCACTTATATCTATTTTCCTATAATAATTTTTAAAAATATGACCTTATGTAGAATCATATCTTTCAATAGATTTTAGCTTTTATTTAACCATCAAAAGAATGCTAGCACAAAAATATTTTATTACATTCTAAGTCTATCATAGTTATCAAAAACACAGATATTTGGTGTCAAACTACCTGGATTCTAATTCTAACGTTAACAAATAACAATTTGGATGATCCTGGGAAAGTTACTTAACATCCCTCTTGCAATAGAAGGAGAGTCTTCTATTAGGTAAAATGGAATTGATAACAATGACTTCATGTGCTTGTTACAAGGATTCTGTAAGTTTATATTCTTAAAACTTGTAGTACATTGCCCAGCATATATTGAATTGAATTATATGTATTTCTCTCTCTCTCACACACACACACATGCACACACACACACACCAGCCTATGTAACATTTATTCTGTCAATCCTGGAAAAATCTTGGCCTAAAGGGTTTTGATATATTGAAAAGTCTTTTTACACATTTTGTTCAATAATCTCTTAAAATGTTTGCTTAATGTAAACATCCACATACACTAAAATTGTTTGAGAATCCCCATATGTCTGTGCACATATGAACATTAGTGCTATTTCAAAAAATATTTTCCTACTTGGCAATTAAAAAATTTTACCTATTTAAAGAAATTATTTTCCCTTATTATACATTGATTTACCATTCTGTATGCATTCATTTGCCATTGAAATTTCTTATGTTTTCTTTGCAGAAAAGCGAGGCATTTGTTAAAAATTGTTGTTTTATTGTTTTTAATAATTCAGCTATTTCTAAAATACTTATCTGGCTAGAAGTTTCTGAACAATTTCAAAAATATACTACAATTTTTTTTGTTAAGTGGAAATATCTCAAGAATTTCACAATTAAGGACTATGTTGTTTGACATGCAAACTAAACGTTCTTCAATTATTTATCTATTAAAGTATTTTAATTAAAAATCATTGTATAATTGTAGATTCACCTGTACTTATAGAAATAACAAAGATAATTCCCATGTACACTTTACCCAGTTTCCCACAATAGTAATATTTTGCAGAATTATGGAAAACAGCAGGTCCCAGTATAACATCGTTTTGTTCAAAATTCTTTCATTATAACTTTGATGAGAAAGAAATAATTCATTGTTGGCCCGGGTTACTGTCTTTGTGGAGCTTGCATGTGCTCACTGTGTCTGTGTGGGTTTTCTCAGGGCACTCTGGTTTTCTCCCACATCCCAAAGATGTGCCTGTTAAGTTAACTGGTGTGTCCACATGGTCCCAGTCTGAGTGAGGTGGGTGTATGTAAGTGTGCCCTGCGATGGGATGGTGTCCTGCCCAGGGCGGCTGCCTGCTCTGTATCCGGAGCTTCCAGGAGAGTCTCTGCCCACCTGTGGCCCTGAGCTAGCATAAGTGGCTAAATAATTATCTCATTTGTTTTAGTAATCTTTCTAAAATATATGTATATTATGGCTCACATTTATTGCAATGTTTAATGTTAGAAACGTTTTGGTCTTTATTTAGAAGTTTGATGGTATTTTTATGACTAGAAATATGCCACAAAAACTTAACTTTTATTTATGTCAATTAGCCTATGATACTAAAGGCTGGTGCAAAAGTAATTGCAGTTTTTGCCATAAAAGTAATTGCAAAATCCACCATTACTTTCGCATCAACCTAATAACATTGGTTTTATGTTCTTTCACTTAAAGTTGCACTTTCCAAGTACCTATCAATGATGTTAAGTGAAGACTTAACTGTGTTAGCATAACCAGGATAATAACTATGACAAAATACACAACTTTTATTCAGACTTCCCCAATTGTTCTTGTACATATTTGTGTATGGGGTTTTGTATGTATATGTATTTAGTTCTATATTGTCTGTGTCTGTTAACGTGTCCACCACCACAGACATCATACCAGGACAATTTTATCACCGTAAGGATTCCTCTTGTGTTGCAATTTTATAACCACACCTACCTCATTCTCTACCTCCTTCGCCCATCCTCTAGTAACCATTAATCTGTTATCCATTCCTAAAATTTTACCATCTCAAAATGTCATATGATTCAAATCATATAGCATATAAACTTTTGTGTTTGGCTTTTTTAAAGTTAATCATAATTTCTATGAATAAAACAACATTTGTATGTAATTCTGTGGATAAAACTGTATTAATGGTCTGTTTAGTTTTATTGGTAAATAGGTTTTCATGTTATATATGTACCACAATTTGCTTAAACATTCACCTATCAAAAAACATCTGCTGGGCTGCTCCCAGTTTTTTATTTGAAATAAGATTGCTATTAATATTTGTGTACAGGAATGTGTGAGAACATACATTTTCATTTATCTGGGATGAATGTCCAGCAATGCAATTGCTATACCATAGGATAGTTGCATCTTTACCTTTATAAGTCACTGCCAGACTGCTTTTTTTTTTTTTTTTGAGATGGAGTCTGGCTCCCTCTCCTAGGCTGGAGTGCAGTGGCAGGATCTCCACTCACTGTAAGCTCCGCCTCCCGGATTCACGCCATTCTCCTGTCTCAGCCTCCTGAGTAGCTGGGACTACAGGAGCCTGCCACCACGCCTGGCTAATTTTTTTTTTTTGTATTTTTAGTAGAGACGGGGTTTCACTGTGTTAGCCAGGCTGGTCTCGGTCCCCTGACCTCGTAATCCTTCCGCCTTGGCCTCCCAAAGTGCTGGGATTACAGGCGTGAACCACTACGCCCGGCCCAGACTGTTTTACAGAGTGACTATACCAGCTATACCACTTACATTCTCATCAGCAATTTAAGAGTGATTCCGTTTTTCTGCATTCTAAATGTTGTTTTATTAAAACATGTTTTAATTAATGAGACTCCCATAACTCTTATTAACTGATAATTGAATGGATTTTATTCATTTATTTTTTTATTAAAAATAATCCTTGTATTCTTCAGACACATATTTGCCTTAATTATATGTTGGATTTTATTTATTTCTACTGTTTATATTCCAGTACAGATGAACATGAGAAAACAAATATATATGTGTAATTTTGATAGTTTAACCTATAAAAACTGAAACACACTAAAAGATGTGTGTATATATGTAACATGTATACATGTTACATGTATACACGTATAACATGTTACATGTATACAGGTATAACATGCATACATGTATTACATGTATAACATGCATACATGTATACACATTACATGTATAACATGTATTACATGTACATGTTACATATACATGTTATATATGTTAACATATATGTAATTAACATATATGTATATATGTATATATACATGTATACGTATATGTATATATACAAGTATACGTATATGCATATATACATGTATACGTATATACATATATACATGTACACGTATATGCATATATACATGTATACGTATATGCATATATGTATATATACATGTATACATATATACAGGTATATACATGTATATACATATACATGTATATACGTATACATGTATATACCTGTATATATGTATACATGTATACATGTATATATACATATATGTTAACATATATGTATATATAACACATACATGTTATATATAACATATACATGTAACATATACATATAACATGTATAATATCTATATATGTAACATGTATATGTGTATATATACCTATATATAATATATGTACCTATATATTAACTGGTGTTAATATATATTATATACCTATATATAATATATACCATATATAATATACCTATATAATATATATCATATATATATTATGTATATATAATATATATCTATATATAATACATCATATATTATATATACCTATATATAATATATCTCATATATAATATATATACCTATATATAATATATCTCATATATAATATAAATACCTGTATGTAATATATATCATATATAATATAAATACCTGTATGTAATATATATCATATATAATATATATACCTGTATGTAATATATATCATATATAATATATATACCTGTATGTAATATATATTATATATAATGTATATATATCGGTATGTATATATACTATATATACCCGTATGTATATATACTATATACACCGGTATGTGTATATATATATTATTTTATATATTATATATATATTATTTTATATATTATATATATATTATTTTATATATTATATATATTATTTTATATATTATATATAATATTTTATATATTATATATATAATATTTTATATATTATATATATAATATTTTATATATTATATATATAATATTTTATATATTATATATATAATATTTTATATATTATATATATAATATTTTATATATTATATATATAATATTTTATATATTATATATATAATATTTTATATATTATATATATATAATATTTTATATATTATATATATATAATATTTTATATATTATATATATATAATATTTTATATATTATATATATAATATTTTATATATTATATATATAATATTTTATATATTATATATATATAATATTTTATATATTATATATATAAAATATTTTATTATACACACCGGTATATATCTAATGTATATTATGTATAAAAATATGTATCTGTATATACCTACCTACAAAAGCTACAAAATTAGGCTATCAAAATTAAGTAGAGCTCATAAAATTATTTTATTTTTCTATTCCCCAGGTTTCTTCATAAAGTAAAAAAAAAACATTTTCTCATCCTTTAAACTGAAAGTACCCTGAAGCTGTCTGGACAATTGCTTTAATAGGGATAATATTCACAATTTTGTTTAACTCTTTTTTTCAATATATTTAGAGGATCCCTGTCTATTTCCATTACTATTACTTATTGATTAATATTTGTCTGAGTTGCTATTCTTAATTTACCAAATTCTGTCATTTATGTTATTCCAGAAAAAGGATATATTTCACTGAGGTTTAAACTATGTAGCTAACCAAATCTTTAATTAACCTGGAAATTATATAAATACCAACACACAGAATAAAGAAGTAATTTTAGGCCAGGCGCGGTGGCTCAGGCCTGTAATCCCAGCACTTTGGGATGCCAGGGCAGTCGAATCACGAGGTCAGGAGTTTAAGACCTGCCTGGCCAACATGGTGAAACGTCATCTCTACTAAAAATACAAAAAATTAGCTGTGCATAGTGTCGGGTGCCTGTAATCTCAGCTACTCCGAAGGCTGAGTCAGGATAATCGCTTGAATCCTGGAGGTGGTGTGTGTGTTATCACAAGTGTGTGCTATCACATTAAATATCCAATTTATGTTTGTCATTTGCGAATTTCATGTCTGGACTGTCCATTTTCTCCTATTTTATTTAGAGCTGTGGCATCATATTTACTATTGCATTTGGCCTGTAAGTTTCTTTTTTTCATGATAGTTAAATGTCTAAAATAAAATGGGGAGTTACCTATCTTTTTCTGTGGCTTGAAATGATTTAAACTACAAATGGAATTATGAGGTCCCTAAAACCTAATTGAAAATATACATGTGACTTTATTTAGCTCTAGTGTTCATTTCAATATCTGCCATGTCAAAATGGTCTTTTTCTTGGGTCTATTTCTGTAATTTTTATTTTGATAAAAATCAAGTGATTTCTCTTAAGTTTTCAAATGTGGGATTGTGGAAGTATATATAAAATTATATTTTTCCACTGGATTTTTTAAAATTATGTCTTCTGTGTGATTCCTAATGTTGATTTTTTCCTTAATCCTAGTAAGAGCAACACATAAATTATCATTTTTATATTTTTAAATAGACAGGTTTGGAATGTATTGGCTTGTGTGTTTTTGGATTCTAAGTGCACTTTAATCATTATTTGACATATTCCAGAAATAGTCTCATTTAACATTTCTGAGAGTTTTAAAAAATGTTTCAAATTACAGATTAATTTGTACAAAAGTAACCTTTTTAAAATATTGGGACAAGATTGTTGCATAATTTTTAAATGTGTATCAGTATTTTGTACTCCTAAGGAGAGTTTTTCTTTCTTTTTTACTTTTTTACAGAGTTTGGGTCTTGTTGCCCAGGCTGGATTGCAATGGCACGACCTTGGATCACTGCAACTTCCAGCTCCCAGGTTCAAGCGATTCTCTTGCCTCAGCCTCCCGTGTAGCTGGCATTACAGGCGTCTGCCATCACAACCGGCTAATTTTTTGTATTTTTAGTAGAGTCAGGGTTTCACCATGTTGGCCAGGCTGATCTCAAACTCCTGACCTCAGGTGATCCACCCACCTCGGCTTCCCAAAGTGCTAGGATTACAGGTGTGAGCTACTGTGCCTGGAGTGTTTTTCATCATTCTTTATTTAGATCTTGTACATTTGTTACTAAGTTATCCATAAACAATTTAAATATTTTTATTACTATAGATGTATTGTTTTCTTCTATTATATTTTCTTGATGTAAGCTATTGAAAATTTTTCTAAACTTTTCTAAACTCTTACTGGTGATCGATTTATGTTACAATTATTGCAATTTCTATTGTTTATATGATTTTCAAAAGATAATTATTCATGCTTTAGTTTCCTAATTTTATAGCCAGAATTTGTTTTTCTTTTTAAGTCCGAATAAATTACTCTAGTCAAAATAGTAGTAGTGTTTACCTACTAAGTGTGGATGCTGGTTTGAAGATGGATATATATTTTACCATGTAATAGAAAAGACTTCTCAATTTTTTGCATTTTGAGTCTACATCAAGCATAGATATTTTGTTTTTAAACATGGCTTCTTATTGCCAATATACTATGATCCTGTACTTTTTTATTCTGAAGTATATTGATATAACTTTTATTTATAATTTCCTGATACTGATTCATGCCATAATTTGCCATGAGGTATTAATACATTATTCATTAAATGTGCTATTGAATTTGATTTGCTAATACTACATTTAGCCTAATTTAAATGTCATTCGTATGTACAATTATTATTTTTTTTTCAGGGTGTTGAGAATCAAAGCTATTCTTGTATCATAACATTTCTAATAGTCTCTGGAATATTGTTAACAGAATTGAAGTTACCTTTTCATTCAATATGTGGTAGCACTGGCCTTGTACATATACAATGGGTAGTTCCTTTATATTTTCTAAGTCTCATTATAATTACATTATATAGATTTTCCAACTATTTTGAAATCAGCTTTGGTCAATTTTTTTCTAGAAAATTATCCATTTGGTGCATATTCCTAAATCTATTTTTATGAAGATCAGTAAGTAGTTATTTGTAATTTTTTAAAATTTCTTCTTTATCTGTATCTTTCGTACATTTTTAATTTTTTTTATAATTAGATGATCTAATTATATAACTTTTCATTTTAAAAAGCTAAATCTAATGTATTTACTATAGATATACATTGCTTATATTTATATATTATATATAGCTTATATTATAGAGTATAATATTTGAGTATTAGTTTATGTCTCACTTATATTTGTATAATATATAGCTTACATAATTGTATATAATATATGTACATATATACATATTGTACTGTTTTACTTTATTCAAATGTATTAAGGCTTGCATTTATCCTTATGAAATCTCTTTTTTCTTCCTCAAATGTTAATTTTACCTATGTAAAATTTCATGCATGAAATAAAGCTACTTATATTTTGGGAACACCTATGTGATACATTAAATAGAGTGATAAATAAACATATATCATGTTTTGGGCATTATACATTTATGCTTTTATTGTATTAACTACTTTACCTTAGATAATACAGTTCCAATTAAACTTTTATTTCTGACTATTTTTTTCTCTAAAATTTTTATTTTAAAGTTTTCTTTTTGTGTGTGATGAAAGCAGTATCTTTATTTTTAAAATTTTTCAGGGGATAATAACTCATATATTGTCAATTGTCCTAATTCTCACTAAATGATTTTTTTATCTTTGGCATTGCATTTTCTGCTTGGTTGTTCTTTGTTTTGATGCAGAACATTTTCTGCAATCATCAATATCTCATGATTCATGATGGCAAAGTAGAAGAGGCAATACAAAATTTATTGAAATCAGTGTATGAAGGAGCAGTATATTTTAATTAGTAAATTTCACTCTAAGACGATCTGTGTGGTGTTGCTCTTTCGTTAGGATCACTTCTACTCTTGATATTTATAGACCTGCTCTCTTTGATTGATCAGTTTCCCCAGAAAGAAATCTTCAGTATCCTAAATTGTGTGTGGAAATCTAACAGCAAGCATTCTCAGAGCTGAGTAGGAGAATGACCTAGGTTCTTACTGTTCAGTTTATAGAGTTTTATTACATTCTAATGTGTTAAATAGAGTGCTCCATAAATATAAATCATGAATCACAGAAACAGAGCTTGATACAGATATACAGATGCTTATGTCATAGAAGGAGATTCTATTCAGGAAAAGAAAAGTAAAAACCTATATCAAAGTGAGGCAATCCAAATAGAGTAGAGGGATATCTGTTGTCGAAGATAAATTATATCCTAGGCCTGATTCATAGTATAGGAATAGAAGTGTGATCTAGGACAGGAATCTCGCCATAGAATGATTTTGTTCCTTTGCATAGTAATGCATTGCCATCTATCCTCAGAGCGGTGGTGAAAGTTACATAATTTCAGTGCATCTCTGAGAAAACAAAGGCAAATTCTGCAGAGAAGGTCATAGACATAAGTTATTACTCACTGTCACTATGGGATGAGAGCACTTAAGAAAAGTGATTTGGTTGGCTGAGGTACTGCCATTGTAATCAAAATGTTTGTGGACTGCCACAATGCATATGCTGAAATTCTTACAAGGTGATGGTAGTAGGAAGTGGGGCCTTTGGGAGGTGATGAGGTCCTGAGGGTAGAGCACTCAAAAATGGTCAATGCCCTTATAAAGAGGCCTCAGAGAGATCTCTTTCCTTTCCATCACATAGGACACAGTGAGACGGCACCATCTGTAAAGAAGGAAACAAGCCCTCCCCAGACACTGAATCTGCTTCCGCCTAAATCTTGGACTTCTCAGCCTTCAGAACTGTGTGAATTAAATTTCTGTCGTTTGCAAGCTACCCAGTCTGTGGTATTTTGTTATTGCAGGCTAGATATACTAGGACAGGCACCCAAATGCCAGTGCTCTAGTGTCCAAATTATCTCTGATTCAATAGCTCCACATAGTAAACTGGCAGGGTAAGGAATGTTCTAGGATTTTAACAATGCCTTAGCCATTCTTAAACCAATAGCTTTACTTAATTGCTCCAACTGCAGCTACACCTTCAGAAGAATCCAGTGCCTCCAATTCCTATTTTTCAGATTCTGTGATGTGATGCATCTTATGTGTGAAATTCCCCTATCGCTGGCTTATGGTCTAATTCTCTTTGCTTTTCTAAGTCACTTATGACTTATTTGATTTCCATTTGTAAAGCGTTGCTTCTGTCATGCTCTATCTAATTTTTTTTTTGTTTTTCTTGCTTTATTTGCTTATGCTCTTTTTATCCATTTTACTTTCAAAGTGGTTTCAGGAGGGAGAAGTTGTAAATATGTAATTTAATCTGTTTTATTTAAGCAGAAGTCACAATGATTTATTTCTCAAATGTATTCCCATTTGAGAGTTGTGTTCTAAGAAATGTGGAATAAGAACGATAACAATCAAGATGATGCAATAATAATAATTAAAATGTACTTGGTGCTAAACATTGCTTAAAAATTTTGTATGTCACCTTATTTAATCCTGACAGCGTTGCTCAATAGTAGACGTGATTATTCTGAGACACCTATTATTACTGTTATTGCTCAGTTGAATGATCTGTAAAATGTAGATAATAATAGTACCAAGCAGATAGCTTTCTGTGATCATAAAATGCATAATTCATACTTTAATTTTATGAAGTTTAATCATAAAGTCATATAAAATTATGACTTTAATTTAATGTTATAAGATATGATTTATAAGAAGTTGTAGAATAGTGCCAGGCATACGGCATGCACCTATGCTAGGCAGAGTACCATTTCCCCTCCTGCTCCCAAAGATATCCAAATCCTAATATCAGAAATTTGTGAATAGTTTGTTACATGGTAATATGGTTCAGATTTGTATCCCTGCCCAGATCTCCAGTCAAATTGTAATCCGCATTGTTGAAGGAGGGGCCTGGTAGTAGGTGACTGGATCATGAGGTGGATTTTCCCCTTGCTATTCTTGTGATAGTGAGTGAGTTCTCATGACATCTGGTTGTATCAAAGTGTGTAATACATCTCTTTTTGCTCTCTTCCTCCTTCTCTGGCTGTGTAAGACATGCCTGCTTCCCCTTCACCTTCCATCATGATTGAAAATTTCCTGAGGCCTCACCAGCCCCATGTACAGCCTGTGAAATCATGAGCCAATTAAGCCTCTTCTCTTTATAAATTACCCAGTCTCATTTATTTCTTTATAGAAGTAAGAGAATGAGCTAATATACATGGCCACAGTAAATTAAGGTTGGAGGTAGAATTAAGGTTATTAATTAGACGATAAATAGATTATAGTAGATTATCCATTCAGGTGAATCAAGTGTAATCAAAATGATTCTTTAAATGTGGAAGATAGAGGCGGAAGAGTCAGGGAATATGTAGCAGTAAGCAAGGTCAGAGGGATGCAACATGAATCCTCAACTTGATCCCCCTTGACTTAAAAGATAGAGAGGGGTGCGGTACACAAGCCAAGGAATGTAATTCTAGAAGCTGGAAAAAGCAACACAAGGGATTCTCTCCTAGAGAGAACATTCAAGCTTTGTTTTAAACCACTAGAGTAGTCTACTTTTTTGAAAGAGTAACAGGAAACAAATACAGTTCAGTAAGTATTACTTTTTATAAACCCAATGTTGAAGATGAAGACAATGAGCAAAAGACAATTAAGTAACATTCCTGAGGTCATATTGTAAGCTTTAGAAGCAGAATACAAACTCAGATTGCCTGAATGCAAAGATATCATAAGCTTGTAACCACTATGTTACCATTTTAAATGTTTATAATGCTAGGAGGAAAAAAATTCAGAAGAAAATACAGCTGAACTTTCCCTGTATAATTTTTAAAATTATCATTTATTACAGTAAAAAATCCACTGAAGTATCGAATAATTGCAGTTTAAATTCCAAGGGGTCAAAATATTGCTAATAAAATTCTGAAATCTATCTTGTAAATTAATATTTGGTAAAAACAAACATAATAAAAATTATAGAAAATATACAGTATATTTATATGCATTTTGGTAGACTCAATAACATTTTATCATTGTAGTTATACCTATTATAATTCATTAAAAATGGAAATATTTACATTTTCATTCCTGACAAGCTTAAGTATAGAATTTCCGTAAGTCTTCATAGTTGAGTTGAATATATTCAAATCATCAGTTTTTTAGTACAGTAATAGAAATGTAAGTATGTACAGATTTTAAAATTTCTATGATAATGGACTACTTACAGTGTATGCTAGGTAGGTGTGGATAACTGTACATATCATGTTTTTTTTAAGGGGGGGAAGACAAAATTTGAAGTTTCTGTTTAGTTAACTCTGTGCGCATTGCTGCAATGTGGTCAATTATTAAAAAACCTTGTGTGCTTACAAAATAGTATATTTCAAAGAAAAGAATCAGCCTGAGCATGGAAGAGAGTATAGGTCTTAGATATACGTTTGTCAAATGAATAAAAGAACAATGCTATGTTTTCAACTGCACACGCACAGAATAGTATGAATTGAGAGACAGCAGTGTTATTAATTAGCAGCATTATTTTATGTATTTGAGAAAATTAAGATAATATAAATTACCAAAAAACATAAATTCCATGTGCAAAAATTTGATAATTAGATTTTATTTTTGCTATAATAAAAAGAAGCCAATGGAATAATCTTAACCATACAGGAACACTTTAAATGTACTTCTAGGATTATAAATAAGGGGTAATTTATTAATGTTTTAGATCTAAATATTTGTTGTGAACCAAGCATAAGTTACCTTTTTATTTAGCACTGTGATCATTATGGATATAATGTAATCTATTTTACCTGCTCTTAAACAACTCAAGAGAATTCTGCATACTTTGCAGACAAAATATGTGTGAAACAAAACATTGTATAACAATTTGATAAGAAATATGGCTATTGTAATGATACAAGTATATACGCAAATGTAATTAAAGTGATTATTTTTATAATTAATTAAAATCTTTGTGTTTTACATAGTGACATGATTACTTCCTATACCCTATGAAGAATATTACTTAAAATAATTTGTAACTCAGATGCATGGTCTATTTGGCTAGATTAGCTGTGAAACTTTCTATTGTATATCTTTCTCAGTGAGCCTTGACAGAAAACTCCAATTTCTGTGAATTCTTTTCTAGCCAAATGTATTTCATTTATGACAAATATTAGTAGATAACAAAAGAATCAAATGGTATTTTGCAGACTTGAAAATAGAAGTGGAAAAAAGAGCTTTTGTTATAAGAGGGTAAACACTAATGATTTTATTGTACAAGAAGATCTTAGAGGAAGTAATCATTAGACAACAAAATTAAATATTTAATATGGTCAACACAAACAATATGCTAGGTCTATGTTTTAGCCAGAAACAAAAACTTTTAACTACTGTTCAAGGAAAAGATATATTTGAAAAGGAGAAAATAATTTAATTATGTTAAATTAAACTTAAAGTTTAAAACAATCCTTTATGTAAGCAGTAAATACCTGTCATACTTCCATATGAAAAAGTTGTAATTAAAATTAAAATCCTTATACATTTTATATCGTTGATGATTTTTATCTTTGTACATATAGCATTCTGATTATTTTTTCTACTCTGTATTTGGTCTAGAAGACATTCGCTAAATAATTTTAATTTTTAGTATTTGTCTTCCTATTAGATTCCTTTTCTTTCACTTTGTCCTATGGAAATTGTCATCATGACTTGTCGCTCTCCCTAGTTAGTCATCCCTCAGGTCTCAGATGAAGCTTCTAAACTTCATGGAGGAAGAGACAGGCCTCTTCCACTAAGGCAGATGCCCTGGCCTTCACAATTCTGTATCAAATTTGCCATACATAATTTTATCAAAGTTTCAATTATATATTGCTTTGTATGCGTTTTTAGAATTAAAGTTTTGATCACTAAATGTTAAGCTCCGTAAGAGCAGAAACTGTGTCCAGTGTTCTATCCTTAGGCTTTTCCTATGTGCCAGACACATAGTAGGTCCAGCAATACATATTCGTTGAAGGGAGGATTAAACTGGGCTCAGCTACCATTTTATTTTTAAGGCAGGAGTGGTTCATTTGAATTGTAAGTAAATTATAAGAAGTAAAAGGAACAAATATGTTTAAAACTCAGATAATAAGGTTATGTTTTGTTCAAACTTTTCAGTTTTCATGTGTTAGTAAAATGATTTTATCAGGAATAATATGGCTAGAATCAATTGATATGAGTTTATAAAACAAAAACAGCTCATCACTAATGTATTATATCTTCTAACATATAGTATTTCTAAAAGTAAAGTGAATTCACAAATATCTAAACAGATTAAATTACATCCTCATTCAGGGACTGTGTCTTTTACATTATTTTTTGTTCTTTTCATTTCTGGCCAATTTTTCATATTCTATACTAGTGTAGAAGGACATTGTCTTTTTTTAAAAAACTCATCTGTTCATTTTTATTATAGATCACTCCTGTTCTTTTTTGTTAGTATATTCAAATTAGATGTATTTTCAGTGCTTAAAAGATAGTCAGATACGCGTATAACCTCCTCAAAAATAAAGAATGGAGGAAACATTGTGACAGATAAGAAAGAAGTAGCTGTTTTTCAGATTTTAGTTTTGCTTGTAGAAAGTACACGTTATTTTAAACAAAAAAGAAGAAATCATTATTTTTCCCATAAAGTAAAAATAAAATCCTAGAATTATAAAAAACATTTTGAAAACAATCAAAGACTTTGCATTGCTAATTCCAAACTGTCTAAATAAATAAGATATATAGATTTGAAAAATAACTTAAGTTTTTGTAAAATGTAAATTTATCAGACTAATCATTAAACTGTTTTGACTATAGACACTATATTAACTGTTGTTTTTAATACATAGGATTATATTCTTGATTTCATCAGGAAAATCCTGGGGTGTAAATGTGCTGTGCGAGTTTGCAACTTTGTTTTCTTCAGCTTCTAGACCGGATTTGCAGTCTTAATTTTTTTTGGATTTACCAATATAACAGATTTTCAGTGCTATGTTTAAAATTTCTTGATTTGGAAATGTGGAAATATAATGAGGGAATAAATGTTTGGCATATTTCTGCTTATGGTTTTTTATATCCACTCACAAGAAAAGTTCAACAAATGGGCCACCATGTAGACATTTTATTACACTTCAGTCAAAAAAAATAGGTGTATATATATATAACAGACACATAGCAGTCTCAATTGAGAAACTCTAAAAGAGGTGTAAACTATGAAAATATCTGCAACTTCTGAAGTGTACTGTTAAAAGAAGTGATGACAAGATGCTGACAACAGAGAGGTGGCAGATCTTTGTGGGGTTGGTGCGGGGAGTGTCAATAGACAGTCTGTGATGTCTACATGTAGGGAGAAAAGACCTGGCTCCCATATCATACTCATTTTTTTTTTAACAGCTTTATCACAGTACCGCCAGTTAACTAAACTTCAACATCAAGGAGCACAATAGAGTAAAAAATAACAGTTTTGTGGATCACAGTGAGTAGTCCAGCAGTGAAGTGTTTTTCTTTATAACCCAATAATGCTGGGCTGAAAAAGTGTTGAAAATGAATACAAAACACTTAACTGAACCCTTGCTAAGTACCAGGCACCTTGATGGACACTGAGAATGGCCGATCCCTGCCCTTAAGTTTTTCCCAGTTTGATTAAGGAGCTAATAATGAACAATTACTCCAGCTTATAATAAACACATTGGAAGACGTTTTCACACAAAGTTATGGAGATATAGAAAAAAGGGGCCTCATCCAGCTGGAAAAAAATAGAATAGTTTTGGGAAGGTTATATATTATTTTGGAAAAAAAGTAAAGCAAAGAATTTACTATGTAAAGGTGCAAACCACAGAGATGTAAAAAAGCCTGCACGTTCAAGTAAATACAAGTGATTTGCTGTGATGAGGCTCGAGATACATATGGGAGTACCGGCAGCAGATAAAGTAAAAGTAAAAATAAAATAAAATATTTTAAAGTAAAAATAAAATTTAGGACATGGCCAGATTTCAAGGAGCAGGCAGAAATCCTCCTGTGTGGTTTTGAATTTGTTCTCAAGTCTAGGGAGACATTGATGAAATTCTATTAGGGAAATGACAATATATGTGCATTTTGGAATGATCATCTGGCCATAGCTTGGAAGTACAGGACATCTGTGTGAAGAAGAAGAGGACATCCCTGTGAAGAAATTTAGGGAGCTGCTGTATTTAACATTGTGAGTCTTTGGAAAAATTAAGACAAAGGGAATGAACGTAAGTTGAAAGCTGGAATTATCATTAACACAATAATTATATACATTTGTAATGAATTTGAGATTCATATGATTAAAATCATAGATATAGCAAATCATTTAAATGGCAATATTAATGTGTGCTAAATGCTTTACCTGGATTGTATTTTTCAATTCTTAAAATATCTATAAGAGTTATATTATTATATCCTAATTTGAAGGCAGGGAAAAGAACCTCAGAGTCCTCATTTGAAGGTGGGAGGATTGCTTAAGCCCAGCAAGCCCAGAATGCAGTGAGTTGTGAGTGTGCCACTGACCTTCAGATTGGGCAACAGAGAGAGAACTTGTCTCAAATTATCTATCTCTCTATCTATCTATCTATCTATCTATCTATCTATCTACCTATCTATCTAATGGCAGGCAGATATCCTCCTGAGTAGTTTTGAATTTGTTTTCAAGTTTAGAGAGATACTGATGAAATTCTAATAGGGAAATGACAATAGATGTGTATTTGGGAAGGATATATATATATAATATATGTTATATATTAGATGTAATATATATGCTATGGCATCAAGTATATGTGTTCTATTAGTATAGATTATTAGAATAAACGTATTGAGCAAGTTCAAAACCCTGTGTAAAATCAAAATAAGGCGATGTCTCTAAGAAGCATGAGCTATTCTCTAAGATGAGCAACCTTTATTGAGACACTGGAAGACAAGAGAGTCATCATGGACATAACATATTTGGAGTAAAATTTAGAAAATGAAAAGGCGTTAACAGCTTATTGGAGTATTTCATGAAATTTTCCATTGTTGACTTTGTATACATGAAGGGTAAAGTTAAAGTCAGTATCAACTTGGAGGTTTGAAAAATGTGCACATATCATGTTGTATGACATACTTTTCACAGAAATCTGCTTTTGATGCTCAGCCCTGTTACACAATCTGATTTTATTTGATTCAGATTTTTTAATATACAGTTATCCCCCTGTATCCATGAGGAATTGGTTCCAGAACTACCCTTGGATACCAAAACCTGTGGATGCTCAAGTCCCTTATGTAAAATGAATAGTATTAACATTAGCATATAACCTACATACATTCTCCAGAACACTTTAAATCATCTCGTGATTAGTTATAATACCTAATAAAATGGAAAATATTTGTAAATAGTTGTAATACTGTATTGTTTAGGAAAAAAATGACAGGGAAAATAGTCTGTACAGTTTTCACTGCAGATGCTTTTTTTCCCCCTAAATATTTTCAATCTGCTGTGGTTGAATCCACAGTTGTGGAACTCATGTAAGCGGAGGGCCAACTGCATTCAGTAGAAAATTGCAAGTTATTTGCTGGAAATAAGAGCTATATTTTTAAGTAGCATCTCTTGATAAGATATAGAAGTGAAACAAATTTGAGTGTTTAAAAATTCACATTTTTTCAAAGTAGGGACATGGTCCCTTGGTTATTTTAACGTTGAGAACGCTGAATTTTAAAAAATGGATTTATTTTTGTGGCTGATAAATATGTTCCTGGGCATAACTCAGACAGTGATAATTAATAATATAAAGCTACAAAATAGATTTCAGCAATTATTTCATTGATACTAGTATCAAATGTTGCATTTTCAAATGGCAGCATTATCATCAAAGTTTTGAGATATTTTGATATTGAACAAAAATTATTTAACAAAGCAATTTTTACGATTAAAAAATAAACATGCAAATAGTTAACTTATTTTGCTCTGCTTTCTACACCTCTACAATTTTCCCATGTTCATGCTATCAAAATATTTGATAAGTATGCATGGATAAGTTTAGAATCTTAAAACAATGCAGTATTTATACTTGAAATAAAATACTCAACATTTATAGAGATTGAAATGAAATTACATAGTCTAATCACAAACACTCCTTTTGTAATGGTAATTTTCTTACAGAACAACTGCTATCTAATAGCAAGGGTAATTTTTTCCCATTGTATTGCTTCAGGATTAATTAAAAAGCTTGTTCTAGTGCATTACAAATGGCAATCAAACACACCACTGAAGATTGGTCGCACTGGTGATTATAATTATAATTATTATTCTGTGGCTTTCTTGTGGTTATAATTATATAATTTACCTTTATTTTCATGAAACCCTTCTAAATCCCACCAAAACCCAAAAAATCAAATATATAATACCATATCAATAAGACTGGAATGAGGACTCATTTATTTTTTCTTTTTTTTCAGACAGAGTTTCACTCTATGGCCTAGGCTGGCGTGCAGTGGTGCAATGGTGTAATCTCAGCTCACTGCAACCTCCATCTTCGGGTTCAAGCAATTCTTGTGCCTCAGCCTCCAGAGTAGCTGGGATTAGAGCCATGTGCCATCATGCCTAGCTAATTTTTGTATTTAGTAAAGATGGGGTTTCACCATGTTGGCCAAGCTGGTTTCAAATGCCTGACCTCTGGTGACCCACCTCTTTGGCCTCCCAAAGTGCTGGGATTACATGCGTGAGCCACCATGCCTGCCCAAGAGGACTCTTATTATCAAGTAAATTATCTCACCAGCCAATGTTGTTGAAAAACTTTATAACCATTTTATCTAAAATACTCAAACATGATTTGCTAAAAAAACAGTATTTTTGGCATGTAAATTTATTAAATCCTCTATGACATCAATCCAGATTTTTTAGTTTCCTTTACACATTCATCTCCTAAATATTTCTGCTTTAGGTATGGCAACTCTTTTTCATTTTCTGATACTTTTTCATAATATACAGTTAAATTTTATTGCAGCAGAATCTATCTTCTTATAAATTTCTTCCCATTATATTATTAAGTTCCTTTTCTTCTTTTCTCCATGATGTTATTCCCCATATGGTAATTTTTGACTCTGTGCTCATTTTAACCTATGTATTTTGTAGATGATTTCAATCTCCACAAGCGGGTCTATCTACTAAGTATGCTGATGTCTCCTGAATAGATCTTTGTGATTGACCTCAGTTCTCAGTCTTTGAGTTCTAAAACTTTATGTACAAATGTCTTCTAGACATTTTTACACAGAAAACACACTGTGACCACAAAATTAACATGTTTATATTTAACTCATCAGCTTTTCCCCAGAGCACCATTTTCTGTTTCTTATGATGTGCCCCTCTCCATGGATTCCATTTAGGGTTCATACTCCTCCTTGCTCCTAAGAGCTAATCAGCTAAGTCTTACAAATTCTATCTCATGGAGATCTGTTAAAATCCACCCCTTCTCTTTATCACTACTCTATGGCTTTTGTTTAAGCTACTATCTTTCCTGGGTTATAAAAATCACTGGACACCTTACCTGCCGTCTCATAGAATTCTATTAGATGCTGCCTGTCCTTCTCCTTATGCTCCCTTCAGAGTATACCTTGAGAGAAAGTCTTGGGTACAGGGAGTTGATTTGGTGACATTATTTCAGGTGAAATAAAACAGAGAAAGAGCAAAAGCCAAGAAAATGGTGAGTGATCTAGCTTGTCACCACCATGGGATCCTCTGAGGGCCTTAGAATGATCTGCTTGAGAGATATAATAGGAGATCATTTGTTTCATGGTTCTTACCCTCTTTGTCAAATGCTATCCCAGGATTGTTTACTCTCTAGCCTTTCCAGGTTTATGCATGTATGAATACTGAGTGCGTGGGAGATATCCAAAGGCATGGCCTCTGAAAAAAACCAAGATGGAAAGCAAGTGATGCAGTGAAACAAATGGAGGTAAGGTTACTGTCAATAGTAGCAGGTTACATTTGGTCAAAGCTGTTTGCTACAGCAATGGCAGGAGATGAGCTTAGAGGCAGGCATAAGCAGTGTCTCATGAATGCTCTTTTTATGATATAAATCTTATTATATAAAGTCCATGCATAAGAATCTGCATAGCTTCCCTTAACTTTTACAATAAAAATTAAGCTCTTTTGCATAGTACCTAAGAATTCTCCAGGAAACTGTATCTGGCACTGAAAATCTGAGTCAAGTTTCTTCTTCTGTGATCTTGTGTCTCCTAGAGTACATAGAGCAGGTACATACAAGAGGCTTTCCTTATTCAAGGAAGCTTAGTAAAGGAAAAAGCCACTTAAAATAAATCAGTTTAAAACTGGAATCAAAATGTCATAGGAAATGGTAGTTGTGGTGATGGTGGTGGTGATGCAATAGGCTGGGGAGGGGGGGGCAGTAATAGAAAATGTCCATGTTAATAAAATGAAGAAAGAACAATGTAGATTATTTTCTTTTAAGTTTTCATGAGTCCTAGCACTCATGATATAGGACAACTGTACTTGGAGTTTTAAACTGTACTTGGAGTTTTAAAATAAACACATTTTTAAAATGTTGCTTTTTGCATATAATTTTTCTGACATTTTATAATAGTGTAAAATTATATACTTTATTAGAGTTTTAGTTTTTCAAAAGAATCCATCATTTTTATTAAAAATATATAGTTTGCACCAACTTCCCCTAAAAGCTACTATAAATCGTGATTTTCCACACATTTTTTGAAATATATACAATATAATTTTTATCAATATTTTCTTCTTTAATTGTTAATTGCTCAACCTTGTGAAGTCTTCATTTGGCAGTGGTTTTGTATGTGCCTAGAATAGTCCATGGACATAATTCTATCGGCAAAATGAAAGTGTGATTCTTGCAAGATGTGCACTTTCACTTTTTAGCTAATTTGCATTGTATTTGCATTGCATTGACTAATGTTTACAGAAGACTACAGTAAGCCAACAGAGTTATCAATAAACAACTTGAGGAAAAGAACAGAGACATTAGATCCCATTTGTCAATTTTGTCTTTTGTTGCCATTGCTTTTGGTGTTTTGGACATGAAGTCCTTGCCCACGCCTATGTCCTGAATGGTAATGCCTAGGTTTTCTTCCAGGGTTTTTATGGTTTTAGGTTTAACGTTTAAATCTTTAATCCATCTTGAATTGATTTTTGTATAAGGTGTAAGGAAGGGATCCAGTTTCAGCTTTCTACATATGGCTAGCCAGTTTTCCCAGCACCATTTATTAAATAGGGAATCCTTTCCCCATTGCTTGTTTTTGTCAGGTTTGTCAAAGATCAGATAGTTGTAGATATGCGGCATTATTTCTGAGGGCTCTGTTCTGTTCCATTGATCTATATCTCTGTTTTGGTACCAGTACCATGCTGTTTTGGTTACTGTAGCCTTGTAGTATAGTTTGAAGTCAGGTAGTGTGATGCCTCCAGCTTTGTTCTTTTGGCTTAAGATTGACTTGGCGATGCGGGCTCTTTTTTGGTTCCATATGAACTTTAAAGTAGTTTTTTCCAATTCTGTGAAGAAAGTCATTGTAAAGAGCTTCTGCACAGCAAAAGAAACTACCATCAGAGTGAACAGGCAACCTACAACATGGGAGAAAATTTTCGCAACCTACTCATCTGACAAAGGGCTAATATCCAGAATCTACAATGAACTCAAACAAATTTACAAGAAAAAAACAAACAAACCCATCAAAAAGTGGGCGAAGGACATGAACAGACACTTCTCAAAAGAAGACATTTATGCAGCCAAAAAACACATGAAGAAATGCTCATCATCACTGGCCATCAGAGAAATGCAAATCAAAACCACTATGAGATATCATCTCACACCAGTTAGAATGGCAATCATTAAAAAGTCAGGAAACAACAGGTGCTGGAGAGGATGCGGAGAAATAGGAACACTTTTACACTGTTGGTGGGACTGTAAACTAGTTCAACCATTGTGGAAGTCAGTGTGGCGATTCCTCAGGGATCTAGAACTAGAAATACCATTTGACCCAGCCATCCCATTACTGGGTATATACCCAAATGAGTATAAATCATGCTGCTATAAAGACACATGCACACGTATGTTTATTGTGGCACTATTCACAATAGCAAAGACTTGGAACCAACCCAAATGTCCAACAATGATAGACTGGATTAAGAAAATGTGGCACATATACACCATGGAATACTATGCAGCCATAAAAAATGATGAGTTCATATCCTTTGTAGGGACATGGATGAAATTGGAAACCATCATTCTCAGTAAACTATCGCAAGAACAAAAAACCAAACACCGCATATTCTCACTCATAGGTGGGAATTGAACAATGAGATCACATGGACACAGGAAGGGGAATATCACACTCTGGGGACTGTGGTGGGGTCGGGGGAGGGGGGAGGGATAGCATTGGGAGATATACCTAATGCCAGATGACGAGTTAGTGGGTGCAGCGCACCAGCATGGCACATGTATACATATGTAACTAACCTGCACAATGTGCACATGTACCCTAAAACTTAGAGTATAATTAAAAAAAAAAAAAAAAAAAAAAGAACAGAGACATTAGGTAATGTTAAGTGGCTGGCAAGGCAAAGACTGGGAGGTATTTCACTAGAGAATAATTTTACAAACTGTCAGTTCCTTAGTGATCATTTCCATGCTATAGAAAATTTTGTGTATATCCTCAACCTCATATAACTGTGGGGATTCAGAGAAGGAATGGATAATGAGTATAAACTGCATATTTACTCTTTATTCTTTCATTATTCTCATAGGAACTCTCATGTTCTACTAAAATTGCTACTGGACTCCTGTGTCTCCAATTAGACTATAATTTCTGTATGGTTTGCTGACTTTTAATAACTATAAAGCAATAGTAATAATAGATAATAATTGATTATACGATTTACTCTTAAACAGTAGTTTTATAAGATCTTTACTAGAATTATCTCTTTGACTTTTCATAATAACCCTAGAAGACACTATGCCTTTGAGGTACTGTTGTTATTCAATTTTACATATCAGGAAACTAAAGAAGATTAATTCATTTCCTCAAGCATCCACCAAAAAAAGTGGTGAAGCTGGGATTCAAATCCAGGTTGAGCATCAAGTGCTTATATTTCCTACAAAATGACAATAGAATAAGATCCAGAGTTTGATTAGATGAACCATCTCCTTTTCCTTTTTCAGAAATGGTTATAAGTGATGCTGTGTTCTTTTTCTTTGTTTGTTTTGGAAATACATCAAGAGGCATAAAATGTGTATTTCTCTCTTACTGCTGTTAAGTTTGACCAGGTGTTTGAATACGGTCAGTTTGAGAGTTTTCTTTTATTCGTTCACCTAATGATTTATGCAGCTTAAATCAGATCCATTATTGGTCATTGTAAAATGATGAATTTCTGATGATCATTCCATCCACATTTATTAAATAAATTTTTATAGAGAAAAAATTCACACATAACTACAGAAATAATTGGACAAATAATAAATTATTTTCCTTGCTTGGTGGGCTTTGCCTTTTTATGTACACTACTATTTTCATCTTTCTTGCACTAACTTCTGCACATGGAAGCAAACCTCAAGATCAAACATTCCCTCTTCATGGAAGTTTACCTGACTGCTTACTTCAGCTCCATTTAATGTTCTTCTATATTTCATTTTATCCTCACCCTATGTCTATGCTATAGGAGTAACCTCTGAAGGGTACATTTTCTCTCTGCCTTCCTCATTAAAAGACATACACCCTGAAGACAGGAATAGTTTATCATATGCTTTTCTTTTTCCAGGTCTTAGTTACTCTGTTTCCTGAATATTGGATGAAAAAAGGGTCAAATAAATTAATGACATTGGAAGATAAAAATGAGACCACACATTGCAAGTTCTACAACTTCTTTACACCATATTTTTCAAGTACTGAGTGAAAGAATAATAAATACATAAATATACAATTATATAACCTGAGGAAATACCTACAGTTCTGTTCTTTCGAGAAGACATGGAAGTAAAAATTGATTTGCTTGTATAAATGGACATCCGTTATTAAAACATTCCAGCAATGAAATACATTTACCTCACATTAAGGTTATGTCAATTCTCTCTAATGCTATGAGAATGTAAAATAAAATTTTCTACTCACAATAGCACTTGCCTAAATAATGTAAAAATGAATACGGTATTTTGTCACACATGGATCTAACCAAACAAAACTGATAAAAGACTATGAATTCTGAGTTAGCTTAGAACACCAGATTGTTACTGGACATGTCTGGAGGCATTTTCCTGATTAATACATAATGGGATTTGTTTTAATCTACTGAATATAGACCTCGGTGCCCACTTTGTCCTATCTGAACACTAGCTTCCAGTTGTTAATTGCCATTATCACTTTGACAACCGTGTCACTTTCTAGTTCTTAAAAAAAATTCTGCCTTTTCCCATTAATGAGCTACTCCATAAATTGTTTCATAGAGATAATAGGAGGCTTTGTATTTTTCCTTGTGCTCTCTTTTTATTTTGGGGGATTAGAAATATGATAGAAGCAATAGACTGCGGCCTTACTGGATATAAGCCACGTTCCTACTATGTCCACATTCTTACCTCTACCTCTCAATTTATATATATTTTTAAGATTCTATATAGTAAATAAGGTCATTGATTTTTTTTGTACTAACGTGTGTTTTTAAGGATGTGAGTTATCCTTTGGGAAATTTTTATTCTGTTTTTGTGTAAGTTCTACCATAGACCCATTGCAGTGAATTGTCACTAAATTCAGAGCATTTTGTCTAATTTCTGAGGCATGAATAAAATATAACATAGTTTCAAATCTCACAGTTTGAGGCCAAACTGAATAGGTTTAAATTCCAGCTCTGCCACCTTTTAGGTAAGTGCACAAGTTATTAAACTTCTTAATGTTTCTGTTACCTGATATGTTTACTGTAAGAATTAAATAGGTTAATCGATATTAAGCACTTATAATCATGTCTGACACACAGTAAGCACTTAACAAAAGGGTTAACTATTGCTATCAATCATCCTATTCATGTTTCTTGATGAATTCACCTATGCTATCACATTGCCCATTGAATGAGATAGTTTCTCTCCATGGACAATTACAGTTTAAGAGCAATGAGAAAGGAAATAGATCACAGTATCTGCTATATCATTATGCATGCAATAAAGTATGCAATTCTTAAGTAAGCAAAATGTATTTGAAGAAGCAAACAAATATAAATTAACCTGAGGAAAACTGCAATTATTCAAAGTTAGAATAATCTCAAAGTGATGATGGAAATATGATGTTTCTTTCAAGATTGCATTTCTAAGTGCCTTTAAGGAATATTTTATACACAATTTTCATTGCCGGCTATTGTTACTAGGTGATTGATAGGAGTGTCAGGTTGTGATATAATAGATGATATAATTTAGTTTAAAAATGACTCTTTGAAGCATGGAAAATCAACACCCAAAATATGCCACACTATGTTCAGTAACATTATATAAGGAAATACAATGTTAGAGTTATATAATTTTAGAACTAAAATATAAAGTAATGAATTAACTTGTATTTTTTGTAAACTCCCTAGTATAAAACAAGGCAAATAACTAAAATAAATGCAAATAGTTATTTATTATGTTTTTTTCATGTTTTTGTGAGCTTAAAATTTCATTTATAGCTTCTGTTTTAGAACAAAAGTCACCAAATTTCATTGTTAATATAAAATTAAACAACTTTTGAAAAACTTCACTACTTCCTAGGAAGACTGCTCTAAAAAGAACACTGGAAATGCACTTGGTCCCCTGCTTTCTTGTTTTCAAAACTTCAAATGTCTCTTCGATATTTAAAAGTAAACTATCCTGTCTGGAATTCCCTTTCTGGTTTGGGCTAATCATTTTTCCAAACTAATCTCTCTCATTTGTATCCTTTTCTAATGGAGAAAAATCTATAGTTGCCCCAGCTGTTTCTAATTTAATAACTCTGGATGTCTTTGGGAAATGACAACTTTACTCTTTTGTTTAAATGGAGGTAGAATGTTTTACTACATAATCACTACAGGTTAAAGAAAATTTTCCCATCCCACATTATATAAATAAGGAAAACAAACATGTATTTTCACAGTCAACTAGAAAGAGAGGAAAGCCTTGCAATTGAAAACTCCATGTCTATTCTTTGAAAGAAGAGAATAGGCTTTACGATTCACTTTCTCCAGTGAAAACATGTAGAGATCTTTTTCTTCTCTGTCAACGATTCTTGTATAGTTTTATTAATATTGGCATTTGTAAATAATACTAAATTTCAAATGCTAAAATAGTGTGCCTCAAAGGTATATGATTCTTCTTTCTTTTCCAAAAATATTGTAGTACCATTAAATTAAATGCAGTTAAGTTTTACTTATGGAATTAAAAATAACTTTCAATATTTATTCACAAAATTATCATTTGGACTATAGAACCAGCATATGCTTTACAGAAAGATTCAATCTGTGGATCCAGTTAAATATAACATATATTACTAATGTCAAAGTTTTACTTCCAACTAGAAATTGAAATACTACTCACTTCCAGCTCCTGTGTTTCCTGTTTTCCTTGCACTTCTCTCCTTTAGCCACCTTGCTGGTACCCACATATATGCTGCACAGATGAGATTCTAAGCTATCATAAATCTTCCTCTTTATCCTTCACAACTGAATGGAATATTTAACCTAAGAATGCTTTTCTTAGTAGCATTGTAGGAGAAAGATAGGTGGGTGTTGTGTTACCTCTAGTAAATAGTTCTCACCTGAGCCAAATAGCCATTTTTTTTCTTTTTATTAAAGCATTCTCTTCTCTAAAAGCAGGACTATAACAATTATTTATATGTGTTTAATCATCACCTATTTTATATCATTAATTTTTCTTTTAATGTTTTAACATTCTTCAATAAGAGCTAAAAAAATTGGCTTTTCTTTATTGTAACATCTGTTTTTCTCTGATTCTCTAACTCATCTGCCCACCAGGAGGCTAAAAAAGGCACATCAAATGGCTGATTTAATTGTAAATATTGTGTGTTATTTCTGATCTCTCTTCATTAATATAATCTCCTGATGCATTCAATTATATGTATTTTTTGTTTTTTATTTTATCCACAGAATTTTGAGCGGTCTAAAAATTATTACCCTAAACACCCCATATATGCCTATATGCCTACTAAATATATGTGTACATATGTGTAGAATATATGTATTCACATATATACACACATGAATATATGTACACATATGTATTTATGTATATATATATGATTTTTCTTTCTAAAATTTTAATTTTAATGGTCTGGAAACACTACTTTACAAAACCTTTCAAATATCTTATTATTAAAAATTATAAACAGTTCTATCAAGAAAAAAAAAAGTTTATGAGATTTAAATTGGCGTGTCAAAGAAAGTGTCTTGGAGAACAGCCAAGGACACAACATGAGTGGGAGAAAGCCAGGCAGAAAATTGAGAGAAAGTAAATATTTCAGGCAGAGAATCAATAGGAAGTTGTGAAAGAACATAGAAAATATAGAAAATAATAGAAGGTTAGAGTGGCAGGAATATATAAAGAAAGGGCGAGAGACAGCTAGTTTTGCTCCCTCCTATCAAACACTGCTGGCAAGTTTTGAAATAAGTCAAATTCTGTACAATACCTAGCTCATGTAGTCAAACTCAGGCCTTTGGAATGCCAAAAACTCAAAATTCTGCCTACAAGATAGAAGGAAAAACAATAGAAAAAAAGTTTCAAATCTATAAGAAGAGATCTTATATATAATTTAATCTAAAAATTTCTATAATCTTTCACATTCTATAACATATCTGTGAAATTATGCAGTGATTCTGTAATGTATTTGAAAATCACACTTAGTAAGAAATTAAAGGAAAAAAAATCCTTTCTCTTTATGCTCACAAAACTTCTGACACCAAACGTGTGTGGTGTTTTTCCATAGCAGCCAATCCTCTAGCTGTCTGAACACCAAATGAGTGCTCTGCAATTTAATCCGGACACTGACTACCTGGAATTCGTGTAGACCCCATAAGTTAAGGGCTCCAGCCTATTAGACTGCCAGCCCACACTTCAGAAAACAATCACAAATCCCGGGTTGTCATCTGTACTTCTGACCAACCAGCCATAAATCAAGGGTCCCCACCACTCCCTAACAGGTATGACAGTTTGCTAATAATGGCTTAAAAAACTCTGGGAAACTTTTACTTACATTTATCCGTTTATTATAAAAGATATTATCAAGGCTACAGATCAACAGCCAGATGAGGAGGTTTACAGGGCAAGGTCCAAAAAATCCTGTACAGAGAAGCTTCTGTCCCCATGGAGTTGTGCATGTGGAAGTGTTCACCTACCTGGAAGCTCCCTGACCCCTGAAGTTTAGAGATTTTTATGGAGGCTTCATCATGTGGTCACGATTAATTATTAACTCTATTTCCAGTCCCTCTGTCCTCCTTGGAGGATGGAGAGAGGGACTTAAATTCTAAGCTTCTGTTCACAGTTTGGTGTTTCTTGTGATCAGCTGCCATCCTGAAACCATCCAAGAGTTGCTGCATTAGAACAAAAGATGCTCCTATTACCAAGGAAATTCAAAGGAATTTAGGATCTCTGTGTACAATGCTACTATTGAAACAGGAAAAGTTCCCTGATCCCCCAGGCAGGACATGCAATGCGGGGTGTGGCTCACTTCTTAGGTGCCCCACTGCTCATACCCCTAGGGGGAGCATGCAGATGGGCAGGTCTTGGGGAGCGCCAACCCCATGGCAGCATCAAGCGTTGAGTGTTTACAACTCCTGGAGCCCCAGCGGGAGTGAGTTACAGTGTGCTCTTTCAATTTTGCCATCTGCAGTCAGCTTGTGTTAATCAGCTCAATTAGAACCTATGCCTTATCACAAGGAAAGAAAGCTTTCTGTATCCCAGGGGTCTTGACTTGGTATACTGGAAAAATTTGTTCACATGTGGTCGTGGAGAATGTGTAAGGAGGTTTTATTGCATGGTGGAAACTCTCCGAGATGGATGGGGAGCCAGAAGAGGAATGGTATGGGAAGGTGGTCTTCCCCTGTAATCGGGCTGCTCAGACCATCCCGGCCAAATTCAGTGTCGTCCCAACATAGATGGCCTGTTGGCATTTGCTGGTATCTGCTGGTGTGTTCTTCTGCCGGCGTGCTCCTCTTGACGTCCAGCTGCTTGTATCTTCTGCTGGTGTGTTCTTCTCAGCGTCCAGCTGCTTGTGTGCCTGCCCACTAGGATCTCAGGGTTTTTATAGGCACAGGATGGGGGCGTGGGACGCTAGGGTGGTCTTGGATAATGCAACATTTGGGCACAAAAACAGAAAAGCCTGTCCTCACCTAGGTCTGTAGGCATAGGCCCTGGGGTGTAGCCCTGCCAGGGACCCGCCCTTCTCTACCCAGTACTTCCCTGCCCCTACCTCGCATATTACTATCATCCCCATTACCCAGAAAATTACAAGAGTTCAGGAGCTTTATGTCAGGAACATATGGCAGAGACCAAATCTATATTTTGTGTTATTGTCACAGAAATAAAAAAACTGTTAAATAAAGATAATCTCCATGGATGTAGACAATGGAACTTTCTATAAAGTCTTTAAACCCATCTCAAAAAGGAAAATAAAATGTTCTAAATAGGTTGAAGTTTCAATCTTAATAAAATGAGATGACTTTTATAGACTTTTAAAATAGACTTTTCATAGATTTTTGTGAAGCAATTTCATGATAGTTTTTTCATTAGACATTTTAAAAAACATGAGAACTGTAGTATTTTATTCTGGTTGACTAACTTCCTCCACTTGTATTTTGGCTGCCTTGTAATGATGCAAACATGAAGGGGCAATAGACAGCTGTGTTGGGAGGACATGAAATTATGATTCAGTAGACCAGTTTTCTTATTCACCTTCTCCAAGATAAAAATACTACCTGTGATAACTTCAAGAATTAAACCAGGTAAAATGTGTGAATTAATTTCAATAATATGTAATATAGAAATCATATAGGCTAATTCTAATGAATGCCATTAGAAGAAAGAGGCATAACCATAATTCACAAAAGTGACCACTACCCTAAAAGATGGAATTGGCATGTAAATATACTACAGTGATGAGTTCTTCCATATATTGTACAATACAATGACTGGTTTTGTAATGCCATAATCAGTCAAGTGCAAAGATACTGTCTTAGAAAATGTTGATTTATTTTTAGAGTTAAAGGGGGCTGGCAGGCACAGGAGAACTTCCTCAATAAAAGTGTGAAGTTGACATGCAAAATACCTCAGTGTTCTCTTAAGGGATCCAAATTCACATATGGAAGGACTTCCTGGATGCTTCAGCTTCTGGCAATTATGAAGAAATCTGATATTCACATTCATGTGCAGACTTTCACATGTACATGCATTTTCAAATGGTTGGATAAGTATCCAGAACAATTACTTGATGTGGTAAGGCTATTTAAACATAGACTTTGCAAGAAACTGTAACGATGTCTTTCAATGTGGCTTTATTTTATGGAATTACCACCACCAATGAATAAGTATTGCTCTGCTAACTCTGTATGATCACCAGAAATTACTATTATTAATTTGTTAGATTTTAGTCCTTCTACTGCTATGCCACATTTTAACATTTTCAATTATCTAATTTTAATAATGTTGAGCATCTTTTTATATGCTTATTTTCCATCTGTATATCTACTTTGGTGAGATATCTATTCAGATTTTTCATCCATTTTTTCACTGTGTTGTTTTTGTACTGAGTGTTAAGCTTTCTTTGTATATTGCATACACAGGAATAAAATCTGCATTTGTCACATTATATCTCTCATTCTATGTTTTGTCTTTTGATTATCTTAACATTATATTTCACATAGCTAGGGTTTTTAACTTTAACAAAGCACAGCTTTTCATGTATTTTCTTCTTATTTTTGGATGGTGCTTTGGTATTATATCTAGAAGTTCATTGCCAAACTAAGTCACATATATAGGAACAACGATAAAAACTGTAGCAGACTTCTCATCAGAAACCACGCAAGCAAGAAGAAAGTAAAGTGAAATATTAAAAGTGTTGGGAAAAAGAAAACTATTGACCTGGCACCTTGTACTCTATTTCTTAATAAGTTACGTACCCTCACCATTATTTTTCAAGAGCGAAATTAAATACATGCTTCAGGTCCTCACCATCTTTTGCAAATCATCTCATTTATAAATATATATTTAAGATACAACTGTGTTTCCCTTCATTTCGAAGACGATGTTTAAATAGCCTTACCACATCAAGTAATTGTTCTAGATATTTATCCAACCATTTAAAAATGCATATACATGTGAATATCTGCACATGAATGTGAATATCAGCTACATTCATAATTGTTAAAAGCCAGAAGCATTCAAGAAGTCCTTCAATAAGTGAATATATAGTCAGTGCTTTATGTGTACAATGGAACCACTGATGGAAATAAATGAGCTAGTAAGCCACAAGGAAACAGATATGTATCCTAAATGTATATTTATAAATAAAAGAAGCAAGTCTGAAATGCTACATGTTGTTTTATTTTATTTATATGACCCTCTGGGAATGGCAAAACTGCTCAGTAGTTGCTAGTGAAGACAGGGAAGCTTTGAATATGTGAAGCACAGAGACTTCCTTTAAGGTGGTAAAATTATTCTGTATGATACTGTAATGATCAATATGTGACACTATATATTTGCCAAAACCTATAGAATTTTAGAGCATAAACATAGAAAATGTATGGAAATTAAAAAATAATGAACTATAATAGAATTTTGGAGAATCCCAGTTTGGAATGATGAAGGTGACAAAACAGTCTAATTGTATTTTAAATATCTGGAAGCAGTCACATTGAAGAGGACAGGGGAAAGTTACTCACCTGGGTAACTTTAGAACTGAGTAAAGTTTTGTCTTTAGATGATAAAGTTGTTTCCGATGGTGTATTCATTCTGATACTTCTGCTTTGGTGTACTGGAATTGAACAATTAATAAATGGATGGTGGGAATTAGGTTTCTTACTGATAGTGTGGAAATTAACAGATAAAAAAATAGAGAATGCTAGAATGATCCATGTGGTAATAAAATAAAGTTGAAGATACAAGTAGAAAATTTTGTTTAGCTTAATATGAATTCAGATGATTAGATGTAAAAATATTTATAGCTATGTGTACATGCCTGGTAAATAAAACACATGTGTTATTTTATGAGCCAAATTCCTGGAAGCAACAATCCTCAGAAACAACAAATACACCTGGAGACCTGAGATTGGATTCTAATAGTACTTTACAATAAAAGGAACTCTTTGGAGAAATGGCTAATTCTACGGTAAGAGCAGGAAATATACAAAATGAGCCTGGAGTATCTTAATGCCATAAAGGAAAATAGTATTCTAAAAACAAAAACAAAATCTCTGTTTGTAAGGGTATGTGGAAGGGACACAGAAGCCAACTGAAAGAGCTTCCAATGTCCAAATCTGGAATAATTTAAGAAAAAATAAATAAATTAGGACTGGCTTATAACTTGAAGTAGAAAATAAATATCCGTGAATTTATAATGATATAAGTGATTGAATAATTAAATAACTGAATGCTATGAAAGAAACAAATCTCGTGCAGAAGAATTTTAAGTAATTTATGTAGATCCTTTATGTTGGATAATATTTAATGAGGTCACTATCAAGTTTTACTATTGATGACCAGAGAACAGTGTGGCCATTAGGTGCAGAAACATACTTAAGTGAGAAGGTTCTTAAGGGCTGCTACGGAAAGATAAGTTTCAATCTCTGACTTAACAGGAGAGTCTTCTACACATTACTGAAAGCTCTTAGATTTTAACTCCCCAGAGACCAATTATGATATGAAAGGCAGAATGTTCCACAGTTCAGAAAGAGAGCTTATTCCAGTGTTTTGTTGTTAAATGCTATATAACTGAATCCTCAATGGGATAAAAAATTGCATAAATTATTATAAATGGTACTGATATCAGAAAAGTGCAACAACACAATTTACAAGTAATACTAAAATATACTATAAAACACTTTTTATTGTAAATTCTATATAGTGAATGACTACACAGAGAAAAGTATCATAGAATGCTTTTGTTGATTTTTACCATAGTCTATCCATATCCAGTGCTAATCCATGGTTACATTTGATGAATGAATGTAGTTCTGATATGAATGTTGGTTGATAGTTTTTCTTACATTATTAACAAATATGACAAAAGTGAAACCATGGAGGCATATGTTGGAACATCTCTTTTACCTTTAAGATGAGTGAATGCCAAATTGGACAATTGTTTTTTAATACTGAAAGTATATATTTTTTTGTGGCTCATCATAAAATAATAGCTACTGATAAAACACATTTTTAAAAAATTACTTAATTTCCAGGATACATGTGCAGAATGTGCAGGTTTGTTACACAGATATACACGTGCCATGGTGGTTTGCTGCACCTATTAACCCGTCATCTAGATTTTAAGCACCACACGTATTTGGTATTTGTCTTAATGCTCTACCTCCCCTTGCTGCCCACGCCCTGATAGACCCCAATGTGTGATGTTCCCCTCCCTGTGTCCACGTGTTCTCATGGAAGAAACACACTTTTAAGTTTAGTCTACATTATTAACATTTTCTTTATCATTTCTTAGTCTGAACAATCAATAAGAATAATCAATAAGTCTTATTTTTTTTATTTGTAGCATTTGCTTATTTCTGTGGTTGAAATACTCCAACCACAGTTAAAGAGACTAATGATACTGAACATCTTTTCATATGCTTTTTAGCCATTGGTATCTTTTCTTTGGTGAAATTTCTGTTCAAATCTTTTGTCCTTTTTTAATTAGGTAATTTGTTTTATTTGTTCTTGTCGTTTTTGTTGAGTTGTATGAGTTCTTTACACATTTTGAACACTAAACCCTTATCAGACACGTAATTTGCTAACATTTTGT
This sequence comes from Homo sapiens, assembly GCF_000001405.40. Lineage (NCBI taxonomy): Eukaryota > Metazoa > Chordata > Mammalia > Primates > Hominidae > Homo > Homo sapiens. The sequence continues at coordinate 60,093,226 of NC_000004.12, read as the reverse complement.
CCCATTCTTTGGGTTGTCTTTTGGCTTTTTTTTTTTTTTTTTTTTTGAGACGGAGTCTTGCCTGTCTCCCAGGCTGGAGTGCAGTGGCAAGATCTTGGCTCACTGAAAGCTCCATCTCCTGGGTTCACATCATTCTACCTCTGCCTCTCGAGTAGCTGGGACTACAGCTGGCCGCCACCATGCCTGGCTAATTTTTCTATTTTTAGTAGAGATGTGGTTTCACAGTGTTAGCCAGGATGGTCTTGATCTCCTGACCTCGTGATCTGCCTTTCTCGGCCTCCCAAAGTGCTGTGATTACAGGCGTGAGCCACCGCACCCAGCCTGGATTGACTTTCTTAATAATATTGTGTGGATCGAAAATTTTAAACTTTTTATGAAATCCAATTTTTCTATTTGTACTTTTGTTTTTGCTTTTAGTGTCATATCTAAGGATACTTTGCCATATCCAAGGTCATGCAGATTTGCTTTTATATTTTCTTCTAAGACTTTTAACTTTTATAGTTTTATCTCTTATATTAATGTATTTGATCCATTTTGAGTTAATTTTTGAATATGGTATAAGGTAGGTCGGTATAACTTCATTCTTTGCCAAGTGAATATCCAGTAGTCCCAGCATCATTTGTTGATGAGACTATTCCTTCTTCATTAACTGGTCTTAGCACTCTTATTTAAAATCAATTGACCTTGATATGGTTAGGCTTTGTGTCCCCACCCAAATCTCATCTTGAATTATAATCCCCATAATCCCTATATGTCAAGGGAGAGAACAGGTGGAGGTAATTGAATTATGAGGGCAGTTTCCCACATGCTGTTCTCATATAGTAAGTGAGTTCTCACAAGATCTGATGGTTTTATAAGGGGCTCTTCCCCCTTTGCTCAGCACTTCTTCCTGCCGCCTTGTGAAGAAGGTACCTTGCTTCTCCTTTGCTTTCTGTCATGATTGTAAGTTTGCTGAGGACTCCACAGCCCTGCTGAACTGTGAGTCAGTTAAAGCACTTTCCTTTATAAATTATCCAGTCTCAGGGAGTTTTTTTATGGCAGTATGAAAATGAACTAATACAACCATGTATATATATAAATTTATCTATTAACTGTTAATTCTATCTTATTGGTCTACATGTCTTTCTTTAGGCTAATACCACATTGTTTCAATTATAAGAACTTTGTAGTAAGTTTCAAATTCAGGAAGAATGAGTACTCCAAATTTCTTCTTTTTCAAGATTGTTCTGACTCTTTAGGGTCCCTTGAAATTTCATATAAATTATAGGATTACTTTTATTTTCTATTTCTGTAAAAAGGCTATTGGATAGTGATTTGTATTTCATTTGTAGAACAATTTGGATAGTGCTGCCAATTAACAACAGTATGTTTCAATCCATAAGAATGGACTGGCTTTTTATTTATTTGGATCATCTTAAACTTTTCGGCAAAGTTTTTCAGTTTTCAGTGTACAAATCTTTTCTCTCATTGGTTAAATTTATTTCTAAATGTTATTGTTTTACCATTTTAAATGGAAATGTATTCTTAATTTCATTTTGGAATCATTCATTGGTAATTTGCAGATAAAGAACTGATTTTATATTGATCTCATTTTTTTGCAACATTACTGAATTTATCATCTTTATTATTTGTACGTGCAAATTCCTTCATATTTTTTTTATTGGATCACGTCATCTAAAAGTAAAGATGATTTTATTTCTTCTTTTCCAGTTTGGATGCTTTTTATATCTTTTCTTGCATAATTGCTCTCACTAGAACATCTAGTAAAATGTTGAATAGAAATGAGGAAAGCAAATATTCTTGTCTCATTCCTAATCTTAGAGGAAAACATTTCAGTTGCTCTTCATTGAATATAATGTTGGCTGTGAGTTTTTCATAAACACCCTTTATTATTTGCAGAAGTTTCCTTGTAGTCCTAATTTGTTGAGGGCTTGTATCATGAAAGAATATTAGATATTTTCAAATTCTCTTTCTGTATCAATTAATCATATTTCAATTTATTTTGTTAATGTGCTATGTTATGTTGATTGATGTTCATATATTGAACCACCCTTGCATTCTTGGAATAAATCCCACTTGGTCATAATATAGGATTCTCTTAAAATTCTGTTGGATTTGGTTTGCTAATATTTTGTTGAATAGTTTTGCATTTGTAATAATAAATAATATTGATCTTTTGTTTTGTTCTCATGTGATGTCTTTTTCTAACTTTATTATCAGATTAATCCTGGCCTCAAATAAGGAGTTAATAAAAAAATTACTTAGGAAAACATCTTCTACGTTTAGGAAAATTTAAAATTGACTGATGTTATGTTTTAAAAAACGTTTGGAACAATTTGCCAGTGAAGACATATGGTCCTGGGGATTCTTTTGAGGGAGGTTTTGAGTGCTGATACAATCTTTTTATTTGTTGTTTGTCTTTTTAAAATTTTTATTTTTTTTTTTTTGAGTTAGTTTTGGCAGTTTGTGTGTTTCCAGAAATTTTTTAAATTTGTTTAAAATTGTTTTCTATGTTAAAATGTTTTCAATGTTATCTAATTTGTTGGTGTACAATTATTCATAATATACTCAAAATCTTTTTCATTTTCTTAGTGTCTGAAGTAATGTCTCCAATTTCTTTTCTGATTTCAGTAATTTTTCTTTTTTTCTTTGTCTAAAGATTTGTCCATTTTGCTGATTGCTTTAAAAAATCAACTTATGTTTTAAAATTTTCTTTTTTTCTCTATTTTATTGATCTCCACTCTAATCTTTATTTCTTATACTGGCTTTGAATTTATCTTGCTTTTCTTTTTATAGTTTCTTAAAATATGATTAAGTTATTAACTTAAAATTTTTCTTTTTTAATATAAGCATTTACAGGTATACATTTCTACATGAGCATTGCATTTGATGCATTCCAAAAGTTTTGGTAAGTTGTGCTTTTCTTTTCATTTCTTTTATTGTATTTTCTAATCTCCATCATGATTTTTTCTTTGACCTATTAGTTATTTAAGAGTGTGTCCCAAGTGTATCCTAAGCTTGCTGCAAGTGTTATTCCTGACTTGGCTACTATTAGTTTTAATACACATAGTAAACGCCATGGAAATACTTCAAGTCAGGTGAAACAAAGAAAAGCCTCTGCACTGCTCCCTGAGGGTGGAGATAGGGAGGTGGAAACCTGCAGCCACAATTGTTCGAGAATAAGGTTCCTATCACTCTCTCTGGCTCCGCCAATCTATACTATAAGTGTAGTTGCTGATTTGGAGTATGAAGGATGTTCAACTTGCATTCTAATATGCAGCCTTTTTTTCACAAATTTTCTCCCTGATTGTTGTAAGTTTATGACTATATCCTAGAGTTCCTCAAATATTGATTTTGATGGATTTTGCCTTTTGGAGAGGGCTGGAATAGTTTCCCCATTTGCAGTGACATTATTCCTCAAATGCTACTTGTATGGCCATATTCCACACTGACTCTTACTTATGTCTCAGTTGGCTTGCATTTCCTGTTCACTGTCTTTGTCCTCTCCTTCAGTGAGGGGCCTGGAAAGCAGTGAAAACAATGTGACTTTAGTTTGTTTACAAAGGAACTATTCAAAAGTCAAAATGCAAATAGTTTGAGAAAGGAAGAAATAGCTAATTCTGTCCTTAGGAATATAACCTAGGCACAGATAAATACACAGGAAAAAGCTAGATTCAAGGATACAGTGAAAGAATGAGATAGAAAGTAAGTTATTTCTAAAGTCATTCAACAGCATGCAATGTAACTTCAGTCTTCTCTTGTAGCAAATGGCAATATATGATAGTTAATTTTTTGAGGAAAACAAATCACCTTAATTGAGCATAGTTTTCATTTTAAAACAAGTTGTGGAGCTTAAGGCTGAAGTTCTCCAGAGAAAATAGCCCTGTGATTTATATCAGCACTGCTTGAACTCAAAACAATTTGTGAGGTTGCATATGAATAACGCAGGGTGAGAACAGTGCGGGAGGAAACCATTGAAAGAAAGTAAATGAAGTGTTTTTAAAATTGAATATATAGAGAACTATTTAATTTGAATTATTCACCAACACTAGTGATATTACAGGAATAACCACAGATGAGTGAATATTTTAATTTTTTAAGATGGGGTCATGCTGTTCCTTTTATACATTAAAAAAAAAAATCCCAGAGACCAGGAATAGAAAAGAGAGTGAGAAGTACATCACAGCCTATGAATATGCAAGAATGAGCTGGAGTTCTTCTGAAAAGAAGAGTGGCCTGTTGAACTCTGTGACATGCATCCATAGCTGTTGACTCAAGATCCACAGAGGCAGAGTTTCTGCCAGTTGAGAGAATGTCAAATGATCAGCAGAAAATGCACCTTTTAGATACGTTGTAACTATTGCTGACTATAATGATATGCTATATATTTTGGAGGCATTTCAAGTACCTGAGAGGTATACTAATTATTATACATATGAAAAAATAATGTATGATGTTTATTTTTTACTCACATAATCTTAAATGCTATAGTGTCAAGTAGTTAAATATATAATTTTTTCACAAGAGATAAATGAAAAAATAATAGATTGTTCAATAATGTGGTAATAACTGCTACAATTATAAAAGTATATAAAGCATTGGACATTAACTCCATTAAAATCAAATATGGAACCTTCTCAATTTTTATATCAATTAATCCTGTTTAATGTTGCATATTATTTTTAGCCTTAGCAGTTCCTTGGTTATATACCTACTATGTGTATTCACACTGCTTTAGAATAACCGAGTCGAAAAGAAATCTTGTCTATAAAGGTTTGAAATCAATAGTCATTTAAAGTTAATAGTATGAGAATTCTAAATGGTCTGGGAAAACAGCCAGCTGACCAATATTAAAGTAAATGGCTAGGCTCGATATTTGTATAGAATGTATCTTACTAGGACTCAAGTATCCATAGCTAAAATCATGTAATTCAAAGAGGTGTTAGATCCTGTTTTGTAAGTATAGAAAGAGCTCCAAATTATCTAGCTTATCTAAATACTTCTGGAAATGCTCAATTATTACTGAGAGGCTATTATGTCTTCTAGTTGAAAAAGCTCAACTGAAAAAAAATATGTATATACTTTTAAACAATATCAGAGAGAAGAACATGAGTTTTTATAATGCAAGTTAAATGACAGGGAAATGAAAATCATTTGACTCATTCAGCTAGATGTTTCCTTAATATTCAGGCCAAACCATTATTTGATTTCAGATTCTGTTGAACGCTATTGGTCAATGAAAATAAACAAAGTTATTTACTTTTAATGTACAGGTCAGATCTGTTAGAATAATTAACTTGGCTTAGCTACTTTTAGCATCAAGTTTGATTTCAGGCATACCTCGTGATTGGCTAATATCTGGTTACTATCTTCTATGAGAGTCTCTTCTTAATTTTTATATTTTAGTATCTCTGTCTATGTAATGATATTCCCTGAAACTTCTTTAGAAACTATGTACTTTGTTTAGCTGGCCCTGGACATTTCGTATGTGGTATGGGATTTAGGGACAATTGATAGAGACCAAAAGGACTAATGTACTTCAGTACTTCCCAGAAAGCCTTCCAATAATCTAAAGGAGTCTGCGTTGTTTTAGACATAGTTCCAATGACCTTCTCAAATTTCATGGAAAGCTCTTCGATAATCCAGTTCATCCGAAATCTTCTTCAACATTCTGACAATTCCCATTAACACAAATGCTGCATATCTTTCTTTGTCCAGTGACAACTCTTCAACAGGCTGCCTGTGAGTATGGAGAAAGTTATAGAAAGGTAATATTTTCACTCAATCAGCTTTTATCAGTTTGACATTAGCTTTAAAGCAAAGCTCTGGCAAGTCCATTGGCCTTAGAATAGCAGTTTAGCCTGGCAATTCCTCATCAGTTCTGGTTGCAATTATGTCGAAGTGCAAGAAAACATGTTAAATAATAATCTGAGAGTAAAATTATGAATATTTATCCTACTTAGGCATAAAGTAAGAGATAATTTTTAAAATAGGAAGTATTATTATTAATTTTTTTACTTTAAGTTCTGGGATACATGTGGAGTATGTGCAGGTTTGTTACATAGGTATACATGTGCAATGGTGGATTGTTGCACCTATCAACCTATCATTTAGGTTTTAAGTCCCACATGCATTAGGTATTTCTCCTCATGCTCTCACTCCCTTTGCTCCCCAACACCCCAGAAGGCCCCGGTGTGTGATGTTCCCCTCCCTGTGTCCATGTGTTCTCATTATTCAACTCCCACTTATGAGTGAGAACATGCAGTGATTGGTTTCCTGTTCCTGTGTTAGTTTGCTGAGAATGATGGCTTTCAGCTTCATCCATGTCCCTGCATAGGACATGAACTCATTCTTTTTTATGGCTGCGTAGAATTCCATGGTGTATATGTGCCACATTTTCTCTATCCAGTCTATCATTGATGGGCATTTGGGTTGCTTCCAGGTCTTTGTTATTGTAAATAGTGCTGCAATAAACATACGTGTGCGTGTGTCTTTATACTGTAATGATTTATAATCCTTTGGGTATATATACAGTAATGGGATTGCTAAGTCAAATGGTATTTCTGGTTCTAGATCCTTGAGGAATCCCCACACTGTCTTCCACAATGGTTGAACTAATTTACACTCCCACCAAAGTGTAAAAGTGTTCCTATTTCTCCACATTCTCTCCAGCATCCGTTTCCTGACTGTTTAATGATCTTCATTCTAACTGGTGTGAGATGGTATCTTATTGTGGTTTTGATTTGCATTTCTCTAATGACAAGTGATGATGAGCTTTTTTTCATATGGTTGTTGGTTGCATAAATGTCTTCTTTTGAGAAGTGAGACATGTCTGTTCATATCCTTTGCCCACTTTTTGATGGGGTTGTTTGTTTTTTTCTTGTAAATATGTTTAAGTTGCTTGTAGATTCTGGATATTAGACCTTTGTCAGAAGGATAGATTGCAAAAATATTCTCCCATTCTGTGGGTTGCCTGCTCACTGTGATGATAGTTTCTTTTGCTGTGCAGAAGCTCTTTAGTTTAATTAGATCCCATTTGTCAATTTGGGCTTTTGTTGCAATTGTCTTTGGTGTTTTATTCATGTGGTGTTATTTCTGAGGCCTCTGTTCTCTTCCATTGGTCTGTGTATCAGCTTGGTACAAGTACCATGCTGTTATTTTTACTGTAGCCTTGTAGTATAGTTTGAAGTCAGGTAGCGTGATGACTCCAGCTTTGTTCTTTTTGCTTAGGATTGTCTTGGCTATATAGGATCTTTTGTAGTTCCATATGAAATTTCAAGTAGTTTTTTCTAATTATATGAAGAAAGTCAATGATAGCTTGATGGTAATAGCATTGAATCTATAAATTATTTTGGGCAGTATGGCCATTTTTATGATATTGATTCTTCCTATCCATGAGCATGAAATTTTTCTTTTCCATTTGTTTGTGTCCTTTTTTATTTCCTTGAGCAGTGGTTTGTAGTTCTCCTTGAAGAGGACCTTCACATCCCTGGTAAGCTGTATTTTATTTTCTTTGTAGCAATCGTGAATAGGAGTTCACTCATGATTTGGCTCTCTGCTTATCTATTACTGGTGTATATGAATGCTTGTGATTTTTGCACGTTGATTTTGTATCTTGAGACTTTGTTGAAGTTGCTTATCAGCTTAAGGAGTGTTTGGGCTGAGACTATGGGGTTTTCTCAATATACAATCATGTCATCTGCAAACAGAGACAATATGACTTCCTATCTTTCTATTTGTATATGCTTTATTTCTTTCTCTTGCCTGACTGTCCTGGCCAGAACTTCCAATACTATGTTGAATAGGAGTGGTGAGAGAGGGCATCCTTGTCTTGTGTTGGTTTTCAAAGGGACTGCTTTCAGCTTTTACCCATTCGGTATGATATGGGCAATGGGTTTGTCATAAATAGCTCTGATTATTTTGATGTATGTTCCATCAATACCTAGTTTATTGAGAGTTTTTAGCATGAAGATACATTGAATTATATTTTAGACCTTTTCTGCATCTATTGAGATAATCATGTGGATTTGTCATTGGCTCTGTTTATGTGATGGATTACATTTATTGACTTGCATATGTTGAACCAGCCTTGCGTCCCAGGGAGGAAGCCAACTTGATCATGGTGGATAAGTTTTTGATGTGCTGCTGGATTCAGTTTGCCAGTATTTTATTGAGGATTTTTGCATTGATGTTCATTGGGGATATTGGTCTGAAAATTTCTTTTTTTCTTGTGTCTCTGCCAGGTATCAGGATGATGCTGACCTCATAAAATTAGATAGGGAGGAGTCTCCCTTTTTCTTTTGCTTGGAATAGCTTTAGAAGGAATGGTAGTAGCTCCTCTTTGTACCTCTGGTAGATGTTGGCTGCCAGTCCATCTGGTGCTGGGCTTTTTTTGGTTGGTAGGCTGTTAATTACTGCCTCAATTTCAGAACTTGTTATTGAAGGTCTAGTCAGGGATTCGACTTCTTCCTTGTTTAATGTGGGGAGGCTGTATGTGTCCAGAAATTTATTTATTTCTTCAAGATTTTCTAGTTTATTTTCATAAAGGTTTTTATAGTATTCTCTGATGGTAGTTTGTATTTCTGTGGTATCAGTGGTGATCTCCCTTTTATTATTTTTTATTGTGTCTATTTGATTCTTCTCTCTTTTCTTCTTTATTGGTCTAGCTTAGCAGTGTATCTATTTTGCTAATCTTTCCAAAAAATCAGCTCCTGAATCCAATGATTTATTGAAGGGTTTTTTGTGTCTCTATCTCCTTCAGTCGGCTCTGATCTTAATTATTTCTTGTCTTCTGCTAGCATTTGAATTTGTCTGCTCTTGCTTCTCTAGGTCTTTTAATTGTGATGTTCGGGCATTAGGTTGAGATCTTTCCAGCTTCCTAATGTGGGCATTTAGTACTATAAATTTCACTCTTAACATTGTTTTAGCTGTGTCCCAGAGATTCTGGTACGTTGTCACTTTCTTCTCATTGGTTTCAAAGAATTTCTTTAGCTCTGCATTAATTTTGTTATTTACTCAGTAGTCATTCAAGAGCAGGTTGTTTAATTTCCATGTGTTGTGTGGCTTTGAGTGAGTTTCTTAAACCTGAGCTTTAATTTGATTGCACTGTGGTCTGAGAGACTGCTTTTTATAATTTGTGTTTTTTGTTTGTTTGTTTGTTTTTTTTTTTTTTTCCATTTACTGAGCAGTGTTTTACTTCCAATTATGTGGTCGATTTTAGAATAAGTGCTATGTGGTGCTGAGAAGAATGTATATTCTGTTGATTTGGGGTGGAGAGTTTTGTAGTTATCTATTAAGCCCACCTGGTCTAGAGCTGAGTTCAAGTCCTGAATCTGTCTGTTAATTTTCTGTTTCCTTGATCTGTCTAGTATTAACAATGGGGGGTTTAAACTCTCCCATTATTATTGTGTGGAGTCTAAGTCTCTTTGTAGGTCTCTAACAACTTGTTTTATGAACCTGGGTTTTCCTGTGTTGGGTGTATATATATTTAGGATAGTTAGCTCTTCTTTTTGCATTGATCCCTTTACCAGTATGTAATGCCCTTTGTCTCTTTTAATCTTTGTTGGTTTAAAGTCCGTTTTATCAGAGATTAAGATTGCAACCCCTGATTTTTTTCTGCTTTCCATTTGCTTGGTAAATCTCTTCAATCTCTTTATTTTGAGCCTCTGTGTGTCTTTGCATGGAGGATGGGTCTCCTGAATACAGCACACCAGTGGGTCTTGAGTCTTTATTCAGTTTGCCAGTCTGTCTTTCAATTGGGGCATTTAGCCCATTTACATTTGAGGTTAATATTGTTATTTGTGAATTTGATCCTGTCATCATGATGCTAGCTGGTTGTCTTGCACAGTTCATGCAGTTTCCTCACAGTGTCATTGGTCTTTATATTTTGGTGTGTTTTTGCAGTGGCTGGTACCAGTTTTTCCTTTCCTTAATTAATGATTCCTACTGGCGCTCTTGTAAGGTAGGCCTGGTGGTGACAAAATCCCTCATCATTTGCTTGTCTGGAAAGGATTTTATTTCTCCTTCACTTATGAAACTTAGTTTGGCTGAATATGAAATTCTGGGTTGAAAATCCTTTTCTTTAAGAATGTTGAATATTGGCCCCCACGTTCTTCTGGCTGGTAGGGTATCTGCAGAGAGATCCACTGTTAGTCTGATGGGCTTCCCTTTGTATGTAACCTAACCTTTCTCTCTGGCTGTTCTTAACATTTTTTCCTTTGTTTCAACCTTGGAGAATATGACGATTCTGTGTCTTGGGGTTTCTCTTCTTGAGGAGTATCTTAGTGGTGTTCTCTGTATTTCCTGAATTTGAATGTTATTCTGCCTTGCTAGGTTGGGGAAGTTCTCCTGGATAATATCCTGAAGAGTGTTTTCCAACTTGGTTCCATTCTCCCCATCACTTTCAGGTATGCCAATCAAACATAGGTTTGGTCTTTTCACATAGTCCCATATTTCTTGAAGGCTTTGTTCATTCCTTTTCATTATTTGTCTCTAATCTTGTCTTCATGTCTTATCTCAGTAAGTTGATCTTCAATCTCTTATATCCTTTCTTCCACTTAATTGACTTGGTTATCTATACTTGCATATGCTTCACGAAGCTCTTGTGCTGTGTTTTTTAGCCCCATCAAGTCATTCATGTTCCTCTCTAAACTGGTTATCCTAGTTAGCATTTCCTGTAACCTTTTATCAAGGTTCTTAGCTTACTTGCATTGGGTTAGAACATGCTTCTTTAGCTCAGAGGAGTTTCTTATTACCCACCTTCTGAAGCCTACTTTTGTCAATTCATCAATCTCATTCTCTATCCAGTTTTGTGCCCTTGCTGGAGAGGAGTTGCGATCATTTGGAGGAGAAGAGGCATTATGGCTTTTGGAATTTTCAGTATTTTTGTGCTGGTTTTTCCTCATTTTCATGGATTTATCTGCCTTTGATCTCTGAGGCTGATAACTTTTGGATGGGTTTTTTGTATGGGGGTTCTTTTTGATGATATTGATGTTGCTTTCTGTTTGTTAGTTTTTCTTCTAACACTCAGGCCCCTCTTCTGCAGGTCTGCTGCAGTTTACTGGAGGTCCACTCCAGACCCTGTTTGTCTGGATATCCCCAGTGGAGGCTGCAGAACGACAAAGATTGCTGGCTGCTCCTTCCTCAGAAAGCTTCATCCAGTGGGGCACTGGCCTGATGCCAGCCAGAGCTCTCTTGTATGAGGTGTCTTTGACCCCTGTTGGGAGGTCTCTCCCAGTCAGGGAGCATGGGGGTCAGGGACCCACTTGAGGAGGCAATCTGCCCCTTAGTAGAGCTCGAGAACTGTGCTGGGAGAATACTCCTTATCAGGGTCAGCTGCCCTCTTCAGAGCTGGCAGGCAGGAAATTTTAAGTTTGCTGAAGCAGTGCCCACAGCCACCCCTTCCCTCAGGTGCTCTTTCCCAGGGAGAGAGTTTTACCTGTAAGCCCCTGAGGCTGCTGCCTTTTCTTCAGCAATGCTCTGCCCAATGAGGAGGAATCTAGAGAAGCAGTCTGGCCACAGCTGCTTTGCCACACAGTGGTGAACTCCCACCATTTCACACCTCCCACCTCCTTAACACTGTCAGGGGAAAACCTCCTGTTCAAGCCTCAGTAATGGTGGACACCCCTTCCCCACCAAGCTCGAGTGTCCCAGGTTGACTTCAGACTGCTATGCTGGCAGTGAGAATTTCAAACCAGTGGTTTTTAGCTTGCTGGGCTCCGTGGGAATGGGAACCCCTGAATGAGACCACTTGGCTCCTTGGCTTCAGCCCCCTTTCCAGGGGAGTGAACTTTTCTGTCTCACTGGGGTTCCAGGCACTACTATGGTACAAAAAATACTCCTGCAGCTAGCTCAGTGTCTGCCTAAACAGCCACCCAGTTTTGTGCTTGAAACCCAGGGCCCTCGTGGTGTAGGCACATGAGGTAATCTCCTGACTTGCAGATTGCAAAAACAGTGGGAAAAGCATAGTATCAGGGCAGGGTAGCACAGTCCCTCATGGCTTCCCTTGATTCAGGAGGGAGGTCTCCCAGCTCCTTGCACTTCCCAGGTGAGGTGACGCCCCGTCTGTGTTCTGCATCCCCTGCCTAACCAGTCCCAGTGAGATGAACTGGGTACCTCAGTTGGAAATGCAGAAATCACCCACCTTCTGCATTGGTCTCTTTGGGAGCTGCAGACAGGAGCTCTTCCTAGTCAGCCATCTTGTCAGATCTTCAGGAAATATTATTTTATGTAGTATAATATATAATTAAAGCATACACTTTAGTATGTGCAGTGTGTAATATATTATATACAAAATATTATGTATTATGTCAGGAATTAAATTTATAATATTATCTTCAATTTACATATAATCTGTGATGTTTGCATGTGCCATTTGGGTTAAGAGCACAGACAGTGGAAAAACATATCCTAGGTTTAAATTCTAACTTCACAGCACATTAGCTTTGTGACCCTGTCAAAATCACTGAGCATCTGTAAAATGTAGTAGTCATCATACTTAACATTGAGATTATTGATGAGAGTAAATAAAATGATCAGAGCTTACTGGCACACAATAAATACTTAAGAAATATTAGATTTTAGCATTAGTTTCTGTTATTTATGGCAATGAAAATATGTGAATATTCTGAATTAAATTTTCAACAAGAATATTGATTTCCTAAATACTCAGTTGGAAATTACTAAAATGTTCCACCTAGATTGTAATTAACCTTTTTTATTTTATTGATTGCAGCCGTGTTTTCTGTATCAATCTATCATGGTGTCAGCAGTGCTTCATGGTCTAACCCTCAAAATTTAATAACTTAAAATAATAGCTGTCATTTGTTCTCTTTTTTGCCTCTTAAGTTCAGTTGTGCAACAGTTGATCTTGGCTGGATTCAGCTGGGCAGCTCTGCTCCATGCTGGGGGTCAGCTGGGTTTAGCTCCATACTGTGAGTGGGGCTCAGATTTGTCCCCTGCTAGCACTTTCTGGAACCCAAGATGAAGAGGTCACTTTTCCTATGGCCAAGAGAGACTCACAAGTACCCCAGTTCACAAACACCACTCAAGCCTTTGGTTACATGACATCTCTTTATATTCAACTGGCTAAAATAAGCCATGTAGCTCAACTCAATATAAGTGGGCAGGGCACTACCACACTTCTATAGAGAGAAAAAGGGCAATGAACATCTTTGAACAATGGTCTAATTTACCAAGCCCTCTTAGTGTGAAAACTATATGATGTTCCATAAAAACTTAATATTTAAAAAGATAAATAATACTTGCTAACATGATTTAAATATTTATGAATTTCATTTTTTTTTTACAATCAGCATCTCATAAATGTTCACATCAGTCCTTTTATGCAAGTCAGACAAATTTGTGTACATTTTCTTCACATTATTTAGTAAATACTAGAACAGATAATTTAGGATCTGTGTTCATTTGCTAGGCTTCCTATAAGAAAATACCACAGACTGAGTGGCTGAAAACAGCAGATATATATTTTCTCACAGCTCTGGAGGCTGGAAGCCTGAGATCAGCGTGACAGCAGGATTGGTATTCTCTCAGATCTCACTGTTTGCCTTTTGCCTTCTTACTTCTTCACATGATCTTCCTCTGTTTGCACATGTATCTGGTGTTTCTTTGTGTTACCAATTTCTTCTTCTTGTAAGGATACCAGTTATATTAGATTAAGACACACTCTTAAAGCCTCTTTTCACTTAATCACTTTTTAAAAGACTTTTTTCCAAATGTAGTTACATTCTGAGGTGCCAAGATTAGGTCCGAGGTGCCAAGATTAGGTCTGAGGTATTGGGGGCCTGGGCTTCGATCAACAGTGGAATTGTGGGGATACATAATTTAGCCCATAACAAGATAAAAAATGAATTTTAGAGTATAGAAAAGTTAGAAAAACTGTTTTTTTCCAACAGTATGCATTGAGACTAAGACAAAAGTATCTATATCTTAAGCAATGGAGCAGCAAAGACTGAGAAGAGTTACAATGGTATTAACATGGAGATTCATAACTATATTTTAATCAAAACAGTATTACATATTTGTGCTGACTCATGTAATTATAATCATTTTTTTTAAGTATAAGTGAATAGCATTAAAAGTCATTTGGGATAAAAATGGTTATTTGAGGGAGGGATTTTTTTGGAGCACAGATTTTGTGCATATTAGCTATTGGGAGATAATCTTAATAATTAAAAAAACTACTTAATTATCTCCTTAAATCTTAATAATTAAAAAACTAAATATTTTGAGCTAAACTAATTTCAACACTGATAATTATTTTCAAAGTTTATTAACCTAATATATTCGAGTTTTCAAAGACTTCTGGGCAGTATGATGAGTGGTTGTATTTTTTTTTTTTTTTTTTTTTTTTTTGAGACAGAGTCTCACTCCATTGCCAGGCTGGAGTATAATGGTGTGATCTCGGCTCACTGCAACTTCCGCCTCCCAGGTTCAAGAGATTCTCCTACCTCAGCCTCCCAAGTAGCTGGAACTGCAGGTGCACACCACCACACCCAGCTCATTTTTTTGTATTTGTAATAGAGATGGGATTTCACCATATTGGCCAGGATGGTCTCGATCTCTTGACCTTGTGATCTGCCCGCCTCAGCCTCCCAAATTGCTAGGATTATAGGCGTGAGCCACTGTGCCAGGCCTTTTTTAAATAAAATGAAATAATGTCACACACCCACAACCATCCAATCTTAGATAAAGTCAACAAAAACGAGCAATGGGGAAAGGACTCCCTATTCCATAAACAGTAATTGGATAAAGGGCTGGCTATATGCAGAAGATTGAAACTGGACTCCTTCCTTACAACGTATACAATAATTAACTAAAGATGGATTAAAGAATTAAATTGAAAACCTAAAACTGTAACAGCCTAGGAAGAAAACCTAGGAAATGCAATTCTGGATGTAAGACCTAGCAAAGATTTCATGACAAAGACAGCAAAAGCAATTGCACCCAAACCAAAAATTGACAAATGGAATCTAATTAAGTTACAGAACTTCTGCACAGAGAAAGAAACTATCAACAGAGTAAATAGACAACCTACAGAATGGGAGAAAATATTTGCAAACTATGCATCCAACAAAGTCCAATATCCAGGATCTATACACAAACCTACAAGCAAAAAACAACCCCGTTAAAAAGTGAGCAAAGGACATGAACAGACACTTTTCAAAAGAAGAATTATATATTGCCAACAAGCACAAAAAATGTTCAAAATCACTAATCATTGAAGAAATGCAAATCAAAACCGCCATAAGATACCATCTCACATCAATCGGAATGTCTATTATTAAAAAGTCAAAAAATAACAGATGCTGGCAAGGTTGCAGAGAAAAGGGAATGCTTATACACTACTTGTGGGAATGTAAATTAGTTTAGCCATAATGGAAAGCAGGTGGCAATTCATCAAATAACTTAAAACCAAATACCATTTGACCTAGCAATCTCATTATTGGATATATACCCAAAGGAATATAAATCATTCTACCATAAAGACACGAGCATGCATATATTTATTGCAGCACTATTCACAATAGCAAAGACATGGAATCAACCCAAATTCCCATCAATGATAGACTGAATAAAGAAAATGTGGTATGTATACACCATGGAATACTATACAGCCATATAAATTAATGAGATCATGTCCTTTGTAGGAACATAGATGGAGTCGGAGATCATTATCCTAAGCAAACTAACGTGTGAACGGAAAACCGAATACCACATGTTCTCACTTATAAATGTGAGCTAAGAAACAAGAGGGAAACACCAAAAAACAGGGCCTACATGGGCTAGGAGGGAGAGGATAAAAAAACTACCTATACGGTTTTATTCATATTACCTGGGTGATGAAATAATCTATACATCAAACCCCCATGATACAGTTTACCTATATTACAAACCTGGACATGTACCTCTGACCATAAAATAAAAGTTAAAAGAAAGAATAAACACAGAATAAAATAGTGTTGCTTTCAAGTTTTCTCTTCTTTAAGGCATTCTTACATTTTTTTCTCTTTGAACTGTGTTCCACTTAGTCTCTCTTTCCTGAATCTAGTATTTTATTTAAATGTGTAACTAAATCAGCCTTTACTCAGTTCCATGATGCAACATATGCCTAAGTCTGCCATTCTGAATTTCTTCCAAGATTTTGTATATTTTCAAATTTAACCACTGTTTTAAAACTTTTGGGTTTTCTTCTGTAATTTCATTTGCTTTCTTCTGAATGGACAACTTGGGTTTCTAGATATTTTCTATACAAAACTTACAAAAATATTAGACTTCTCTCTACCTCCGTCTTTCTCTTCATTCTTCTCTCCCTTGGTTTTTTTTTTTTTTTTTCTTAACTTTTTTTCTTCACTTTTTTTCTTCCTTTTTTCCTTTCTTACTTCTTACCTTCTCCTTTGCTGTTTTCTTTCTTTTAGTTTGGCTCTATCCATTATAATAGGCAAATCAAGGGACCTGTGAAATATTAGGATGAAACAAAGAAATTTGAAACCAAAAATTAAATGCTAATATTTTAACTTATTGAGATTATTTCCTCAAATTGATAAATAATTAAAAATAGAAGACAACTTTCTTTTTTCTTTGTCAGAACTCTCATTTGAAAGAAATATTTGAAAGAAAGATTATTGTAAAGTCAATTCAGTATAATATTTTAGATACATGGAAATAAACTTTAAGCACTTTAGCAATTGATTTAAATATAATTGGCTTAAGTACACTAGGTTTAAAGGCTTTTTTGAGTAATTATAATAATGACCCATATATATCTATGGATTTTAATATTTTTATATATTTCAATGTACTGCAGGCATTATTGCCCAATCTTTGACCAAGGAAACTCTTTAAGTTAGCTTCTTAATCCTTTGACATGACAATAGTATCTTTGTTTTCTGACATGAAAGATGTTCCAGAATTATCTTGTACACTTCATGTCCCAGACCTAAAATCAAATATTTCTACACAGAGACCTACTTCTTTGTATGTATATGTATCTGTGTGTGTGTGTGTGTGTGTGTGTGTGTGTGTGTGTATGCATTTCTCTCTCCCTACGAGATATTTCCTATTACTGCTCAGAAATTTAATCCTTAAGCTCTAAGAGGGTAAAATATGTCAAGCTTTGTAGATAGAATATTCGATCTTGCAGATAATTAATTATGCAAGATTTCCTTATAGTATGGTCTCCTTCCCATGTATTTCATATTCTTTTCTCAGTGTTACATGATTTATTCACAACAAAGCAAAACTGAAACACCTAGAAGAGTAAAGAAATACATTTGGACATATATTTGTAACTTCTCACTGATAAATAAACATCTTAAATGCTAAGTTTTTAGTTATTTGCTTGGTATATCTACAAAATTCTTAGTATACACTGTGGGCCTTAGAAAACAATTAAATGATTTATCATCACTTTGAACCAATCTTGATAGTTTCTACTCTTCAATTAATAATATCCAAGACCACACAGATTTATAACACAGGCTTATGCTTAAAAAAATCTGACAGGAGAACTCAGAAAAAAGTAATATGAATCTAGTCTACATACTCTCTTTTTTTCTGCCTAAAATAAAATTACAAATAAACTAGTCTAGGAATTACAAATGTATTTTTGCTGATAAATTACAATAATCAATGCTAGTTGCCATTAAAAAAGTAACCTTAGTGGCTTACACAATAAAGATTTATTTCTTAATTACATCATAGCCCGACACAGGTCATGTGGCTTTCCTGGGTCACACATGAAAGCACTGACTCAGGAATCTAAAAGTCCTTCATTTTGCTGCCGCTTTGTCTGCTAGGGCCTTCATGGCATAGTCTCAAGGATTCCCTTCGTCTAGGAGACTGAGGAGCCAAAGAGCTCTATGAGACTCTTCAGGATGCTTTAGGTACAAAACCTGGAAGTAATTTAATGCTTTCCTAAACATTCTCTTACACAATGTCAGTCATATAGCCTAATTATTAGCAAAGTCGGGTAAAAATTAGAAAAGGACACATATTTAGGTACAACAATATTCTCTGCCCTAGATGTCTCTGTTTGGGCAGGTAAGAAAACAACAAAAATGTGCAATGGAGATTGAGTTGAGGAGCTCAACAATAAGCGACTACTGAGTGCTAATATTTCAGTAGAGGAACACTTGACTGCTTTTTGGAACTAAGAAGACTCTTAGCATTGAACTAAACCAAATTTCTTATTATATAAATGAGTAGATTGATGTCCATTCATTCATTTCTTTCTTCTTTTTTAAATTATATACAATTTGTATTTGTCAATTACACCACAATAAACCTTAAAACAAAAAATGCCTAACGGTCCCCTATTGGTTTTCTACCTTGTGATTGCTTAGCAGCTGTTTGTGATCACCTAGAACTACTATTTTCTTAGGAGGTGGGAAAATTAATATCTTAATTGTAGCTTTTATTTTGCATTTAATAGCTTTAATTTCTTATAAACAAGAAATTTATCTCATTGCCTGTGGTTACCTTCAAACATATTTTATACAGGACATGCAGAAATGATTCATTACATTCATTTACCAATATTTAGAATGTGTTAGTGCCCTAGAATCCTCGAAATGTGATCAATTAGATTTTTAAAAAGTATTAATGTAAGCACATCGATTTTAATATTTTTACATATTTCAATGTACTGCAGGCATTATTGTTCAATCTTTGACCAATGAAACTCTTTAAGTTAGCTCCTCAATCCTTTGAAATGAGCCTAGTATCCTAGTTTTATGGTATGAAAGATGTTTTAGAATCATTTGTACATTTCATGTCCCAGATCTAAAATCAAACATTTCTACACAGAGACCCAGTTACTTTTAGTGAGAAATAGTCTTTAGATACTCCAATCTGATTGTTAAAGGTTCTCATTGGGATAAGGTTGCTCACTGCTTGTATATTTGTCGGTGGACAGAAACAAAAAATATTTTTTAACAGTAACATACATCAAGATTTCATATTGCTATAGTCAAATTTAAGATGGCAATACTTTTACTCAAAGTCTTTAATTTTATGTTTGTCTCTTTTTTGAGACAAATTCTGTTTGCTATTTTATATTACATTGATTGTTTTGCTTATGTTCAATCAAACTTGCATCCCTGGGATAAATACCACTTGATCATGATGAATGATCTATTAAATGTACTGTTGAATTCAGTTTGTCAGTAATTTGTTGAGGATATTTGCATCAATATTCATCAGACATATTGACCTACAGTTTTCTCTCCTTGAAATAGCTCTCTTTTTTTTGAGACAAATATAAAATGTCTAAATTTTGCTAAATATCTCAATTTTTGAGATTGACATATTCAATTATTTAATTTGTCTTGCTATATATACATAATAGTTTACAAATAACACAAATAAAATTTTTACTAAATTTATGATCATTGAATACTGAGGCATTTTTTTGCAATTCCTTAACATTAGGATATATCTTTCTAACAATATGCAGTCAAATTACTGTGTTTAAAGTCATATGATTATCTGAGAGAGTATGTGGTTAAACCACTAATAGAATGTATAGTGAAATTTTTTTCATTTGGTTTTTAATTTTTATTAATTTTAATTTTTAATTTTTGTGGGTGCATAGTAGGTATATATATTTATGGGGTACATGAGATGTTTTGATACATGTATGCAATGAGTAATAATCACATCATGGAAATGGTGTATCCATCCCCTGAAGCATTCATCCCTTGTGTTACAAACAATCTAATTATACTCTTTTAGTTATATTTAAATGTACAATTAAATTATTATTGACTAAAGTTACCCTGTTGTACTATAAAATATTCATTTTTTCTAAACATTTTTTGTACACGTTAGCCATCTCAACTTTCCCCCAACCTTCATAGTCTTTCCAGCTTCTGGTAACCACACTTCCACTCTGTCTCCATGAGTTCAACTGTTTTAATTTTTACCTACCACAAAGAAGTGATGACATGTTATGTTTGTCTTTCTGGGCCTGGGTTATTTATTTAACCTAGTAACTTCCAGTTCCATTCATGTTGTTGCAAATAACAGGATGTCATAATTTTTATGACTGAATAGTACTCCATTGTGTTTATGTACCATATTTTCTTTATCCATTCATCTGTTAATGGCTCTTAGATTGCTTCTAAATATTAGTTACTGTGAATAGCACTGCAGTGAACATGAAAGTGCAGATATCGCCTCAATATTCTGACTTCCCTTCTTTTGGATATATACCTAGCAGTAGGATTGCTGGATTGTATAGTAGCTCTATTTTCAGATTTTTGAGGAATCTCCAAACAATTATTCATACAGTGGTTGTACTAATTTACATTCTCACCAACAGTGTATGAGAATTCTCTTTTCTCCACATCCTCATCCTCATGCTATTGTCTGTATGTTAGACAAACTCCATTTTAATTTGAGTGAGATATGATCTCATTGTAGTTTTATTTGCATTGCTCTGATAATCAGTGAAGTTGAGCACCTTTTTATATGCCTGTTTGAAATGTATGTTTTCTTTTGAGAAATGTCTATTCAGATATTTTGCCTATTTTTAAAATTGGATTATTAGATTTTTTTCCTATAGAGCCGCATGAAGCTCCTTATATGTCCTGGTTATTAACCCTTTGTCAGATGGGTAGTTTGTAAATATTTTCTCCTTCTTTGTGGGTTGTCTCTTCACTTTGTTGGCTGTATCCTTTGCTCTGCAGAAGCTTTTTAATTTGATGTGATCCCATTTGTCTATATTTGCTTTGGTTGCCTGTGCTTCCGGGGTGTTACTAAAAAAACATATTTGCCCAAACCAGTATCCTACAGTTTCCCCAATGTTTTCTTGTAGTAGCGTCATAGTTTAAGGTCTTAGATTTAAGTTTTTAATGCACTTTGATTTTTTTTTTTTTGAGACGGAGTTTCACTCTTGTTGCCCAGGCTGGAGGGCAATGGCACAATCTTGGCTCACCACAAGGTCCGCTTCCTGGGTTCAAGAGATTCTCCAGCCTCAGCCTCCCAAGTAGCTGGGACTACAAGCATGCGCCACCATGCCCAGCTAATTTTTTTGTATTTTTTAGTTGAGATGGGGTTTCTCCCTGTTGGTCAGTCTGGTCTCGAACTCCTGACCTCAAGTGATCCACCCACCTCGGCCTCCCAAAGTACTGGGATTACAGGCATGAGCCACTGTGCCCAGCCAATCCACCTTGATTTAATTCTTGCATATAGTAAGAGATAGTGGTATAGTTTCATTCTTCTGCATACAGCTATCGAGGTTTCTGGGCATCATTTATTAAAGAAACTGTCTTTTCCTCAATGCATGTTCTTGGCACCCTTGTGGAAAATGAATTCGCTGTAAATGTATAGGTTTACTTTTGGGTTCTCTATTCTGTTTTATTGCTCTTTATATCTGTTTTTATGTCAGTACATGCTGTTTTGGTTGCTGTAGTGTTGTAGTGTAATTTGAAGTCAAGTAATGTGATTCCTCCAGTTTAGCTCTTTTTGCTCAGGATGGCTTTGATTATTCTGGGTCTTTTGTGGATCCATACAAATTTAGGGATTTTTTTAATATTTCTGTGAAGGATGTCATTGGTATTTTGATAGAGATTGCATTGAAGCTGTATATTGCTTTGGGTCGTATGGACATTTTAACAATATTGATTCTTCCAATCCATGAACACAGAATATTTCTATATTTTTTGTATCCCCTTTAATTTCTTTCATCAATGTTTTATAGTTTATATTGTAAAATTCTTTCAACTCTGGTCAAGTTAATTCCTAGGAATTTAATTTTATTTGTGACTATTGTAAATGGGATAACATTTTAAAATTTCTTCTTCAGGTTGCTTGCTCTTGGCATAGAACTGCTACTGATTTTGGTATGTTGATTTTGTATACTGAAACTTTACTGAATTTGTTTATCAGTTCTAACAGCTTTTTTTTTTAGTTTTTTCCACATGTAGGATCATATCATCTGCAAACAAGGATAATATTATTAGTTCTTTTTCAATTTGGATGTCTTTTTTTAAAAATTTTGTCTGATTTCTCTAGCTAGGACTTTCAATACTATGTTCAATAACAGCGGTGAAAGACAGCATCCTTTTATGTTCCAGATCTTGGAGGAAAGGCTTTCAGTTTTTCTCCATTCAGTATGATACTAGCTGTGGATATAGGTCATATGTAGCTATTATTATGTTGATGTACGTTTATTCTATACCCGGTTTTTTCAGGGTTTTGTCACGAAAGGATGTTGGATTTTATCTAATGCTTTTTCAGCATCAATTGAAATAATTACCATATTGTCTTTGTCTCTCATTCTGTTGCTATTATGTAGCACATTGATTGATTTCCATATGTTGAACCAATCTTGCATCCCTGGGATAAATCCCACTTGATTAAGGTATTTTTAATGTATTGTTAAATTTGGTCTGTCAGTATATTTTGTTGGGGATATTTGCCTCAATATTCATCAGATATCTTGGCCTCCAGTTTTCTTTTATTGATGTGGCTTTTTTTGGTTTTGGTATCAGGGTAATACTGTCCTCATAGACAGAGTTTGGAAGTATTCTCTCCTCCTCTATGTTAAGGAATATTTTGAGTAGAATTTTTTTTTCTTTAAATGTTGGTAGAATCCAAACATTTATTTCAAGAAAATCTTTCAATTACTTTCTTTATTTCTTCATTGACTCCCTGGCCATTCAGGAGCATATTGTTTTATTTTCATGTATTTGTATAGTTTCCAAATTTCTCGTTATTGATTTCTAGTTTTGTTTTCCATTGTTGTCAGAAAAGGAAGATGCTTGATATTATTTTTGAATGTTTTAAGACTTGATTTTTAACCTAACATAAGGTCTATCGTTGATAATAATTCTTGTTCAGGATAATGTGTACTCTGCAGCCATTAGATGAAATGTTCTGTAAATCTCTATTAGGTCCATTTGTTCTGTTGTGTGTAGGAAGTAAATGTTTCTTTGTTGATTTCTTGTCTGGAAGTTCTGTCCAGTGCTGAAAGGGTGGTGTTGATGTCTCCAACTATTTTTGTATTGAAGTCTATCTCTCACTTTAGCTCTAATAATATTTGCTTTATTTATTTGGGTACTCCAGCATTGAGTGCAAAATATTAACAATTGACAATCCTCTTGCTGAATTGACTCCTTTATCATTGTATAATGACTTTCTTTGTCTCTTCTTACAAGTTTTTTTCTTGAAATCTATTTGTTTTGTACAAGAATAGCTACTTCTGCTCCTTGTTGGTTTCCATTGGCATGGCATGTACTTTTCCATCCCTTTATTTTCAATCAATCTGTATCCTTGTAGGTGAAATGTGTTTCTTGTAGGCAACAGATCATTGGGTCCTGCTTTTTTATTCATTCAGCTAGTCTATGTCTTTTGATTAGAGTGTTTAGTCCACTTAATGTCAAGTCAATGTTATTATTGATAAGTAAGTACTAACAATTGCCATTTTAAATTTGCTTTCTGGTTGTTTTGTGGTCTTTGCTTCCTTCTTTTCTTTCTTCCATCTTACTTTTAGTGAAGGTGATGTTTTTTCTGGTAGTGTAATTTAATTTCTTAGTGTTTATTTTTTGTGTATCTGTTGTATGTTTTTTGATTTGAAGTTACCATGAGGCTGGCACATAATATCTTATAACCCATTATTTTAAACTGATATTGACTTAACACTGATTGCATAAACACACTAATAAATAAGCAAAAAGAAAACTAATAAAAACTCTACAATTTCACTTTATCCCCTCACATTTTAATTTTTGATTTTTCTTTCTATGTCTCATACTGTCTATGTCTTGAAAAGTTTCTGTAGTTAATATTTTTGACTGGTTCTTTGCTTAGTCTTTCTACTTAAGATTAAACTAATTTACACCACAAAATTACAATGTCTGTCTTTGTTTTTCTGTGTGCTTACTAATATCAGTGAGTTATGTGCTTTCAGATGATTTCTTTTTGCTCATTAATGTCCTTTTCTTCTGATTGAAGTACTCCCTTCAGCATTTCTTGTGGGACAGGTCCAGTGTCAATAAAATTCCTTAGCTTTTATTGTCAGGAAAGTCTTTATCTTACCTTCATTTTTAAGGATAATTCTCTGGATATATTATTCTAGGGTAAAAAGGTGTTTATTTTTCTTAAGTACTTTAAATATTTGATGCCATTCTTTCCTTGCCTGTAAGGTTTCCACAGAAAAGTCTTCTGCTAGATACATTGAAGTTGCATTGTATGGTATTTGTTTCTTTTCTCTTGATGCTTTTAGGATTCTTTCTTTATCCTTGATGTTGGGAATTTGATTATTAAATACCTTTGGTTAGTCTTCTTTGGGTTATATCTGTTTGGTGTTCTATAAGCTTCTTGTACTTAAATATTGATATCTTTCCCTAGGTTTGGAAAATTCTCTAATATTATCTCTTTGAATAAACTTTCTACCTCCATCTCTTTCTCTATCTCCTCTTTAAGTCCAATAACTCTTAGATTTACCCTCTTGAGGCTATTTTCTAGATCTTGTAGGCAAGTTTCAATGTTTTCTATTCTTTTTTCTTTTGTCTCCTCTGACTGTATTTTCAAATAGTCGGTCTTCAAGTTCACTAATTGCTTCTTCTGCTTGAACAATTCTGCTCTGAAGAGACTCTGATACATTCGTTCATAGGTCAATTGCATTTTTCAACTCTAGAATTTTTCTTTGATCCTTTTTAATAAGAATTACGATTTATTTGTTAAATGTATCTGATAGAATCCTGATTTCCATCTCATTGTTATCTTGAATTTCTTTGTGTTTCCTCAAAATGGCTAATCTGAATTCTCTGTCTTAAAGATCACATATTTTTATTTCTCCTGTATTGGCCCCTGATGCCTTATTTTGTCCATTTGGTGAAGTCATATTTTCCTGGATGGTCTTGACACTTGTAGATATTAGCCTGTGTCTGGGTATTGAAGAGTTAGATATTTACTGTAGTCTTCACAACACGGGCATAACCATCTATGCCTGTCCTTCTTGGGAAGGCTCTTCAGGTATTCAAAGGGACTAGGGACCTAAGCTCAAAAATGCTGTGGGTTTTGTAGACTGGTAGAGGTAGTGCCTTGGTGGTCTTTGATAAGATCTGGAATAATTATCTCTATTACTAGGGACAGACTCTTGTCTTCCCTTACTTTCTGTCAAACAGATGACATCAACAAATGAGCTGCCTGGAGCTGGGGATGGGGCGAAGCATGCATCCCTGTGACCACAACCACTGGAACTTCCCTGAGTCAGACCTGAAGCCAGCAAAACACTAGGTCTCACCCAAGGCCCACTGTAACCACTACCTGCCTACAGCCTATGTTTGCTCAAGGCCGTAGGGCTCCATAATCAGCAGTTTGAAAATTGTGCCATGTTTGTGTCTTTCACTTTAGCGCAGTGAGTTCCTCCAGGTCTCAGGCAGGTACAGAAGTGTCATCTGGGAGCCAGGAACCGGAGTCAAAAACCCTAGAAGCCTACCTGTTTTTCTATTGTACTCAGGCTGAGCTGGCACTCAATTCAGAACCGTAAGACACAGTCTTTCCAATCTTCCCTCCCCTTTCCACAAGCAGAGGCACTTCACTCATGGTCACCACCACCCCAGGCCCACAGGGAGTAATGTCAGGTTACCACCATTGTTTACTTAAGACCCAAGCTTTCTTCAGTCAGCTTGTGGTGAATGCAGCCTGAGCTGGGATGCAGCTTTCAGGGAAATGGGCTCCCCTCTGGCCCATAGCAAGCCCAAAAATGCTATCCAAGAGCCTATGCCTGGACTTGAGGACCCCAGGAGACCACTTAGTGTTCTACCCTACTGTGTCCAAGCTGGTACCTGAAGCCAGCACATCTCAGAGTCTCACCCAAGGCCCACAGTGTACTACCTGATTGTCACTGTTTGTTATTCAGGACCCATGAGTACTTCAGTCAGTAAGTGATTAATCCCATCAGGACTGAGTCCTTCCATTCAAGGAAGTGGGTTTCCTTCTATTCCAGGGTGTGTCTGGAAATGTTGTGTGGGAGTTAGGGCATTGAATGTGTGCCTCTTGACTTTGCCCACTTTCCTATTCTACTGTGGCTGAGTTGGTATCCAAGTTGCAAGACAAATTCTTTTTACTATTCTCTCTCCTCTTATCAAGCAGAAGGAAGATGTCACTTTTGTTGCTGTGAACTGCTCTGCCTGGGGTTGGGGGAGGGGTGGCATAAGCACACCCCCAGCCACCCCAGCTGGTGTCATGCTCTTTAGGTCCCCCAGCCACCCCCAGTAATCCCCCAGCCACCCCAACTTGTGTCTGCTCCCAGCTCTCTAGGTCATGCACTGCCCCAGTCCACTGGTTCTAAGCCAAGAAAAGCATCAGGACTTGCCTAAAAATTGTAGTCCTTGTGTCCTAGACTGCCTTTCAAGTTCACTTAAGACCCCAGAGCACTTTAGCCCCCTTCTACTTATTACTTGTGAAGAAATACTGTGAGTCAGTTAAAAACTTGATCTGTGAAACTAGTATAATTTCTGAATTTTATAGTTTTAACTGTGTAAACAGGTTATTTGTTGAACCCTAATTATCAGATCTAAAAAATGTGCATAATAAGAGTGATTTCCTTCATTTATATTTGTTAAGAGGAGTTAATAAGATAGTGACAGAAGTCAGTTAGATTAGGTCTTGGTTCAGAGTAAGTATTCAATAAATAATTGAGTACATTAATATTACTATTTCTTTAACTATGTCAAATAGTACCTGATTATAAACTTTATGTTAAAATTCATAAAAATGATTTAATGTTCTCTGATCTCTTTATTTAAAAAAAGAAAACTGGCCAGGAGAGGTAGATCACTCCTGTAATCCCAGCACATTGGGAGGCCGAGGCATGCAGGTCACTTGAAGTCAGGAGGTTGAGACCAGCCTGGCAAAAATGGTGAAACCCTGTCTCTACTAAAAATACAAAAATTAGCCTGGCATGGTGGTGGATGCCTGTAATTCCAGCTACTTGGGAGTCTGAGGCAGAAGAATTGCTTGAACCTGGGAGGTGGAGGTTGCAGTGAGCCGAGATGGCACCACTGCACTCCAGCCTGGGCAAAAAAGTGAGACTTTATCCCAAAAAAAAGAAAAAAAAAAAAAAAGAAAGAAAAGAAAAGAAACAAAAAAAGAAAAATTAAAGAAAACAAAAACCTAATTCACACTCATTTCAGGAATAGCCATAACAATAACCATGTTATATTGGATTCTGTGAATTGTATGGGTTATTGATTAAAACAGCTTTGGTTGCTCAGTCTCACAGTTTTTGACAGTTTGTCCGAACAGTGAAAGCAACATAAAGCTAATAAAGACAAAGTCCTCTACATGGCAAAAATATAATGAAAAGGAATTTTAAAAAAAATTACTGAAATTTTGTATTAGTAAAGTAGTATCTTTTTCTCAGTGGTCATAAGTAAAGAAAATGCTGAAATCCATTGTTTGGTTATACCATAGATTACATCATGGTCCCTTAATAGATAATGGCACAGCAAGCTATCAAATAAGGGTCATGAAAGGCATTTCCAGAAATGAAACAATAGTAAAGCATCACTAACAGTGAACTCTTAAGAAACAGAAATCTGTAAAGAGAAGGTGATTAATCCATAGGGCCAGACAAATGTGACTGTGGATTCTGATTATACTATGTGTGACTTCTGTGCTCTCGAAATTGTTATTCAGAAATTGTACTCACTTTCCTCATTTTTAAAAAAAGTTACCCATAATGCCTTCTATGTGGTGTTTTTCTAAAAGTCAAAGAAATTATTTTTACATTTGATTTGTTCTAGATAAATATATTTAACATTGTAATATCTCTAAAGTTAGAATCCATCGTACTGTATATCGTATGTCATAGTTTCATAATGTTCATTTTTTCTTTCTAAAGGTACATGAATTAATAATATGCTTTTCAATTGGTGGATTTGAGGAAATAGAGTATATGTACCGCATGTTCGTGCTTAATGGCAAAATTAGTTTTATTTCCCTTTTTTCCTCCATGTCACATATTATTTCATCATATAGAGGCATATATAAGAATAAATACAGTAAAATAAGAAACCAATACAATTACCCAGATATTTAATCCTAAGAATAACATTTAATTAGAAAAAATAAGCTGGGTATATACAGAGATGTTTAGATTTGAATCATGAAGGCATTAAGTCTGTTGCAAACTAAATATTTGTTTCTCTCTAAAGTTTACCTGTGGAAATTCTAATCCCCAATCTGATGGTATTAGGAGAGACTTTGGGGGATCTTTAGGTCATAAGGTAGAATACTTTTAACTGAGATTTGTGCCTTTGTAAAAGAGACCCCAGAGAGCTGTCTCACTCTCTTTTCCTCATGTGAGGATCTGGAAAGAAGTCTTCAGCTTGCATCCCTGAAGAGGCTCCTCACCAGAACCTGACCATGCTGGTACCCAGTTCTCAGACATCCATCATTCCAGAACCGTAAGAAATGAATTTCTGCTGCTTATAAGCCACTAGTCTATGGACTTTTATATAGCAGCCTGAACTAAGACAAAGTTTGTTTATGCTAATATAATTATTTATGTAGAAGAGATAGTAATAGATATAAACTCTTTAATGAAATGTAATAGAATAGGGAAGGTTAAAAATGAAGACGCCTTGATCTCATGGAAGAGTCAAACTATGTGTCCCTGAATAGACTTAACTTCTTTTCCAGCTAGTGCATGTGCATGTGTGTGTGATGCTATAAAATAAGGCTAGTGTCTGATTATCTAACACCCTGTACAATAAAAAATAAATTACTTTCTATTTAAACTTAAAACTAAAAATATGCCACAGTGGAATTATTTTTTCAAATCTTTTAAAATGTTTGAATTAGAGAAACCCATTACTTAAAAAATGGTTACTAGAAAAATCCAAGATTTAACATACATGCTCACATTAGAGAAGAGATGGCATGATGTAACAGCATCTCACGAGTCCATCCCCTACACTGTTTCTCCCATGGTGGACACTGAGGATACTAACTCCTTGGAGCCAGGGCATATTTTGCAAACTACTTCCACAAAGCACAAGTATGTAAAGTATGGGGCTGCAAGTTATCCTTTAAAGGTGAAATTTGGCATTGAAATTTGGAAACAAAATAAGAATGGTTGTAATTTTTTTTATTTTTTCATGATGATTTCATCTGTCTCTAATGCCAATAGAAATTCAAAAAAGTGTATATACCTTTAGAAAAAGATAATATGCAAAAATATTTTAGAGTATTACATCAGTTGCAAGAGTTATTGATTGCTCAATCACTGTAAATGGATCTACACTCTATTGTAATAATTCAGATGAAATATGTTGACTCTGTAGTTCAATAACAAAATAAATAATAGCAAAAGAACAACAAAGCAATCATTTAATGTCAGACTATCCTTTGATAAAGTTGATGATGCTGAAACACTTACTGCTGTTGAATTTAAGGATAGTATTAATTCTTTGAAACTTGGAAGGTAATAGCCCTTATAGGCTGAATAGACAGTGATTCTTTCACTGAAGTATTAACTATAGTGCCTCAATATACAGAATATTTTCATATAAATGTTGCTATATTTTAATGGTGATACTCTTTTGTAAAGCAACCAGTGCATATTTGACACTAACAGAAAACAAACATTTGTACTGGATTTTCATGTTTTATTGGTTTATGTCATGCTATAGACAATTAGTTGCTTCCATTCATTTTCTTCTGTCTGCAATTTGGAGTTACTAATAGAGTATTATTTTGTAACTAATCTTATAGGTATTTAGTAAAATTACTGGATATCTACCTTTCACGTATTAAAAAAAATTACATTTAACAACTTTTCCTTAACACTAAGTGTAAAAATAAAATGGGAAAAAAATTGCAAAAAATTGGAGTTATGTGTTAAAAACCAGACTAATAATAACTAAAATAATGACAGTTTTTATAGACTTTTTGATGTATATAATTTAGGAAATTTTATCAAAATCAAATATGAAATATTAATTTTTTGAAAGTTTTATTTGATCTATATCAAACCATAAGGGTGGCTATACTCTATCTTTCTAGTCTTAGGGTATCAACTGGGCCCAATAATTAAATTGACATAAAAGAAATTAATAGGAGAAAAGCATACAAATTTATTTAATACAAGTTTTATGTGGCATGGGAGCCCTCATAAAGAAACAAAAACCCAAAGAACAGTTAGTGTCACATACAGAATTGGACAACGAATAATAAGTCGTGAAAAAGCAACTACATTTTGTAAGGAGGCTTAAAAGATAAGGGTTATTTTAACAAGATCTGTACAGAATTCTCCCTGTCTTGACTTCCTGCCCTTGATTATTAGAATGGTACATCTTTCACATGGGAATTTCATCTTCTGCTTTTAAGAAACAGGATTAAAGTCAGAGTGCTCTTCTTGTACCTGCTGTTTT
The DNA here is from genome assembly GCF_000001405.40 of Homo sapiens. Lineage (NCBI taxonomy): Eukaryota > Metazoa > Chordata > Mammalia > Primates > Hominidae > Homo > Homo sapiens. The sequence continues at coordinate 60,062,819 of NC_000004.12, read as the reverse complement.
TCATATGCCTTTAATTTCAAATATTCAGTATACCACAGTGGTATATTTTTTATTCCTTCAAAACAGTATCATGTAGGATATATAACTTAAAAGCATATGTACTATCTGGGGATGCCATTTTTAATTAGAATATAATCTAATTTTTCTATCACCTTCATATTTTAGAATGAAAGCAAATCTTAAATGTTTATTAATATTCCTTCATCATTCTGCCCTTATATTTTTTATTAAGTAAAAAAATGAAATAAACCAATTAAGAGCATTTATACAAAAATAAGTAAATATATAAAATGCATGTACATAAACACAAAAACATGCAGATGCATAAACATATACAGTGAAAGAGATAAGTATTGTTTTTCTATTCCTTATTCTCATAAATTACTAGATATATGTGACAGAGTTAGTAATATATTTGTGTATAATAATGTTAGTTGAAAACTTATTTTTATAATAATAAAAGCAATTTTACATATTTATATTTAGTACTGTTAAAAACCAACAGTTAAACTATTTACATGCATATTTACATACAAATGAATACATAAAAAGGCACAGACACAGAGGAAGCCATTGCCAATTTACAAAGAATAAATATGCATACACATATATTATATATTCAGCAAATATTTTTAAAAAAGGATTTCAGAGCTTATAAATATAGACATTACTACTTGGGATTACAAAAGAAACATTAAAATAGAATATATAAGCTAAAATATAAGAAAATATTTAGAAAATATTAAAATTATAGAATTTGAGTTGCTTTCTTCACTTTATATCTGTTTTATATTAACAACATGTGTTCTCACATGTTTAGCATACAGGAGATCTTTCCCGTTCTTTGTCTTTTTTTTTTTTTTTTTTGAGACAGAGTCTTGCTTTGTCGCCCAGGTTGGAGTGCAGTGGCTCCATCTTGGCTCACTGCAAGCTCCTTCTCCCGGGTTCACGCCATTCTCCTGCTTCAGCCTCCAGAGTAGCTGGGACTATCGGCGTCTGCCACCGCACTTTGCTAATTTTTTTATATTTTTAGTAGAGATTGGGTTTCACTGTGTTAGCCAGGATGGTCTTGATCTCTTGACCTCATGATCTGCCCACCTTGACTTCCCAAAGTGCTGGGATTACAGGCGTGAGCCACCGCGCCAGGCCTCTTTTCTTAACCGTAAAGTTTAAATATGAATGGTTTTATATGAAAATGTAGTCCTGTATTCCCAGGTATGTTTTATGACTCCCTGATTTTTTATAACTTACGAGCCTACCTCTTCTCCCTTGAGACCTTGCTTACTCTTTAGAATCTTTAAAATTATTTAAATCTAAACAATAATTATTCACACTTGAATAAGTACTCTGAAATTAGATGGGGACTTTTTAAATCTCAAAATGAGAATTTCCTTATTTATAGGAAAATTTGGGGGCTGTTTTTAAAAAAATCACCATTAATTGTTTGTAAATATTGTATTACTTAAAGATAATAGCTTCAGATGCTGTTATCCTGGAATGAAAAGCAGGCTGGTTCTTTTCTGTTACTGAGAAATTTATCATTATCCCTATAAACTGTAAGCAATTGCTCTCTGAAACAACCATATTCTTGTAGAAAGCCGATTTGAGTTAGGGCAGAGCGGTCTTTGTTTATAGCTCATTTACCTCATTTGTCTAGGAAAGTTTCAGTAGCACCTTTCTTTTCTTAGAATAGTATACTTAAAGAGGTCAGTAAGCTAAATTATAGTGAAGATGACAAAGAAATATTAAGAGTTTTGCAGAGCCCACCTAAATCTTGATCGAAAGTAAGTAACTGTTTTATGTTTTCCACAAAGCATTTATTTTATAAATGCAGATGCTGAAACCCTGATCTTGAACTTCCAGACTCCAGAACTTTGAGAAAATAAATATCTGTTGCTTAAGCCACTAGTGTATGGTATTTTGTTATGGAAGCCCCAGGAGGTTAAGACAAAGGTTATATAGAGTAATAATTAAGACCGTTATGTATTCAATTAAGGTCTTGCTACTGCATATGAGAATAATGGCTGCTGCAAGTGTCTATTGCATATAAATGTACATGAGAGAACTAACAAAAGAACCAAAGTAAACCACGTTAAACACACACACACATGCACACACACAAACCTGCACACAATAATTATATGTTACAGCCAAGCAAGTGTAGAGCTCAGAATAAAATGTCAGAATTTATATTAAAATATAACTAATTTTCTAAATTTCTTTAAATGTACTTATAGCTTAGATTATCCTTATATTAATATCCTTAAGGGAGAAATTTCAAAATATAGAATCACTCTGAGACTCACTTTGAAATATAGCAACAATGACATAATACAATTTAATCTGTACATCTAACTTAAAATTCCTATGTAAAAATCATTATGGAAAATTTATTTTTATATTAAAATGAATATAACAGTTTCAACATCCAGGAAGAATTTTTTTTTAGAATAATGCATGAGTTAAGCATATTTAGTTGTGAGGTGGATTGAGCTATCTTGCAGGAAGTACCTAAGGCATAAAATCAGTTCATTAAGAGGTAAACTAAAAGCTTTATGAGATGAATTGTCCTTCACAGTGGCAATAATATAAGGGAAACCATAGTGAAAAATACCTAAGAAGAATTTTAAAAAATTAGAAATCAGATATCCACATATTTAAACTTTCCTCCTTGGGATAATTTTGGTAACACCCCATATGAATGTGAGCAGTGTAAACAGAAGTCACAAGCAAGGTCGCCCTTTCTGTAGTAAGAACTCATCCAATATCCTGTAACCTTGGATTGTCTAAAAACTACAAATCCAGTAGTACTGTGGTCCCCCAAAATCCAAGGGCAGTTTCAGGTTCAGAACTGACTCAGCTCCAAAGGGTTCTTAAATCTTTAAAAAGGCCAAGTTACATATTCTAGATGTTAAGCTTGTAGGTTTGGAAAACTCTGTTTATTTTCCTGAAAAATACAGACTCCCATTAATAACTGAATTCTGCAGCAAAAGCTTTGATTGTATAGATTATAAAAATGTTGGTTTTAAACCAAAATTTCATTTTTTGATTCTGAACTATGTGAGAGGAAATTAATAAAATAGTTGTCAAACTGATTTGAAATTACTTTGGAGTTTTTGTGTTCTACTGAGTAAATCTGTTTTTAGGAAATAATTATTCTTAAGGGAAAGAAGACATTATACATATTTATCTGTTGAAGAATTGTATCCTATAACAGCCAAATGCATTCTAAGATGGCCCTTTGCATATTTTATGATTAAAATACTGCATTCATTATTTCCACATAACAAATTACCCCAAAATTTAAAGGCTCAATAAAACATGCGTGTATTATTTCACATTCTGGGATGAGATATCTTGGCACAGCTTTACAGGGTTCTCTACTGCAGCGTGTCTCACGAGCTGCAATCAAGGTATTGGCTGGGCCATAGCCATCTCAACGCTTAATTGGACAAAGATACTAGAAAAACCAGTTCCTAGTGGTGTGTTGGGCCACGTTTGTCCTTAGTTTTTTGCTGAGTGGGCCCCTCCAGCATGGCAGCTTGTTTCATGAAAGCAGGCAAGCCAAGAAAGAAATGGAGCAGGTCTGCTAACAAGATATAAAAGCCACGACCTTTCCTAACCTAGCAGTGAAAGTTGTATCTTCTCTCACCACTGTGGTATTCTATTGGTTAGAAGTAACTGGCTCACACTCATGGAGAGGGAATTATATAAGGGTGTGAACATCAAAAGGTAGACATCACTAAGGACTATCTTTAAGAGCTGCCTGGCCGGGTGCGGTGGCTCACGCCTGTAATCCCAGCACTTTGGGTAGCTGAGGCGGGCGGATCACGAGGTCAGGAGATCGAGACCATCCTGGCTAACACGGTGAAACCCCGTCTCTACTCAAAATACAAAAAATTAGCTGGGCGCCGTGGCGGGCGCCTATAGTCCCAGCTACTTGGGAGGCTGAGGCAGGAGAATGGCGTGAACCCGGGAGGCGGAGCTTGCAGTGAGCCAAGATAGCGCCACTGCACTCCAGCCTGGGCGAAAGAGCGAGACTCTGTCTCAAAAAAAAAAAAAAAAAAAAAAAAAAAAGGGCTGACTATTATAACACCTATTAAGTTGATTTTCTTTCATTCTTTGATTGTTTGCATACATTTTACAGACATTGAATTAATTGCATAATATTGAGATAGCTATTAAAACAAAAATTTAAATACATTGGGTGAAATTTACACTCATCATAAATTGAGTATAGGATTTCTTCAGCAAAATAATATATTAGCAGTTGCAAAGAGCTATTAAAAATAAGAAACTCTGTAGCAAAAGGAACCAAATAAAGCAGTTCTCTTTTTTCAGGTGGTGAAAACTAGTGCAGTACAGATGTCTAATATCCCTAAGGGACTATACAAGTGTTTTATGTAAAGTTAAAAGGGCTATACGCAAATAGATTACTCTAAAGTAATATGGCTTCTGCTGAGATACTGTTGCTACAATTAGCTGAGCTGGCCAAAGGAAAGTGAAGAAACACACATGCAACATATATTAGCCTGTGATTGATGAAATATTATCATCATTATTATTTAATGTAATGACTTTATACCATTTTCTATGTGATGTTCTAAATATTTTATAAATATTTAATGATTTTATTCACATAATAACCCCAAGAGGTAGATAGTATTACTGTTTGTACGTTAGATATGGGGAAACTGATGGAAAGAGAGTAAGTCATTCACTAAGAAGTTACAAAGCTGAACTTGAGGCAGCCTGACTTCAGTTCGGAAAACCACATATACTACTTCTATATAATAACAGTTGGTAATAACTTATTATGTGCTAGGTTGTGTTTCTGGCTATTCACTGCATCCATAAGATTCAGGAACTATCACTATGTCAATGAAACAGACAAGGAGTACTCAAAATCAGTTATCCGATAAAATGCAGCATAGTATGAAAACACCTAAAAATAGAAAACCTACACTGAATTAAAAATTAATCATCATTGCTCTAACAGTTAAATAAAAAAGAAACATTAGAAATGATGGAGTCTACTTTTATCAGCTTCGATAACAACTTTTTCTGGATTAACATAAAGATTCAAATGACAGAAACATTGACTCACATAACTTGAACTCATTAGAGATTACCAAGTAGCTTATGAAGAGTTAACACTCTTGTCAGTAGAAACCACTGTCAATCTATTTTTATTGTTCCTAAAACTTCACTAAGAGCAAGTGTATTCTGGATTTGTAAATATGAATATTTAATTTTAAAAAATTGAAATTAATTCAATAATCTATATTTGTAATCCTCATATTTTGTAACTTTTTATTTTGTTATTATTTTAACATAAAAAAATTATAAACTATTTGAGTAAGTTGGAGATACTGTTTTTCTTTACCACTAAAAACTTCAGTGTGTATTTCCTAAGAAAAAACACATTTTCTTACATAACCACAGTAAAATACTCAAATTAGAAAATTAAACATTTTTAAGATACTGTTACATAATCAACAGTCTATATTCAAATATATTATCAGTGATCAATTTTTTTTAATAATGTCTTTTGCAGACTTTTTTCTTATCCTTGTCCTGAATTCATTTCACAGTGACATATTGCATTTAGTGATTATTTGTCTTTAGTCTCTTTTACTCCGGAACATTTTTCTTTCATGGATGTTAAATGCCATGTTCCAGTCACTTCACAAAGACTGCAGACTGGTGATTTTGTAGAATGTTCCTCAATTTGGTTTTGTCTGAAGTTTCTTCATGGTTAGATTTAGGTTTTACATTTTTGACAGGAATACAACCCAAGTGATGTTGTATACTTCTCAGTGCATCCTATCAGTATGTACGTGGTGGTGATATCCTAATATTGGCGGCATCAAGTGATCACTTACATAAAGTAGCATATGCTAAGACTTTCCACTGTAAAATAATTTTTCTCATTGTAATTAATAAATAATATGTGGGAATATAGTTTGAAACTACATAGTTTTGATATCATATTTGTCATCAAATGTTATTACATTAGTTTTAGAATCTATTGATAATTTGCTGTGTTCAATATAACATAAATTGGCATTCACCTGTAAGAAGAACTTTCATCCGACCCGATTCACATATTTGATATATAATTTCTGACTCTTATTTTATTTTCTGGACGATTACATATTACAATCACTACTTATTTTGGTGCCCAAATTTGTCACATTTTAGTACATATCATGTATGATTTCAGTTATTTGATATATGCTGATGCTAATTTTATGGGTAAGTATATGAGCTAAGTAGATAATTGTTCTATTTTCACTTGAAAGAAATGTAGGGTTATAGTGTTCCATGTGAAATTAATCCCAATATTTGATAGTCTTGTTCATATCTTACTCATCTTTACAAATTGTTTTATGAGAGAATAGTTTTTGTATTCATATAACACATATTATCCATAAGAATATGTCTCCTCTTAAATTTCTAATTCTTACTTTATTAAACATCATAAGAGAGCACTCACATTTTCTTTAAAGTAGATTTATGACTATAAACAGTGGTTCTAATTGGGAGTGATTTTACTCTCAGGTAACATTTGTTAATGTCTAGAAACATTTTTGGTTGTCACAACTTGGGGATGATGTTATTGGTGGGTAGAGGCCACAGATCCTACTAAACGTCCTATAATACACTGTTCAGCCCTCACACCAAGAATTATACGGTCTAAAATGTCAATAAAGCCAAAAATGAGGAACCATACTATAAAAACTTTATTTCTGTTTTGTTATTTGTAAAATATGAGTAATTTCCTGAAGGATGTAAGAAAACATAAGTTTAAGCCACCTAATAATGGGAAGACTATTATGTATGTTTTTGTGGGAATTTAACTTGTGTTAAATCCGAGATGTTTAGGAGCAAGATTATCAATGGTTGCAAATTGTACAATAACAAATATGGGTAAGTTTTATAATTCATACAGTGATTACTTATGTGCAGATAATGGTTGTTAAAATACTTCGAAATTTCCACATTTCACTAAGATGCATGGCATTTCATCTATTCCAAATAAGAGATTATTATTGTTGTTATTATAATTATATTATTATTATTAATGGTTGTGCCCCAAGCCCCACTTCAGTATTTGAAAGGCCAGTCAAGAAACTTTCATTTCACAAAAGTATGAATTAGTTTACAGGAAAGCATAATTGTAATAATCATTTTAATATTTCTTAGTTGTTCGACAAAATAGTTTTTACAAATCATTAAAAACTAAGGCCAAATTAACAAGATCAAGTTACCAAAAATTCTGAATTTTCAAGTTCTGGTTTATTGAGCTTTACTGCTTATGCACAGTTCTTTCAAAATTACCGGGTGTCGAGGAAAAAATACTTTTACAACATTAACCAATACATTTTTCACTTATTTGTCTGCATGTTAGAGACAAAGAATAGAAATGATAGCTGTTATATTTCATGACAATGATACTATCATGAGACATTATTTTCTATTGTCTCATGTGATAATATAATATTGCAGGCCTCTGAAGTTATCATTCTAGAGGTTCTGCACATGACTCCTACTATCATCCATTCCATTTGTTTCTAGGATGGAACCCCAGATTCATAAGATGATATCCTAACATCTTTCTTATTGTGTGGACCCCTTCTAGTTATCCCTAAAACTGTAATAATTTATAAATTCTGCCATGGTGACAAAGCACTGATTCAAAATTTGTCTTCCAAACATTGCAACTATTTTGATATATTCTTGCCTATTTGCCTATTTTGATGTATGGTAGTAATGGTAAAATTCTTCAACATTGTTACTAAGCCATTTTGTTGACAAAGGTTAACTTTAAGCATATTAAAACTATAATTGAAAGTTTTATTTTTTCAGATCTATTATTTGAGGCCCTTTTTCTTCTGTATTTATACATGTGTATTTATCCACACATACACACATAAAAATGCCTATATCCACTCAAAAAGTATTTTGCTAAATATCTAAATGTGTTCTGTTTCAAAATGACTTGATAACTTATCAAGGACTTATCAAAGCATAAAAGACATGATAACATTTATTTCTCCACAAAACAAATTGTAAGGTAAGAAAGAAAAAATTTTCGCGTAAGTGGTGACTAGAAGTTTCTAGAACTTTCAACAGGTGGCTATAATTTAAAGTTTTCCTATAAAGCAACCTTTTATCCTTTTACTACACTGGGATGAATGCAAGCTCTGAACATACGAACCAAGCTGATGTACCTAAGGCTTGACTATCATTTAAATCTGTGTGTGTATGTGTGCGTGTGTGTGTATGTGTGTGTGTGTGTGTAATCTGAAAGAAGAAAAATGAAAAATAGTTTCTATAAAATCGTAAAGACTTTGGTGGTCTGTAAAACTATAGTTTTTACTCCTTAAAGAATACTTAAAATGTATAAAGACATGAGAACCAATAAAGCATTTACTGGTATTTTTACATCATTTCAAATTTTATGTCTGAAGTCAGACATTCATGTTACTTGAATTACTTATTATTTCAAAATTCATAAAGTGAAATTGAATGCATGTTAGAAGAAATTAAAAGCCCTAAGAGTTTCTTTAAAGAAATATTTTCTATTATTTTTATATCTACAATTTTCTTTGAAAAGTCGACAATCACATGATATAATAAGATATATCAGTTATAACTTCAATTTGCACGTTATCCTCTGTTTATTTTCTTCTCTCCATCCTTTATTCATATATTTTATCCTCCGTGCACTGTCCAATCAATATCTGATCCTCTTTGATATCTGCTTAGAGTCCACATACACATCCCCTCAGAACACAGTAAAATATTTTCATGTTTGGATTGCATCTTTCCTTAGATTTTTCTATACATACCAGCACATTTGAATATGTACTTTTACCCCTCCCTTTTAAACAAAATTTACCATGTTAAACATATTGTTCTATCCTTCATTTTCATAGGACAGCATATTTTGGAGATCTTTCCATATCTGTATTTGGCTAGCTTCTTTCTTCTTTTTATGTATGTATGGTCTTTTATTGGTTTAGTGTATTTTAATAGTCAACAAATATCTTGATTGATAGATATTTGAGATAGTGTCATTTGAGCAGTCTTAACAATGATACAATGATTGGCCTTTCACATATTCCCTGAAGTATTTTGTTTACAGTTTCATAAACCACAGTGATGGCTCATTTATATTTCAACTTGCCTAGGCTATGGCACCCAGTGTATGATCAAAACAGCAGTCTAGATGTTGCTGTTAAAATATTCTTTCCATGTGATTAACAATGTAATAAGTAGACTTCGAGTAAAACAGATTACCCATTATAATATGTGTGAGCCTCATCCCATCAAGGGAAGACGTTAAGTTCAAAGAATGAGGTCCCCCAAAGAAAAAGTAATTCTGTTCCAGACCTCCTTTGGACTCAAGACTACATCAACCCCTTCCAAAATTTACGAACTGCCAACCTGCTCTGAAGATTCTGGACCTGCCATCTTCCACAATTTTGTGAACCAATTCTTCAAAATAAATTTTTCTAGCTCCCTCTTGATATATATATGTCCCATTTGTTTTGCATCTATGGAGAATCCTGACAAACACAATCAGCCTGAATTGGGACTGGTAAATTCTCTTCTACCGTTTTTCATTCAGTTCAAACAACTAAGTTTTGTTACAGTTGTTTGTTTTGTTTTCAGAACAACTAAATTAGATGAAACATTTCAAATATCTTTATGGATTAAAAAATAAATGCATTTGTTCTAGAATAATGGCAGTGTTGGATTAGGAGAGTAATTGATGATTTTATTTCCTACTCTGCTTACATTTGTCTAAGAATTATCTAAGCATTACCATTATGCTTTCATGAACCTGTAACTTCTTAAAGGAGACACATGAGCTTTTATCTGTGTGCATTATATCATTTACGGTTGATTATTTGAATGGCTTCCTAAAGTCTTAGGAACAATATTCCCAAAGGGAAACTCATCTACAGGTGCACAAGGAAGTGCTGAAGTGAAGTCACTCACTCATCTTCGTGCAAATAATGTCCAGAAATGGAACATACAAATTGAGTATATAGAATTCAATACGATTTTTGTAAGATCATTTAAAAATCTTGTGAATCTGTTTACCCAACATAGCTTATAGTAAGACTTCCTGGTGTTATCTTACAACAGTGGAGGCTTAGCTCTTAGGGGCAACAGGAAGATTATGAACAAGTTTATCGTCTAGTTACAATCATTTTATAATTTGTTCTGATTCACAAAAGAACAAAGTGCCTGAAAAAAGAATAGTACGATAGATGGATAATTTTCTTTCAGAAGAAAATAGTAGATTTCAAAGCCAGGTAATACAATCATAAAAAATGAAAAAGAAGTATTAAGGAAAAACTTAATTTTGTTCCGTCTACCTAACAATAATTTAAATAAAGTTTAAAATGTTTAAAATCTTTTTATTAATGTCAGAGTTTGAAATAAAGAAACAAACATTATTGGTCACAATGGTAATATTGATAGTCCTAGATCATATTGCTCTTGGCAGCCATGAAGAAATAAATTATAAAAGCTTAGAATTGCATGAACATACCACTTTAAGACACACCATCATTTGTATTAGAAAAATTTCAGCTATGTATGTTAGACTAGTTTTATATTTTGGTGGGTAAATAAGGCTCAAATGTACCTTAATTGTTAGGACTGAGCTTGATTCTTATTATAATAGAAGACCTGGCTTTCTAATGAAGAAAATTATTGTTTAAAAATTGAAACAAAAATTGTTAAACTAATATAATTTCAAATATAAAATTAATTCAAAAATTAGCTTTATGACTATTTATAACTTCAAGATAATTATAGCTTGTTTTTATTTAAAAATGTAAGTCTTTGATACAAAATAATAAAAACATAAATTTTTACAAATTTTATATAAAAAATTTATTAAAATATAAAATTTCATTTACAAAGTTTATATTAACAAAACATTAGATTTGGAAAAATACTTGCTACTCATAGTATTTTTTACCTATCTAAATAACTTGTTTCTTCCAAAGCCCTTGCTTATATATTTCATGATTTATTGGCTTCTCAATAAGATAAGTAAGTTATTTGGAGCCTAAAAGATCTTAATGACTCAGCTGGTAACAAAACTTTAGTCTATTTCTAGTTTGGATTTTTCTTACTTTTGTATGTTTCTTTATTTCTCGATGGCATTGTTATAAAAATGAAAATCCACATTTTTTTCTGCCAAGCAATTTCTATATAAAGAAAATACTGTTTTATCAAAATTACCAGTGGGAATTTGGAAATTATATCATTACATTGAGGGGAATACCCCTATAACTTTGTGTATTATATATTAAATTTGACCAGTCAATGATATTACATATTAAATCCAACCAGTTGTCTATCAAAAAATGTGAGCCTTTTTTTCATATAATTGTGAAGGTCCTACTTGATCACTGTTCTGTGGGAAATTACATTACAATTCCTCAGTAGCTAAATAGTCAATATTTGTGGGTTTTTTTGACAAACCTAATAGATTTTCTCTTTTTTAAACTGTATGTTTTAACTTTTTTCTTAACAGAAAGCAGGAGTGAGCATGCAGAAGAGATTTAAGATATGTATGTACAATATTTGAGACATATGACTAATGCATGGCATAATTAAGCTATACAACAAATCTCTAGTTGTAAAGTCCATACACTATGATGATTCATAAGAATATTTAAGTGGTTAAAAAAACGTGGAATTCATTATACTTTTGATTGAATGTCACTTTGGAAGTCATTACTGTAACTATGTATTACACAAAGATGATTAAAAATACTCCGAGCTACAGGAGGAAATTCAAACCAAAGGCAAAGAAGTTGAAAACTTTGAAAAAAATTTAGACGAATGTATAGCTAGAATAACCAATACAGAGAAGTGCTTAAAGGAGCTGATGGAGCTGAAAGCCAAGGCTCAAGAACTACATGAAGAATGCAGAAGCCTCAGGAGCCAATGCAATCAACTGGAAGAAAGGGTATCAGCAATGGAAGATGAAATGAATGAAATGAAGTGAGAAGGGAAGTTTAGAGAAAAAAGAATAAAAAGAAACGAACAAAGCCTCCAAGAAATATGGGACTATGTGAAAGACCAAATCTACTTCTGATTTGGAAAGTGATGGGGAGAATGGAACCAAGTTGGAAAACACTCTGCAGGATATTATCCAGGAGAACTTCCCCAATCTAGCAAGGCAGGCCAACATTCAGATTCAGGAAATACAGAGAACGCCACAAAGATACTCCTCGAGAAGAGCAAATCCAAGACAAATAACTGTCAGATTCACCAAAGTTGAAATGAAGGAAAAAATGTTAAGGGCAGCCAGAGAGAAAGGTCGGGTTACCCACAAAGGGAAGCCCATCAGACTAACAGCGGATTTCTCGGCAGAAACTCTAAAAGCCAGAAGCGAGTGGGGGCCGATATTCAACATTCTTAAACAAAAGAATGTTCAACCCAGAATTCCATATCCAGCCAAACTAAGTTTCATAAGTGAAGGAGAAATAAAATACTTTATAGGCAAGCAAATGTTGAAAGATTTTGTCACCACAAGGCCTGCCCTAAAAGAGCTCCTGAAGGAAGCACTAAACATGGAAAGGAACAACCAGTACCAGCCACTGCAAAATCATGCCAAATTGTAAAGACCATCAAGGCTAGGAAGAAACTGCCTCAACTAATGAGCAAAATAACCAGCTAACATCATAATGACAGGATCAAATTCACACATAACAATATTAACTTTAAATGTAAATGGACTAAGTGCTCCAATTAAAAGACACAGACTGGCAAATTGGATAAACAGTGAAGACCCATCAGTGTGCTGTATTCAGAAAACCCATCTCACGTGCAGAGACACACATAGGCTCAAAATAAAAGGATGGAGGAAGATCTACCAAGCAAATGGAAAACAAAAAAAGCAGGGGTTGCAATCCTAGTCTCTGATAAAACAGACTTTAAACCCATAAAGATCAAAAGAGACAAAGAAGGCCATTACATAATGGTAAAGGGATCAATTCAACAAGAAGAGCTAACTATCCTAAATATACATGCACCCAATACAGAAGCACCCAGATTCATAAAGCAAGTCCTGAGTGACCTACAAAGAGACTTAGACTCCCACACAATAATAATGGGAGACTTTAACACCCCACTGTCAACATTAGACAGATCAACGAGACGGAAAGTTAATAAGGATACCCAGGAATTGAATTCAGCTCTGCACCAAGTGGACCTAATAGACATCTACAGAACTCTCCACCCCAAATCAACAGAATATACATTCCTTTCAGCACCACACCACACCTATTCCAAAACTGACCACATAGTTGGAAGTAAAGCTCTCCTCAGCAAATGTAAAAGATCAGACATTATAACAAACTGTCTCTCAGACCACAGTGCAATCAGACTAGAACTCAGGATTAAGAAACTCACTCAAAACCGCTCAACTACATGGAAACTGAACAACCTGCTCCTGAATGACTACTGGGTACATAACGAAATGAAGGCAGAAATAAAGATGTTCTTTCAAACCAACGAGAACAAAGACACAACATACCAGAATCTCTGGGACACATTCAAAGCAGTGTGTAGAGGGAAACTTATAGCACTAAATGCCCACAAGAGAAAGCAGGAAAGATCCAAAATTGACACCCTAACATCAAATTAAAAGAACTAGAAAAGCAAGAGCAAACACATTCAAAAGCTAGCAGAAGGCAAGAAATAACTAAAATCAGAGCAGAACTGAAGGAAATAGAGACACAAAAAACCCTTCAAAAAATTAATGAATCCAGGAGCTGGTTTTTTGAAAGGATCAACAAAATTGATAGACCGCCAGCAAGACTAAAAAAGAAGAAAAGAGAGAAGAATCAAATAGACGCAATAAAAAATGATAAAGAGGATATCACCACTGATCCCACAAAAATACAAACTACCATCAGAGAATACTACAAACACCTCTATGCAAATAAACTAGAAAATCTAGAGGAAATTGATAAATTCCTTGACACATACACCCTCTCAATACTAAACCAGGAAGAAGTTAAATCTCTGAATAGACCAATAACAGGATCTGAAATTGTGGCAATAATCAATAGCTTGCCAACCAAAAGGAGTCCAGGACCAGATGGATTCACAGTCGAATTCTACCAGAGGTACAAGGAGGAACTGGTACCATTCCTTTTGAAACTATTCCAATCAATAGAAAAAGAGGGAATCCTCCCTAACTCATTTTATGAGGCCAGCATCATCCTGATACCAAAGCTGGGCAGAGACACAACCAAAAAAGAGAATTTTAGACCAATATCTTTGATGAACATTGATGCAAAAATCACCAGTAAAATACTGGCAAACCAAATCCAGCAGCACATCAAAAAGCTTATCCACCATGATCAAGTGGGCTTCATCCTTGGGAGGCAAGGCTGGTTCAACATACGAAAATCAATAAATGTAATCCAGCATATAAACAGAACCAAAAACAAAAACCACATGATTATCTCAATAGATGCAGAAAGGCCTTTGACAAAATTCAACGACCCTTCACGCTAAAAACTCTCAATAAATTAGCTATTGATGGGATGTATCTCAAAATAATAAGAGCTATCTATGACAAACCCACAGCCAATGTCATACTGAATGGGCAAAAACTGGAAGTATTCCCTTTGAAAACTGGCACAAGACAGGGATGCCCTCTCTCACCACTCCTATTCAACATAGTGTTGGAAGTTCTGGCCAGGGCAATTAGGCAGGAGAAGGAAATAAAGGGTATTCAATTAGGAAAAGAGGAAGTCAAATTATCCCTGTTTGCAGATGACATGATTGTATATCTAGAAAATCCCATTGTCTCAGCCCAAAATCTCCTTAAGTTGATAAGCAACTTCAGCAAAGTCTCAGGATACAAAATCAATGTACAAAAATTACAAGCATTCTTATACAGCAATAACAGACAAACAGAGAGCCAAATCATGAGTGAACTCCCATTCACAATTGCTTTAAAGAGAATAAAATACCTCGGAATCCAACTTACAAGGGATGTGAAGGACCTCTTCAAGGAGAACTACAAACCACTGCTCAACGAAATAAAAGAGGATACAAACAAATGGAAGAACATTCCATGCTCATGGGTAGGAAGAATCAATATGGTGAAAATGGCCATACTGCCCAAGGTAATGTATAGATTCAATGCCATCCCCATCAAGCTACCAATGACTTTCTTCACAGAATTGGAAAAAACTACTTTAAAGTTCACATAGAACCAAAAAAAAGCCCGCATCACCAAGTCAATCCTAAGCCAAAAGAACAAAGCTGGAGGCATCACGGCACCTGACTTCAAACTATAATACAAGGCTACAGTAAACAAAACAGCATGGTACTGGTACCAAAACAGAGATATAGATCAATGGAACAGAACAGAGCCCTCAGAAATAACGCCACATATCTACAACTATCTGATCTTTGACAAACCTGAGAAAAACAAGCAATGGGGAAAGGATTCCCTATTTAATAAATGGTGCTGGGAAAACTGGTTAGCCATATGTAGAAAGCTGAAACTGGATCCCTTCCTTACACCTTATACAAAAATTAATTCAAGATGGATTAAAGACTTAAACGTTAGACCTAAAACCATAAAAACGCTAGAAGAAAACCTAGGTATTACCATTCAGGACATAGGCACGGGCAAGGACTTCATGTCTAAAACACCAAAAGCAATGGCAACAAAAGCCCAAATTGACAAATGGGATCTAATTAAACTAAAGAGCTTCTGCACAGCAAAAGAAACTACCATCAGAGTGAACAGGCAACCTACAAAATGGGAGAAAATTTTTGCAAACTACTCACCTGACAAAGGGCTAATATCCAGAATCTACAATGAACTCAAACAAATTTACAAGAAAAAAACAAACAACCCCATCAAAAAGTGGGCAAAGGACATGAACAGACACTTCTCAAAAGAAGACATTTATGCAGCCAAAAAACACATGAAAAAATGCTCACCATCACTGGCTATCACAGAAATGCAAATCAAAACCACAATGAGATACCATCTCACACCAGTTAGAATGGCAATCATTAAAAAGTCAGGAAACAACAGGTGCTGGAGAGGATGTGGACAAATAGGAACACTTTTACACTGTTGGTGGGACTGTAAACTAGTTCAACCATTGTGGAAGTCAGTGTGGTGATTCCTCAGGGATCTAGAACTAGAAATACCATTGGACTCAGCCATCCCATTACTGGGTATATACCCAAAGGACTATAAATCATGCTGGTATAAAGACACATGCACACGTATGTTTACTGTGGCACTATTCACAATAGCAAAGACTTGGAACCAACCCAAATATCCAACAATGATAGACTGGATTAAGAAAATGTGGCACATATACACCATGGAATACTATGCAGCCATAAAAAATGATGAGCTCATGTCCTTTGTAGGGACATGGATGAAATTGGAAATCATCATTCTCAGTAAACTATCGCAAAAACAAAAAACCAAACACCGCATATTCTCACTCATAGGTGGGAATTGAACAATGAGAACACATGGACACAGGAAGGGGAACATCACACTCTGTGGACTGTTGTGGGGTGGGGGGAGGGGGGAGGGATAGCATTAGGAGATATACCTAATGCTAAATGACGAGTTAATGGGTGCAGCACACCAGCATGGCACATGTATACATATGTAACTAACCTGCACATTGTGCACATGTACCCTAAAACTTAAAGTATAATAGTAATAAAATTAAATTAAAAATAAAAGAAAAAAAGAATTTAAAAATTTAAGGTCAATATTACTCTACTAAATGAGTGCTAAATCATTTAAATAAAATGTGACATTACAATTCCGAGCACGTGTTTCTATTAAGAAAGAAAATCATACTGCTTTACATAATTGTCCTTTACTGAACTTTTTTGTGTTAATAATCATTTTCTTATTTTGCAATAAATTTGCTAATTACTATTATAAAAACTGTCAGGACAAAGAATTGTAGCCATGAAACTAATGTCGTTTGAAAGTTAGAAATTCACTTTGGAAGGCCGACGCAGGCAGATTACCTGAGAAAAGGAATTTGAGGCCAGTCTGGCCAACACAGTGAAACCCGTGTCTACTAAAATTACAAAAATTAGCTGGGCATGGTGACGTGCACTTGTAGTCCCAGCCACTTGGGAGTAAGAAGCAGGAGAATAGCTTGAACCTGGGAGGCAGAGGTTGTAGTAAAGTGAGATTGTGTCACTACACTCCAGCCTGGGTGACACAGTGAGACTCCATCTAAAAAAAAAAAAAGTTAGAAATTACAGAAAAAAAATTAAATGCAAAATAACAATTTAAAAATATCTCAGTGAATATGTAATTTAATATTTAGATTTTCAATTATTTTCTACTACAATTTTTCAATTTTTTAGTAAGATAATTCTCTGCCTTCAAATAAATATTGTGGACATGGTAGATTTAAAGATGCATAATATTTGAGCTGTAATTCATTTATTTTAATCCCCACCTAACAGTTTCTATCATTAGCAGATTTTCTTCTGCCTGATATAGTTTTTCCTAGTTCTTCACCTGACTCAGCTCATTCAATATTATTTTTAGCCTTTATCCTTAAATTTCACCCATTTAAATAGACTATTCCTAGTATGTTACAGGTGGATTAGATAGATAGATAAGGGACAGAGAGATACCTATCCATTCATCATCCTGCTTCTTCCTAACACATCACAGTCTTAAATTTTATCTATTCTCATATTTAAGTTTGTGTTTGTTTCACTCTCTAAAATAAAACTCCATTAAGAGGAATGATTTTACTGGTCTTGTTTATTTGGGTATCCCCAATGACTATCACAGTGCCTGTCATATATTTGATTTTCATAAAAATTTGTTATTTAAATGATCAAAATGTCCATAGTTTTGCTTAAAATTAGATCAAATATAAAGCAAACTTTCTCTTTTATCCCCCCAAAATTTACAATGTAGATATTGATGATCTTATAGTAATAGAACCTCAATTGAGAAAATTAATGTTTTTTGTTAATAAGCACTCCAGAATTCCTTCACAAATATATAAAAGAGAAAGAAGGACTTAAGGAAACAAATTTACACTGATCATAAAGAAAGGTTTATTGCTGGCTACATTTGATCTGGCAATAAACAAAACCTTTCATGAAAGCATTAATCAATCAGTGATTATATGAATCAAAAAGGAATTATCTGCTAGGCATTATCAGAACTACCAATAATCTTTATAAAAATATAAATAAAATTCACAATAATTTCCCCTTTAATCCAGATGTTTAATTACATCGCAGTTTCAATAGTTGTCTTTTTGTGTTTTGAAATTATTTTTATTCATTCATCTTAATTTATTAAGCATCCACTTTATTTATAAAAGGAATCAAGAATTGTAATTTTGTTGAGGACAAGAGGCAAATTTTATTTACATTTTAATTAAAATTATTTTCAAGATATTAGAATACTTGTTTTAAGAATGTGACCTTGTAAAACACACTCACCATGAGCTTAGAAAGCACAGAACCAAGCCATATATAGAGGCCACATGGAGTTGCTCTGGTCAGTGGTCCAAGCTTAGTTCCAATCAACAAGGAGTATAAACTGCCAGATATGTGAGTAAACTATCTTGAATATTTCAACTCAATTGAACCTCCAAGTCACTGCAGCCTCAGCCCATGTCCCATGGCTGATACCTGTCAACCCAAAAATGGTAAGATGAAATAAGTCTTTAGGTATATTCCCATATTTAAATAAATACGAGGTGGTACTAACTGTATTTCTGAAAAATAGAGGTTTATTATTTTAAAATGACTGGCCAGATTTGAAGAAAAGCCAAATAAAAATTCTAGAGTAAAATTTAAAATTAGATGCATGAACTAAACAGAAGACTAGATATAGCTGAAGAGATGATTGGTAAACAAGAAGACCAAATTACATAAATTATCTAGAATGTATCACAGAGTACTAGAAATTAAAAACACAAAGGGAAGAAAAATAAGTATAGAAAAATACCTGAAGCAAATCAAATCATAATGTAAGAAAGACTGACTAAAGAAAATGCAGGAAATGGAATATTTGATGATACAATGATTAGAATTGTCAAAATATGATGAAAGATATAAATTAATAGATACAAAAACACAGGATGTGGTGAAATAAAAAATTAACATGTAAAGATATTTTGGTAAACCTATAGAATTTCTAATACAAGGAGAATATTTTGAAGGAAACTAGAATAAAAGGCAAAATATATAAAAAGAGACAATGTATCAACTAAATTCTTTCTAAAAGCAGCAACAGCAAATAGAAAGATAGAACTAAATGTCAGAAGATACAATTTCTCAAAAAAATGGCCACTGACCTGCATATCTAAAAAAAATAAAGCTTCTAGCAGATATTGGGTACTATGCTCACTATCTGGGTGATGGGATTATTCATAACTCAAATATCAGCATTAGGCAATATACCCATGCAATGAAACTGCATATGTACACCCTGAATCTAAAATAAAAATTAAGGCAGAGCAAGATGGCAGAATAGGAGCCTACACTGTTTCTTTCCCCTGCAGGAACACCAAATTTTAACAACGACCTGCATACAGAAAAGCACTTCCACAAGAATCCAATTCAGATGAGTCATCACAGTGCCTGGTTTTAAGCTGATATAGAGGAAAGAGTCATTGAAGTGGGTAGGAAAGACAGTCTTAAATAACTAACGCCACTCCTCCTCCACCCCCAACAGCAGCCTGTAGCATAAAGTGTCTGTGCATTTGGGGGAGGGAGAGCACAGTGGGGACTTTACATTGAACTCAGTGTTGCCCTGTCACAACTGAGAGCAAAGTTGTGCTAAACTCAGCCAGTGCTCATTCATGGAAGGAGCATTTGGACCAGCCTTAGCTAGTGGGGAATCATCCATCCTAGCAATTGGATTCAGTTTCTTGAAAAGCCTTACCACCACGGGCCATAGTGCCCTAGAGTCCTAGCTCCACTTGAAAGGCGCTGTAAGACACAAGTGAGAGCTGACAACATGCTAGCAGCCCTCGCTTGCTCTCGGCACCTCCTCAGGCCACGGCATCCACTCTATTCATGCTTGGGGAGCCCTTCAGCCCACCGCTGCACTGTGGGAGCCCCTCCCTGGGCTGGCTGAGGCAGGAGCTGGCTCCCTCTGCTTGCAGGGAGGTGTGGAGGGAGAGGCATGGGTGGGAACCGGGGTTGTGCACAGCGCTCGCAGGCCAGCGTGAGTTCCAGGTGGGCACTGGCTCAGCTGGCCCTGCACTTGGAGCAGCCAGCTGGAGCCGCCGGCCCAGGGCAGTGAGGGGCTTAGCAACCGGGCCAGCAGCTGCAGAGGGTGCGGTGGGTCCCCCAGCACTGCTGACCTGCCCGCTCCACACTCGAATTCTCACTGGGCCTCAGCCACCTCCCCATGGGGCAGGGCTCCAGACCTGCAGGCCGCCATGCCAGACCCCCCCACCCCGTGGGCTCCGGCATGGCCTGAGCCTCCCGGACGGGCACTGCCCCCTGCTCCATGGTGCCTGGTCCCATCCACTGCCCAAGGGCTGAGGAGTGTGGGCTCACAGTGCAGGACCGGCAGGCAGCTCTGCCCACAGCCCTGGTGCGGGATCCACTAGGCAAGGGTTCCACTAGGCGAAACCAGCTGGGCTCCTGAGTCAGGTGGGGACTTGGAGAACTTTTATGTCTAGCTAGAGGATTGTAAATGCACCAATCAGCACTCTGTGTCTAGCACAGGGATTGTAAATGCACCAAGCAGCACTCTGTGTCTAGCTAATGTAGTGGGGAGTTGGAAAACTTTTGTGTCTATCTGGAGGATTGTAAATGCACCAATCAGCACTCTGTGTCTAGCTCAGGGATTGTAAACCCACCAATCAGCACTCTGTGTCTAGCTTAAGGTTTGTAAATGCACCAATCAGTGCTCCGTGTCTAACTAATCTAGTGGGGACTTGGAGAACTTTTATGTCTAGCTAGATGATTGTAAATGCACCAATCAGCATTCTGTGTCTAGCTCAGGGATTGTAAACACACCAATCAGCACCCTGTCAAAATGGACCAATCAGCTCTCTGTAAAACAGACCAATCAGCTCTCTGTAAAATGGAGCAACCAGCTTTCTGTAAAATGGACCAATCAGCAGGATGTGGGTGGGGCCAGATAGGGGAATAAAAGCATGCTGCAGGAGCCAGCCGCGGAAACCTGCTTGGCTCCTTTTCCACACAGTGGAAGCTTTGTTCTTTTGGTTTTTGCAATAAATCTTGCTGCTGCTCACTCTTTGGGTCCACACTGCCTTTATGAGCTGTAACACTGACTGCTAAGGTCAACAGCTTCACTTCTGAAGCCAGCAAGACCACGAACCCACAGGGAGGAATCAACAACTCGGGACGGGAGGAACGAACGACTCCAGACGTGCCACCTTAAGAGCTGTAACACTCACCACGAAGGTCTACAGCTTCACTCTTGAAGCCAGTGAGACCACGAACCCACCAGAAGGAAGAAACTCTGAACACGTCTGAACATCAGAAGGACAAACTCCGGACACATCATCTTTAAGAACTGTAATACTCACTGCGAGGGTCCGCGGCTTCATTCTGGAAGTCAGTGAGACCAAGAACCCACCAATTCCGGACACGCAAAGACTGTAATTCCTAGGCGACTACTAGTGCTGGGCTGGGCTCAGAGTCAATGGACGAGGGTGCCACGTGACCGAGGGAGACACTGGCCAGGGCAGCTAAGGAAGTGCTTGTACCACCCTTCCCTCAACACTAGGCAGTGCAGCTTGCAGCAATACAAGTAATTCTTTCCTTCTGCTTAAAAGTGGGGAGAGAAAAGAGTAGAGGACTTTGTCTTCTATCTTCAATACCAGCTCAACCACAGTAGGATAGGCCACCAATAAGAGTTGTGAGACTCCCATTCCAGGCCCTAGCTCATGGATAACATGTCTAGGCACACCTTTGGCCAAAAGGTTACCTACTGCCTTGAAGGGAAGAACCAAGTTCCGAAAGGATTCATTATGTGCTGACTGAAGAGCTCTTGGGCCCTGAATAACCAATAGTGATATGCAGGCAGTAAGCCATGGGCCTTGGGCTCTGAGACCTGCTGGCTTCAGGTGTGACCTAGCACACTCCTAGCTGTGGTGGCTACGGTGAAAGATTCCTTCTGTTTGGAAAAAGCAGAGAAAAAATTAAAAAGGACTTTGTCTTGCAAGTTAGGTACCAGCTTGGCCACAGAAGGGTAGAGCCATAAGCAGGAACTTGCAATCTCCAAGCCCAGATCAAGGATCTTGGACAGCATTTCTGGACCTGCCCTGGGCCAGAGGAGATCCCACTGCCCTGAAGGGTGAGTACCAAGCCTGGCAGCATTCACCACGAACTGAAGGAAGAGCTCTTGGGCTTTAAGTGAACATCAGGAGTAGCCTGGCAGAACCCCTCATGAGCCAATGGTGGTGGTGGCTGCAGCAATAGGCCCCTCTGCCTGCGGAAAGGGAAGGAAAGAGCTGGAAAGAGTTTATATTGTGGTTTGAGTACCAGTTTGGCTGCAGTAGAATAGAACATAAGGTATGTTTCTAAGGTTTTTTACTCCAATCCCTGGCTCACAGGCAGCATCTCTGGACCTGCCCAGGACCTGGGGGAAATTTCTGCCCTGAAGGGAATGACACAAACGTGGCTGACTTTGCCAGCTGCTGATTGTACAGAGCTAGAGCCTTGAGTGAACATAGGTGCTAGCCAGAGAGTGGTTACAACAGACCTTGAGTGAGACCCAGTGCTGTGTGCTGTCTTACTCAGGGCAGTCCCAGTGGTGTATTCTTTAAACAGTACTATTTTATATATTAGCATTATGGAATGTGGTATATTTCAAAAAAATAGTATATTAATGCCACATATAGTAAGAATCTGGATCCTAGATTTTCATTTTATTCATACTAACTTTTTTTTTTTCACCAATCTTTTTCTCATATAAGTGCTTGGAAATTAAGTCCTCTAGTTTTGAAAATAAAAGTGTATCAGTTGCAAAATACATTTTCCTTTGTCTACCTGACTTGTTTCCTATAATTTTTAAATTATACTACATTTATTAATGGTAATGTCATGTCTTAGTGTCTGTCACCTAGAAACGGCAAAGGCAACAATCTCCCTAAAGTACCTGATTTTGCCTCAAAATGGTCAGAGAAAATACTCTTATTTAAAAACCCCTAAAAGTTTCTTATCAATATTTCTCTTATATGAAAAATATACTACAAATGATGTTTTTTAAATCGGTGGTTCTTAAAAGTTTATATGCATATAATCAAATGTAAGGTTTATTAAAGGATGATTACTAGATCAACAGGTACATGCCACCACACCCAGCTAATTTTTGTATTTTCACCATGTTGGCCAGGATGGTCTCTATCTCCTTACTTTGTGATCCACCCACCTCAGCCTCCCCAAGTGCTGGGATTACAGACATGAGCCACTGCACCCAGCCAATCAATCCCTACAGTTTCTAATTCAGCAGTCTGAAGTGTATAGTACAGGCTGATAATATGCATTGGTAACAAATTTCTAGACTCTGCTAATCCTGCTGGTCTAAGGATTACTGTCCAATAATGACTATTCATGATTACTGGCATAAGGTATCAGGTCATTGGTATAAAAAGCCATTAAAAATTATGTTTATACATATATATAGACACATACACATATAGACACATACATAGGCACACAAACATATGCATACATAGCTATGCACATACAGCACATATACCATACCTACAAATATATATACTGACTCATCTAATAAGTAATAGTAGCTATTTTGTAAATTGCCTGCAATTCAATTTTTTTCCTTTTTGAGCATTAATTGAGATTTTAGTGGAACTTACATAATTGCAAAACCGTTTACTTTAAGGAATTAAAAAATTATATGTATGACTTCTTTATAGGTACTAAAATCTTATTTGTACACATATACAATTGACATAAGACAAATGTAAATCTATTTGGGTTTTACCATTTGGACCCTGTCTTTCTTGCCTTTACCTCACATGTTCTTTAGTTGCAGTAACATTACTAAATCTTGTCTTCTTACATCTCAAGTTTTGTGTACATAGTGTAACTTCTAACTACATATTACCACTCAGCCTCCACTTCTCCAAACCTCATTCTATTTTATTATAGAGTTCAGCTCTTTATTGAAATGTTACAACAGAAGTTTAGTCAAAAAGCCTGAAGCCCACGTTATGGTAGGACTCCTCATATTCCTCTCTTTGTTCTCCTTTCTTCTCCCTAGCTTCAGCAGTAGCTGAGGAAGGGGTAGTATCTCCTACCAGTGTAGCACCTGCTGCTGGGGCAGCTCCACCAGCTGCTACATTGCAGATGAGGCTCTTGATACTGATGTTGGCCAACATCTTTGCAAATATGGCAGGCCAGAAAGGCTTTAATGAAGATATTGATGTTATACAAAATATCAAATATTTGTCATTTGTAGAGACCATCATTTTTGAATGAATGAATAAGATAATTT
Organism: Homo sapiens; assembly: GCF_000001405.40. NCBI lineage: Eukaryota > Metazoa > Chordata > Mammalia > Primates > Hominidae > Homo > Homo sapiens. The sequence goes on along the minus strand of NC_000004.12, from coordinate 60,038,275 downwards.
TATAAATATATTTTGTGAGCATTAGAAAATTATCAAATGAACACAAGATTTAAAAATTGGAATAGAAAGTATAATAATAGATGACATAAATAGAAAGCAAATCAACATCTCTAGCTAAAAGCAAATAAAGAACCTTGATTTTACTCCAAATATGCACCTATATTTCAGAAATAGATGCACCATCTAGAAAATTAAGTAACATTTATCCTGTTGAATTTTGCATTTATTCTTTCCTATCCAAGTAATTTAGAGACAACAACTCCCAGAAAACTTCAATGTTGTAAGTGGAGTAAGAATAGCATTCATGTGTTTAATCCCAGGACATACAGAACCACAAAATACTGAATGGATGATGCTGGGGGAATCTTGGGAAACTCTGGTAGCCAGAAATAGAGTAACTTGTATAATATGCATATGTTTAAACTGCCACAGACCTAAGCTGAGAGACAGAAGTATATACCACCACTAGTAAGCTGACTCATAATAGAAGAAATTCTACTGTCAAAAAATAAAGAAAGAAGGTCGAGGGCTTGAATTAAATGAAGAGCTAAACATCAGGGGTTGGAAATTACAGGAACAATCTTAAAATTCTGCCTACCACATGAGGAAACTTGGTATGGTGTTTTTATTACGTGGGATGATATCTGATTTACGTTATAGTAAGCTTTTATGAAACTAGAACTAGGCTAGAGCTTACAGACTCTACTTCCTACCCAGAATCTCCCTCATCCCATGTCATTTAAGGTACATCTATAAAATATGATCCTCCTCATCCACCTATTATACGCATATATGGGGAACTCTAAGGAAAATATCAGACTATTATCAATTCTCTCTGTGCCAAATATATCTGAAAGTCATTGCTGGCACACAATTTTAAAGACAAAAATTATGACCCTGGAATTCCTCATCTGACTATAGAATTGGTTTCTTTCAATGAAAACAAGAGGAAATATTTCCTAGAATGAAATAATTCAGACAGAATAACACTCTTTGAAAAGCCAAAGAAATTTAAGAAGCAATGTTGATAAACAAGGGGTAATTACAATCAATAATTAAACAGTAGAAAAGAATTAGGGTGATAAACATCAATAGAGTAAAAAATGTTTAAATGAACTTTATTAAATATATATATGGTTACAAACAAAAACTAAAAAGAATATTGAACAAGAATACACAGAATATAAAGTTAATTATCTGGGTCTCAAATCCCATTTTGTCAATTAAAGCCTAGAGCAGTGATCAACAGAAATAGATTAAGGAATAAGTGGAGATAATTTTTTTCAAATTTCAAAATATTAAAATATTTATTTATTTTTACCTTTCATAATAGGGTTTCACTAGCAATATAGTTATGCTTCTCTACCATAAACACTTAAAACATAATACAATATTCAATAAGAATAAACTTTTCAGTATTGAAATGCTTTTTACAGACCACTTTTTCCCCAATTGCAAATTTGTTTTATGAAAGAAACAAAATCGATAGGATATATATGAACATATAAGAGGATATTTATTATGTGGATTGGCTCATATGATTATGGAGACTGAGAAGTCCCATGGTATGCTTTCCAAAAACTGGAGAACCAGGAGAGCTAGTGATTATTCTGAGCCCAAAGGATTGTGAACTAGAGGAGCTAATGGTATAATTCCAAGACCCCAGCTGATGGCTTGAGAACCAAGGGGACGCTGATGTAAATCCTGAAGTCCAAAGAACAAAGAGCCAAGAGCTCTGTTGGAGGGCAGAAAATAAATGTGCCAGCTCGAGAAAAGAGAGTACTTTCACCCTTTCTCTGTTTTTGTTGTTGTTGTTGTTGCTGTTGTTGTTGTTTGTTGTTCTACTCCAGGAACGCCCTCAATGGATTGGATGATTCCTGCCCACATTAGTTCTTTACTCAGTCTAATGATTAAGATGCTAATCATCTCCTCTGGAATTCTCCTTACGTCTGTAAGGAGACCAAAACATTGAGAAATAGTTTTACACCAGCCTTCTGGGCCTCTCTTAACCCAGTAAATTTGACATATAACATTAACTAACATGATATCTATTTCAGCATATATTTTCCTGGACTCTTCCTGTTTTTCCAATTATTAACCACAAAAATACTTTAAATATTTATTAAGCTTTTGCTATGCTATATAAATATTAAATAGTGAGAAATAAAGGGTGAATATGAGAAATTTTAGTGTAAAGACACTATAATCACAATTCTCAAAATAATAAAATTGAGTGAAAAGTAAGATATTGTGTAATGTGAACAAATAGTTTCAGAGACATAAAATGAGTAACATCATAAAATAAATTATACATTTATTTTTAAAAACTCCAATAAAATGTACAACTATTTGGAAAGATTAAAGTAAATGTAAAAACATAGCATAAATTAGTCCAGGTGCAGTGGCTCACTCCTGTAATCCCAGCATATTGGGACACCTACGAGGGCAATAAAGAGGGCAAATTACTTAAGGCTAGGAATTGGAAACCAGCCTGGCCAACATGGTGAAACCTTGTCTCTACTAAAAATACAAAAAGTAGACGGACATGGTGGAGCACACCTGTAATCCCAGCTACTCCTGAGGCTGAGGAAGGAGAATCACTTGAACCTGGGGGGTGGAGGCTGCAGTGAGCGGAGATCACGCCACTGTACTACAGCCTGGGCAACAGAGTGGAACTCCGTCTCAAACAACAAACAAACAAAAAAATTAGCATAAATGACATAATATCACATGATAGAGATACTCCTTAAAGATGTTAGCTTTTGGAGAAAGGCTATGGGAATACAGCAGAGGAGGGAGCACCAGGAATCTCTCTCCCCACATAGACAATGGTGACATTGACAGAATCACAGTCTGATATAACTACTTTGGAACTCTGGAGTCTTTTGAAGGCTTGAAACTTCCAGGGAAAGGCTTGGATTTACAGCATGCAGGAACCAGGTGGCCAAAAAGGAGACTTTTCAAAAATCAGAGATCTGTACTCTGATTTTGGGTTGTTCCTTCTGATCACAAAGACATAGAAAAGAAGCAAGTGATCAGTGTTGTTGCATCTACCGCCACTTTTGCCAGGGCCTCCCACTTTGGCTGAATTACCAAGGAATTTAGAGGGGACTCATGCCCTTGTCCACCAATTTTCATTTTTTTTCTATGTTTTTTTTTTCCTTTTGGAAGTCAGACGTTAAAGGCTATAACATTTAGAAGTAACTGCATATACAGAAAAAATTACAAAGTGAAAACACAAGCCCAGGAAAAGACACAGAATGAGAAAAAAGCAAAACAAAACAAAACAAAACCTGTAAAAAAATATTTGGTGGGAGGGGCCAAGATGGCAGAGTAGAAACAGCTCTGGTCTGGATCTCCCAGCAAAACCAACGCAGAAAACCAGTGATTCCTGCATTTCTAACTGAGGTACTCAGTTCATCTCACTGGGACTGCTTAGGCAGTGGGTGCAACTCAGGGAGCAGAAGCAGGGTAGGGCATCACTTCACGTGGGAAGTGCACTGAGCCGGGGGATCTCCCTCCCCCAGCCAAGGGAAGCCGTGAGGCACTGCTACTCCTGAGGGGTACTATGCTTTTCCCACAATTTGTTTTTTCAATTTGCCGATCAGGAGATTACCTCCTGAGCCTATACCACCAGGGCTCCGGGTTTCAATCACAAAACAAGGCAGCTGTTTGGGCAGGCACTGAGCTGCAGCTGTTTATATATAAACTCCAGCAGCGTCTGGAACTCCAGTGAGACAGGAAAAACATCCTGTCCTTTAGAAAGGCCGCTGAAGCCAGGAAGCCAAGTGGTCTTACTGGCAGGTCCCACTCCCATAAAGCCAAGCAAGCTAAGAACGACTGGCTTGAAATTCTCACTGCCAGCAGAGCAGTCTGGAGTCTGGCTTGGATGACTGAGTTTGGTGGAGAAAGTGGCAACCACCATTACTGTGGCTTTGGTAGGCAATTTTCCCCTGACAGTGCTAAGGAGACTGGGAGGTTTGGACTCGGCAGAATTCACCAAAGCGTAGCAAAGCGGCTGTGGCCAGACTGCTTCTCTAGATTCTTCCTCATTGGGCAAGGCATCTCTGCAGGAAATCCAGCAGTTCCAGTCAGGGGCTTACAGACAGAACTCTCATCTCCCTGGGTCAGAGCACCTGGGGGTAGGGACAGCTGCGGTTTCAGGTTCAACGGATTTAATCTTTGCTGCTTGCCATTTCTGAAGAGAGTGGCTGATCCTGACGAGGGGGATTCTCCCAGCACAGAGCACCAGCTCTGCTAAGGGACTGACTGCCTCCTCAAGCAGGTATCTGACCCGGTGCCTCCTGACTGGGAGAGACCTCCCAACAGGGGTCGACAGACACCTCATACAGCTGACATCAGGCCAGTGCCCCTCTGGGACGAAGCTTTTAGGGGAAGGAGCAGGCAGAAATCTTTGCTGTTCTGCAGCCTCTGCAGTTCACCTGGTGATACCCAGGTGAACAGGGTCTGGTGTGGACCCTCAGCAAACTGCAGCAGACCTTCAGAAGAGGGGCCTTACTGTTAGAAGAAAAACTAACAAACCAAAAGCAACAACACCACCACCAACAACAAAAAAGACAACCCCCCCCCACCCACAAATCCCCACCCAAAGATCAACAACAGCCTCAAAGATCAACGGGTAGATAAATCCATGAAGATGAGGAAAACCAATGCAAAAACACTGAAAATTCCAAAAGCCAGAATGCTTCTTCTCCAAATGATCACATTACTTTTCCAGCAAGGGCACAGAACTGAATGGAGGATGAGATGAACAAATTGACAGAAGCAGGCTTTGGAAGATGGGTATTAACAAACTCCACTGAGCTAAAGGAGCGTGTTCTAACCCAATGCAAAGAAGCTAAGAACCTTGATAAAAGGTTACAGGAGTTGCTAACTAGAATAACCTGTTTAGAGAGGAACATAAATGATCGGATGGAGCTGAAAAACACAGCACTAGAACTTTGTCAAACATACACAAGTATCAATAGCCAAATCGATCAAGCAGAAGAAAGGATGTCAGAATTTGAAGACCATCTTGCTGAAATGAGGCATGCAGACAAGATGAGAGAATAAAGAATGAAAAGGAACAAATCAAATGTCTGAGGAATGTGGGACTATATAAAAAGACTGAACCTATGATTTAGTGGAGTACTTGTAAGCGATAGGGAGCATGGAACCAAGTTGGAAAACCCACCTCAGGATATTATCTGGAAGAAATTCCCCAACCTAGCAAGACAAGCCAACATTCATATTCAGGAAATACAGAAAACATCGCTAAGATAATCAGAGAGAAGAGCAACCCCAAGACACATAATCATCAGATTCTCCAAGGTAAAATTAAGGATAAAATATTAAGGGCAGCCAGAGAGAAAGGTCACCTACAAAGGGAAGCCCATCAGACTAACAGCAGATCTCTCAGCAGAAACTCCATAAGCCAGAAGAGAGTGAGGGTCAATATTCAACATTCTTAAATAAAAGAATTTTCAACCCAGAATTTCATATCCAGCCATACTAAGTTTCATAAGGGAAGGAGAAATAAAATCCTTTCCACACAAGCAAATGATGAGGGATTTTGTCACCACCAGGCCTGCCTTGCAAGAGCTCCTGAAGGAAGCACTAAATATGGAAAAGAAAACCTGGTACCAGCCACTGCAAAAACACACCAAAATATAAAGACCAGTAACACTGTGAAGACACTGCATCAACTGGTGTGCAAAATAACCAGCTAGCATCATGATGACAGTATCAAATTCACACATAGCAATATTAGCCTTAAATGTAAGTGGGCTAAATGCCCCAATTAAAAGACACAGACTGTGAAACTTTCCCAGATAAACAAAAGCTGAAGGACTTTGTTTCCCACAGGCCTGCCCTACATGAAATGCTCAAGGGAGTCCTGGAGGAGAAAATAAACGAATACTAGACAATAATTCAAAGTTGTATGAGGAAATAAATATCTCAATTATGGTATACATGGGAAATTATAAAAGCTAATATTGTAACCATGGTTTGCAACTCAAGTTTTTGTTTTCTAGATGATTTAAGATACTAAAACATTTTTTAAAAATATTTGTATAAAAGCTTGTATTATTGTAACTTTAGGGTGTAACTCCACACTTCCTTTTCTACTTAATTTAAGAGACTAATGCTTTTTTACTAAAGAGTTTATATTTTGGGGAACATAATGTATAAAGACTTAATTTTGTCACAACAACAATCAAAAGATGTGGGGATGGAGTTTTAAAGAACCAGAGTTTTGTATGTTTTCAAGTTCAACTGGTAGATTTATAGTGTTATAACTTGAAGATGTAAAATGTAATCTCATGGTAAACAGAAAGAAAATATCTAGAGAATATACACAAAAAGTAATGTGAAAGAAATTTACTCAGATTACTGAGGTCAGAAATGAAAATGGGAACAGTACTACCAATTCCAAAAAAACTGAAGAGCATTTTAAGAGAGAACTGATCCAAAAAATTAGATAGCTTAGATGAATTGTACAAATTTCTAGATACACAAAAATCTACCAAGACTAAATCATAAAGAAATTTAAAATATAAATAGACCTATAACTAGCAAGGAGACAAGTCAGTAATCAAAAATTTCTTTACGACGAGAAGCCCTGTACCTGATGGCTGCACTGGTGAATTCTATGAAGAATTTAAAGAAGAATTAATACCAACACTTTTCAAACTTTTCCAAATAACTGAATAGAAGGGAGCACTTCCTAATTCACTCTATTAGGCCAGCATTACTCTGATTAAAAAAGCCATGCAGAGACACTGCAAGAAAAAAACTACAGGCCAATATTCTTTATGAATATTGATGCAAAAAATCTTAGCATAATAGTAGCAAATTGAATTCAGCAGCATATCAAAAACATTATGCTCCATGTTTAAGTGGGATTTGATTTTGGAATGCAATAATGGTTCAGCATACAATAATAAATCAATACAATACCCTATATCAATACATTTTTTTAAAAAACAGCATGATCATCTAAATTGTTTGAGAAAAAGCATTTGACAAATTCAACACCCTTTTATTATAAAAATACTCCAAAAACGAGTTGAGTAAAATATAAGAAACATACCTCAGCATAATAAAAATCAAGCCACATATGAAAAACCCAAAGCAAACGTTAGAGTCAACAGTGAATGACTGAAAGCTTTCCTTCTAAGATCAGGAAAGGTAAAGATGCCTACTTTCACCATTTCTATTTAATCTGGTGCTAGAAGTTCTAGCCAGAGCATTTCAGCAAGATAAATAAATGGAAGGCATCTGAATTGAAAACGAAGTAAAATTATCTTTACTCACATTTGACATGATCTTTTATGTAGAAAGCCTAATTATTCCACAAAAACTCTTAAAAATAATAAATAAATTGAGCAAAGCAGCATAATACAGAGACAACACACAAACTGGCTACATTTTATATATTATATTACAATGACCCATATGAAAAGAAAATTATTTAAATAATTCCATTTATAATGGCATCAAAAGAATATGAAAACTAGAAATTAGCTTAACCAAGAGGTGAAAGACTTGTACAATTTAAACTAAAAACATTGCTGAAATAAATTTAAAAGACATAACTAAATGGTAATGCATCCTGTGTTCAAAGATGTAATATTGTTAAGATATCAATACTACCCAAAACATCTACAGTTTCAATGCAATCCCTATCAAAATTCCACTGACTTTTCTTTTTGTAAAAAGGAGAAAAACATCTTAAAATGTATGTGATCTCTAAGGACCCTTAATAGCCAAAACAATCTTGAGTAAAGGAGAATATCGCTGAAAGATATTTGCTGATTTTTAAGAGTGACTACAAAACTCCTATAATCAAAACAGTCAGTACAGAACTGGCATAAAGGCAGACATATAGACCAATGGAATAGAATACAGAGCCCAGAAAGGAACCCTCATGTATATGATCAAATGGTTTTTGATTAAAAGTTCCAAGGAAATTCGATATGGAAAGGACAGTCTTTCAATAAATGATGCTGAAAAAATTAGATATACACATACTGAACAATAAAGTTGGACCTCAATATATTCAAAAATTAGCTCAAAAAGGATCAAAGATCTGAATATAAGACCTAAAATTATAAAACTCTTAGAATGAAGCAGGGCAAAATCTTCACATTGAACTTGGTAGAAATTTATTAGCTATGACACCAAGGCACAGGTAAGAAAACAAAAAATAGACAAATAGGACTTCAAGAAAATTTAAAAAAAATTATACATCAAAAGTTACTATCAGCAGTGTAAAAACGCAGCCCACAAATGGGAGAAAATATTTGTGAATTATGTATCTGATAAGGGATTTATACCTAAACTATATAAAGAACTTCTAAAATTTAACAACAACAACAAAAATAACAAAGAACCTAATTCAAAAATGTACAAAGGACTTAAATAGACATTTCTTCAAAGAAGATAAGCAAATAGACAAAAAGCACATATAAACATGTTCAACATCACTAATCACTAGGAAAATGCAAATCAAAACTACATGATACAACCTCATGCCCTCATGCCCTTTTAGATAATTAAAAAAAAGAAAAGAAAAGAACAAACTTTGATTAGAATGTAGAAAAAGAGAAACTCTTGTTAACTCTTCATAGGTGTGCAAAATGGTACAGTTGCTCTGAAAAACAATATGGTAGTTACTGAAGAAATTGAAAATAGAATTACCATATGCTCTAGCATTTTCACTACTGGGTATACTCCCAAAACAACTGAATATAGTGTCTAAAAGAGATATTTGCACATTTATGTTTATAACAGCATTATTCACAACAGCTAAAATGTAGAAGCAACCTAAATGTCCATTGAGGGAAAAATGGATAAGCAAAAAGTGGTATATACATACAATGGAATATTACTGAGCCTTACTGAAGGACAGAAATTCTAATGCTTATTAAAAGATGGATGAACCTTTAGCTAAGTGAAATAAGCCAGTCACAAAAAGACAATTATTGTGTGATTTCATTCATATGAACTAATTAGACTAGGCAAAATTATAAAAACAGAAAAAAAATGATGGTTTCAAGGGCCTGAGGGGTCAGGGGTAGATATGGGGAATTACTGTTTAATAGATAGAGAGTTACATTTTAAAAGATGGAAAGTGTTATGCCTATGCATGGTGATGGTTGCACAATATTATGAATGTATTTAATGCTACTGAATTATACATTTAAAATGGTTAAAATGTTAAGTTTATGTTATATTTATTTAGTACAATAAAATATAGAAAAAATGTTAGATTTTTAAAAATGGTAAAAGAATATAAGATACAATTTAATGCTATGAAATTAGAAAATTTCAAAATACATGCTTGTATAAGTATATCTAAGAAAAATAGACTCACGAAAGTATAGATAACCTCTCATGTAAGTAATAGGAAAATAAATTAGAAGAAAGCTTCCAAAAATATCAGGACAAATCAGTTTTGAAGAGGTAGAAATATTGTTAAAGAGTACAAAAAACATCTTATATTGTATTCAGACTCATATAGCTAACATTTTAGCAGTTACTAGTACTAAACTTCAGAAATATAATTCACACACTAACACTATTCCACACAGAGGCATGTACACAAAAACACATATATAAGCAAATTCCCCTAGGCAAAACTTACTCTTAAATTGAATGATACGTGCAAAGTGACCTAATATGTTTGCATATAAATAATTCCATTATTTAAATTGTATCATCATATTTAAGAGTAAGAAAGACAGGGAGAGAGAGAGAGAAGTTGTTATAACTACAGAGAATAACCTTTAAAAAACACAACATCCTTAATAAAAATGCTATTTGACTTGGGAATAGAAACACATGTTCATTATATATACAGAAATTTAAGCACAAAACTGTAATCCTCTAATAATTAAGCAAATAACATCTCATTATTTCTATTAACTTAGACACTTAACAAGTATACTTGTTTAACCATTATCACTCTATATTGTTTTGGGCATTTTAGCCACCTTGATACCACTGTAATAGGAAATAAAATATAAGTATTAGAATGAAAAATAGTCCAATATTAATGTTTATAGATATTATTTCCAATAGATAAAATTCCCAAAAGTCATGTGATATAGTTTGGATATTTGTGCCCTCTAAATCTCATATTAGAATGTGATTACTAGTGATGGAGATGGGGCTTGGTGGGAGATGACTGGATCATGAGGATGGATTCCTCATGGCTTGGTGCTATCCTTGCAATAGGCAATTAGTTCTCTGGAGAACTGGTTGTTTAAAAGTGTGTGGCAACTCCTCCCTCTTTTTCTTGCTGGTACTCTTACAATGTGATATGCTTGCTTCTGCTTTGCCTTCTGCTGTGAGTAAAATCTCCTTGAGGCTTTCCCAGAAGCCAAGCAAATGCCAGCACCATGCTTGTACAGCCTGCAGAAACAGGAGTCAATTAAACCTCTTTTCTTTACAAATTACCCGGCCTCAGGTATTTCCTTATAGCAATGCAAGAACAGCCTAACACATCAGGTAAAACATGTTAGAATTAAGGAGACAATTCAGCTAAATGGACCAGGCAATAATTAAACAAATATTTAAATCACATTTTTAATAAAACAATATTAATTAAATTGATATTTGTATAAATAAGGCTTTGAAAAAACCTTAAATTTTTAACAGAAGCAAATAGTTGAATAATTCCAACTCTTCAATGTAATGCTGTGCAACTATTAAATTTATACCTTTTTATATTTATAGATATAAGAATATATTAAATCAGATTGTCACTGAAGAAAGTTACAGTATAGTATGATATTGATAAATTATTAAATAAATTTCTGATTTTTTTATATTTTTCTAAGCTCTTTAAAATGAGAATTTTTAAAATAAATAGCAAAAAGTGATAGTATATCTTAAAAGACTACAAAATTATATGAATTTAATGTAAAAGAAAAAGAATCCCACTACTAAATATATTCATTATACAAAAACAATGTCACTTTATATCAAAGTATATGTGCAAATTATTAAGAAATGATGGAGACACCATTGAATAAGCATTTAATAATAAAATACTATTCTACTGCACATTGTACATCCAAAGATAATCCAGAAAGATAATATATTTAATATTTTTAAAGTTGTGATAAAAATAGGACATTTTGAGTTAGACATATTGCTGGTATCAATGTAGAAAGACCTCTCACAAAATTAAATAACCATTGAAAAGTCACTATATATTTGATTATTAAAGTTCAAAACACCTATCTCACTCTCTCTCTCCACAAATACACACACACACACACACACACACATACACATGTATAGATGAGAGATATAACAAGCAATCAACAAAGCAGAAAAATGTGCTTGCAATGTTAATCATAGTGCCTTGTGTAAAATTCACACAATTCAACTACAAAATATTCTAATATAAAACAATGTTTAAAAGAGATTTAAACAAGGAACAAAGGTGTTATATGTGTGTGTATATATATATATAAAATATTGGTTCTGGCAAGTGCAGTTTCATGATCAACATATATGCATATCATATATTATATACTATGTTGATATATCATAATATGAATATATCAACGTAGTGTATAATATATATAATATATATCATATCGTATATTTTTTTATATATATATATAAAGTTGTCTATTACTTGAAAGTAAGTTGTGATAGGTAGTGTGCCTATGGTAGAATGATGAATAAGCAAATCCTCTCACCAAACAGCAATGATGAAAACTGGACAACGTAATCAAAAACCGCCCCCTTGGAACTCTAGAAATTAATTAGAGGTACGTAACAAATTAAAAACCATTTATTCAAGAAAAACTACAAAATCTTGTACAGAGGAAAAGATATCTAACACATACCAGCTCCATGGAAGTAACTGTGAATACCAGCAGCCTCAATACACTAGAGAAGGCTGACTTCTCAGAGACTGAGTTCTAAGGAAAAGCCCCATGCCCAGAGTTATTTCGGAAACAAATAACGATCTCAGTTGCAATTGTGGAAGGACAACATCACAGCTAGCGCCTGAGTTTGGTTGATCAATTAAAAATCTAACAGGAATATCTAGAGAACAAAATGGTCATGGGGGTGTTGATAAAGCTTTCACATATTCCTGGTGATCTGGAAGGATTCATGCATGCAAGCAGTTGTGCATTATTTAGGAGAGATTAGAAATTGTCTCAGCTATATACTAACCGCTGGCTGAACATGAAACTGCACAAGTACAAAGTAAAAGCTGGGGCCAACTTACAAACTGCTTGCACTATAAATGCATGCTGCAGTTCTAAGCCTTACTAGCTTTAGGTGCTTAGGTTCAATCTCTGACCAATCATTGGCTAGCCAATATGCTATGTTGACCCACTGGCCAGCCACGAACGCTAGTGTGAAAAAAATAAAGATAATTAAACAAAACTGAGCAGAGTCATTAATGATTATGCACTGTGGAAGAAATAGCTTTCTGCAAAATTGGTTCTGGCGAGTCATTAAATAAACAAATAAAAAATAAAAAATAAATAACAACTTATGTAAGAAGAATTCAGAACCTAGTGTTGTTACAGTATGTTATCTAAACTGCCGCTGTCAACAAGAACAAACAAGAATAAGACATGTATAAGAGAATAGGGCCATACACAGGAATAAACAAAAACAAAAAAACAGTTAATCAAGGCCAGGTGGTGGCTCACACCTGTAATCCCAGCACTGTGGAAGACCAAAGTGGAAGGTTCATTTGAGGCATGAATTTGGAGACCAGCCTGGGCAACATAGTGAGACCTGTGTCTCTACAAAAAAATAAAAATAAAAAAAATTAGCCAAACATGGTGTCATGTGCCTACTTCGGAGGCTGAGGAAGGAGGATCACATTAGCCTGGAAGTTCAAGGCCACAGTGAGCTATGATCATGCCACTGTACTCCAGCCTGAGCGATAGAATGAGACCCTATCTCCAAAAACAACAAACAACAACGATAAACACAAACACAGTAAATTGAAAGAATCTCTGAGAATACATGGTTATTAGATTTAGTAAACAGAGACTTCAAAACACTTCTTATAAATATGTTCAAAGAACTAAAATAAACTATGTTTTGAAAATTAGCGGAATGTTTGACAATGCTTCATCAATAGAAAATATAACAAAAGAGACAGTTAAAAAAAAAAGAAAAAAATAAAAAGGAAAGAACCAAATAGCAATTCTGGTGGTGTGAAAAAATATAATAACTTTAATTAAAAATTCTCTAGAGGTGATTGTAGAAGATTTGAGGTGAAAGAAAAAATCAGCGGGCCAAACACAGTGGCTCACGTTGTGTAATCCCAGCACTGTGGGAGCCTGAGGCGGGTAGATTATCTGAGGTCAGGAATTCTAGATAAGCCTGGGCAACATGGTGAAACCCCGTCTCTACTAAAAATACAAAAATTAACTGGGCGTGGTGGTGGTGGGTGCTTGTAATCCCAGCTACTTGGGAGGCTGAGGCAGGAGAATCGCTTGAACCCAGGAGGCGGAGGTTGCAGTGAGTGGAGATTGCACTACTCCACTCCAGCCTGGCCACAGGAGCAAAAGTCTGTCTCAAAAAAAAAAAAAAAAAAAAAATCAGCCACCTTGAAGACAGATTATTAACTTGTTCAGTGTGAAAAAAAAAAACAGAAAGAAAAAAGAATGTGAACAAAGCAACAGAGATTCAGAGACTTATGGAACATCATCAAGCTGAGTTTCTTATCATTACAATCACAGAAGGAGAGGAGAGAGAAAATGGAAAAGATAATATATTTTAAAAAATAATAGCCCAAAATATCTTAAATTTGATAATTATATATACATCTAAAAACCTCAATTAACGAAACTCAAAAAATTTTGTTCTAGACACACTGAAATAAAACTATCACATGTAAAAGAAAAAGAAAATTTTGAAATGATTAAAAGGATTTATTCATGATTTTTTCACATAAAAGTGAAACTCAGAAAGATTAATAGCTGACTTCTCTTCAGAAACAATAGATGCAAGAAGGCAGATATTAAAAGAACAATAAGGAAAGATTATCAGCAAATCTCAGGTGAAGTCTCAACATTCAGAAATGAATACATAGTTATTTCAGTGACGATTCCAAGTTCATTGGCTGAATTGTTTGTTTTTGTTCTCATTTCAGTATATTCTTTCTCCCACATCTAATTTGCTTAAAATAAAAATGTTTGACTTCTGAAACTGTGTTCGTTTTTAAAAATATGCCGTCAAAGAAGAAATTACTATAGATTTAATTAAAGATCGATAGATATGAAAATATATGTCTGGTACTATATTTCTTAATTTCACCAAACTTTCTTGTTAGCTAAATTTCATAGCAACCTGTTGGAGATGTTAGTCATTTGCAATGACTTTGTGCCTGTCTACCTACTTACCTTTCATAGCTCTGCTCTGGAATAAGGTCTACTTTAACAATGATCAAGACTGGGCTGATAATAACACAATGCAGAGGCTTAAAGTAAAAGGGTACTAACATCGAACATGGATTTAATTCCTGAATAAATATTGAATGAAATAATATATTATTTATGGAAAAATGTATAAAAATAACATTTCTCCTTATTTTTTGAAGTCATGAGAGAAGGAAGTAGCAAGTTATATTAGATCATAAATCGTACTGGATAAAAAAGTACCTTACGGGAGGAGTAGTTGACATCCATGATGTCTAGCTTGAGGATGAAGGTAACACACAGAGGAAGGTGGGATGAATACAACTGCCAAGACTGTGCTGTAGTCCTGTGCAAACGGCATTTGACTTTTTCTTTAACTCTGGACTTTCAATTACGTATACAGTTTCTGTTTCTTGCAACCAAACCCATGCCACTTGATAATGCTTCTTGTAAAGTCCATGTCCTTTACTTGGGCCCCTCTCCTATGCAGTCCTCATCAAGACTTAAGGAGGAGCAATTTTAAATAGAAAATAAAACTCTTAACAAAAGGAAGTCAAAAGATTAGCCCAAAGAGCATCCACAGATGGCTTTTACCCAGGAGTTTTGGCTCAACTTAATCTGGTGCTGAAGGCCTCAAGTCGTATGCCATGTATAATGTTCTGTCTAAACGTTGGCCTTCCTAAGTAGTTTGCAGTATCTGTGAGGGAAGTGATAATATATTATTTGACTTGTATTTAATCCTAGAGTGCTGAATAAATGCTTTGCATCCTAAAGATGCTCAGAAAATGAGAGTTGAATGCAAGTAAATTTGGTTCCTGTTGTTTTTATTGCCCCATTTTCTAGAAGTTGGGAAGAAAAGACACTCCCCATGACACCATCCAGTTTTGAGATATAAAGTCCCTTGGCTAGAATTCACTCCTGTAAGTCACCAGCAACAGTGCGGGGTATGGCCCAGAGTAGGTGCTCAAATATTTGTCAAATAAATTTAGTTTCAATTTGAAACCACACACGCACACACACAAAAAATGCCTTATGGAATGCATACATGTATGTGATATATTTAACCTTCCCATTATCCTTACTTGTTTCATAGTTTCTTTTATTCTTCTGTGTTCTCCTATTTCAAAATATTGATGAAAATTTTGTTAAGCTACACATATTTCTCATTACAGAAAAACTCCAAATACAAAATAAAATTATCATTATTATTTTTTTGAGACAGAGTCTCACTCTGTCACCCAGGCTGGCGTGCAGTGGCGTGATCTCGGCTCACTGCAAGCTCCACCTCCCAGGTTCAAGCAATTCTCCTGCCTCAGCCTCTCAAGTAGCTGGGATTACAGTTGCCTGCCACTATATCTGGCTAATTTATTGCATATTTAATAGAGATGGGGTTTTGCCATGTTGGTGAGGCTGGTCTCCAAATCCTGACTTCAGGTGACCCACCCTCCTTGGCCTCCCAAAGTGTTTGTTGGGATTACAGGCCTGAGCCACTGCATCTGGACATAGAATTATTTAATATTGAAATTAGGCAAAGTGACAAAGGGATTTCACTAACCCTTAGGTACTTATCTGTTATAGAATGGAGAGATGAGGACAGGACTTACTTTTAAGATTCTTCCATTCCACTATCTATATTAATTAAATATTCATTTTTTAAAGCTTTAGAATATAATTAAATAAGTTATAAAATGTATAGTATTTTAAAATATAAAATATGAGTAGGAAAAATATATCCTATTAGTTTTCAAAGTTTAAATAACATAACTATAATTTAAATGAACAAATTATATAATATAGAGTATTATAAAATATGAGTGTAAAACACATATTCTGTTAGTTTTCAATAATCGTTTAAACAATGTAATTATAATTTAGGTTGAATAATAGTTTCCTGACTGACTTGTGAATAAAGCACGTTAAAAAATAACACATTAGTAAACTGCTAAAAATAATCTATTTAAAAGGAAAGCAACAAAATAACAAAGTATGGTTTTAAGTTCCTCTAATATAAATAATATGGTGTTGAACTTGGGAATATCAAAGATAAACTTTATTTCTCCACAAATGTGACAAATTTTAAGTCATAAACTACACCCTAATTTCATATGTCAAAAAATAAAATTAAACAGCTAATCAATGTTTCAATTATTTTCAGAACATATTCTCCTCCTACAAGAATAGAGAGGTAATATTAGTTCCAATTTTTTATCTTGATTTTTGAATTAATTTATAAGAGATTTGTATTCAATTTAAATGAATAGAACATTTTCTAATAATATTGTGAGGTGGAAATCATGATTGCAGAAGTACTTCACAGATAGAAATTGTATTCCACAAAATTCCTTCACTACAAAGACATCCTGGGAATTTGTCCACAGATACCTGCAGAATGCAAGATGATTACAAAACAGGACATCTCTAGTTTAGGTGAAGTAAAACTAAGTTTAGAAATTGTTACTTCCTCTTTCAGACATAGTTATGCTCAATATATCCCAGAAACTCTTCATAGATATTAACTCCTCCCAAATGTAGAGAAAAGGAAATTTGTGTTTTCATCTGATTGGATTAAATGTTTTCTGAGCACTACCTAGATCTACTTTATATTTGGTTACTGTATTTTCAGGTTCAGACCAATGAGGCTTACTCACCATTTTAAAAATATTCCTCTGCTTTTTAAAAGTTTTAGTGCCTTGTGACAGGTCTTATATTAAAGGTGGTACATGTTGTGAATATACATAGATTTTAGCTTAAGTCTTAGCTTTGCCTTTTTTTTTCAGCAGTGTCTGGTGAGTTGGTGGGGCAGTCTATGCAAAGCCCACATGCATAGAGATTTGAGGCTTTCCTAAGAAAAGTCATTGGAAGGGAAGAAGGCCCCAGGCAGAAAAGAAAGTTGTCTGAATAATAAAGCCTTGGTTGTCACAAAGTAGAGAAAATATGTTGGAATAGATCAGTCATTTGAGCCTCTCTCCTCTAAATCCAAGGGAAAGGGAAGACTGTCAGCAAAAAGAGAAAATTGTGTCAACAAAATGCTACATCTCAGCACCAAATTACAAAGTTTTGATAGTTTTTAAACATACTCCCATGCTGAAGAATTAATAAAGCACTCTCCTATTTTGTTCCACCTAAGAAGAGCTTATGGCTATTTCTCATGCACCTGGGTTGCTGTCTGGGAGACCATGAATGAGGTGCTGTTCAGTGAAAGAAATAGCATGTCCAGGAGACCGCGACCGCAGAGACTTCAGAGGGCAATTCCCAGTGAACTCACTTCCCAGTGAGTGCACAGAGTGACAGCACCCACCAGAAGTGGCAGTCTCAGGCAAAGGAGGCCACTCTGTGTACTTGCTCCACATGTGAGACAGTCTAGAAAATTCAAAATATTTAGGTAGAAAAAACAGGGAGCAGAAGGGAGGACGATGTTTCACATAAGCTAGTGAAGAAAAGGGCCAGAGGAATGTAAGTTATTACTGTTAATAGTGCCCCATAGGCTGCTGAGACCTGTGGAAACTCTACCAGCAGCAGTGGTGCTATTCTTAATATGTTTTGACAGAAATGTGAATTACACATGTGTATTTCCACCTCCTTTGAGAATTATATGTTATGTATGCATATTTTGTATCCATACCTAATTTGCTTTTTGGAGGGGGCACACATCTGTATTTTATCAGTTTACACATACTAAGCAAAGCTCGTGTCATGTTCCTGTTTAATCTCTGCCTTCACATTCCCATGTTATGTTTCTGTCAACAGTATGCACTTTCTCTGCCTCAAGAACTATAACCTCTAAGCTTCATATTATACCTCTTGTTGTTTCTTCCAAATTGAAATCACATTCAGATTACTTTTAGTTTATCTAAATCAATGCCCTGATGTAGATACAAACAACCATGCTGATGCAGGTAATAGGCACATTTCTAAATATTTTGTAACAGTGACATTCTATTTTATAAATAGTAAATAGATTCAAGTGTTAGATTCAATGAATATCTGAATGATAAAACATAATTTAAGTGTTCAGAAATTTTTCTGAAATAATTTTCCTAGAATATGAACAAGCTTATGTTTGCTAATAAAACCATTTACAAATAAAATATAGTTTTTCACATGCAGTTGTTACTATGAAGTACATTCTTTTTGAGTATTTCAACTAGACTTAATAAAATTGCATACATTTGATGTTCAAAAATCAAATAGGATATGGACTTTCAGAAAATCCCATAGGATACATTACAATGCAACCTTTTTATTGTATATGTAATAACATAAGTCATATGAGAATAAACTAGAGATCACAACTAAGAGCTTTTCTCTGCATAATAAATTTCAGGCAGTGTTTGTTATTCTTACTCTAAGCAGAATTGTAGGCAGAATAACTGACCCCAAAAATGTGTCCTAATTTCCAGAAGCTAATTATGGTTCTTTACATGGCAAAAGGAATGTTGCAGATGTGATTATGGGTACACACCTTTAGATGGGGCCATTGTGTTGGATTACCCAAGTGACATCAACGGAATCACAAGGATCTTTAAAAGTGAAAGACGCAGACAGAACAGAGACAAGAGATCTGTTAACTACAGAAAAAAGAAAAAAAAAAGGCAGGATGAAATGCAAAACTGTTGCATTTTGAGAAGGAGAAAGGGGATCAAGGAATTCTAGAGGCTTCTAGAAGCTGAAAACCATAAGGAACCCGATTCTCCCATAGAGTCCCAGAAGAGGAAGTCAGCCCTACATTCATTTTGCCTTCATTTTATCTTCATATGGTCCAGTGAAACCATATTGGACCTCTAACAAACAAAACTAATCTAAAAGAAGAGATTTTTGTTTTCTTAAGCCAGTAAGTTTCTGAAAAGTGTTTATAACAGCAGTAGAACACTAATAAAGAAATAAAATGATTACCATGGAAAGATTTAGATTTTTTCTTCAATTAGCATATTGTGCTGTTGTGTAGTAAACATCTAGTAAAAATGCCCCACCCCATCCTGCCATGAATGTCATTGCCTTCTAAGTTTAATGAGGTGAAGCATTTGGGAAATGATCTTAATCACAAGTGGTCTCAACTTTTAATTTTCACATGATTATCAGTCACTACTGATCTCAATAAAAACACACTGAATTTGGATCAAATTCTGACAGTATGTTGATATCTTTGGGTTGTCACCTATTTTAACTTACCTTTGCAAAATTCCTTCAATTTCTTTTTTAAAAAATACACTCTACCAAAATAATTGTTCTGCTTGCCAGAACAGAGATACTTTGAGAATTTGAGATGTATTTGTTTTTATGGAGTAAATATTAATATAGTGTGCTGTTTCATCATATTTTAAGCATATTGTATTTCCATGTGGGGATATCCTTGCTATATGTAACTCACATTAGCTTCCCAATACTTTATCTTATATTAACCCTCCTTTATCACAGATTTGAAACTTAAAAACTACTTTTTCAAGATGCCCTTTTAACAAAGCTCCTGAATGTAAAATTGATCCACCTTTTGGATGACAGGCAGCAAAATTTGAAAGGCAAGAGTTAAGCACAAACCATCTTCCTGTGGTTGCTAATGGCAATTGATACTCAAGAAGTGTGAGGGTCCCCTACAGTAGGGTTGAAGGGTACAATCCACAGGTGTTGATAAGCAGAAGAGGTGCAGCATCTTGATCTGATGGTTTATCCCTGTATTGCAGCACCAAGAGCACATTTTCCAGCCTCTGGAATGTTAGTCTGTTTTGGCAAAGACAGGGGCTCTTGTTTCTGGCATATTTCCTTTTTAGGTCTGGGTATTATTCCAGTAGAACCAGCTTCAAAACTGTTCTTTCAGCCTTTTAACTCCGACAATGCTCTGGTCAGCACAGTTTCCTGCACTTAATTTCTTCATGTTTAAAAATGCCTAGAGTGGTTGCTGTTTTCTGAACTGAACTCTTGACTTGTAGAGGATTCCATTCAGAAAATCTAAAGACACATTATCCATTAAAAAAAGGCTGTATTATTTGTGATAGAAAGCCTATATCTTCTCTATCATTAAATGGAAAGTTAATTGTAAGGCAATTACAGCACCTTAATTACCAGACATCTGCATCTACAAATTCATGCACATAATTTTTCTGAGAATTTGAATGCTTATATTCATTTCAGGGGCAGAGTTATACATATGCCTTTCATCATTCTAAAAATTATACTAAATAAAAAAATGGTAATTTTTTAACAGGAAGTCTTATTCAAGTATCATTCTGCTTATATAAAAGAAAAAATCACAAAGCAATGCATGTATATATCTACACATATATGTTATGTAGTGATATAAATATCTATGTGTAGATACATATAGATATATGTGTGTGTGCATAGAAAGATAAAATGAGAGAGGGAGAAGTGAGATATACTAAATTTGAAATGAAAATTGGGTTTGCACTTCATCTTCTTTTTCTGAGTTATGGAGCATATAATGTAATATATATCTCTCTGAAATATCAAGATAAAAAATACTAAAAGGGATTGTTTATGAATATTCTGGTTCAATCCATTTATAATCAATTGTGTTAGTACTTCCCAACTTTAATGACATTTTCTTCCAGGAGTTAGTCTTTTATTTGAGTGGAGATTTATGAAACCTCTTGAATGCAGTCATTAAAGCTGTGACCACCTTCTCACTGCAGGCCTGTCATTTAGTTTTCCTGCATTATTAACTGGGCAAGGCACTGTATATGGTAATTATGTTCTCAATAATGGAACCTATACAGCACACATTTAGCATTCATTCAGAGTCACTCTTTTTGAATTTTAACATGAAGGAATATGCAAATAGGTGTGCACAGTGAATTGAACCAGCAAAATGAAGCTGTTATTGCACAGATGTTATTTTTAAATCTCAAAAACGTTATGCAGCTAAATAATATAGCTTTTTTGTATATCTTATTCAGGTGTATGGATTTTTGAATTTAGCTCTCAAATCAAGGCCAAAACATTAATTTCTGGAGAGAGATATTTTTATTCTCTTACTTCATTCCTTAAGAAGTAAAATATTTCAAATACTAGCATTGTCTCTGTATTGATTTTGAATATGTTTTTCAAACAATTAGAAATATTACTAGAGAAGTTTCAACAAAAATGTTCTTGCAGTATTGGGAGATGCTAACAATAAATAGGCAAAAATCCTCTGTTATATAAACAATGAGGCCCAAAAACAGTGATTTTCCTTTTATGTGTGTTGTGTTATGTAAAAAACAAATGATAAGTAAAAGTAGTCAATTTAAAGCACAATTTATCCATTCATTTCCTTGAACATAAGTTTTTAAGATATAATAATCCTCAAAATTTTAAGAGTTTACACTAACATCTTCAGATGCTATTTTATTATTTTCAAAGTATTCTTTAGGAATAAAATGTTGTTGTTTTTGTTTTGTTGCTGTTTTTAACTGCTTAACTGGTAACACACTGTTGAAAAGAAGGCCTGTTCTTATGACTTGGTTGCACAATAACCTCAAACTTTCAGTATTAATTCAACAAATACCATTTTGTTTGGTGACATTTATATTTAAGAGGATAAATACAAGATTATAAAATGTATTACCTTGATCACTATTAGTTATATTGCTAAACTACTTTGTTTCTCCTAAATACTGTAAAGTCCGCTTAGGTAGTATAATCCCTGAACAGACCAATAATGAGCTCCAAAATTTAATTAATAATAAAAAGACTGCCAAGCAAAAAAAGCCCATGACCAGACAGAGTCACAGCTAAATTCTACCAGATGTATAAAGAGGAGATGGCACTACTCCTAAAGAAACTGTTTCAAAAAATTGAGGAGGAAGGTCTTCTTCCTAAGTCATTCTATGAGGCCAGCAGCATCCTGATATCAAAACCTTTCAGAGACACAACAGAAAAAGGAAACTTCAGGTCAATATCCTTGATGAACATAAATGCAAAAATTCTCAACAAATATAAGCCAACCAAATAAAGCAGAAAATTAGTCTACTATGATCAAATAGGTTTTATCCCTGGGATGAAAGTTTGGTTCAACATATGCAAATAAATTAATGTGATTCATTACATAGACAGAACTATAAACAAAAACAACATGATTATTTCAATAGATGCAGAGAAGTATTTCAATAAAATTAAACATCTCTTCATGTTAAAACTTCTCAACAAACCAGGCATTGAAGAAACATACTTCAAAATAATAAGAGCCATCTTTGACAAATGCACAGCCAATATCATGCTGAATGGACAAAAGCTTGAAACATTCCCCTTGAAAACTGAAGCAAGACAAAAGTGTTCTTTCTCACCACTTCTATTCAATATAGTATTGGAAGTCCTGGCCAAAGCAATCAGGCAAGAGAAAGAAAGAAAAGACATCTACATAGGGAGAGAGGAAGTAAAAGTATTCCTGTTTGCAGGCAATATGATTCTATACATAGAAAACCCTTACTCTTTGCCCCAAAGCTCCTTGATATAATAAACAACTTCAGAAAAGTTTCAGTATATAAAATCAATTTACAAAATCATTAGTGTTTTTATACAACATCAACATCCAAGCTGACAGCCAAATCAAGAACACAATCCCATTCACTATAGCCACAAAAAGAATGAAATACCTAGGAATATAGTGAACCAGGGAGGTAAAACACCTCTGCAATGAGAATTATAAAACACTGCTCAAAGAAATGAAAGATGATGCAAACAAATGGAAGAACAACACATGTTCATGGATGGGAAGAATCAATATTGTCAAAATGGCCATATTGCCCAAAGTAGTTAATAGATTCAATGCTATTCCTACCAAACTATTTTTGATATTCTTCACTGAATTAGAACAAACTATTTTAAAATTCATATAGAACTAGTAAAGAGCCCTAATAGCCAAGACAATCTTAAGCAAAAACACAGAGCTTGAGACATCACATTACTTGACTTCAAACTATACTGTAAGGCTACAAACTATACTACAAGGCTAACAAAATAGCCTGATACTGGTACCCAAATAGACACACAGACCAATGGAACAGAATAGAGAGTCCAGAAAAGATACTGCACACCCACAACCATCTGATATTTGACAAACTTGACAAAAACAACTAATGTGGAAGACTCCCTATTAAATAAATGGTGCTGGGATAACTGGCTAGCCATATGCAGAAGACTGAAACTGGATCTCTTCCTTACACCATTTACAAAAATCAATTCAAAATGGAATGAAGACTTAAATGTAAAACCCCAAACTATAAAAAGCCTGGAATAAAACCTAGGCAATTCTATCCCGGAAACAGGAGTTGACAAATATTTCATGATGAATATGCTAAAAGCAACTACAACAGAAACAAAAATTGACAAAGGAGATCTAATTAAACTAAAGAGTTTCTACATAGAAAAATAATCCATCAACAAAATAAATAGAAAAAACTACAGAATAGGAGAAAATAGTTGCAAACTATGCACCTAACCGAGGCCTAAAATACAGACTCTATAAGGAACTTAAACATATTTACAAGAGAAAAACGACCCCATTAAAAAGTGGGCAAAGAACATAAGAGACACTTCAAAAATAGACATATATGGGGCAAAAATTATATAAGGCCTTTGACTGGAGTCTGAGACCTTTAACCTTCAGTAGACATGGTTAAGCTGTTACTTTTTAGATTGATGAGTACCAGAAGTTGACGGCAGAAAGTAATTCTGAAAAGTGGTCCATTTGATGTTGCCATCTAAATGTGAAAGAGCCAGAGGACAATGAGCTTATTCAGTGCTATATAAAATATAGTCATCTACATGTTCACAGAAGAAAAAAATATCTATAGTCTAGCACTCTGACATTTTATGACTGTAAATCAACAAATTATGTTGACTTGGTGAGAGGAAACCCATTCATCTTTAACATGTCCCATATTGTCTTCCCTTGTAGCTACAGTTCTCTAATCTGTATCATGCGATACAATTTGTATATGAGCTTTTCAAAAGAATTATATTATTTTCCAGTCCAGGTTTTAAAAGACTCATTCATTATATTGCTAATTGTACACTTACAATAGTGTCCTGATAAATGTTATTAATTTCCATAAATAAATTTCAATCGATTGAAAGTAAAAATTACATGTAAAAGAACAAAATATTCCTGTTAACTTCCATCATCTAGAGCAGCAGGAGGAGACTACAAATAAAGTGAAATGAGAGGGTACCTTACAGTGATGTAATATTTCTAAGCTTTAGCAGACACAATTACTGTCAGTCAAATGAGGCAAATGGGTAAAAAAATTGTAGACTCTGTTGACACTGACTACTAGAGCACAGGAACCACAGCTAAATAGTGTTTTATATCTTAAATACTCAAACACATTTCCCCTGTCAAAAATTTAAAAAAATATTTTTTTTCTTTCAGTTTCAAGTCAAGTATTGTTTGAGAGCTGAATTTGCCTGGTTTCCTAATTAACAGCATATACATTAGAAAGAAGCAGCATGATTTGATAAAATGAACACTAGTTACAGTAAAAAATGTTTGGTTCAATCTTAGATCTGCCACTTACTAGTTCAGTGGTTTTAAGCCAAGTTATTTAATTTTTTTGTACCTGAGTTTCTTCAAATGTAAGGAGTGAATCTAAAATATCAGAGGATTTTTGTGAAGACCAAATAATAAAAATAGAAATAAAATAACTTGTTGTAATGATCACTAATAATGAAATTTATCATAAACTATAGATCAATTTTATTTATTTTATTTTTATTTTTATTTATTTATTTATTTTTTTGAGATGGAGTCCTGCTCTGTCCCCCAGGCTGGAGAGCAGTGGCCCGATCTCAGCTCACTGCAACCTCTGCTCCCGGGTTCACGCCATTCTCCTGCCTCAGCCTCCTGAGTAGCTGGGACTACAGGCTCCCGCCACCGCGCCAAGCTAAATTTTTTTTTTTTTTTGTATTTTTAGTAGAGACGGCGTTTCACCGTGTTAGCCAGGATGCTCTCGATCTCCTGACCTCATGATCTGCCCGCCTCGGCCTCCCAAACTGCTGGGATTATAGGTGTGAGCCACCGCGCCTGGCCCAATTTTATATGTATAGTAAAATACGCTTGTATTTTTAAACCTTATCTCTGTTATAACTTATATAATGATATATTTTATTTCAATAATTACTTATTTTCCCAGTTACAAACATGAAAGGATTATGATAACTATTTTATTAATTCAGTAATTTTTGCATTCATTAAATATTTACTGAGCACCAGCCGGGGGTGGTGGCTCACGCCTGTAATCCCAGCACTTTGGGAGGCTGAGGCGGGCAGATCATGAGGTCAGGAGATCGAGACCATTCTGGCTAACACAGTGAAACCCCATCTCTACTAAAAATACAAAAAAATTAGCAGGGCGTGGGGGTGGGCACTTGTAGTCCCAGCTACTTGGGAGGCTGAGGCAGGAGAATGGCGTGAACTCGGGAGGCGGAGCTTGCAGTTAGCCGAGACTGCCGCTGCACTCCAGCCTGGGCGACAGAGCAAGACTGGGTCTCAAAAAAAAAAAAATTTACTGAGCACCTACTGTGTCCCACTCACTGTTTTAAGCAATGAGATACATTAATAATTATTAGAAATAATATTGAAGTCTTTGATTTATTTTTTATATTTTTCATAATATATATTTATATTAGAATATATAGAAAATTACACAAATGTTCAACCAATGCCCATTTGCTCTCCACCTTCAATTTAAATGTGTTAGCATTGGTCAATAGTTGTTTTATACATACTCGTACAAACATATAAATACACATATGCACTCATATCTGAATCACTTTGAAATAGCTCATTAACACCATGACAATTCACTCTTAAATTTTTCAGCCTGTCACCTAAAAATTCACCAACATGACAACTTCTAGGAAAATTAACAATAAATCTATAATGTCATCTAATACATAATCTAATTCAAATTTTCTCATGTGTCCCCTCAATGTTTTTATAGATTTTTTTCAATTATTATTATACTTTCAGTTCTAGGGTACATGTGCACAACGTGAAGGTTTGCTACATATGTATACATGTGCCATGTTGGTGTGCTGCACCCATTAACTCGTCATTTACAGTCATTTACATTAGGTGTATCTCCTAATGCTATCCCTCCCCCCTCCCCCCCCCCCACCCCACAATAGGCCCCGGTGTGTGATGTTCCCCACCCCGTGTCCAAGTGTTCTCATTGTTCAATTCCCACCTATGAGTGAGAACATACGGTGTTTGGTTTTCTGTCCTTGTGATGGTTTGCTCAGAATGATGGTTTCCAGCTTCATCCATGTCCCTAAAAAGGACGTGAACTCATCCTTTTTTATGGCTGCATAGTATTCCATGGTGTATATGTGCCACATTTTCTTAATCCAGTCTATCATTGATGCACATTTGGGTTGGTTCCAGGTCTTTGCAATTGTGAATAGTGTCGCAATAAACATACATGTGCATGTATCTTTATAGCAGCATGATTTATAATCCAGAATGGGAGAAAATTTTTATAATCTACCCATCTGACAAAGGGCTAATATCCGGAATCTGTGAAGAACTTAAACACATTTACAAGAAAAAAATCAAACAACTCCATCAAAAAGTGGGCAAAGGATATGAACAGACACTTCTCAAAAGAAGACATTTATTCAGTCAACAAGCACATGAAAAAATGCTCATCATTACTGGCCATCAGAGAAATGCAAATCAAAACCACAGTGAGATACCATCTCATTCCAGTTAGAATGGTGATCATTAAAAAGTCAGGAAACAACAGGTGCTGGAGAGGATGTGAAGAAATAGGAACACTTTTACACTCTTGGTGGGACTGTAAACTAGTTCAACCATTGTGGAAGACAGTGTGGCGATTCCTCAAGGATCTAGAGCTAGAAATACCATTTGACCCAGCCATCCCATTACTGGGTTTTTATAGATTTTTAAAAATTAAGATTAAAATTGATTAATCCAATTTTATTTCAGCTGAAAATATTACATCTAGAATTTAAGCTCAATTATTAAATGCATTTTTTTTGGTTAGCAGGTCTAATAGGCTATTTTTCTACTATAAAATTGTTCTGTGTCTTAGTTTTATTATTCTCATTTGTATTTTCAGGTTTTTTTTACTAACTTTGTTTGTATTAATTGTCAAACACTGACTCTGCAAGGAATAAGCTACTCTTTCCCACTTATTAGAATCTATGAAACTTTCAGATTATTTTTAGTTATCTTTGTAAATTAGCTCAGTAGAATATCTTCCACGGAGCAAACTTCTAATAAAGATTTTTTGATAATTGTGAGAAGAATTTAGAATAAATAGAAGGATTTTTTAAGTTATGTATTATATCATTGATTTAAGTCATTGCAAGGGATTTAAATAACGTACTGAGTCAGAACTCTTTAGATACTATTCTTCTTTGCACACAGAAGTCCAATAATAATAAAATAATAGTTATTACTTATTAAGAGCCTAGCATGTACTAAACTCTATGTAAGTAACATTATTTATCTTATTAACTTAATGTCAAACACTGTACAAGAAATGACTGCTGTGGAAGATTTCAGAGCATTCTAATACTAGAAATATAATTGAAGATGAAAAAGGAGAAGAGGAAAATATGAAAACAAAAATTCTCAGAATTTAGAAAATCTTGTAGTTCATCTGGTCAAATACTGAAAACACAGAATACAGTTCTTCTATGGTTGACGTATTATAATTTTACAACTCTAAGCCACTTCTGCATTACCTGTATGACATTGTATTGCATTGAATTTTTACTCTTATTCTTGCCCCCTTAGAAAACATACACACAACCAGAATCTATAAATATAAACTAAGTTGGGGGAGGGGGAGGTCTTTGCCAATATAATTAAAATACTGAACTCTAGATGAGATCATCCTGCATTTAGGTGAGTCCTAAATCCCATGGCACGTGTTTTAATCAGAGAAAAGCAGAGGGACAAAGAGAATACAAGGCCATGCAGATGGAAGCAGAGAACGGAGGTTTGCAGCCATAAGCCACAGAATGCCTGGAACTACCATAAGCTGGAAGAGGCAGGGAAGAATTTTGCCCTAGACCTCAGTAGGAGCACGCCAATACCTTGATTTCAAACTTCTAATCTCCGTAACTGTGAGAGAATAAAGTTCTGCTTAAAATAAGCTAAGAAGGTTTTGGTACTTTGTTAAGGCAGCCACAGGAAGCTAATATAGCTATGACTACAAATATCATTCTCATTTTAAAAATAAGGAAATTAAGCTTCAGTGATTAAATGGTAATTAATGAATCTCTAAGACACCATATGATACTTAAATTCAGTCTCCTAAATCATGCTTAAACTCTTACTGAATATGAATCTAGGGAGTTTATATACTAGTATGTATTAGTATAATATATTTGTATTAGTCTGTTCTCACGTTGCTAATAAAGACATACTCCAGACTGGGTAATTTATAAAGGGGAGGTTTAACTGACTGAGTTCCACATGCCTGGGGAGACCTCACAGTCACGGGGAAAAGTGAAGGGGAAGCAAGATACATCTTATATGACGGCAGGCAAGAGAGAGCATTGCAAGGGAACTACCCCTTATAAAATCATCAGATCTTGTGAGACTTATTCACTATCATGAGAACAGTATGAGAAACACCCTCTACCACGATTAGATTACCTCTCACTGGGTCCCTCCCACGACACATGGGAATTATGGGAGCTACAATTCAAGATGAGATTTTGGTGAAGACACAGTCAAACCATATCACCATGTATAAAAGTCCTGAGGCTTTTGTCATTCTGCTTTTTTCATCGCTAAATTCTTTGTGGTACACTGTTTGAGTTCAAATGCAGAAGTTCAAAATGCGCAGTGTTTGCATACTTAGAATTATCTAAAATGACTATTAGCATCTTAAATGATTCTTAAGAAAAATTTAAAAAGTTATAATTTTATCTTCTTGTTTGTTATTTCTCCTAATCCAGAAGTAAATAAAGGTATATTTCAATATACATGGTATTTTCTTAGTTGGATCAGAACATTACTTTGTGAAGAGTGATGGCAGCATGTGTTTTTATTTAATTTGGTTAGCAAGAATATAAACATAGAGTGGACTATTGGAAGACAGAACATGCTATGCCCAGATGAGGTCAAAAACAGTGTATAAATGTATACACATATGTTACATATACATAGTCAGATATACTTTGTCAAAACATGAGAGAGAGCTACACAATAATGAAAAGTATTTTAAGTCCATGTATACTAATTAGTAGTCCTAGCACTGATAATATTCAAGTTGGACATAATATTTATACAAAGATAAAACCTATTTCAGATACATGTTTTCTATTTTGAGAATCAATATAAGAATGTTTTACACTCTATATGTCTGAAAACTGTCTTGTAAAAGGCTTGCTGCTTGTTTATTCCTTTAACCTGATAAAAGTGTACCTTCCATCTTTTCAAACTGTTCTACTAATAAATTTTATTATTTGTGATGAAAAAGTTGGTGATTGGGGATTACTGCTTTCTCATACAATAGGCTCACTAGTAGAAAACGAGTCCTCCTGCCATATGAGCAGCCATAATCTTGAACATAGTTTGAGGCTCTGATTTTAGGTTTTGGACAACTGTCAGGACCAGAGGATAATCCTTGAGAGAAAGATACCCGTAAGGTAAGTCCCAACATTGCCACAGCCCTTTGCCTCTTTTTCTTCACCATTGAAGGGACAGAATCTATCCACTCAACCAAGCCATATATTGGCTGTGATCTCCTTACTTGGCTTCTAATTTTAGGCAAACTTCAAGACTTGTTGATTCATCATCCTTGCTCTCTTTCATGTTTCTTATTTATCTTCTCTCTGCTGTTGTCTTAGTTTAGCCTTTACTACTTTACTCTCATTATATCATGTATAACTGCAATTGTTCTTACTTACTCTCCTAGAAGAATCCTTCAGTTCAGAGGGGCCTTCTGATGTTCATATCTGAATATGGAGTTTTTATGTTCTTCATTGACTCCTTATTATACTCAGTGCTAAATTATCTATTTCTGTGCTACTTCTTCACCTTGTAATTTGTGTCTACATATTTCGTAGTTTCCTCAACGTTCCTTGTTCTTTAGTGTGTTTCTATACTGCACGTACTTTTTCTTCTGTCTCTATTAGATGGTTTCTCTTCCAGCCCTTTTTTGGTAAGGGCAGCTCCAAATTAACACAATATAGCAAGGAGTTCTTATAGTTCTCATCCCCTAGTGTTGCATTATCCAATGGGTAAGCTATGGATACTACAAAAAGACAGTAGACAAAAAAAGTTTCGTGAAAGAAATGAAGATATTTTCTGTTTTTAAATTAACATGTGTCTATTAGGTATCAATGTGTTTATTAAGGGAGAAATCAATTTTTTTGGACTTCTTATTTAATTATTGAAATGTAGTATAATAATTAATAGCATATTCTCAGGAGTTACACTAAGTTGAAGTCCTGACTCTGCCACCTATTAGCTGTGTATAATTGTCTTTTAAGTCCCTTATAAGTTAATCCATGTAAAACATTCATAACAGTGCTAAACACACAGTAAGTGTTCAATAAATGTTGCTGACATGTTTTTTTTTTTTTTTTTTTTTTTTTTTTTTTCTGAGGTGGAGTCTCACTCTCTTGCCCAAGCTAGAAGGCAGTGGCGTGATCTTGGCTAACTGCAACCTCTGCCTCCTAGGTACAAGCGATTCTCCTGCCTCAGCCTCCTAAGTAGCTGGGATTATAGGCACATACCAACACGCCAGGCTAACTTTTTTGTATTTTTAGTAGAGATGGGGTTTCACCATGATGGCCAGGCTGGTTTCGAACGCTTGACTTTGTGATTTACCCACCTCGTCCTCCCAAGGTGTTGGGATTACAGGCTTGAGCCACCGTGCCCAGCTCCTACATGTATTTTTACATGTATAATATAATTACACATGTATAATTATACATACATCCATTATAATCATACATTATAATTATATACAATATAATTATTAGAAAAGAAAATGTTTTTAAATACTTAGGACCTCTCTTCAACCTTGTATATCATGGACATATTATGTAAGACAGTTCTCTGATAGGCTCTGACGTCTCTTTAATGCTCTATTGCAGTTATCTGCTAATTTATTTGATTCCCCACTAGATTATGAGAACCTTGAAGGTAAGAACTCTGACTTTAATCAATATAGTTGCATATATTTGCATTTTCATTAGCACATATAACTATTTTACTGCTATGTTTATTAGGCAGGCCTGGAGGAATCCTGGAATAAGGAAAGGCACATATTTTAAAAGATAAGTGGCATCAAGAAATTGGTTTAATTTAGAAAAGTGGATCAATTCTGAGATTGAAGACCATGTTGATAAATACTAAATTCTGGAAAGAAGTTAAGCGAGAGATCAGAGGGGAGAGGTATAATAAGGAAAGTCCTCATATGATCTGCTAGATAAGAATGTGTTGATTCATTTCTATTTTATCAATCTGACTTGTCTAGTCCTAGGCTTACCCTGATTGCTAAAGATACTACATCCAATTTTAAATAACGTGCAATATCAAGAAGTATAGCATGTATGCAGTAGCTAGTCATTAGATTTTGGAATTGTATTATGAAGAAGAATTATTTTTTCCAGTGTTATCGATACTCAAATAGGAAATGAAGCCTTTAAAAGTATGTATCTCATATCTCATATCTGTATTAAATTCTACAGCTCATCATTAAGTCTTTCACATCTATTCTGCTCATTTGTGTGATATGTCATCTACAGATATTGCATTTCATTCTGAGGATTCAGGTCAAAATGAATAAGTAAATCTGAACTTGGTAAAAAAAGTATTGGCAACATTTTTCAACAGATAATTATCACATAAAATACAAACTTTCTTATAAGCCACATGAATTAATTTAATTTTTTTAAAAAAATTACATTTATAGCAGTAACATATTGACTAATATGCTACATATTTTTTGTAATTATTTTATTTTATTTTTATTATACCTGATTTTGAGAAAATAAACATCTACATGAATCATTGGCATGAACCTATATGAATACTTTCTCCTTTCCTTAAACCATAACTTCTCTTTAACCCTCAAAATTTGCTAAGTTATATCAACAAGCTCTCCAACAACTAATCAAGTTAATATTTTTCAACATTAAATAAATGAAGACTTTACTTTTATTAATTGTTTATATTTCCTCAGGGGCCCAAAACTGACTATACTATGCATGTCCCAGTGCTTCAAACATTAACCATATTCAGGGTTAATAAAATCAGCAGAGGTTCTGGAAACATAACATAGTCAAGAACTACTACAAATGCATTCACCTTGAACTTTATCAATGTCTCTTAATTATTGTGTTTCTTTAAACGTATTCTGAATCTCTGCTTTTGTAATTGTAAGCAATAGTTCCTTGAAAGTTTGTATTAAGTGTTATTGCCAGTAAATTCTCAGTTATTAGCACAATACCTGAAAAAAAGGTGGTTGATCACATTTTTGTTTTAGATTGTATTAAATTATAAATGACAGTGTGGTTATCAAACTGGAGTTATATTCTTGGGTCCTCACATAAGCAATTGGAGTAGAAAAAATGCACTATTTTGACTCCTTATCATTTTGCTTTAAATTTTCCACCTTAATTTTTCTTGACTCCCCCTCCCACACCCACCCCATGCCAAATGCCAGTCCTCTTGACTTGGAATATATGTCAATATTTTAATTTTGCTTTTATTTTAGATTCAAAGGTTACACGTGCAGGATTTTACATGGCTATATATTGCATGATGCTGAGGTTTTGGGGTACAATTGGCCCCATCATGCACGTAGTGATCATGGTACCCACTATTTAGTTTTTCAACCCTCTCAACTCAGACAGACCTC
Source organism: Homo sapiens (assembly GCF_000001405.40). Lineage (NCBI taxonomy): Eukaryota > Metazoa > Chordata > Mammalia > Primates > Hominidae > Homo > Homo sapiens. Next base: position 60,005,013 of record NC_000004.12, on the reverse strand, counting down.
TCTAGGGTCTATTGTTACCATCTTTGTGTACACATGTACCCAATGTTTAGCTCCTACTTATAAGTGAGAACATACGATATTTGGTTTTCTGTTCCTGTGTTAATTCACTTAGGTTTATGGCCTCCAGCTTCATTCATGTTGCTGCAAAGGACATAATTTCATTCTTTTCCATGACTGCATAGTATTCCATGGAGTATATGTACCACATTTTCTTTATCCAATCCACCATCAGTGGGCACCTAGGTTGATTCTGTGTGCTTGCTATTTTGAACAGTGCTGTGATGAACATACAAGTGCATCAATATTTTTGGAAGAAATATATATATATATGTGTGTGTGTGTGTGTGTGCGTGTGTGTGTGTGTGTGTGTGTGTGTATATATATATATATATAATCCAGTAATGAAATTGGTAGTTCTGTTTTAAGTTATTTGATTAACCTCTATATGTCACCACAGTGTGTGAAATAATTTACATTCAACCAACAATCCATAAGTATTTTATTTTCTTCACAGCCTCTCCAGTATCTATTTTTTTTTTTTTACTTTTTAATAATAGCCATTCTGGTGATGTGAGATAGTATCTCACTGTGGTTTTGATTTGCATTTCTCTGATGATTAGTAATATTGAAAATTCTTTCATATGTTTGTTGGCTGCTTGTATGTCTTCTGTTGAGAAGTGCCTGTTCATATTCTTTGACCATTTTCAATGTTTTGTTTTGGGAGGGTTGCTTGTTGGTTTGTTTAACTTCCTTATAAATTCTGGATATTAATACCTTGTCAGAGGCATAGTTTGTGAATAGTTTTTTTCATTCTGTAGAATGTCTGTTTATTCTCTTGACAGTTTATTGTGCTGTGTAGAACTCATTATTTTAATTAGGTCACACTTGTCGATTTTTTTTTTAGTTGCAATTGCTGTTGAAGACTTAGTCACAAGTTATTTCCCAAGGTTGATATCCAGAATGTTGTTGCCTAGATTTTCTTCTAGGATTTTTGAGGTCTTCCACTAGACTTTTAATCCATCTTGGGTTAATTTTTGTATATGGTTGATATAACTTAGCTGTGTCCCCACTCAAAGTCTCATCTTGAATTGTAATCTGAATTATAATCCACACATGTTGGGGGAGGGACCTAATGGGAGGTGATTAGATCATGGGGGCTTTTCTCTTATGCTGTTTTCATGATAGTGAATGAGTTCTTATGAGACCTTAGGGTTTTATAAGGGGCATTCCTATGCTTCACTATGCATTTCTCTCTCCTGCTGCCATGTGAAAAAGGATGTGTTTACTTCCCCTTCTGTCATGATTGTAAGTTTCCTGAGGCCTCCCCAGCCATGCAGAATTGTGAGTAAATTAAACCTCTTTCTTTTATAAATTACCCAGTCTCAGACAGCTTTTTATAACAAAGAGAGAATGAACCAGTGCAATAGTGAAAGGTAGGGGACCAGTTTCATTCATCTGCATGTGGCCAGCTGGTTATTCCAGCACCATTTATTGAATAGGGAGACCTTTTCCCCATGACTTATTTTTACCAACTTTGTCAAAGATTATATGACTGTCTGAAATATTATTTATCCTTTATTCTTGGCTTTCTAATTTTAATACTCTTTTGGATCAGTGAGAGGAATCCATGCACCATAATCTTGAGTGCTTATGAGCTAATGGTAAAGGTTATAAGATGCCAAAAAAATTTACAAAGATAAAATGACAGAATCTCTCCTAGGAAAAAACAAAAGGATCTGGAAAAGTAGTTTTAACCAGCCTCTCTAATAATACACGTCTTGCTCTGCCACTCCATTACACACAATAAATGGTATGTCAGGAGGCCTAAACTTGAAAGAAGCTTGTTTAATATTCGGGAAGGAAAGAGGTGTTCTTGTGAACTATGTAAATATTGGACAAATATTCTGGCAGGGGAGAGGACTTCTTGTGAACTCTGTAAATGTTGAGCAAGAAAAAGTCTATCTACACACTGAGACAAACTTAAGGTCCTGGATTGTTTGTTTTTAATGAAAATGTATAGCAGTATAAGGAACAACAAAACCACTCACATTAACACTTGCCAAATTGAGATTAATTCTAAAGTATTCTTAGATTTCAAATGACCATTTTTTTTAAAAGAGTGGTGATATATCTATTACCAACCATTATAAATACTAGCTGAAAAGACAGATAGATAAAGTTACAAGTATATGAATAGGGACTGGGTGCAGCAGCTCATGCCTGTAATTCCAGAGCTTCCAGAGGCAGAAGAAAGAAGATTGCTTGAGGCTGAAAGTTTGACCACCAGACTGGGCAACACAGCAAGACTCCATCTCTATAAAAGAAATCAAAAAAATAATATTCAGACATCGTGGTATGCACCTGTCATCCTAGCTATGCAGGAGGCTGAGGTGGGAGAATCACTTAAGCCCAGGATTTCAAGGCTGCAGTCAGCTATGATTGTGCCACTACATTCCAGCCTGGGTGACAGAGACCCTATCTCTAAAATAATAAAAATAAAATAATAATTTAAAAAACAATATATGAAAAGGGTGGTGTATTTTAAAATTAAATAATCTGAAAGATACCTCAGATTCAAAAATTATTACTTCAGAATCATAGCATGGAGAAAAATATATTTTTGAAATGTCTTTGTGATTATACATACATTTGACCTACAGCATTTAAAGTACCTAGACTGTTAAGTGATTTTGAATTAATTTATGCTGTAAATTCGTACCAGACATTGAGGTATTAGACATTTGTTGACCGTGGCCTTATGTAACAAGTAACTCAAGAATATACAGATTATGCAGTTTTATTATTACCAATATATCAGCTACATCCATATCAAAATTAATTTGACTAATAAAATGTATCATATATTACATTTCTTTATAAAAAATCCACTCAGTGGAGATGCTATTGTAGAATCTCTTTTGATTTATACTTTTTTGACAATTTACAAAATAGTAATGCAGTTGTCCAGCAATTTTTGTTACAATGCTGGACTAAATCTAAATTACTAAAAATTTTAAGATACCTTCTAAAGCACTTTAATCACCTTATCCCATTTGCATTGAGACAATAGAAGTTTATAGTCACAGTAAGACTTTAAAAAACAGCTCATATATTTAAAATTAACAGATAATTTCATCTTTGGAAGCTAGATGTGTTGCTTACTTGCAATTAGAAAAAAAAAATCAAAAGTGAAAAAACTTAAGGAAGTTGAAGTGTTTAAGTTTTTCTTTAAACTCATCCTTCAAGATGCAAATTACTATATGCTATTGTTCTCCAAATTTACATATCCATCAAATATCAGAAGGTAAAAACAGGGCTGTTTTCTATTAGAACATTAAACTCTGCTTGTTGTGATATTGTATTTAAATAATTCTTTTCATATGAACAATTCAAACAGAGTTCACTCCTACCACCATCACATACTTTAAGATTTTTATTAATTGGGTAGAATGCAGAACTTATTATTTCAGGGAGGTACCCGGGTAAGACAGAGGATCATCACCATGGGTAATAACAACACTCCAGCTGTTTCATTATTCTTGCATATAAATTGTTCTAGTGTGATGCAAACGACTTTGTCCCTTTGCAACATGAATGCTCTCATGTTATTTATCATATGACTTCCTAAATTTATGAGCAGTGTGTTTATTTTTTAAGATATTAAATACCATGTCTTCCTGCTGTAAACTGTAATCACTAAAAGAGTTCACTCAAGCCATAAATTGCTTATTTGTAAGCAAATGGAGCAAATTCACAGTTTTACTTACTGCTTTGGAATGCAAACTAAATTGAACTCATAAAATTTTCTGCTTCCTGTAAAATAGAGCAGTATAACGTTATTGAGCAGTAAGAAAAAAAAGCTATCAAGGAACGTTAGTCCAAAATGTATTATGTATGCACATGCACATCTGTCTCAAGGTAAAACAGAGATTTAAAGAAAAGGAAAACTTGGTGGTGCCATATATTTCTGAGAAGAATTATGAAGGTCAAAGCATAACTGATCTAAGACTAGATGGAAAGAATCAAATAATTACAGAAGCAGAAAATGGTCAGTCAGGAGACAGCAGAAGAATTTAAGGAATGAGGGAATTGAATGATAATGAACTAATGGTTTATAAACTGTGAACTACATCTTGAAAATGTTCAATGCTCTTAAATTTAATATTTGTACTTGCTAGCAGGACACATATCAAAAAGTGATATTCTCTGGGGGCTTGTCCATGATCCCTGAAGGGTGGTTAAATGCAGACCAAGACTCTTCACTTTTTTCCGAAGTTTCTTGTCCTCAGACATTTTTCTGAAGGCAGATGAAGCACTGAACTTCTGGTTAGTCAGTTAAGAGTGAATTGAACAGCACAGCTACAGAGGACAGGATGCAGAAGAGGACCTCCCTACCCCCACCACTCTCAGGGGTTGGGAATGTTGGTTTTCTACCAATCCAGACTTTTCTATGGCATTTTTCTTCTTCTTTTGGGGGCTGTAATGGTGCCTATCTTCTCTTTTACAATGTTAAGAATGTTGTTGCAAACTACAGAGATATTACTGGGTAGAACGGGCACTTGGCCCAGTCATCAAAAACGTAATTCAGAACAATATGGTTTCTAGCTATTCTTAGAAGCAGGGAAAAAGCAGTGATTGGAAGTGTTTTGTTTTGTTTTGTTTTCCTGTTGATGGAACCCATTTGTAAAAGAGCAAGAGGCTTTTTCCCACAGGCACTTTTTTTTCTTTTCTTCACATTGTCAAGAGTTAACTCAGCCCTGCAAATACAGGGTGCTTTTCTATGTGAGAGTTTTATTTTCCTTTTGGAAGGCATCTTACTAGGCCTTGTTTGGGGAAGACCCAGTTCCACAGCTTCACCTTAGCACTCTGCTTCTGATAAGAAAGCAGTGAAGAAGTGGCCCCACTGGCTACTGGCTGCAAATTTGGAGAAAGCCACCTGGAACTTAACTTAATATGTCTATGCACCCTTCTGAGGCAACTTTTTGTCCCAAACTCAATTCCAAACTTCAAGTTGAAGCCCTAGAAAGGAAAATTGTATCCGAGGGACCCAGAGGTGGGCAACGACGGAAGTCAAGGGGCATAGTGCAGGTAGCATGACTAATTTCTGCCCAACTAGCCCTTCCTACCCTGTTTCATGGATGGAGGTCATGTCCATAACCCTGGCATAGATAAGGTTACCAGCAACAGGGAGGATAGGCCAGTGTGTAGGTGAGTGTGGATAATTGCTACCCTCTAGGCATCACTGTTACATCAGAGAAAGCTGCATTGGCACCCAGGGGTGGCAACTGCCAAGTTCACTGGGATGCAGGGATATAAGGATGAAAGAAAAAAAGGGGATGCCTTTTTTTTTTATCTCCCTCACATACCCTGGGTATTTGCTGGGAAGAGAAAGAAATGAAGGGACGTCTTTTTTCCCTCTTCCAGATGGGTAACCAACTATCTTCAGTCTGTGCTTCTCTCAAGTGCATCCTGAATCACTGAGACTCCACGGAAAAAAAAAAGCCTTCTTTTCCCCATTTTCTCCTCTGTCCTCTCTTCACAGCTGGGTAATCACATCTTCATACCATAGTACACTCCCCTGGGATGCATCCCCAAACTAGGAAAGGTTTAATTTCCCCAAACCTTAAAATCTTTGGCATAAAAATGAACTGGGAAGAAATTACAGATCTAACAGAGCAAATCTCTTGAGGATGGACAACTTTTACAGTAGGCGAATAAACTCTTTGTCTGCTCCCCCTTTACAGGACGCCAGGGTCAAGAGGGCTCCATAGCTCAAGAGAAGGGAACCCAGAACTCTGACATGCAAGTAAAAGGACAAATGTTTCTTTTTTAATAGTTAGACTTCTGGCCTCCCTCTCCCTCCCTGTGCAAACCTGTAGAATGAATGGTAAAAATCAGTTTATATTCTCTGTGTAAAATTTTGATTAACGGAAAAAGGATTTGTAAGGTTAGTCTTAAGCTATAGCAAATCTGTTGTACTAGAAATTTGTCTTTTTATATCTTTCTATCAGAAAGAGGGCTATCTTAGGATAGAATGCTGGCCTAGGACCCCATAAGCCCACTGTTTAAGCCATCACAGAAAACTGGTCAGTAGCAAACTTTGCTACAGGTTTCTGAAGAAAAAAAAAAAAAAGAATTGTAAAACAAAACTGGATGAGGTCTCCATTTTGTTTTATCTCTTTGGGACCTTGACCTTTAGCCATGTGGCAGTTCTTTCTTTTGTTCTCTTTCATTATACAATGGCAATCCAGGTTCAGTCCTGGCTTAGGGAATGAGTACTTTCTGGTTAATATCTGTGTGACTTTGACCATTTGCTGATTCTCTTCCCCTCTATGAACAATATCTAGCTTCCTTTCTTTAATCGTCTTTTCTCTGAGCTATCTTTAAATATTATAGATTTTGTAAAAACTACTTACCACCTCCTTGAAAATACCTTGTACACTTGTGGTTAAATCATAACCTTAGTTGAGGCTTGTTAGTTTCACCTGTGAACTTACTTTTGGTAAAGTTCAAAAGCCAGAAATATTGGCCACTTGGCTTAGCTAAAGTCGGGTAATAAAGGGTTTAAAAGACTTTTTTTTAAAAGAGTGCTATGGATAAAAGTCAACTTAATCAAAAATGGATACCGAAGGTATAGGTATATTTAAACGGTTTATTTTTTTCTCTCTCTTCTTGGATCTTGTTTTGCTGGAAAAAGGTTTGGTTCTTCTCAGTCAACTGAATTATTTTTCCAATTCTGTCTTGCCACACTTAATGCACACGTGAGAGGCCCTAAGGTAACTTCTGAGAGTGTGGGACATTTTGGGAAAAACAGAGGAGGCACCACAGACCTCATTTTTGGGAAAACCTCTGTTTTCCTCATGGAATCCCAAGAATTAAAAGCAGATAAATCCCTCTCAAAATCTGTTTTTGTCTTCCAGCTGTATCTGCTTATTAGGCCCTGGACATTTTATGCTTTCCTAGCCCTGTTTCTTGAAGGGCTTTACCCTGAGGCTGATAAGAGATTGGCAATTGAAAAATCTTACAACTACTGAATCTTCTTTCTGTCTGTGTAGTTATATGTGTTATGTGTGTAATGTTTATGTAAAAAAGAGCTTTAATTAGTTGACTTAAAGAAAATAAGAATTTAGATCAAATATTTTTTGAAGGAAAAATAAGAGCTGTAATACCTTTTAGTTAAAGTGTCTTTAAACTTTGAGAAATAAAAGCTATTTTAAATACAAATGTTTTCAGATGTAAACATGTGGTCTAAATTTTGAAGGTCAGATACCGGGCTTGCTAAATGCTTTAAAGTTAAAAACAGCTTCTTTGCCTTTTGAAAATTGTTCAAACTGCCTGCTTTACAGTTTGGTAGGGCCTGGGGCATATGGAGTTAACCACACCCCAACAATGCTGGAAAGAGTTAGACCTTATCTGAGCTTAGTATGTAATTAAATAACTTACCAAGTTTTACATTATAATTAAAAATTGCTAAGGGTTACCATTATAACATGTAATTGAGACTACTAAAAATAGATTTACATACAATGTGTGTAAGGAAAGTAAAATGTGTTTTTAGTTAAAGATTATAAGAAGGCATGGGGATAGAAATTTTTGCCAAGCTTAGAGAGCTAAAGGATGGTTTTAAATTAGATAAGATAAAGTGAAAGATTTAAACAAGTCATAGGAGGTTTACAAAAATTAATCTTGTAAAAGAAATTCTGTATGTGAACATATTGATTAAATTCAAAAGGATATGATTTGGTTTTCCTCTAAATTGAAAATTGAAATAAAATCACAACAAGATTTTCTTAAGGCACCGATCTGCTCTTTAACAAAAATTAGTAATTGTTATAAAAAAGTTTATAAGAATCTCACCTCATGGTCAAACTGCCTGAGATTAGATAGAATTATCTGTAAGGTTTTGTTATAAGATTGGGGTTAACATTACTAATAAACTAATGGGAGGGTAAAATTTGGCTTTCTCTCCCTTGTACAAGAATTTTATGTAATAGTAAAGGATAATAAAATATTTTTGTTTGCCTTGCAAATAAACTACCAAAAAGAGAGAGAGAAGACAAGAGATAGCTTGTTTGGAAAGCTAAAACTTCCCTCATAATGAGTAAAGGATTTTGCCTTGTTTTAAAATTTTTGAGTCATCATTTTGGCTAAATAAATGACTTTTGTAATTTGGAATTCTATTTCATAATATCAAGTGTTTTAAACCTCTAACTTATTTAATAGTCTTCCCAAAATCAAATTTCAGCTTCAAATGTTGTCTTTCCTGGCCCCTAAATTTTGGTTGCTAAAGAGGGCCCCTGGAGAATCCAAAAGAGAGGTAAACAGGATTATTTGACATGTTTAGTGAAATGGGATTGCAAAATAAAAATAAAGTTGAATCCTCTTTAGATTATATTATAATTAATAATATTAATACATTTTCCAAAATTATATGGGATTTCTAAAATTCTAATGTCTGAAGATACAGTATCAATCATGAAGTAATTATGCTAAGTTATTATAAACCCCACAAATTACCAAATTTTTTTGCCAATTGTAATTTTGAATGTAACTACCCTGGACATTTTGTCATTCATAGACAATTGTTGTCTTGCTTTGATTATCTTCAAAATATGGTTTATAATCAACTATATGATTTTGATAGGTGCTTATAAAAGCAGGTTTCTAATACATTCAGAGATTGTGACATTGAAATAAAGGAAAAATATTCAGGACTCTTAAAGAGCTAAAATGTTTGTGAACATCAAATAGGACAGGAGTTAACTGCATGGAATGAACTAGTAGGAGAATGAGGAAATCTTTTTGACTTTGTTTAAAATATTGCTGACAGTTGAGTCAAGAAAACTTTTGAACTATTTGCAGCTTTTAATAATTGAGTAAGTTACACTCCTGTGAACAAAATTTGGAGCTTACTTGTTTCTCTGCCTGGTTTCTCTAGAATTTGGAAACTATTTGTGAGTATTCTTAACTTACAGTAATATAGTTATTTGCATGAGTGCAATAAAAATCCTTTTTTTTTTTTTTTTTTTCAGCAAGACACAATTAGAAAAACTGGTTGTTTTACAAAGGCTTTCACTGGAATGGCATGCTTTCCTTTACAGAATCAAACTTGATTTGCAGAGCCAATAAAATCCCATTAGGAAAACTGGCCTTATACCTTGTTCACTCAGTCCCTGTACAGGGTTTCTAATCTGTGATGTGTAAAGAATGTCACTTTCTAACAGGCCAACAATCCCCAAGTTATCTTGGGACCTCAGACAGAGAGGAATTTACCCAACTCATAGGTATTTGAGGATATAAACTCATGACTGAACTTGGGTTTTAAAAAATCTTATCTGAGATTCCTTCTGTAACAAAGTTTTATCGAAGCCAATTTAGAAAAGCCTATGTGAAAATAATTTTTCTTGCTGCACTTTATGCTTATAATCAGGCCAAGTATAAGATCAAAGTTTATTTTGCCAACAATTCAGTCCTATTATGATTTGTTTTTAACAAAAATGAGTATTGAAGAGAGAAAATGATGTTTCAAAACTTATTATACACTTGCCATTAAATTCTAGTCTCTTTAGTTGTGTTTTAAGTTTTTGTCTGCATTTTAAACTAACTTTGCTTGTTCCTGTGAACCAACCAGTGATCTCTGGCTGCAGTTCAGAGGAAACAAAAGTGATGGGCAACATCAAAATCTGGATTAATATTCTAGTTCTGGGCAATTATCCTGCAAATCCTGCCAGGTGATAGCAGAGGGTGCTCATAACCCTAGGTTTCTTTGATGGGAAAATAAGAACAAATTGGAGCTAACCAAAGCCAAGCCTCATGCACCCAAATCTTAGCAGGCATAGCTAATAGCCACCAGTTATCTGTGTGTGCCAGCAGCTTCTGGATATTTTAACTGTTTTTATCCCCTTGTTTCATTTTGATACATAACTTCTAATAACCCGATTTGTCTCTTCTCACCTTCAGGCCATCGAACTCCAAACAGTCATGCAACTGGAGCCTTGGATGATGGCTCCCTTTTACTGGGGACCGTTAGATAGGCCTCTGAGGAGAAATTACTTCCCATCTTCCCAAAATGGTGACCCCTGTCAGCAGGAAGCAGTTAAGATCTGTCACTGTCCTTATCCTAATGGCAATTAGATGTACCTCTTCAGAGGGGGAATTTGATATTAGCAGGAGGCAGACAAATGCCTAGGCAAATAGGGGCAGTTCTCCAGTGAAACCCCACCTTCAAGCTGAAGACAAAGCCTGAAAGCCAAGCAACGAGTCAAATACACAGACCAGATTGAGAATCTGTCTTCCTTTGTGACACACTTTCCTCTGATGTCTCCCCACCCTACACATAACTACTGTTTCCTAATTGATTTTCTACACTGCTATGCTCACCTTTGAGTGGCACCTTTGCTTTAGCCTTTCTCACAAACCAATTAGCATGTATTCCCCTATCTGAGCTCATAAAAGCCCTGGACTCAGCCACTGAGAGAGAAACCACCCAACTGTGGGGGTGGGGACTACCTCTGCATCCTCTCTTTGTTGAGAGCTGTTCTGTTACTCAATAAAATTATCCTGCACCCTCCTCACTCTTCAATTGTCCAGTGTATCCTCATTTTTCTTGTATGAAGGACAAGAACTCAGGACCCACCAAATGGAGTTATTCAGAAGGCTATAACACTGTGGCCCTCTGCCCTCCACCAGCAGAGGGCAACTGCCCCACACCATGAGAAGCAACAGTGTGGCCAAGCCAGCCCAAAACCACAAGTCGAGGTGGGACAAAGGCATTGCTGGCTGGGAGTTTCCAGCTGGCAAAAGTAATTGAGAAAAGTCCTGTGTTATTATTCCTCCTGATGCAGGAATCTGATAATAATACCTTTGTTTATTTTTTGTATTTATTCAATATGCCTAAAAGATTGCACTCCCTTGCTTCTACTATCTTTGTCCATATGCAGAATATAATAATATGGCCTCTGTCCACCAATTAATTCTCTCTGCATCAGAGGAAGATGAAAACATGCTTGATAGGTAACTTTAACATTGGAGAACAATTTGATCATGTTCATTCTATCTTCCTTTCCTTTCTTTTGGAGCCAGTTTTCCTGAAGAGAACCAACTTTTTGTGTTCCTTCTAACATATCCCTTACCTGCCACACCCACATCCATATCTAGACAGCAGGATATTTCACTGGTCTAGCAGTCCCTGTGATTCTGTGGGTGAATCTACACAATTTTAGTATCCAGTATGCAGTAGCCATTCACTCACAAAATAAATCCTTTCTCCAATACTTCACCCTCCCTATTAATACTTTTGGTGTTCTGAATGACCTTTAATCCTTTATGTTACTTTTCATACTGCCATATATAGATGGTCCCTAACTTACTGAGTTTGATTTATGATTTTTCAACTTTATGGTGGTGCAAAAGTGGCACACATTCAATAAAAACTTGCTCTGAATTTTGATCTTTTGATCAAAGGCTAGTGATACGTTGTAAGACACTCCCATGATGCTGGGCACAAGCAGTGAGGAGCAGCTCCCAGTCAGCAACAAGATCTTGAAGTATCAGCTCGTACTCTACAGCATACAGTATTTCCAGATGATTTTCCCTACTGTAGGGTAATGTTCTGAGAATGTTTAAGGTAGACTAGGCTAAGCTATGATGTTCAGCAGGTTAAGTGTATTAAATGCATTTTCTACTCACATTTTCAACTTATGGTGGATTTATTGGGATGTTACCTCATAGTAAATAAAGGAGCATCTGTATTGGACTTCCTCAAATGCTCATTTAAAAACTTGTTATGTATTGTTGTGATGTCACTATGTCAGGCACAGAGCTGGGTACAGTTAGATAGATGTGTAGCTAGATAGAGAGATGAGTAAATTAAATTACTAATCTCAAAAGTTTACATTTTTGGTGGGATTTGCATAACCCAGATATGCCAGATATTGCTTGTCATAGCAGGGGTGGGATGAAGTAAAAGTCTTACCTGAAAAATAATCACAGCACAGTGGAAATACAGATAAGAAATTACACATTACAAAATGAAATCTATGAGATACATAGTGATTACAGAAGTATAGATGAAGGGCACCTAGACCAGGCTGGGGAAGGACAGTGGGGAAAAGGGAACACTTCCTGGAGGAGGTAATATCTGAGTTGATTCTTCAAAATTTATAAGGTTATTTAAAAAGTACTAAACAGAGTGATAATAAAATGCCATGAGGAAATTATCTTTGTAAATTAGGCAAATAATGGTTTTTACACATATCATGGATTTCATAGAATTTATTTTCTAAATAAATTAGCATTAATATAAACTATTAATTATTGAGATTAGTGTAGTAGTCAGTAATTAATAATTAATTGTACTTTCTGCTATTCTTTGGAGAAAATAGGAAAAAGCTATTGGGTATGTACAATGATAAGGTAAAGAATTATGAGGAGGCATCAAATATGTGGCATTTTACCTTAATAGAAAAGGTAAGACACAACTCATTGCTATTGTTGAAACAAAACCCACAGGCAAATTAAATTAGTATGGCATGATATTAAAAAATGTCATCCTGCCATGCATGATTAATTTTCAAGTGAATGGGAGAGATAAAAAGTGTTTGGGGAATTCAGAGGGTGAAGAAATTGCATCTACTCTGAAGGTGAGGTAGAGCTTATCGGAGAAAAAGAATCTCAATGGAGTCCTGAATTAGACCTTGAATAGTCATTTAAGTCAATGAATGCTTTAGTTTGTGCAAGTTAACCATATATTAAGATTAATTTGAGGGTCAATAAAACTGTCTTAAAATATATTTTTATTCATAATATCTAACTGTTAAAATGAACCTCATTGAAATTAGTTTATTTTTATTTGATATTTTTGAGTCAAGCCCTTAACCCTTCTTGGATTAATTTATCATAATTTGCAACCATTTTTTATCTGCATGTATATACCTGTGTTTTCAATCTAAAGATTGTGATATGTCTGTAGGTATAGGCAAAGAGTCAGGTCTACTCCTCATACTGCGAGAGAGGCATAAATGCAAAAGGGCATGTTGTTACTAGAACATTTTCAACTATGAACGATTTTTGGAAGATGAATGTTTCAAACAGTGAAAGTCTATTTTTATAATGAAGAGTAGGAAAAACGATACTTTTTTTCTATTCACATTTTTCTAGTCATCCATTTTAACACGATTTATTTAAAAAAATTTCAATTCTGTTAGCTGTACTTCCACTGTTGAGAAAGCATACCTTAGATATGTTTTAGATCTATTTGTTCTTAAAGTAATATTATATTCAAGTATACATATAATAGAGAATATCACGTTGACAATAGAAATTTCTCACTGCTTCAGGAACGTTGATAGATTTTATGGACTTATTACCTTGACAGATATTCTTGCGTGCTCTATTTATTTCTTTTATACTACCTTGGTTGAGAACCATTCTGTCCTAAATATTTACAACACTGAAGTTGAACAAGTTATTTGTTAACATCTTCTTTAGAGACACCTGGTAAATCTGAATAATTATGCCCAATAAAAGGAGTCCTTGGAATTAATAATTTACCGTCAGCCATAGTAATAAAGATTAATATCAGGAATTCATTTAATCTTAAGGCAAAATTGTCATTTTATTTGATTGACTTTTGTTCTTGTGTTATGTAATGAAGCTGCGAGTTAAAATCTTTGTACTAAGTTTTGTGATATTTTGAATTGCAATTTTAACACAATTTAAAATGTTTTGTTTTCCTCAGTAAAATGAATGAACTATACCAGAACAATCATATTTATTAGACAAATAATATAGAAGGAGAAAATTTTTTATTCTTTCTGAGACAAATGGAAGAGGGTTTACTCCTTCCTATGATGAAACATCTAGCTAATAGAAATATTAAACAATATAAAATTACCCTTCTAATGAAGAAACACGATTTCACACAGAGCACTGTATTTATCCTGAAATAGAAAGGATAACATATTACTATTTTTATTTTATGTACAGAGAATTTTAGGCAAAATACTTTTAGCTATAATGGGGGTGCACACACACCCACATATACACAAGACCTGATTTTCTTACTTTTGTCTGAAAAACCAACCACAAATACCCCTGTATGTCAATAATTTCATTATATTTTTTATCTCTTCTTTTTCTTCACCCCTAGCTTAATGATAGGGATTCAATAAATACATTAATTATATTTTTATGTGAATTTCCAATTCATAGCATTTCCTTTTGTGATATACTCTTATCAATTTCACTTAATGGACTGTATAGGAATAAATACAAACATATTAATAATACACAAATTTAAAATCATTATAATCATCTCTATATATTTTAAATTAGCATATTGCTGTTCTTGTATCATTTATTTCAAATGGGAACCAATATTAATGTAGGTAGAAAAGTAATCTCATTTCAAAAACACAAATATCAAAAGGGAATACTTCTCATTTCTTCCAAATTTTTACTTTTTCTTTTCTGCCTCATTTCATTTCTGTTGGTAGAAAAGCGTTCAAATTGGAACTAATAACGTGCATCTTTCCTTCCCAAAATAATCTTTCATTGTTAAATATGTTGAGAAGATGGACCATCTTTCAAGTTGCTGTTATTTTTTCATGCAGATGCAATTTTTCTTAACTCTAGTCTTTTGAATCATGTAATTGTTTCACTTGTAATTTATTCAGTGCCAAAATAACTATAAATCAGTGGGAAAAAAAGAAAATTCCTAGGTAAAAACAACATTTTTTTATTCAACTTTATGTCAGCTGAAAGACCAGTGGGTTGACTTAATCATAATCATAGCTAATTTGGAGTAGTGGGGAGTTGTGTAAGTGACCACAAAATTTTATAAAGTATTTCTTGCACATTTGAGCAATAGAAATATAGTGATGATTAGACATTGAAAAGTAGTTGCATTTTCTCATTCCTCTCTGAACTAAACGTGTAATCCCTCACCTAAAATGTGTATAAAAATGATTTTATTTTTATAGAGAAAAAACATAAAATCTCAGATTCAATCAAAGAGTTAGGCATACAGAGTTTAAAATATGCCAGACGCTGTTTACAATTCTTAAAATCTGTTAACTCCTGACATCTTCACAACTATCTTATGGAATAGTCACTATGAATATGATCAATATGCAGATAAGAAAACTGAGGCATGGAGAAATTAAGTGACTTGAATCATTTCACACAATAGTGGACTTAGAATCCAAACCCAGCTCTTTGTTTCTAGAATCTGTGCTTTTAAACACTATGCTGTTGTAGACAAATGAGGAAACATTTCAAAAACTATTTGGAAATATCTATATTACATTCATTCACCCCAATTATTATCAGCGTTTAAGTGAAAACATGTCTGGACCTTTATGTATGTATATGTGTTTGTGTTTGTATAAATGTATGTATATTCATAGATATATATGATTCATATATGAATGAATTCATGTATGAATGTATGATTTATGTATGTATATATGCAGATTTTATGTTCATATTTGCAGACATTTACTTATACATGTGCATATTTTTAAAAATGAAAAATAGATGTGTATTTACCATTTAACCAGGGCCTTGAATAACAATGGCTTGGGACATGTACAAACTATTTACTCAGGAGAACTATTTATTTGCCTTGCTTTTGGCTGACATCTCAGTGGGCATCCATGATTATCCATTGATCCTAAAGGAACAGAAAGTCTTATAGCCCTTGTAATTTGAAAACATCTTAATTTAGTAACATTTAAAATGTGCAACCCTATGTAATGATTTCAAAAGTTTAGCATGATTTAATATTAAACTTTCTTACCTCCCCAGATAAGGTCTTCAGTGGTCAGGAATCCTGAAGTAGGTTCACTACCCACTTATCATAGTTATCATTCAGTAACCTCTGATGTCCTTGGGTCCAGACCATTTTTATTTTTGTGCTTTGAGATGGGATGAGAGGATGCATTTACCATCCACAACAAGTTAGACCAGCTGATGACCATTCCACTTCATTGTGCTCCTTTTTTTTCTCTTGGCTGAACATATTAAGTATCCAAGCCCATTCGTTATCTAGGATTATCAATGTTATGCCCAAGAGAGAAGATCAATTAAATAAAAGGAAACACAGTTATAATGCAGACAATGTGGTTAAAAATATGGAATCAGATTTCTGGAGTTTTATTAATTGATCTGGGTCAGTCTGTGCAAGTAGAACACTGAGAGTTGAGTAGAAGAAGAGTAGCTGAACAATCCAAATCTATCATAGTCCTGGTTGCGTTTTGGCAACACTTGGTGGCATTTACCTAATTTGGATTTAATATCAGTGGGGACAATTCTGGTCCTATAAATAGTTAGAGCTTGTAGATAACAGAAACAAACTCTAGGGGTTCCCAAGTTCTTGGCCTTAATTTTATTAGCATACTCAAAGAGAATTGACTGAGTGAATAGTGGGGGTAAGAGATTCATACTTGATATCCTGATAAAAGGTTTCCTGCAATTTCCCCCACCAGTATTGCCTTCCAATCCATAGCCTACCACTTCCTTCCTTGTCCCACTCCCACAGCCTCTAATTCTAATAATTGTATGAACTTCAGCTTGTCATCATTTGAGACATAAACATAGGCATGAATAAGGGGGCCAATCATTAATTATGTTATATCCAAATATATCCCTGGTTATATCTCTGATTGTTCTTCCACTGGGCTTTACAAAATTAGAAATTTCCTTCCGGTTATTTAATAAATTGCTTTTCCAAATATTACACTCCTCATATGTATTTATCAACCCATAAAGTGGAAAACTGTATCTATAAAGATGATTCCTTAATTGTCACTGCCCATAAAAATAAAATCGATTAAATATATTTATTAATTAATTTTACCCTGAAAAGATTTTTATTTTTAAACAAGCAGCAACTCTTCCCATTTGTATTTGTCATTTTGGCTTATGTTCAGCCATGTTGGCTTGTGAAACTCAGAGACGATGAGTTTTCTAATAGAAATACAAATGAAACATTAAATTATCTTAGGCATAGTGATTAATTATATTAAGTGTTATAGTTATATATATATGATGTTGAAGAGATCTTGTTGGATAATCTCTATATTTCAGAGTTAGCAAATAGGTGCACCAGTTAGGATTTGTCAGAGAATCAGAGTCACTATGAGTAACATAGAGTAAGAGGTTTATAGTACGAATTAGGCAAAAACAACAACAACAACAACAACAAAAAAAAAAACTGTGGAAGCTAGTTAAAAGCTCTATGTAAAATTGACTTATGTGTCTAATATGGGCTGGAAGTTAACAAGCTTGTAGTTGAATAGAAGAAATAGACATAGAGTGAAGGAGATCAGGGAAAACCTGAAACCCCCAGGGTTTTTTGGGAACCCATGCATTCAAACTGGAAACCACATTTGTCTTCCACTAACTCAAATTTCAATAATGTCAGTGATCTGCAGAAGTTGGTACTCTTCACAATGGGTTTACATACACACCTGACTCAGAGTTTGGAAATAATTGAATGATATGACCCAGTGGGAACTGGGGGAACTGCAGGTCTGGCTGCTGCTTCATGACAGTGAGTTGAGGCAGTGGATCAGCAGCTGTATGTGTGCACTGCAACAGCGTCTGGCTCTGTACCAGCCTGGACAGCAGATCTTGCAGCTTCTCTAGCTTCTGCTTGCAAGGAATAGACACCCAATTACTCTTAAGAATTCTCAAGCCTCTCTCATGTATGTATTTCATATATATATGTGTATATATATATATTATTATACTTTAAGTTCTAAGGTACATGTGCACAACGTGCAGGTTTGTTACATATGTATACATGTGCCATGTTGGTGTGCTGCACCCATTAACTTGTCATTTACATTAGGTGCACCTCCTAATGCTATCCTTCCCGCCTCCCCCCACCCCACAACAGGCCCCAGTGGTGATGTTCCCCTTCCTCTGTCCAAGTGTTCTCATTGTTCAATTCCTACCTATGAGTGAGAATTAGTCTTGGTGAAGATAGTATCCTCTTGGTGAAGACTGCATCCACTAAAAGAGAGCAGCATCTTCTTAGTGGATGTAGTTAGTATGGAGTTAAGGTATTTGTGAACAGATATCATTGAATGAATCCATTCTAGTATTTCAAACAGCTTAAGTCTTTAGAAACTGTCCTCTATAATACCAAGGAAGGTCAAACATTTTAACTTTATCAATGTAGTTAGGCTATCTTTGGGTCTATGTTCAGTTACCCTAAACATGGTGTTGAAACCATTTTCAGTCCTTCATGGTAATATGTTAAATCCAGAATCTGTTTAGAGCACTCATGATAAATAATTCAGCCTAGTCCAATGTTATATTCACATCACTCTGTGCCAACACTGTTAGGGTTTTTTCGCAGACATGTTCTTCAGACTTCTGCTGATACAAAATGGCAAAAATGTCACTTTTTTGATGCTTATTGCATTATATGTTTGGGTTTACATGTTCTGGCCTGACAGACTTAAATCTGTCTACAAATTCAGAAGCAATGAGAGGTGATGGAGTAGGTATTAAAGAGCATCAGAGGTCCCTACAATCACATACATCAGAGAGGACATTACTGGTTATTCAGGCAAAAGGAGATTAACCTCATAAGGGAGGAAAATTTACTTTTAATGTCAAAAGCATCTCAAGATAATTTATGGGTTCAAAGGCTCCAGCTTCAACAGAATATACTTATAAGTATCCATACCATTGTGAGGATCTTTATCCTCCCAGATCAATGCCCTAACTTTAACAGAGACACACATTATATTAGAAATGTAATTTGCATTGTAATTTACTCACTTATGGGATAAGTTTTAGATTTTATTTTCAGAAATCCAAGTTCTATGGAGAGAGAATTAAACAGTTTCATTTTGAAACTTTTTGGTTCCTTACCTGGACCCAGATTTGAGCCAAACTTGGCTGTTTCTTTCTCCAAGTGTCTGGTATATATAAAAAATAACTAAATAACCCATTGTTTTCCATATTTTTACTACTGTGTTCCATGGGAGGAACTCTATAGCCACCCAAAGATTTCTTTTCTGTAGCACTTGATTGCAGATTATCTACAAATAATGTAAGAAACAGTTTTGCCAATGCATGCCATAGACTACCACTAACCAAATTACCACTGAAAACTGATTCATTCATATATTTTAAATCAGTAGATCAGAAAAGCAGTTCTGTGCAAACCAGAATCAATTCAAAGAACTGACTCTCAAGGTCGTAATCCCCAGAATCAATTGGGTGCCAAAATCTGTATGATTTAGGCTTGGATCAAATAATAGGAACCACAATGAGTGATATATAGAATGATGATGAGTGATATGTGAGTATCTAGAGTGATATGTAGCATAAATAATCTGTTATAGGGATTAAAAGTTATACATTTGTCAGAGCTGGCTAAGTAGTTTACATAAGGCTGTTGCTTCTGCATCTGTTGTTGGTCTTGAGGTAAGAACCAGGATATAGAAAGAAATACTGGATTTAAACCTGGGAAAATTAAAGACAAATTGAAATGCGTGTGAATGCATAGGAACCTATGACTTAAACAGGCACACTTGAGGACTAAATGGAACCCACAAGAACAAAGTAGAATGCACATCTGTTATTCATAGCCTGCAGCCTTGATGATGTGTGCAACCTATGTTATAATCTGAACATACTTCAACAAAGAGCTGCACATGTGCCAGTGCTATGATGTGCAGCAGGTAAAACAAAAGATCCACCAAGAACCAAAGAAACTAAGGGTCCAGCTGCTTCCCCACACCAGCAAGATGAGCCAGCACACTGAAAGCTTGCATCAGGTGCAGGGGTCATAGCCTTACTTGGACTTTCAGAATGTTGAGCTAACAACAACAACAACAACAACAACAAAAGGCAAAAAATTGACTGTTTACTTTAGCCTTCCACCTATCACACAAATTTCCCTTGTGGCTGAATTTACCCAGAACCATATGAGGAAAGGAAACTTGAGAAATGTTTGATATGATACAAAGTTGCATCATTGGGAGGGACATTCCTAGGAGCAAATCAAGGAAGACTAGAGACAATAAGGACAGAATTATCTATTTTCTAATCAAGAATGCCAGAAGGGCACTTATCTTTATTGTCTTTCAGTTACAGCTACGTTCTAAGGAACATTCGTGAAGGAACAATTCATACATATGAAACATATTTGAGCTTCAAATATGGTATGCACAATTCATAGTTACATGAAAAACATGTAAAGAATGTATGTAGACCAAAATCTTTGCCTTCAAAGATGGTAAAATTTACATGATTGTCCCACCTTCAGAATAATTTTTATGCTGTAGTATTTCCCACTGTGATTACCTGGTAGAATTACAGCACGAAATGCATACAGTTTGTTAATTATTATTGTTAACCTGTTTCCATCTACTTACATAAAATGACTTAATATGATTTAATTTGTTTTTCTTTTACATTTTTTATTGAAGTACTTAAATATAGGGAAATATACAAATGATTAAGATAACATTTCATGCCAAATGCTCTAAGAACAGGATTAAAACACAAAATCCTATTTGTTTAATATGTAGATATAGTAGCAGTGTGTATGATTGGATTATGTGGTTGCATATTACAGTAGTGTGCATTTTTTCACATGCTGGATCATACTGACAGTAGTAGATAAAATTGGGCCAGTAAGGTTTGAAAACATCATGAAAAATGTTGTAAACTGGACAATATCAGTCTAACAAAGACACAAGAAAGGTACAGTGAAACAGTTAGCCAGCATATGGCTTCCAAATTTAGAATTCTGAAAAGGTTTTCATCTTCATAAATATTTATTATCCACGAGTCTAAATTTACTTTGTTGCAGAACACAATCATTGAATGTATGTTATTTGTAAGTCTTTAACAATCTTTTATTGAATTCACTCACCCTGCATAGCTTATAAAACTGGTAGAAAACAAGATCTGTGCACCAGGAAAAAGACATATTTGCCATATTTCAGTGAAGAAAGGCCATATGTCATTCACTCACTGAATATTTTATTCAATATGTCAGGAAAATAAATCCAAAATCAACAAGCAACACATCTTTTTAAATTATTCAAAACACATAATAGTTCTATTCATGGGTGGAAGCAGTAATAACACAAGGAAAACAACTACACAGTACAAAAGGATATTGTTGTTTTCAATCCAGTTGGTTGTTTAAAAAATCAACTTACTATGATTCTGCAGATTATGTTCTAAGATTGGATATAGCTTAAAATGTTAAATATGCTTAAGTACAATCTCAAGAGACAGTTACTTGCCACTGTAATAAAAATAAATTGCATGTCAATGTATCTCTGGAATCTTTTTAAACAATTTTGTTTCAAATGAAGAAAGTAGCAAAAAAATAAGTGGAAGTAGATTTCCTCCTCTGGCTGTGATAGGGTAGCTTATACTAGGCAAATGCTCTTTTCTGCCAATAATTAAAAAAAAAGTAAAATCAATTTAGAAAAAAGGCTTGGTTCAAATGTGACAATGAAGCTAGCATATGAGGCGCAAGATACTTGCAAAAAGGGAAGCTCAAGAAAGAAATAAAAAATATGTGAAAGACAGCTGGTTAATAACCTAAGGAATACATAAATTCAAGAGAGAAGTTCTTTTAAGCCTTATGATTCTGAAGAAACAAAAGTAGATTAAGAAGTCAAGGAAGACAGGCCATAGGAAAAACGGTATGCTTCAGTTGTAACACTTAAGGGAAATAAAGCAAAATAGAGCTACACTGAGACTTATAAAGATTACAGATCCAGCTTGAATCTAACAGTGGCTGACAGTATAGAAATGATTATCGCTCTGCTAGCCTCTTGATAGAGGATAGGGAATCGTTTCTAGGAATGAGAACATCATGAAGATGTTCATGAAGATGATATATTTTCCTAAAATGGATTAAAAGTCACCAAACATACTGAGAAAGGAAAGAAACGCATCATGAGAAAAAAAAGAAATAGATATAGATAACACGGATATGAATATTGGATATTATAGAGACACTTTGAAATTACTGTAGTTAAAATGTTCAAGAAAACAAGTGACAAAATGTAGTATCTCCTTAGGGAAGTTGTATCTACTAAAAGATCAAATAGATAAAGTAGGAATAAAAAACAAAATAAGTAAAATTCATGATTTATCATGAGAGTCCATGAAGTAAACTAAAACATAGCTAGAGATGACAATGTTAAACTTTATCTAACTCCAATGTTTCCAAACAGTACTTAAGGTTGAGAAATCTCAGTCCTTTTGCGTTCTGAGAAAAGGCTAATCAAAAAGAACCACCTTTGTACAGATACAAAACCCAACTCACTTTTCCTCATTGACTCAGATGAGCCTCACTTCTATTCTTTCTTATGACTTCTGCAAAACTCACTGATGACTCCCTTGTTAACCTGCCTCTAAAAATCCTTAGGATCCTCTTATGTTTTCAATGTCTCCTCCAAAACTCATGTTTGAAACTTAATTGCCAATGTAATGATATTGGGATGTGGGCCTTCAAGAGGTGATTAGGGCCGGGCACGGCGGCACATGCCTATAATCCCAGAACTTTGGGAGGCTGAGGCTGGTGGATCACCTGAGGTCAGGAGTTCAAGACCAGCCTGGTCAACATGGTGAAACCTTGTTTCTACTAAAAATACAAAAATTAGTTGGGTGTGGTGGTGCATGCCTGTAATCCCAGATACTCAGGAGGCTGAGGCAAGAGAATCCCTTGAACCTGGGAGGCAGAGGTTGCAGAGAGCCGAGATCACACCATTGCACTCTAGCTTGTCCAGCCTGGGTGACAGAGCAAGACTCTGTCAAACAAACAAACAAACAATACAAACAAACAAACATCATTAGGTCATGTGATCTCCACTGTCATGAACAAATTCATACCTTTATCATGTGAGTAGGTTAGTTATCATCGGAGTAGGCTCCTGATAAAAGGATGAATTTAGCTCTCTGTTTCCTAATCTCCCTTGCCATATGATGCTTTCTGCCATGGGATGATGCTCACCAGATGTGAGCATCATACTCTTCAACTTCCCAGCATGCAGAACAATGAGCAAAATAAACTTCTATTCTTCAAAGTTTGTGGCATTCTGTTATAGCAGCAGAAACCACTAAGACCGTTTGTCTTATTATTGTGGAGATGTTGCTTATTAAGTGTTCTCTGTATCATATAATCTGGATAAAATTACCTCATTAATTAGCTGTGTATTTCATCTTCCACAGAGAAAAATCAATAAATTAAAAGGTGAAAATATTAAGACTCTACCACAGAGAGTAAAAAGCATGGAAAATTCTGAAAAGATTGTAAGAGATATATAGGAACTTGAGAAAAATTTGAACATATATGTATTTAGAATCTCAGAATGAGAAGAGCAATAAAAAAGAAGAAGAAAAAATATTTGAAGATATGATAGCTGATAATGTTTTAAAGTATATTTCAAAGACATCAATCTACAGATTCAAAAAGAAACTGCAAATCCAAGTAATAAAATTACAGTAAAACAAATGTCTAGGCATATCATAATAATAAAACAGAACAAGACAAGAAAAAATATACAAAGAAACCAGAAAAAAAATTAGAGTCAAATAAGTGATAATAATGCACCTTATTTCTCAATAGATAAATAATGTAATCCAGATTATGATGGATAGACTGATATTTTTTAAATAGTGAAAGAAAAGAAGCTTAACCTAGATTTTTACACTGTGAAAACACTCTTCAAATATGACGCTAAAGTGAAATCATTTTGGTACACAAAAACTAAGGACATTCATCATTAATAGACCTGAAGTAAAAGAATACTTTGAGACAGGCATGCACATTATAAAGTGTAGGGTAATCATTAAAGAAATAGTGTAGTGGTCAAGGGAAACTTCCCCTTCACCTTCAGAAGGTTCACTGAAAAATTAACTCACAAATGGCAGATTAACTGGAGAGAAAGACTACAAATTGTATTAATGTGTGCACCAGGAGAACTAGAGTTATAACTCACCCCATAACAGGGTTTGGAAGCCTCGATACCATCCTGGCAAAATAGGTTATGGGAGTGGGAGGAGAAATCTGTTAAAGGGATTGCTAGGGAGAATTAATGGATCAGAAAACAGAGATTACCTTGCACATTATTTTGTGAAGGCTCTGTTCAGATGTGGTTACATTCTTGGTTCTACAGGGTGGAGGAGAATAAAACAATTGTTCTCCTTAGGGGATCTAGACTTCAGGCAGATAAAGGAACTGAATAACTTCATCTTGTGCTTTGGGAGAGATGGTGGAGCATGAAGACCAGAAACAACCTTTAGGCTTCTTGAGTTCAGCATATCAACATGCCATATTTTGGGGAAATTTTTTTCTGAGACCCAACAATAGTAAAAGAATAAAAATAAATATCTTAATAAGTGTGAATGAAACAAAAATAGTTGATTAACTTGAATACTTGAAATTAGCAAAACTTGAGGTTAGGGCACAGTGCTCCAGATGGCCAAGTCTGCCCAAGACTTTAGAAACTAACTGCAAATTTGAAGGTTTTCCAAATCCACAGTCAGATTTAATTATCTACTATAATGGTTTACAGAACTAAGGACAGTGCTATCCTTATATCTCCCAAGATCTGTCTTAACCTAACTTTCCTAAATACCAGTTAACAAGGATAGCCTGATCATATTGACCAATCTTTTCCTAGCTTGCCCAGTACTTTTCTACTAGCTCAGTCTAGTGCCTAAAACTCCCAATCTTTTGTTTCAGCAGAGTTGAACTGAATGTCAATTATTACAATAGTCTTGATCCCTGTTTTCATAGTCTCTAACAGCCAGGTGCGTTGGCTCAAGCCTGTAATCCCAGGACTTTGGGAGGCCGAGGCATGTGCATCACTTGAGGTCAGGAGTTTGAGACCAGCCTGGCCAGCATGGTGAAACCCCATTTCTACTAACAATACAAAAATTAGTCAGGTGTGGTGGCACACGCCTGTAATCCCAGCTACTCAGGAGACTGAGGCAGGAGAATCACTTGAACCTGGGAGGCAGAGGTTGCAGTGAGCCGAGATTGTGCCTTTGTACTCCAGCCTGGGCAACAGAGCAAGACTCGGTCTCAAAAAAAAAAAAAAAAAAAAGTCTCTAACAAAGTCTTCCTTGACTTTTTAACTCCATTTTGTGCATTTTTTCTTTGACAATTGCAAAACATATCACACATGTGATTAGAAAGGAAAATTACAGACTGATCTCTTGTAAACATATGTGCAAAAATGCTAAAGAAAATAGTAGCAAACCAGAGATCTATTAAGTAAATACTATCTGATGGCCAGCTTGAACTTATTCCAGAAACACAAATTTACTTGATTATTTAAAATCAATCAACGTAATTTCCCATATTCACAGAACAAAGGAGAAAACCATTTGTTTTAATATTTATTCATGGGAAAAATCTTTAAAAAGTACAAATGAAAAGGAAATTCTTTAACCTGGTAAAGAACTGAAAAAAATTTACACTTTCCTTAGTTTGCAATGCCAATAGCAGAGGCAAGGACTAAAGAATGGAGGGCAAGTAGTGGGTTTTGAAGGGAACAACGGTAGAAAAGAGGGAAAGGGATACAGGGAAGGAACTCAATAAAGAGTAGATTTTTGAGCAGTCTTCTACAGTAGGTAATTGAAGCTTAATTCAATGGAGAAATAGGGAAATGCTTCAAAAAACATGACTCAAGGGAAAGAAGTATTTATATACCACTGTGATTCAGTAAGTAGTTAAAAGCTGCTTCTTGAGGTGTTAATTTCCTGGTATTTCTAAGCCTGCCAAGTGGCTGGACAGGGCAGCTTTCCAGAAAAACCCTCTGCATTAATGATGCTGATATTAAATGTTGAAATTCCAGTGAACCAAATTTAAAATGTAAGAATTAAGGTGTGAGGGAAGACTATTTACTGGTTTCTTAGAAACAATGGCAAACCAACAACAAACAACCAAACAAAAAACTAAAGTTTTTCTTCAAAATAACTAGAAAAAAACCGATCTTCATTAGAGGCAGTTTTATTCAACACTGAACTGGATGAAATGAAGTCATTGAATAAAGCAAAAATAGAATAAAATA
The DNA here is from genome assembly GCF_000001405.40 of Homo sapiens. Lineage (NCBI taxonomy): Eukaryota > Metazoa > Chordata > Mammalia > Primates > Hominidae > Homo > Homo sapiens. The sequence continues at coordinate 59,978,941 of NC_000004.12, read as the reverse complement.
CAAAGCATTCTGGAAAAGATTAAGTGAAAACATTATTACTTGCAGCTGACAATTATTTAATTAGAGAATATTTTAGAAATCTACATATTTTAAAAATGAATGTGTAAACTTTAAAAGGTTACAAAATACAGTGTCAATATTCATAAATTAGTCATATTTCTACAGATAAGCAATAGACAGTCAATATTTTGGTGATATCAAACACCAAAGAATATATGTTTTAAAAAGTTATGAAAGGCATCTATGAAGACTGCTACAGAGTATTACCAACAGAATTTAAAAACCTAAATAAATAAAATTAATCCAAGTTTATGGATTGGAGAAATTAAATATTACACCATATTAATTACTCTCAATTAATCTTTGGATATTAGGCAATCACAAACAGAACCCCAGCATCTTGTCAATGGGTGGTTCTAGAGTGGCAAGTTTATTCTGCAGTTTTGTGAAAATGCAATGGCCTAAGAATAACCGGAGACTATTGAGGAAGAAGAGCACATTTGGATAATTAATATTCGCAGTAATACTTAGTATAAGTTACATAGTTAACAGCATGAGGTTTTGCCAAAAAAAAAAAATAGAAAATAATTCTCTCGAACAAAATAGAAAACCTACACATATAGTGACAGTTGTTTTATGATAATATGCTTCTCAAGTGGATTTGGGACAAACAGTACTTTTTAACAAATGATGTTGGAACAATTAAATATTTATGAGAGAAAAAAGTGACTCAAGATGAGTACAGCCCAAAAGTATCTGTAGGATGGAAAAGTTTTCCAACTGCTTCAATATGGTAGCCATTAGCCACATGAAGTTGTTGAGCACTTCTCTCAATATGTGATAGATAAACTAAATTTTTGACTTGAATATATTTAATTTAAATTAGCTATGTGCCTTGTGGCTACTTGTATTACTTTGAACCATAAATATATTTATATTAAGTAGATAGCATACATAAATGAGGGGGACAAAAAAGCTACTTAATATAACATAAGAGAATATCTTAATGTCCTTGATGAGACAAATATTCCTTAAACAGAATAAAATGGAATTGAACATAAAGAAAAAAGATTGATTAACTGAAATGTATTTAATTTTAAAAATTACATTTATCACAAGCCACCATTAAATGTGAAAATGTAGGTCAAGGAGTCATAGAAATAATTTTAAAAACATATCCAGCAAATGATTCAAATGCAGAAAATATTTTAAAAAACTGCACACATTAATATGAAAAAGGAAATTTAATACAAATGAGCAAAAGGTTGAAAAGGCTCTTTATATTTCAAGAAGGCAAAATTCAAATGGTCAATAAATGTGACACTTTGTTTAACCTCGTTTGTTACTAGGGAAATAGGACCTAAACCTAAGTGCTTTACTACTGTATACTCATTAGAATGGCTACAACTTTAAAAGGAAGGTTTTGCCACTGTTTTGTAACAGTGTTGAATAACTGGAACATTCATATACTTCAGGTGGAAGTTAAAATTCATACAAACCACTTTAAAAATCATTTGTCTTTTTCTATTAAACTAGACATGTGCATTTCCCATGACATAGTAATTTCAATGTTAAATTTATACAACTAAAATGCATGTATGTGTGCACCAAAACAAATGTTGTAGAATGTTTATAATTGGATTAGTTATATTACCCTAAATATGGATACAAATGAAATAGCCACTCAAAGTAAAATAAGTACATATGCTATATTGTTGGTAAACAATAAATATTATACAGAAATGAGAAAAAAATTATTGCTACCTTCAATGATCTATATGACTTTTACAAGGTAATGTTAACCAATTGAAATCAGACATAAAATATGACATAATACATAATTTGGTTTATTTACAGTTCAAAAATACACTAATCCATGTTGATAAAAGTCAGGCGAATGTTTCTTTGTGTCAATTAGTAACTCAGAAGGAACACAAGAGGAATTTCTTGAGGGCTGCTAATGTTCAAATATTTTAACATATTGGTAGTTTCATTAGTGTGGTTTAAAAATTCATCAAACTTTTCACTTATAATCATACTAAAGTAAAATATCATTAAGTTTTACATAGAACCAAAAAAGCTACCTTGAAAAAAAATAGTGGAAGCCTGGGCTTTGAAAGATAATCTTTTCAGTAGAGTTAATATGCAATTTTTGGAAGAATTATTACTTTATTTCATTTGGCCATATCCTCTGAAAATGGTGAACTTGCTGTGTTTCAGCAGTTTGTCAGTTCCTTTTTCGATAATGCCTGTTCAATCTATGAATGTTAGAGTTGTAAGATAAATTTTTTCTTGTGATGTAAGAAAAAGAACAGGACAGATGTTATACTTTCTTTGGAATTTAAGATATATTTCAGGTTAAGGTGCACAAGGTAGACTGAAGATCCGGTAAAAAGCACAATACAAATAGCTCAAAGATTTAAGAAATATTGACCAAAAGTATGTAGAGAAGCTAATATTATTGAGATATTTGCATTAGCAAAGAGAGTTTAGGAGAGTCTAGTGAAATGCAGTCACTACCTTTCTGACTCCCATGTAGCTGGGGGAAGTAAAAATTTCTGAAGCTCAAAATCTCCTTTCAGAATTTCATATCAGGCTGAATAATACTCAAATTGTTGCCAGAATGTAGTGCGAAATGAGTTTAAAGTACCATGTCACAGGCAAGGATGAAACTGCGTACTGTTACAAATGATGTATCCTAAAATCTATTTTTCTTGTTGATTATATATCTATTTAAACCTTAAAAATTAAAATTTATATTTCCTATGAAATAATTATACTATTAATTTTATAATTCAGAAAATATTTATGATATTCTTTTATGTTAACTATGCTGTCCTGTGTACTGGGCAAAAAATAAATAAATAAATTGCCAAAGCAAAAAGCTCATTCTCCTGAAGTCACATACACTGACATTTATAGTTTGCTATGGAAAGTGCAATGGAAAATGGGCATTTGAATCATTTTTGAGAAACAATAAAAAGATAGAGTAGAAGAGAAGTTCCTGAAGAATAATGAAGTGTGGGTCTTGTAGACCACTGGGAAGTGACTGAGTGAATTTAAGCAGAGGATTTACATGATCAGAATTATATTTTTAATATCTTACTCTGCCAACTGTGAAGAAGATGAATGTGAGTGGGATGAGAAAGGTACTGGGAAACCACTTATACTGCAACTGCAGTAGAGGAAGTAAGAAATAAGAGGTTGAACCCCATAAGTGGTAGAGATAACATACCTAAGTGAATAAGCTCATAAAATATTTCTTTATGTGATCTTGGTCACATAAATCCCCAAAACACCTGCCCTCCAGCAGGCTTTTGACTGCATCAAAATACCTAGAGTTGGATGAAATGTTCAACTTTCTCAAATCACTAGCAAAGAGTGTGGTTTTGTAATAATTTGTTTATACTATAATTATTATTTCTCTTGAGGATGAGGAAAATTTCATCTTTTCTGAACTCATCTGTGCCTGACACCTGAGCAACACTGAGTTTCTGTAAACAGGGAAATGGGGACGAGGTAATGATGACTGTTAGATAATTTAGAGCGTCTGCTGTATCATTGGAGAATAGGAGAGTTAAAAAGTTGAAGATTTCTTAAAATATCTTCCTAAACTGCAAATAAGTACAAGTTCAACTCAAAATTTGGGCAAAATTTAATTAAATTTCTTATTTAATATCAGACTATTCATACATTCATCACTTGAATGAATTAAAATGGAATTAACACACACATAGATCACCCTAAATGCCCTAAATGCATTTTGTGCCTTATTAGTCTTCAGCATTTCTTATAATTTTTTTTTTAGTTCAAACTTTTTCCCAGTACCAGACTTCACTCTGAAAAATGGCTTTCTCTACTTGTCAGAGAACTCCACGACCATTTTTTAGTTAATCAAAAAACTTGTATTGTTTATATCGGATTACATAATTCTACCATCCTAGAAATCCTGATATATCAGAATAAATAAAATGTTTAATAATTTTTCATTTTTCTGGTTTTTAATGAAGACAGAAGACCAATTTATAGATCAATGGTCATTCATCCATGTTTATGCACTTGGTTTGTGTCAATTTTCCATGACACACATCACGTTGCAAAAACTTTCACTCTAACAAAGCACAACATTGGCAACTAACTAGAAATGTATACTTTCCAAGCCAAGAGCATGTTTAAATAAAGTGTTGTGGTGAATATAAAAGAAATAGGAAAAATTTGGTTAACATATGGTATATTTCATGGTTTATCCAAAAATGTCTCCTCATTCGTTAAATTAAGCTTCTTTTACCTAATCACAAGCAGGACACTGTCATATGTGTCACAGAGAGCATTGTGAGATTTAAGAAACTCAGAGTAGCTTCTATTTAATCTTTGGCTTTTCTGCCTCAATGATTTCTTCTCACGTCATCCTAATTAACATAATGAGCTCTCTCCAATCTCAGTTTCTTTTATTTGCTCTGAATGTAGTTCCACAATAAAATCATCAACAGATTGCTACATGATCAGCAGTTTCTACATCTAGAGTTTACTATAGAGGCAAATTAGTAGTCTGATTATTTACCAAGTGATGAAAATTACATTTGTTTATGGGTTATATGTTCACTGCTATCACAGAATTAATTTTAAATATTTAACGTATATTACTTTCTCTTGCTTTTATATATGAATTACCAGTGTAAAGTTTAAGTGTAAGGATAGACAGTTATAAATTTGATTGCATTCTCAAAATATTGCAGACTTTTTAACCTAAAATTTTATAAGAAAGGAGGAGTCAAGTTATTCTTGAAAAATTCACTCAGAAAAAAAGAGTTAACATAAATTTAATAGTTTTATAACTTATATGTGGTTACCGAATAATATATTCACATGAAATAATTATAAATATGCAAATTAAATTATAGGATTTTTTAAACAGCAAACTAATTATAGAAAGAAAATATTTGGAAAAGCGATACAGAAGAAAGATATAGTATTTTTATCATCAAAAAAGTACTATTTTTAAATTTTGTTTAAATACCAGTTTAAATTTTTCGGTAAAAATAAACATTTGCATTATAAATGTAAAAGTCAATAAAGAGGTAGAGGCAAAACTAAGGATTTGAAATCAGTGAAATCTTTTTGCTACATTTCATGTCAGATTTTATTACTCATAGTTTTGCTATCTTATAAACATTTGAAGCACTGTCTATGTGGCTACCTCTGTGCACACTCTGACATTCTGACAGGGCCTACACAGCTGGAGAAAGTGCTTTTTCTGTCAGACTCTAGTTTTAATTGATGTCATAGTGCTGAATCATTGCTTTATAGTATTCTTCCAAAGAGTTACGTGATGTGCTGACTACTTAAATTTGATAGTGCTTGCATCATCCCAATAGTTATATTTTTGCTGTTTCCATTAGTCTTGTTCTATCATTTTTGACTTCCTTAATAATTATCAGGTCTTGACAAATAGAAGTCAATATATTGTATTAGAGGCTTTAAATATAAATTTTTTAAAACTCTCATGTTTATCACTATGTGAATATTTATTTTGATCTGCTTTCCCAGACTCAATGGTGTTACAAGTTATTATTAGAGATATTTTAGAATTTAATATGGGCAAAAATTTATGCTCTTTAAAAAACAACACAAAAACTGGTTATCATTAGTTTAATAAATTCCAGCTTACTGAAAAGTAGCATATGACCATTTCTACATATGTTCATAATTACACGGCATATGCATATATTAGACATTTGAAAAAAATACGGTTTTTAACTTATTCCCGGAGGTTGTTGGCATTTTCAAAAACTCAAACCCTTCCCTGTCTCTTTTTCCCTGCCCTCATCCTAGAACTCACAAAGTATGAAACTTTAGGGAATGTAATATTTTGCTTTACTCCTTAAATTGTTTCATTTCTACATTCTTTGTAACTGAATTCTTCATTTGTTAACCTATGTTGACTCTGACTTGCAAGCATTCTACTTCAATGGCCAGAATACCTAATTAGTTCAATATATATTTTACATATATTTTGATATTCAGGAAAAGAACTACTGTTTGTAATGACTAATTCCAGTATAGAAAATATGAAAACTATAATCACAGTAGTTTTCATATTTTCTAACAATGCATATGGGCAAAAGGACATATTCAATGGTGAGCAAATTAATTCGCTTTCAAAGGTATTCATGAGCACACTGGGGAAACATATACACTTGTCAGTTGCATTTATTTGCTTCATTTATTCTAAGCAAGTCATCCATTCTCACAATTAGACAAATGATCATCAATTTTTGTGGGAAACATCACATTTTCACATTTTATTCTTTGTATTCAGGATTAATAATAACTTTCATGATAAGGAATTTCCACTTTTTAGGTATTGTTACAATATAAATAAAACACTGAAAAAGTTTTCCTGCTCAGGTTCACTTCTAAAAGAAACACGTACCCTAAAAAATAAAAAAAATAAAAAAAGAAAAACATATCTACCTGGTCATTATACTTAAATTCTTATAGTTAGATAAGAAATGTTAATATTTAGGTATGCTTTTACTGTATCCTTATTGTATGTTATTAGAAATAACATCTGAGGCCAGGTGTGGTGGCTCATGCCTGTAATCTCAGAACTCTGGGAGGCCGAGATGGGAGGATCGTTTGAACCCAGGAGTTTAAGACCAGCCTGGGCAATATAGTAAGGCCTCATCTCTACAAAAGATTTAAAAATTAGCTGAGCATGGTGACATATGCCTGTAGTCCCAGCTACTCAGAGGATCACTTGAGCCCAGGAGTTTGGGCTGCAGTGAGCTGTTATCACGCAGCTGCACTGTAGCCTGAGCTGCAAAGCAAGATCTTATCTCAAAAAAAAAAAAAAAAGATTGGCCTGGAAAGTTTAGTAGTTTCATCAGTAGATACCACTTTTGAGTCTGGATTTATATCTAACTGAAAATTTTAGTTTTTTCCTTCATTGTTCTGAAATGCCATTGCATTTCATTTATGCAGAGATTTGACAATTTTCAGCACATGCAAATATTTAAATGACTAGATTGTTCGAATGTTAATTAACAGTGAATTCTTGTTTGCTCACACTTTGCCCAAACAATGTGATTCAAAGAATACTGGAATAAGGCAAACATGGCATTTCTGTATTTCTAACATCACAAATAGAAGATAAAGAGTGATCACATTTGATGATTAGAGGAAATAGAAGTTGAGAGTAGAAAATGGAATATTATAACAAAACAAAAAGCAATCAAGCCCTCGAGGGTCATAATACATCCTAAAGAGTTAACTAATATGTCTTTATAAACTAATTAAAAAAATAGAATTCGAAGCCTTTTGAGTAGTACCTAGAGAAGCCTTTTGTAGGTCTCTTTTATGTTCCCACACATTAGAATCTGGGGGTAATAAAGTTTAAGATAAAGACTAAATGGTGAACAGAAATTAGACTAGTAAGTTTATGCATATAAAGCTTGGTGGAGGGAAGGCATGGAGATGAGAAATCGATGTGTATAGAGAGTTCCAGGCTGAGGGATCAACATAGAGAAGTGGGGGATGATAGAGGTCATGCTGTAAAACCAAAAAATAGATATGATAGAATTCAAAAAGTGAGAGGTGTACTTTCTAAATTGTACGTTCAATGTCTTAGAGAATAAATCATAAAGACACTAACTTTGGAATTGTCATACTGAATATGCAGTAGAAGCATACATTACTGGTGTTAAAATAAATGATAGTTACAATAGAAGTTGGATTCTTAGGTGTTAACACATCCATGAATTGTAAAGACTACATTTATATTTGACTTCTCAGGATATTTTGGATTGCTTTCATAGCTATCTTCAGGAATTATCCCTAGCTTACTTAAATTTTTTACATAGATAAAGACACTACCACAACAGAAATTTAAATCAAAGAATAAACTCTAAAAAATCACATTAATATATGGACCGGGGGCAGTGGCTCACGCCTGTAATCCCAACACATTGGGAGGCCCAGACGGGCAGGTCACTTGAGGCCAGGAGTTACAGACCAGCCTGGTCAATATAGTCAAACCCTATCTCTACTAAAACTACAAAAATTAGTGAATGTGGTGGTGCACACTTGTAATCCAAGCTACTCAGGAAGCTGAGGCATAAGAATTGCTTGAACCCAGGAGGCAGAGGTTGCAGTGAGCTGAGATCGTGCCACTGCATTTCAGCCTAGGAGACAGAGCACAACTCTGTCTCACACACAAGCACACACACACACACACAAAATATATATATGCACATAAAAATATATATACATATGTAGGTAAATATATATATAGATATATATATTATATATTCACATATGTAGATAAACAGGAAAAAAGAATCTCTTTTGCTCCAACCTCCACCTCAAAGATCCAACTTCTCATTTTTACACCTTTGTCCCAGAAGACTCTTAACGGACTGTGAATGTCTTGCTTGTGCCTTCTTCTGGACCATGTTTCAACTGGATATGTTCTGTGGTAGACGACCACTAAGATGGTCCCTAGTAATCCCCACTTCCTGATTTTTAGGCCTGGATGTAATATCTTCTATTAAATGTGATTTGGCCTTATTGACCCACCTCTAATGAAGATTATAGAGTATAAGCGATAGAATGTAATTTCTGGGATCAGTTTATCAAAATATTGTGGCTTTTGTTCTGAGTGTTCTCATTTGGTCTTAAATCATTCACCGTAGGAGAATCCAAGTTCCTAACTGTGAGTTAGCCCTGTGGAGAGGTCCATATAGCAAGTGACCAGGTCAGGAAACAACTGCATGGGTAAATTTAGAAATAAACCTTCTCAGTTAGTCCTTCAGATGGGACTATAGTCTGAGCCAAAATGTTGAGTGCTTCCTCGTGACCGGCCTTGAACTGAAGGTATTCAGTGAAGCTGAGCCCAGATTCCTAACCCACATCAGCTGTGAAAAAATATGTCTGTTGTTTTATGCCACTATGTTTTGAAGCAATTTTTAAATTCAGAAATAGAAAATTAATGTAATTTTTGTACCAAGAGTGGGCTGCTGTGCTAAATAAAAGTAAAATGGGTATGTCTTTGGAGCGTGGTAGTAGGTATGAGGACAGTGTAACTCAGAGCTGAAACTATCTTTAAAAATTTTAACCAGAAGCCTCATAATCTTTGTTATTGCAGTCAATTGAGGACTTTTAGGAAAATAAGATCTTCTGAAAAAACTAAAGGGGAATCATTGTTATGTAGTGTGATACAAAGGTTAGCAGCATTCTTGCTTGCGAGAATGAGTATAGTAGAAAATGTGCCTAATGAACAGAGTGATTTAATTAAAGGAATTTTTCAAGCAAAGGCATTCACTGTGGAGGTGCTTTGCAGGAAGGTGTTGCGTGGGTTTTTCTTACTGCTTCGAGAAAAAAGTTAGATGAGAAAGATAAATTGACGGATGAATTGTTAAGCAAAAAGAAGCCAGGACTTGATGGTGTTGAAAATTCTTAGACTCTACAAATGTCAAACGATGCCATAATGAAAATGAAAATAACAAACTGTTTCCAAGCAAGCATGAAATCCAGGACACTCTTTGGAAAGTGATTGGAAAGCGTGATCTAAAGATGAGATAAAAACGTGACTGTAAATTCCTTTGTTAAAATCTCAAAAGACCAAAGACAGTTTTTCAGAGCATTGAGATAGACAAAAGCCATTTTAAGGAGTTTAAGATATGCTAGATATCTTTCAGTTAAACAATAGAGCATTTAAGATTCTGAGGGCTGCTGTCCCCCAGCTGTGTCATAAGACACCAAAAGTAGAGATTTGTGGATGTGGATTTGTCTAATGGAGTGAACACCAGTAAGATTATCAGAATAACTACAAAGATTCTAAAATAATTATGTCAACAGAAGCATGAGCAGCTAGGGCTGAATGGCACAGACAGAGTTCAAAAGGAAGAGGGGCCGGGCACGGTGGCTCACGCATGTTATGCTAGCATTTTGGGAGGCCAAGGCAGGTGGATCACCTGAGCTCAGGAGTTCAAGACCAACCCGGGCAACATGGGGAAACCCTGTCTCTACTACAAGTACAAAAAATGTGTCAGGTGTGGTGGCACACGACTGTAACCCCAGCTACTTGGGAGGCTGAGGCAAGAGAATTACTTGAACCCAGGAGGCAGAGGTTGCAGTGAGCCTAGAGTGTGACATTGCACTCCAGCCTGGGTGACAAGAGTGAGACTCTGAAAAAAAAAAGAAAGAAAAGAAAAGAAAAGAGGCTGTTGTAAAATTCTACCTGCAGGTGAGAATACTACTCAACTATACACATGTGCTGTTTTTGATTTAAAAAGCAAACAAACAGTAAGGATGACTCAAACAGCTGAATAAGAGTCTTGGAGAATAACTCCTGGGCCAGAGAACTGAGTTCTAATCAATGAATATCCAATATTTGCCTGGCTGGACTTCAAATGGAGGAATGATTCTTTTGTGCCTCCTGTTTTCCCCTTTTTGAATAAGAACATTCCTGGTGATGATCCTAGGCTTATTTTTCTACACTTGGTGTATGCGTATTTGTGTGTGTGTTTTGTCTCCGTAGTTTATATCGCTACAGATTCAGAGGGACTGCACCTAAGAAGCCGTATTTGAGCGACTACATCAAAGGAGCCATATCTGCCTCCAGACCCTGTTTTAAATGGTAAGATTCTAGACACCGAGCTGTTATTCTTAGGGTATTTGTCTACTATGGGACTTTGGAAAGGTTGACTGGAATGAATCACTGAGGGGCAGAGAGTGAATTGTGTTATCTAGCCTCCAACATACTTCCCAGTGATTCCTTGTGTATTCCTGTATTACATTGTCCCATGGTTTGTCTGTGTGCGTGGTAAAATATTGCAGATATGATGGTATGCCAATTCTGAAATTGGGATATAAAAGTCATTTTGGCTTCTGCCTTACTCCTTCTCTTTTTGGAATACAATTTTTGGGGAATCCATTTGTCATATTATGAGCAGCCCTATGATAAGTCCATGTGGTCAGGAGCTGAACCCTTTTATCAACAACCATGTTAGTAAGCTTGGGAGCAGTTCATTAAGCTCCAGTCAATTCTCTAGATGACTGCAGTCTCCACTGACAGCTTGACTGCTACCTCATGAGAGTTCTTAGGCTAGAAACACCCAGTTAAGTTGACCCAACATTCCGGACCTTCAGAAACTGTTTGAGATAATAAATGTTTATTTCCAGCAGTTGATTAGTATGGGGCAATTTGTTATACAGCAGTAGATAACTATTATAAGTACCAATATGGCCATTTACAGGAGAGTTAGACATTGGCATTGTCTTGATGCATCATCTAAAATTTATTTATACATTCACCTTCCTTACTTTTTCTCTCTTTTTCCTTCCTTCCACCCTCCTTCCCTCGTTTCCTCCCTCACTTCCATCCTTCTCCACGTTCTTTTTGTCTTATTTTAAAATTTTTCTTTCTGAAAATATTTTTTGAATCTCTTCTATGTGTCAGATGCAGATAATTCAGTAATAAGGCCGAGATGTTTACACTACTTAGATTCTGGTGGGGGTAGGGGTGGCATAAACATGGCACTCTCATTCTTACAAAGAAAATAGACAATAAATATGTACATACAATAATTAATAATGTAAGTTTAGATAATAAGAAGTCTTATGAAATCAATATAACATGAAATGTTTGCTGTGATGAGACACCTAAACTAGAAATTTTAGACAGGGAATTTAGAAAATATTTTAATGGGAAAACAAATGAGTCCATACCTGAATAATGCAAAGGAGGTCAAATATGTCAGCCTTAGAAAAGGGTGCCCTATGCAGAGGAATCTTCATGGCAAAACCTAGGATTATGACTCTATTCCTTTTATGTTTCTGTGGTCATCAATAATTTCCATGCCTTCATTCTGGTAAATGTTATTGGTCCAGAAGTGAAAATATGTCTTAGCTCAAATGAATTGAGATTAAGATCTCTCTTCTCTGGGGCATGACCAGGAAATCACATTGTCTTATTTGTTGCTGGCAACATTCTTAAAGCCATGAGATAAGCAATGTGTCATAGACCAGCATGGTGAAAAGCAGAGGCCACATAGTACTGAGAAGCAGAGGTGAAATTTTGATGGTATTATATCTGAAGCCTACATAATTCTGAATGTTCTCTCTTGTGATATAATTAATTGTATTATCTTCTAGGATGTTTGTAGCAGGTTTCTGTAATGTGGTCAAAGGCATCTATATGTAATTCATCTTTTGCCCATTTATCTCACTTAAGAATTTATCGCATGAAAAGAGTTAGACGTTGAAGTATATAGCTATAAAAGTTATATAGAGAGTTCTAAGTAGAATTTTATGATGTCTAAGTAGATGACATAAATACAATTATAAAAACAGTTTAAGTATTTTCAAACAAGGTGTAAATAAGTATTACTTGACTGGTTTTAATTATATTTTCAAATAATGTTTAAAGACATGAGAGGATGCTTATGATCAATGCTTAAGAAAGGAAGCAAAGCACTAGATAATGTAGAATCCAAATTTTTAGAAAATATAAAGAGACATATACACACAGACATGAAGTAAACCTATTATACGAAATATTTATTAAGATGATTTATATATTCTAATTTTAATACTTGGTATATTTCCCATACTTTGTACTTTTTGCTTTTTCAATTAGCTCATATTATCTTATAATAAAAAATTCAGGGCTGGGTGTGATTTATCACACCTGTAATCCCAAGTGGGCAGATCACTTGAGGTCAGGAGTTCAAGACCTGCATGGCCAACATGGTGAAACCTCATCTCTACTAAAAATACAAAAATTAGCCAGCTATGGTGGGGCACACCTGTAATCTCAACTACTAGGGAGGCTGAGGTGAGAGGATCACTTAAACCTGGGAGGCAGAGATTGCAGTGAGCCTAGATTGTGCCACCGCACTCCAGCCTGGACGACAGAGTGAGATTCCATCTCAAAATATATATATATATAGTACTATACTGAGGATACAAATCGAGAATACTCTACTCATTTACCCAACATAACTTACTACTTATCTGACTCAATTGTAAGTATAATGGATGTCTTGCTAATGCTTGCTAATGGTAATAAGTAGGTTCTTTTCTAATGTTGTTGTGGTAAAAGTAAATAAACTTTATGATATGGTTTGGCTCTGTGTCTCCACCCAACTCTTACCTTGAATTATAACAATCCCCACATGTCAAGTGTGGGACCAGGTGGAGGTAATGAATCATGGGGGCAGTTTCTCTCATGCTCTTCTTGTGATAATGAGCGAGTCTCAGGAGATGTGATGGATTTGTAAGTGTCTGGCTGCTGCCCTGTGAAGAGGTGACTTCCTCCATGATTGTAAGTTTCCTGAGGCCTCCCTAGCCATGCAGAACTGTAAGTCAATTAAGCCTTTTTCTTTATAAATTACCTATTCTTGGGTATTTCTTTATAGCAGCGTGAGAATGGACTAATACATTCTGTTAATTCCAATACTTACAAATGAATGATATTTATGTCATAAATCAAACTTTAAGAATTATTTAATCAAATTATATTTTATCTTAAATGCATACATACATTCAAACTCATATAAATTTACCCCACACTAAAATAAGAGGAAAGTGGAAAGAGACAGAGATGGGGTTTTATTTTCAAATTTTACTGAACATACATATACAAACCACAAAAAATATTGGGAAACTAAGAGAAAAGGTATCAGCACATATTAGAATATTATGCATATGTTTAGACCTGTCATCTTTTTGGCAAATATTAAAATATGAGTCTTTAATGCTTTAATTATCTGAAAATTCCTTCTGGAAAAATTTTGTCCTAGTTTTCAAAATTGATTTGGAAATATAAATTTATAATTACATATAATTTTGCATATTTCATGGTTATAAACATAAACTATATCAGAGTCTTGAGGTTGAACAGATGAACGAAGTAAAGTTGAAGAATTAAAACATAAGTTAGCATAAGAGAAAAACACAAAAACTTTAAAAAAAGTTTTCTGTAACATTTACATTTCTATGGAATAATTATTGATTCCACAAATGACTGATTTTGGTAACATGGTGAATTAAAAGTAGCTTCCTTCTTAAAATAACCCTTCTATATTACCCTCTTTATTTTGTCTTTAATACACACACTCGAAAGCATAATTTATAAAGAAAAGTAAATAATAATTATACATTCGTTTGCACCAAATAACAGGACAGCTAAATACATGAAGCAAAATCATGCAGAAATCAAGGATGGTTGAGATAAAATGCAACTACTTTGAAATACTTGTCTCTATGACTGATACAGACCTATGTGAAAAGTTTAATTTTAGATAAATTTAGTATTTCAATCAACACATTTTGTGTTATAAATTCACACATACCCATAAAATTGAGATTCTCTTATTGGGACATCTTTTGCTACTAGTTAGGTTTGGTATCATAAGATTTGACAGGTAGTAAAACCCAAAAGTCAAACCTACTTGCACTGAAGCCTGGACCTGTTGCAAAAACCTTTGTTTCTCTGGGCCCCACTCAAAGCTGACAGTCTTGCAGTTCATCCAGAAAATAGGGCAGAGAATAATTCCCAAGTATGGAATAAGGTGCCTCTAGAACTCAATATGGGCCCTTTAAACTTCCTTTTTTAGAAGTGAGATATAAGAGATGCAATTATTGGCTGGGCGAGGTGGCTCACGCCTGCAATCCCAGCACTTTGGGAGGCCGAGGCGGGTGGATCACCAGGTCAGGAGATAGAGACCATCCTGGCTAACACGGTGAAAACCCGTCTCTACTAAAAATACAAAAAATTAGCCGGGTGTGGTGGCAGGTGCCTGTAGTCCCAGCTACTCGGGAGGCTGAGGCAGGAGAATGGCGTGAACCCGGGAGGCGGAGCTTGCAGTGAGCCGAGACGGTGTCACTGCACTCCAGCCTGGGAGACAGAGTGAGACTACGTCTCAAAAAAAAAAAAAAAAAAGAAAAGAAAAGAAAAAGAAAAAAAAAAGAGATGCAATTATTTGTTCTATACTTTGAAAGGAGATCAAGCATACCCTGAACCACCAATTTTACCAGACCCCTAAAACCTTTACTAATATGACTTATCTCTGAATCTTCAAAACGTTTATCTCTCACGTTCTCACACATACGTATGACAGGCTTGCAGGATACTTGCCCAATTCTTGTTCTTTGGTCTGATTCATAGATCAATGTGATTTTTCTGTAAATTGTTCGTAGTCTAGGACATTTTTCTAGACCAAGACTTTAAATTCATTCTATTGTTCGTTAGGTATAAATGGGAATTTATTATTTGCCCTTGTCCCAATAAGAATGAAAGATATTGCACCTGTAAGATCAATTTCAACATACCATGTGTCAAAGACTGTGTTAAACTAGTTTGAGAAAGATACCACTGCACATAATGCAACTGTAATTAAGGCTACTGTTTGTTTAAATTTGAAGTAGTCCATGTCACATGCCATGATTCGTTTAGTTTTTAGGAGCTAGATTGGTAAATGAAAACAAGGGCCACCATTACTAGAATCCTTAAGTCTCTGAGGATGACACTTAATATTTGCCATTTTCCCTGAGTTGAGATAGTGTTTTTGATTTACTATCTTGGGTTGTGGGGTAACAGTGGTGATAGGGAGCTTGAATGGGGCTTTCTCTCCTATAATAGCTCTTAAAGGCCAAGAAACTAATTTAAGACCCTAATAAGTACTACTAAGTATACTAATTTTGACTATATGTATAGCAATGAGGACAGATATGACTGAGGACAAACATGACTGAAGACTGACAAGGTGTGTCTGTAGATCCAGTGAACTCACTGGGAACTGGCATTGGCCCTGGGCTCCATTAAATACCAAGCTCTCATATTTTTATGTGAGAAATATTCGTTTAGTGAGAGATTAAAATGGCACTATGAGTCCTAGGTAAAAATGTGAAATAAATATCTGCACCAAGTAATTACTGAAAGACCTAAGTATATTCTATATTTTTCCCCAATGTATGGTTACTTGAGTAAATTTCCATAGGCCACTTAGTGGAAAGAAAAAGACAATGACTTAATCAATGTACTTGCCATGATATTGCAGATCCTTCCTCAGAATGGCTTGATTTCTTCCTCAGTCCAAAGGATTCTAGGTCAGGGGAGTAATTCAAGTCTAAAAATTTAGCAAAGGACAGTGACTTGTCACTGAATTGCTCAGTTTCCTGATAATATATCCTTGATTTCTTTTCTTATCTTTTTTTTTTTTTTTTTTTTTGGCAGTCCAGTCCCCTGGAGATGATTTTATTTTTCAAACTTGTTTTTCTATAGCCCAAGATTTGGACCCTGCTCTTTCTTTTACGCTTATGGCACCCCGGCTTCCTGACTGTCTCAATGTGTCCCTCCAGCACCGCTCTCCAACTTGGTCCTTTTGCAGAGTCCCAATAAAATATAGGACAATCAGTAACATTTTTCTTTTCTTTTTCTTTTTTTTTTTTTTTTGAGTCAGGGTCTCATCCTGTTACCTAGGCTGGAGTGCAGTGGCACAATCGCAGCTCACTGCAACCTCAACCTCCTGGGCTCTAGCAATCCTCCCACTTCCTCAAGTAGCTAGGACTACAGGGCTCACTACCACTTCCAGCTAACTTTTTGGTATTTTTTGTGGAGACAGGGTTTTGCCATGTTACCCAGGTTGACTTGATTTCTTTTTTAAAAACACTTTTCCCAGCTATATTGAAGTACAATTATCAAATAAAAATTGTATATATTTCAGGTGTACAATGATTTGATATGCATATACATTGTGAGATGATTACCACAATTAAGCTAATTAACATAGCCATCACAAATCCTTGATTTCTTTTGATTACATAAAGTAAACCTTTGTGCATCCATCTTTCTTACCTCGGGGGATTGCCATGCACTTTTAACTATCTCCATGTCTTTCTTTATGGCAGCCTCTGCTGGCTACACTCTGATTTCGCTGCTGATTTTACAATATAATATTTGTACCCACTTTTCCTCTGATAGATGAGTGCCTCTATATGGCTTCTGTCACTTAGGGTTTTATTATCTTATTGGTATCATGAAATCTAGTTTTATAACAGAATCTCCTACTCTCAGCCAGGGCCTACAGAGAGTAGGCACCATGGAGGCTCTTGCTGATGCTCGTGACCACCCCTCATGTATTCCTTATCATTTTGGTAAATAAGTGTTCTTCTAGACTTTCTTATAGAGCTTAGATAACAGGTGGTTTTCTCAGATTTCCATAGTGTATCCATGCTGGTATGCTTACCCCTCTAAGGTTTTTAATCCCTTCCTCCACCGTCTACCATAGTAGCACTTCTAATGTTTCTACTTATCTTTTTCTCAAATTGCCAAGATGCACCTTATAAACTTGCAAACACTCTTACCCAGGTCCTTGCCAAAGCATCTAATCCTGTTTCATGGTGTGGCATAATTATACGTTTTCTTTAATACAACCATTTTAGCCCTCCTCTTGATCCAGCACTTTCAGGATTTAACCCCAAATAGAATTTCTTCTCCTGCTGATGCATATTAATATTAAGTAAATACTGCAGTTATTTCATTGCACCCAGCGTATAAGCTCCTCTTAGCCGGCCCTGCATAACCAGAATAACTCAGTGAAAGAATTTGAAACTTGTTATTATTCTGGTTGCTCTCAGTTGAGGAAGCTACCAGGAGAAGTGGAAGTAGGTGCTAAAAAGTTAACAAGCACACCTAAGTCAAGTATTTCCTCTGAATAAACCTCAAGTATTATCTTTTAAGAAGAGAGAATGAACTCATATCTGCAAGCTCCCATAGTTTAGAAAATCCACGAGTTCAAGGTTCTTTATTGGATCTTCTCAGATGTGTCCATCTCAAGTCTAAGGGTTTAATTTCTTCTCTATTAGGTACTGATCTTGACATCAGAGAACTAACATGACTGATGATTATAAATTCTCTGAAGTTCTGGTACATTTATGTTTTAATTCTAAGCCTCGCTTTCCTCTCTGCAGGAGTTTGAGGCTTCCTTAATTGCTGACAAAGAGGCCCTTGGACTTTCACATTTTGCCTTAAATTGGTGATAATTTCCCTGTAACTGCCATTTTTCGCTCTTCAATAAACCTATGATGTATTACAACAGTCATCCTAGCCAATTTTCCTTATAGGTAATATTTCCTTCATGCCTATCAAGAGCTAATAATTTCACACTAGCCAGTACATCATCTTACGCTAGTTTAACAACTAAGTTGCTGGGTGTTATTATCCCTTC
The DNA here is from genome assembly GCF_000001405.40 of Homo sapiens. NCBI lineage: Eukaryota > Metazoa > Chordata > Mammalia > Primates > Hominidae > Homo > Homo sapiens. The sequence continues at coordinate 59,960,708 of NC_000004.12, read as the reverse complement.
ACCTATCAACAAGATGGGGTCCTCAATACAAGATGACCAGTTAATGTTTATTTCTCACACCACTTCAGGAATAAATGTCTACAGTTGAATTTGAAATAGACGAAGTTTGCAAGTCATGCACAAGTTGCTCATTGAACAGTGTTTTTGGAAAACATTTGGTCAGGGAGCTGACAAAAGCAGGAGGAAGAGGAAAGAAGAAGCTGAACCGAGATGCAGTTGCAACTGTTGCTGAAGCCATCCTGCATGGAACCGTGAACCTGAGAGCGTTCTTTGAAGTTATCCAAAATTGAGACAAGTGCTGAGTCTTTGTTTACCCACTTCAGCTGGGTGTTTGGATCATTTCACGGGCGGGGACAGAACATTGGACAGGGCAACTTCCTCTATCTGAACGTGATTCACAGAGAGGAAAATATCTGTCAACTGTTAGAAGGTGCTGGATGAGTTTGCTGTCCTTGCTTAGGGGTACTGGTTTGGAGTGCAACACTGTTCTGCACTATATCAAGGAATTGAGAAACTAATGGAAGGTTAACATCCTGTCAAAATTATAATAAATAAAATTAATTCAATAAGTAAAAAACTTGTTTAGATTAACCACTATACGGGCATTTAAAAAATTATTTATAATCTACTTTTGAAAAGATACCAGAATTCTAAGTCAGATGCTACTGCTTGCACAGAAATTACTCTCCTCTCATACTGCTATAAGTTTGCTGTTACTGCTTCCCATTCAGGTAGTACCTAACCTCACACTTGTTCTTTTAGGCAATTCATCATCTATTCAGCCTTCCCAGATTACCCAGTTCACTACTTCAGATGGTATTCTACCCACACCATGCTTTTTTATCTGAATTTCTGTCATAACTATGGTCTTATTGCATTGCAACATGTGGTTTACTTGTCTGTTTCCTCTATTAGACTTGGAATTTTTATTTTTTAAAAAATATGTTATTACTAGTGTCTAACATGTAATAGGTTGACATGTTCTCAGTAAGTATTTTGAATAAATGGATGAAGGAAAGAAAAAAGGATATTTGGTAGCCCACCTCTAATTTTTAAATGTGCGTCTTAGATATATCCATTCGTCTTCTAAGTCATTGTGTTATATATTTCGTAGCCTATGAATGGTAAACGATAAGCAATATTTAACTATATATTAATTTTAATTAATCATTTATTATGTATTTTAATAATTATCAATGATAATAGCTACCTTATGTTAGTGTTGAATTTCTTTCTTTTTATTTTATTCATTTTTTTTTTTTTTTTGGACAAAATCTCTTTCTGTAACCCAGGCTGAAATGCAGTGGCACCATCATAGCTTGCTGCAGCCTCGAACCTAGGCTCAAATGATCTTCCCTCCTCAGTCTGCTGAGTAACTGGGATTACAGGTATATACCACTGGGCCTGGCTAATTTTTAGAATTGTTTGTAGAGATGGGGTCTTTTTATGTTGCCCAGGCTGATCTCAAACTCCTGGCTTCAAGTGATTCTCCCAACTTGGCCTCCCAAAGTATTGAGATTAAAAGCATGAGCCACCATGCCTGGCCTTATTTTTATTTATAGCCTAAGTGTTCTTATCTACATTTCACAAATTAATAAAATGAGGTTCTGTGCTATTAACTGCATAGCATAATGCCACCTACGTACCAATCATTCAGAGAGTAAGCTACTTCTCCATGGTCACACAATTCGTTTGTGTTTCAACTGGTATGTGTTTTCCCTAAATTTGCAGGTACAGCATAATGAAAATATAAATAATGTAGTGAGTACATTTTGTTTGGAAGAAAAATGGGAATAAAATTTTCGTGAGTAGTCAGATTTCTGAGTTAGCCACACTGAACATTAACATAATAACTGCTATTTTTAAAGATAGAGTTTAAATGTTTAATAATCAAAAAAGATGATCTACTTTTTGTATATAAGGACCGCCTCTTGAATTTCTGCCATAGACAATGAACTAATAAATACTCCTCAGGCTGCATCACCAGAAAGACAAATAATAAGGGGAGGGCTTCTTCCATTTCTAAGAGATATATGATCATAACTCTATGTTATGGTCTATGTACTATTTATGTACTTGGATAAGTACATACGGTTAAGTAAGTGTATATGTTCACACACATACACACGCACAGCTCCACATACATATGAGTATATAAAATGCTCTCCGTTAGCCAGAAATCCAGAACATTGTAAATTTATTCAGAATAGCTAACATGGATTAAACTCAGATCTTTCTTCCTCCAAAATCCAAACTCTTTAATTATATCAATTCTTAGATTCAAGTTATATGGTAAAATAAATGTACTAATTACCAAGTTGACATCTAAGTAGAAAATAAACTTCAATTTTTTTGTAATCTTCTTTTATCCTGGACATTAAATATGCTTTCTTGGAAGCTTTAAAAAGAATAAAAAAGAGTAGAAAAAAGGATAACCAGGTAGTAGAATTAAAAAATTTGAGGAGGTTCAGAAATTTGAGGAAAATTGCATTCTAAGGTTTAAATAAAGTGCTCCTCTTAAGCATTTTATTTTGCTATATACTGTCAATCTATTAACAGTGAATGACAATTTTTTTCCTATCTTAAGAAACAATATTAATGGTAATTCCTATGTTTTATTATTACTGATATACTGTAATCCCTATCATTCGTTGATTCTTAACTCACATTTTCTTATGTCATAGTATACCAATAAATCACAGGAAGATTAAAGCCTAAAGTATATTTACTCTAAGTCTTTACAGTCTTTGTCTTTTTAACATGTGTCATCATCTTTACACAAGTTCACCACAAAATTAGAAAATTTACTAATATTTAAATGTGAAAAAGTAAATGGATTCTAATCTAAGATATCTTTAAAAACCAAGTATAGAGGTCAGTTGCAGTGGCTCACTCCTGTAATCCTAGCACTTTGGGAGGCCAAGGCAGGCGGATCACCTGAGGTCAGGAGTTCAAAACCAGCCTGGGCAACATGGTGAAACCCCATCTCTACTAAAAATACAAAAATTGCCAGGCGTGGTAGTCGGCACCTGTAATCTCAGCTACTCTGGAGGCTGAGGCAGGAGAATCACTTGAACCCAGGAGGCGGAGGTTGCAGTGAGCCGAGATCGTACTACTGCACTCCAGCCTGGCCAACAAGAGTAAAACTCCATCTCCAAAAAAAAAAAAAAAAAGCATAGAAAAGAAGTATATTAATGATCAACCTCTTATGTTTTATTTTCTCAAGAAAATTACAAAGAATTCTTTCTGTTTATTAATCATCTTCCAGGATTCTGCACTATCGGTCAATAGAAAGTATTTTTAAAGGATCCCAGATATTTGTTAAATTAAGCATAAAAGTAATACATAAAGCAACTAGAGCATATTATGTGTTTAGGTCACTAACATTAACATTAATATTTCGAATCTATTTTCTTGTTTAGTCTGGAGTATAGATGCAATTAACTAAAGGCCAGGAACCCATCATCATATTTCCTGAAGATATAACATGCCTTAGGGTTTTCCTACATCCCAAATATTTACAATGGCATTTCAGTTATCCTGTGACTTCTCACTATTTCCACTTACCTAGTATTGCTGCAAACATATAGCCTTAGTTTGTAATTATAGTAATAGAACATTTTTGCAGACTAGTAACTATTTGTATACTTTAGATAATTATGTCAATGTAGGTAAATACTTTTTTATATAAAATGCTTATACTTTTATTCAGGTACAGCATACATGTCACAAACACAGAAATTGTAAGTGTACAGATAAATGAATTACTGAAATTAAGCCTATTCATGTAACCAATTTAAAAATAACCAAACAAAATAGAACACCTAAAAACAATACAGGATTTTATTAGCGTCCTAGAAAATCATGATGCCACTTTCTAGTCAGAACCTTCTCCCAGTGAATCTCTAAACATAAAGGATTAATTTTGCTTGTTTCTAAATTTTACATAAATTAAAATAAACAATGTTATCTTTGGCTTCTTGTGTTATCTTTCTATTTTTAGGATTTATCTGTATTGTTGCATGTAGGTATAGTTTTTTACTGTAATAGGTATATGGCAGTCAACTGTGTGATTACGCCACAATTTATTTACCTCATTCACCACTGAAGAACATTTGAGTACTCTCAAAGTTGGGGCTATTGTAAATACTGAGTTTGCAGTCTTGTGCCTATCATTTGGTGACATCATGTTAGGTACATACCTAGGAGTGGAATTTCTGGACTATAGGGTTTGCATATAGTTAGATGTTTAAAAATACTGCTTTTATTTCCCAAAAAATGGTTGACTGTTTTACATTAACTCAACAGTTTATGTGAATGCTGTTTGCTCCTCAATTTGGTATTTTTAGCCATACTGTCTCAGTAAGATTTCCAGAAAATACAATTATTTTTGAGTCATAAGATTTAGTTTCCTACCTTAGGAGATCCTGTCTTGTGAAATAGCTATGTAAGTATTTTGTTTATTTTTCTATTGGGTTGGCTGTTTGTTTTTAGTTGGATCTTTAGTAGTTCTTTGTATATTCAGGAAGGAATCCTTTGTCAGATGCATTGTTTGCAAATATCATCTCCCATACTGTCAGTTGCCTTGTCATTTTTGTAATGTTTTTTGACAGTTCAATGGATCATTTTTTAGGTCTTTCTGAGTAGTGTTTTTATATCCTATAAAATATCTTTGTCTTCTTTATGATCATGCAGATTTTCTCTAGTGCTTTATTACTTTATTTTTGTTTTTATTTCAATGGTTTTGGGGGTACAGGTGGTTTTGTTACAGGGATAAGTTCTCTAGTGCTGATTTCTGAGATTTTAGTGCACGCATCACCTGAACATTGTACATTGTACCCAATATTCAGTCTTTTATCCCTCACTTATAGTCCTAAACTTTCCCTACCCCTGAGTCCCCAAAGTCCATTATATCATTCTTATGACTTTGTATCCTCATAGCTTAGCTCCCTCATATAAATGAGAACATATACTATTTGGATTCCCATTATTTAATTACTTCACTTAGAATAATGGCCTCCAGCTCAATTTACATTGCTGCAAAAGATATGATTTTATCCCTTTTTATGGCTGAATAGCATTCCTTGATGTACAGTGTATTTCAAATCATTTTTTGTTTGACTTGTACCACTTACCAAAAAGTCAACTCATTCCCATTGCAATACACTGTCATTTTTTACAAATCCCATAATCACACTTAACAAATATTTTAAAAATTATTAATTTTTAATTTCTGTGGGTACATGGTAGCTATGCATATTTATGAGGTACATGAAATATTTTGATACAGGCATACAATATGTAGTAATTACAACAGAATAAATGGAGTATGCATCAACTCAAGCATTTATCATTTCTTTGTGATATAAACATTCCAATTATAGTCTTTTAGTTATTTAAAAATTTATAATAAATTATTGTTGGCTGCTGTCACCTGTTGTGCAATCAAATATTGGATCTTATCCATTCTATCTAACTAAAGTTTTGTACCCATTAACCATTCCCAAATCCCCCCCTGCCTCCAGTCCCAGCCTCTGGAAACTATCATTCAACTCTCTATCTGCACGAATTCAATTGTTTTGATTTTTAGCTCCCACAAATGACTGAGAACATGTGATGTTTCTCTTTCTGTACCTAACTTACTTCACTTAACATAATATCCTCCAGTTCTACTCATATTGTTGTAAATTACAGGATCTCATTCATTTTTATGGCTAAATATTAAACCATAGTGTATATATACTGCACTTTCTTTATATATTGATCTGTTGATGGAAACTTAGGTTGCTTCCAAATTTTGGCTGTTGTGAATAGTGCTGTAGTAAACATTGGAGTGCAGATATCTCTTTGATATACTGATATCCTTTTTGGGGGGTATAAACCTAACAGTATGATTGCTGGATCTTATGGTAGTTCTTTTTTCAGTTTTTGGAGGAACCTCCATTCTGCTCTTCATAATGCCTGTACTCATTTACGTTCCCACCAACAGCATACAAGGGTTCCCTTTTCTCCACATCCTGTTTGTTATTTCCATTTGTTATTGCCTGTTTTTTGGATAAAAACAATTTTAACTGTGGTGAGATGATATCTCCATGTAGTTTTGACTTGTATTTCTCTGGTGATAAGTGATATTTAGCACCTTTAATATACCTATTTGTGATTTGCATGTATTCTTTTGAGAAGTGTCTATCCAGGTCTTTTGTCCTTGTTTTAATTGGATTATTAAATTTTTTTCCTGTAGAATTGTTTGAGCTACTTATATATTTTGGTCATTTAAACTTTGTCAGATGGGTAGTTTGCAAATATTTTCTTCCATTGTGTGTGTTGTCTTTTTATTTTGTTTATTGTTTACTTTGCTGTGCAGAAGTTCTTTAACTTAATGTGATCTCATTTGTCCATTTTTGCTTTGATTGCATGTGCTTGTGCAGGTATTACAGGTATTATTCAAGAATTATTTGCCCATACCAATGTCTTGGAGATTTTATTTTCATGTAATGGTTTCATAGTTTGAAGTCTTAGATGTAAGTCCTTAACCCATTTTGATTTATTTCATGTATACAGTAAGCAATAATGGTCTAGATTCATTTTTTTTTTTTTTTTGCATATGGATATGAAGTTTACCAAGACTGTCTTTTTCCCAATGTATATTCTTGGCAACTTTGTCAAAAATGAGATTACTTTAAATGTATAGATTTATTTCTAGTTCTCTGTTTTGTTTCATTGGATTATATGTCTGTCTTTATGCCTGTACAATGATGTTTTGATTAGTATAGCTCTGTAGTGTAATTTGAAATCAGGTAACAAGATTTCTCCAATTTTTTTGTTTTTGCTCACAATGGCTTTGGGTATTCTGGGTTTCTTGTTGGTCCATAAAAATTTTAGAATTGTTTTTTCTATTTCTGAGAAGAATATCATTAATATTTTGATAATGGGCTCATATAATCTGTAGATTGCTTTGGGTAGGATGGACATTTTCACAATATTGATTCTTCCAATCCGTGAACATAGAATATCTTTTCATTTGTTTGTGTCCTCTTCAAATTTGTGCATCAATGTTTCATAGTTTTAATTACAGAGAACTTTTCACTTTGTCAGTTAAGTAAGTTAAGTCAGTTATTTCTAGGTATCTTATTTTATTGTAGCTATGTGCTTTCTTGATTTCTTCTTCAGTTCGTTTACTGTTAGCATAAAGAAATGTTACTGATTTTTTGTATGATTTTGTATCCTGCAATTTTACTGAATCTGTTTATTAGTTCTAATAGTTTTTTGATGGTATCTTTAGGTTATTTTAAATATAGAATAATATCATCTGCAAACAAGGGTCATTTGACTTCTTCCATTCCAATTTGGATGTCATTTATTTATTTCTCTTGTCTGATTGCTCTAGCTAGGACTTCCAGTACTATGTTCCATCACAGTCATGAGGGTAGGCATCCTTGCCGTGCTCTAGATTTTAGAGAAAAGGCTTTCGGTTCTCGCCTATTCAATATAGTACTAGTTTTTGGTCTGTCATATATGGCTTTAATTGTGTTGAGGCAATATTTACTTACTACTTTTTTTAAGAGTTTTTATCATGGAGGAATGTTAAATTTTATCAAATGCTTTTTCAGCATCAATGCAAATGATTATATAGTTTTTGTCTTTCATTCTATTGATATGATGTATCACATTCCTGGATTTGCCTATCTTTGCATCGCTGGGATAAATCCTACTTGATCATTATAGAGATATTTTTAATGTATTGTTGAATTGGTTTGCTAGTATTTTGTTGAGGATATTTGTCTCAATGTTCATCAAATATATTGGCCTGGCGTTTTCTTTTTTTGATGTGTCTTTGTCTGTTTTTTATATCAGAGTAATACTGGCCTCATAGAATGAGATTGGAAGTATTCCTTCCTCCTCTATTTTTCAGAGTACTTTCAGTAGAATTTGTATTATTTCATTTTTGACTGTTTTGTAAATTTCAGCAATGAAGCTATCAAGTTTCAGGCTTTTTTTGCTGGGTGTCTTTTTATTACAGCTTCAATTTCATTACTTGTTATTTATCTGTGATAGTTAATACTGAGTGTCAACTTGATTGGATTGAGGGATACAAATTATTAATTCTGGGTGTGTCTGTGTGGGTGTTGCCAAAAGAGATTAACATTTGAGTCAGTGCGCTGGGGAAGGCAGAGCCACCATTAATCTGGTGGGCACAATCTAATCAGCTTTCAGGAAATATAAAGCAGGCAGAAAAAGGTGAAGAGAGATGGGCCTAGACTCCCAGCTTACATCTATTTCACATGCTGGATGCTTCCTGCCCTCGAACATCAGATTCCAAATTCTTCTGTTTTGGGACTCGGACTGGCTCTCCTTGCTCCTCAGCTTGCAGACAGCCTATTTTGGGACCTTGTGACCATATAAGTTAATACTTAGTAAACTCCCATTTATATATATACACATATATATGTAATGTATATATACACACACACACATACACACACACATATCCCATATATATACACATATCCTATGTGTGTGTGTGTATATATATACATATATATACACATATCCCGTGTGTATATATACACACATATATATATATACATATCCCATGTGTATATATACATATATATATACATATACATATATTATATTAGTTTTGTCCCTCTAAGAGAACTCTGACTAAAACATGCTGTATTCAGGTTTTGGATTTCTTCATGGTTCAATCTTGGTAGGTTGTATGTGTCTAGGAATTTGTCCATTTCCTCTGGATTTTCCAATTGGTATATAATTGCTCATAGCAGCCACTAAAGATCCTTTGGATTTCTGTGGTATCAATTGTAATGTCTCCTTCTTCATCTCTGATTTTATTGATTTGGGTCTTCTCTCTTCTTTTCCTAGTTCCTGGCTAAAGGTTTGTCAATGTTGTTTATCTTTTCCAAAAAAAACCCAGTCAAGTTTTTGTTTCATTAATCTTTTGTGTTGTTTCTTTATTTCATATCATGTATTTCTGCTCTGAACTTTATTATTTCTTCTTTTCTACTAATTTTGGGTTTGGTTTTCTCTTGATTTTCTAGTTTTTTAAGATGCATTAATAAATTGTTTATTTGAATTTTTTCTACTTTTTTGATGTAGACTTTTTTTGCTACAAAGTTTTATCTTAGTACTACTTTGCCTGTACCCCATAGATTTTGCTATAATGTGTTTCCATTTTCATTTGTTTCAAGGCATTTTTACTTTTTCTCCTTAGATTTTTAATTAACCCACTGGTCATACAGGAGCATAATATTTAATTTCCATTGTTTTTATTGTTTCCAAAGTTTCTCTTGTTTTTTAGTTTCTAGTTGTATTTTATTGTGGTCAGAGAAGATACTTGATTTTTTAAAATGTTTTGGTGTGTTTTGTGGCCTAATATATGTTCTATTCTTGAGAATGGTCCATGTGCTTAGGATAAGAATACGTATTCTCTATCCATTGGAAGAAATGCTCTGTAAGTATATATTAGGTCCATTTGTTTTGTTGTGCAGATTAAGTTTAATGTTTCTTTGTTGATTCTCTATTTTAATAATCTATTCAATGCTGAAAGTGGGATGTTTCATTCTCCAGCTATTATTGTGTTGGAGTCTGTTTCCCTCTTTAGCTGTAATAATATTCGCATTATATATCTGGGTACTCCAGTGTTGGGTGCATATATCTTTAAAATTGTTATACCCTCTTACTTCATTGACCCTTTTATTATTATGTAACGATCTTCTTTGTTTCTATTTATAGTTTTGTTTTTCAAATATATTTTTCTGATATATTTAGCTACTGCTGCTTTTTTTTTCCATTCCCATTGCAAAAAAATATGTTTTTTTATCCCTTTGTTTTCTGTCTATATGTGTCTTTTTAGTGAAGTGTGTTTCTTGCAGGCAACAGATTACTGGTTCTTGCTTTTATTTTTAATCAATTCAACTAGTCTATGTCTTTTGATTGGAGGGTTTAGTCCATTTAGATTCAGTGTTCTTATAGATTACTGGGACTTATTTCTGCCATTTGTTTTGTGTGTGTGTGTGTGTGTGTGTGTGTGTGTGTGTGTGTTCTCTTTCTTCCTTTCTTCCTTCCTGTGTTCCTTTTTGTAAAAGTGATTTTCTCTGACGGTATGTTTTAATTTCTTTCTTTTTTCCTGTACTGTTGTAGGTATTTTGATTTGAGATTACCATGAGGCTTGCAAATAATGTCTTATAACCCACTATATTAAACTTAACCCTGATTACATAAGCAAACAAACAAAACAATAAACAAGCAAAGAGAAAGGAATTAAAAACTCTATACTTTATCCGTCTTAATTCTTCACCTTTTGTTGTTTTGATTTATATCTTATTATACTTTCTATGTCTTGAAAAATTGTTCTTATTATTTTTCAAGATGTAGATTCATCTTTTATGCCTCTTACTCAAGATATTAGTTTACACACCACAATTACAGTGTTATAATATTCCTTGTTTGCCTGTGTACTTATTATTACTAGTGTAATAGTAAGTTTTCACCTTCATGTGATTTCTTATTTCTCATTAGCATTCTTTCCTTTCAGATTGAAGAAATTCCTGCAGCATTTCTTGTAGGACAGGTCTGGTGGTGATAAAATCCTTCAGCTTTATTTGTCTTGAAAGGTATCTATTTCTTCTTCATATCTGAGGGATATTTTCACTGGATATACTATTACAGGATAAAAGGTTTTCTTCCTCCAGCTTTTATAATATGTCTTTCCACTGTCTCCTTGCCAATATGGTTTCCACCGAGAAGTCTGCTGCCAGATATATTGGAGCTCCTTTTTATGTTATTTGTTTCTTTTCTCTTGCTGCTTTTAGAAACTTTTTTAAATCTTTCCCCTTTGGAAGTTTGATTAATAAATGCCTTGCAGTAGTGTTATTTGGGTTAAATTATTTCAGTGTTCTATAACCCTCTTGTACTTGAATATTTATATCTCTCTCTAGCTTTGTAATGTTCTCTGTTACTACCCCTGTGAATAAATGTTCTACCTCAATCTCTCTCTACCTCTTCTTTAAAGTCAATGACTCTTAGATTTGCACTTTTGAGGTTATTTTCTAGACCTTGTAGGCATGCTTTATTATTTTTAATTCTTTTTTCTTCTGCCTTCTCTCTGTATTTGCAAAGAGCCTGTCTTTACACTTACTAATTCTTTCTTATGCTTGGTCAATTCCACTGTTGAGAGACTCTGGTGCATTTTTCACTTTTCCAATTGCATTTTTAAGCTCCTGAATTTATGCTTGATTTTTGAAAATTATTTCAACCAATTTATGAAATTCATCTGATTGGATTCTTAATTCCTTCTCTGTGTCATTTTGAATTCCATTTAACTATCTCAAAGCAGCTATTTAAAATTATTTGTCTAAAAGGTCACATATCTGCATCATTCAAAGATTGGTCACTGGTGCTGTATTTAGTACATTTGGTGAAGTCATGTTTTTTTCTGGATAGTCTTCACAATTGTGGATTTTTGTCTGTCTGAGTATTGAAAAGTTAAGTATTTATTGTGATCTTCATAGTCTGGGCCTATTTGTACCCATTCTCCTTGGGAAGGCATTGCAAGTATTCAAAAGAAATTGAGTGTTGTTATCTAACTCTTTTGTCATTGCAGTAGTATCTGCATTAGGGGACACCTCAAGCCCACTGATGCTGTGAATCTTGCAGAATAATAGGGGTACATCCTTGGTGGTCTACTAGGCAGAGACTCTTGTCCTCTTCCCTTACTTTCCCCCAGACAAATGGAGACTCTTTTTCCATGCTGAGCTGTCTGGTGCGGGGGAAGGGGTAACACAAACACCCCTGTGGCCACCACCACTAGGACTGTGCTGGGTCAGACTTGAAGCCAACATAACACTGCCTCTCATCCAAGGTCCACGTCAACCACTACCTGCATACCACCAATGTTTTATTCAAGGGCCAAGGGCTCCTCAGTCATCAGATAACTAAGCCAGGCTTGTGTCCTTCTTTTCAGGGTAGGAAGCTACCCTAGAGCTCAGGGCAGGTACAGTAAGGCCATCCAGGAGCCAGGGCCTGGAATGGGGAGCCTTAAGAACATACTTGATGCTCTATTCTACTGCAGCGTAGCTGGTACCCAAGCCACAAGACAAACTCCTTCCCATCCTTCCCTTTCCTTTTCTCATACAGGGAACTCTTTTCTCATTGCTACCACTACCCCAGACTCAGGGTGAATACTTCTTGACTATCACTGATGTTTATTCAAGGCTCAAGGGTCTTTCAAGTAACTAGTGGTGAATACTGCTGGGTCTAGGTCTCTCCCTTCAGGTCAGTGGGCTCCACTCTGGCCCAGGAAACTTTCAGAAATGACATCTAGGAGCCAAGGTCTTAAATAAGGGACCCCAGTAATCCCCTTGTTGTTCTACCCCTCTGTGACTGAGCTGATGTTAAAGCTGCAAAACAAAGTCCCCTTTACTCTGCCATCTCTGTTTCTCAAGCTAAAGGAGTCTCTCCCATGGCTATAACAGCTGGAAATGTGCTGGGTCACACCTGAAGTCAGCACAGCACAGGTCTCCCCCAAGACCCGAGGCAATTACTGCCTGGGTACCACGGATGTTTATTCAAGGCCCAAGGTCTCTTTAGTCAGTAGGTGATGATTCCTTCCAGGACTGAGTTTTTCTGTTCAAGGCAGCAGGTTCTCTTCTGGGCCAAGATATGTCTAGAAACATCGACTGGGAGCTAGAGCCTGCAACGAGAGCCTCAGGACTCTGCCTGTTGCCCTATTCTACTGTGGCTGAGCTGGTATACAAGTCACAAGACACTATCCTCTTCTCTCCCCTTTCCTCTCCTCAAGAAGAAGGAAAAGATCTTTTCCAGAGCTGCAAGCTGTAGTGTCTGGGGTTGAGGGATGGGTGACCCAAGTATTGCCTTGGCCACCCTGGCTGCCGTCTTACTAGGTCGTATTTTCCCTAAGTCCACTGGCTCTGAGTCCAGCACAGCACCAAGACTTGCCCAGGGATTCTAGTTCTTGTGGCCTGGACTGCCTTTCAAGTTTATTTAGAACCACACAGCACTTTGGCCCTCGGTGATGTGGCTGATGGGAACTCAGTTTCCGGCTGCTGGGATGGACAATTCCCTTCTGGATAGCACTGGCATGAATGCGTCTTCTGTGAGCTCTAGCTGAATTCTCCCCAGTGTTGCTTTCCACTGTAATAGGGCAACACTGAGTTTCAATGCAAAGTCCCGCAATTACTACACTCTTTCTCCTTGAAGTGCACAGATTTTCTCTCCATGTCACATGGCCACTGCCATTTTCTGGGGAAGGAGGAGGGGTGATGTCACCAATCCATGATGGCCTTTCCTTCCCACTTCAGTGCCTCTTTCCTTGATATGATGTTAAAACGAGGTACTATAATTGCTCACCTCATTTTTGGTTCTTATGAAGATGCGGTCTTGTGTGGAGAGTTGTTCAATTTGCTTTTTCTATGCCAGGGATAATACTGAAGTGTTCTATTCAACCATCTTGCTTTGCCTCCCATAATCATATTATATATATTAAATGTCTGAATTGCCCAATTCTTCATTATAGATGCTTGAAGGAAAAGTTATAAGGATAAAATAATAACATTTATGAGAGAGTCATATTAATAAGTAAATTTAACATAAGACTGACTGGTAATTGCTACAGCAGAATCATTTCAGAAGTGCTAAAGAAATGCTACATTTATTTCTAGTAAATAAAAAAATGTCTTTTTGCTAGCCATTGATATATGAGAATGTGGGAAAGCCATGAAACTCCTTGCGTATGAAACAAAGTCTTATTGTAATTTTCTTGGGGTACATAAAAAGTACCTTAAGAAAAGGGTACAGCAGCAGGTGAAAAACCATTTGAAATGAAAGATTGACTAGCACTGATAAAAAAGTATTAAAACAATGATGTCTTTTGGATTTATTTTTATAAACTGTCTTTGAAAATGTTTATTAGTAAAAGAATGATAGTTATGTATTAGGGGTATAGTGGACAGTAGATTTCAAAGGGAAGACAGTAGAAACAGAATGATTACATTTTCTAACTGATGAGAAGGAAGCAATTAGCCAAGCCACAGATGGAGAATATAAAGGGAGAGATAGATTTTAGAAACATTTTAAAGTCTTGGACTTGCTGACTGGCCACCTGTGAGAATGAGAGTAGTGAAATTTATGGCTTGAACAATCTGTAGATTTTGTGACATTAACAGATAGCAACCACAGAAGTAAAAGACATACAGAATCACAAACCAATGGGAGTAGGAAGACAATGAAGCTCTCACTGTGGCATGGCAGATATGAATCTCAAATTTGGAGTAAAACCTATTGTTATGTGGCAAAATTTGAAATCCTCCTCAGAATTAATTCTGTAAATTGCAGTAAGTGCACACAGGGTAAGAGTAAATGTTTAAGTTCAAAGAATAAATGTTGAAACTTTATGAAGCTCATGATTGTTCTTATTTTAGCTACTAAAATTTAGAGTGGTTTGTTTTGTAGCAAGGTATAAACAGAACAGCTTGTTTCTAGGGAAAGTATACAATATTTATTGAATAAGAAGATGGAAGTAGGAGAGAGAAAGAGAGATTCAGGTGGAGGGAAACTATATTAGAGGGGATGATATAAGAAATCAAAGGATCAAAGTCATCTTTGGAGAGTTGAGAAGTAACATTTGTGGGTTCACACAAAGAATTCTTACAGATGCTATCTCAGTTAATTTTCTGAACTTTCAAAGGTTATCTAGACAAAAATACATAAAACTTGTGAATGGGTCTCAACATGTTGAACTGGATTCTACTGTCATTTCAGTATAATAGGTATTTCTCATGCTGATTCATAGCAGTGATAGAACAGATGCTGCCTGCTATCTGCATATTAGTGGATAAAAGCTTTTCTCTAATTTAGTCGACTTTTTCATTTCCATTATAGAATGATACTTAATGGGCCTACATTCTTTCTTCAAATAGAGAACATGTAAACAGTTTTTAATTAGCATTAGATCCAATCATTCTGTAAAAATATAATATTTAAAATCATTAAACATGAGAATCATTATATTATTCTGCTTATCAATAATTATTTCATTCTGCCTATCACTGCTCTTTTCTCTTAAATCAGAGTTCTTGTCAATATTACATGAATAAATACTATGAAGTGGAAGTTGAGCTTGTGGCTTTCTTAAGAAATCTGAGGTAAAGATTTAAAGAGACTTAAAAGGAAAACTGGCTTTCATCCAAGAGAGCCTTAAATCTGAATCATCTTTGAAACCATAAATTTGCGAGACATTACTCTGATAAATATGTTTCTATGACACAAATTGTTGAACACCGTGGAATGTATTTATGTCTATATATAACTCTGTTAACCCTAAACAATTTGTTTATTTTATCCATGTGTAATTTTAAAATAAGATTTAAGACATACTACAAATTTAAGAAAAATACAGAATAGAAACATAAATTAGAGGTGAGTACTCATCATTTTCCTCTTTCTTTTCCCATTTCCTTCTTTTCTCTTTCCTTCCCTTTCCTCATCTCCCCTTCTTATATCTAACACCCTAATCCAAGAGCATTGAATGGAGACAAACACAGTAAACATCAGTGCATGCAAGTATGGGGAAAAGTGGTGGTTTAGAGCTGGATGTCAGAGTCCAGGCAGGCTAAAGAAGGTATGCACACAAGGCAGGGTGGCACAGCTCTGCAGCTGTCAGAGCACACGTTGAGTGTGCAAGACTTCCACACAGGAGGCAGCCTAGTGGGCAATATCAGAGTCACACAGTGTGAAAAAAAAAAAAACATCACATAAGGTAGCTGCCCAGCTCAATCATTTGAATCCTGAGTGAGGTGAGAAGGGGGTTCACAGTGGCAGAGGTAGGCCTGGCCCAGGGTTTAGGGACCTGAGAGGGTAAGGAGAGTGACCATAAAGGGATGTAGAGAATGCCTGGTATTGGGGCTTAATTGGGTAAATGAGTGCAGTGCGTGAGAGAGGTAATTGGCTCAGCTTTTTGGAGGCTGCAAAGATATCTGAGTGATCAGGTGGCCCAGAGGAGGAAATCAGAACCCAAGTGTGGTGGAAAGGGTGTCTGCATGGTGTGTAGTTGGTCTTGTGTGGGGTGTAGAGCCTATGCAGGGTGAGGAAAGCTTCCAAGGAATTAGAGAATGGCCTGCCTTGGAGTGTCATAGCCTACGCAGGAAGTTAGGTTGAGTTATGGTATTGGAAATAGATCAAGATGGGGTAAAAATTGGAAATGGCATAAATGACCAGTTTCCGGTATTGAGGACTGGAAGGAATAATGTCATTTATCAAGTGAAGAGGCATTCACATGGGTGAGCTACATGTGAGGTGTCAGAGCATGCATGTTATGAGGAGAGTATATGCATGGAAGAGTGGACTATAGCAGTGTGTTGGAGCACAGCAGGGGAGAGGAGGGCATCTGAGTAGGAGAGGTGATGGCTGATGATATGGCAGACTGGATTACCTACAGGGTTCTCAATCAATAGGCAAATATATTAAAAATACATTCATTCTCTGTTGGAGAATGAAATTACAAATAGGAAACACAAGAAAACTAGAATTAATCTAGTGTATTGGATTGGAATTTGAGATATTGGTGTGAACCCCATTTTTTTTAGATTAATAGATGGATAGATACGTATATAGATACAGACATGCACATATACACAAATACATAGAGATACATAGAGATAGAATTAGATATAGATGCAGGTGTAGATAGAGATTTCCATTCCATAGGACTGTTTTCTAAGAGAGCTTGGCAGTAGTGATACTTCAAAAACAGTGAGAATAGTGATCCCAGATCTTGGTTTCTAAACAGCATCTTCCACTAAAAGGAACCAGGGCTCCTTGGAGAAGTAACTGGTTTCTCTGCTAGTTCAGAGAAAAGGCAAAAGGGAGTGGGACATCTTGTCAGGAAGGAAAGTAAAGACATACTCCAAAAATGTTGGACTCATGTCATAAGGAAACAGAAACCAACATGCAGGAGCCACTGATGAAATATGGAAAAATCTGAGTGTCAAAATAAATGCTAATAATGACTAATAATGACAGTCATTATTATATATAAACTATTGAATAAAATACTGATTATATATAAACTATCGAATAAAATAGGACTTAATGATTTCATACTGATATGATTCTATAAACGAGTAAGTTGAAACTTTGATGAGAAACAAGACATTTACATAATTTCCCTGAGCCTTCCCACAAAATACTTGTTAATTACAAAAGAAAAAAAGTGTAACTTTACAGAGGAGAAGCCTGGCAGACAGAAACTATATTATGTGATCTAAGGAGATCTCATCAGTAAATAAAAAATTGAATCTGTGCCACCTGATAGGGTAAAATAAGAGCACCTTCTTGTCAAAAATGTATAACCCGAATCTAAATATGAGGAACCACCAGACAAATTCAAATTGAGGAACATTTACAAAATAACTGGCCAATAAATGTTCAACTGCCAAGGCAATTTAGTCAGACAAAATCTAAAAACCTATTTATACTGATGGACTATAAATGCAGCTAAATGTAACGTATGATTTTGAACTAGATTCTTGCTATAAAAGACATTGTTGGTACAATTGGAGACAATTGAAAAGGGTCTTGAGATTAGGTGTTAGTAACGTATCAATAATAATTTTTTGATTCTGAGGGTTGAATGGTAATTATGTAAGATTATATACTAGTTTTAGGAAATATACATTGAAGAAACCAAGGGTGATACAGCATTATGTCAGCAACTTATTCACAAATGCTTCAGAAAGAAAAATATTCTTTGTATTACATTCAAAATTTGCTGATTTGGAGATTTCCCACAGTATAGCAAATGAAAAGTAAATTAGAAAGCAGAAAGGAAACAAGGATAAAAATTAAATATTGTGCTAAGAGTGAAGATATTTTAAAAGTCCATAACATAATATTGAATAAGTGCCAAGTATGATTTAATTCTTGTAGCAGGAACAGGAGAAGGAACCTCATTGTTTTTATTACATTATAAGATATCTCCAGTTCTTCTCAATTTGGTTTTGTGTTTTACTAAAGAGTCATAGCTTTGTGTGAGCAAGTAATTCTGATTAATTTTTCAGAAAACTTCTAAACCACGTTGATCCAATATGTAGACACATAATTCTTCAGGTTCTTTTGAGACACATTAAGGTGATATGAGGGGATTTTTCAAATAATTTTATATGTTTCTGAGTAAAGTAGCTAAGTCCTCAAGTAATTGATTTTAAATGTGTGACAGTCTCTATTTATTGTATGCTGTGATATAATACGAAATTTTTGGTCATTATCCCAGATTCCTGCTATAGAGTTCCTACTACTTTTGGAGATGTCTGAGTGATAGGAATGCCCTTGTTATTTGTTATGAGCCCCTTTTTTATTACATTTGAGTTTATGCTAATAAGGTGACAGGGTAGGTTCCTTTAGACAGCCTCAGGATGAGTATGGTCACCACACCAAGTGATAAGAGGGTTGCGAGTTTGACTTCCTGGAATGGGGTAGGGGACTAGAGATTAAGCAGCAACTCTTGAACGACAAGATTTGATAAACTTCTAGGTTGGTGAATGCAACTCTGGAACCATGGCTCACCAGGAGAGGGGATGAAAGGTTTACACCCCTTCGCTCATGCCTTGCCTTATGTATCTCTTCATTCGTCTGTGCATCTATATTTTTTATAATATCCTTTGTAAATTAGTGCACATAAATAAAGTACTTCTCTGTGTTTTATGAAGCAGCTAGCAAATTTTCATACCTAAGGAGGGATTGTGAGCGCAAATTATAGTCAGTTGGTCAGAAGTACAGGACACCCCCTAAAACTTGGGATTGTCATCTGAAGGGGGGTCAGTCTAGTGTGACAGGGCCATTAAGCTATGAGATCTGATGCTATCGCTAGGCACACTGTGTCAGAATTACATTGAATTGAATTATAGGACACCTAGCTGGTGTCCAGAAAGTGAGAATTGCTTGATTTGGAAAAAAACCCCACACAATTAGGTGACTAGAAGTGAAGTGTTCTGCAAGTACTGAGAGTAGTGAGAGTTGTAAAAATGTGTGTGTGTGTTTTTCTTTAGAATATCCCTAGATCCCTAGACCTAAGGATGAGAATTATTTTAATTGACCATTTGAGAAATGCAAATCAAAACTACAGTGAGATATTATCTCATCTCAGTTATATTAACTTTTATCCAAAAGACAGGAAATAACAAATGCTGGTGAGAATGTGGAGAAAAGGAAAGCTTCATACACTGTTGGTGGGAATGTTAATTAGTACAACCACTATAGAAAACAGTTGGAGGCTCTTCAGAAAACTAAAAATAGAATTACCGTATGATTTGACAATCCCACTGCTAGGTATGTAACCAAAAGAAAGGAAATTAGTGTATCAAAGGAATATCTGCACTCCTGTGTTTATTGCAGTGATTGCAGTGCTATTCACAATAGCTGAGATTTGGAAGAAACCTAAGTGTCCATCAACAGATGAATGGATAAAATAAGCGTGGTACATATACACGTTCCAGTACTATTCAGCTATAAAACAGAGTGAGATCTTGTCATTTGCAACAACATGGATAGAGCTGGAAGACATTAAGTTAAGTGAAATAAGCTAGGCACAGAAAAGCAAACTTCACATGTTTTCACTGATTTCTGTGTGCTAAAAATTGAAACTATTGGACTCTTTGAGATAGAGAGTAGAATGATGGCTACTAGAGGCTGGGAAGGGTAGTGGGTGTGAGACAGAAGTGGGGTTGGTTAATGGGTACAAAATTATAGTTAGATTGAATAAATAAAATCTAGTATTTGCACAGAAGAGAGACTAAATTATTGTACATTTTAAAATAACTAAAAGAGTATAATTAAAATGTTTGTAATGCAAATAAATCATAAACGCTTGAGTCGATGGATACCTCATTTACTCTCATGTAATAATTACATCGTATGCTTGTATTAAAATGTCTCATGTACCCCATGCATATATACATCCACTATGTATCCATAAAAATTAAAAAATACTTGTTTTAGATATTATGCATTCCCTTCATTAAAGGAATATGATTTGTATATAAGAAATAAGAGTGATAATACAACATAGTAAATACAATGCAATTATGAATGCAGATGGACAAAGTCTGATCCAAGTTCAGCTGTTTTTAACAATTCTTTTTTGGACAAATATCTTATTACTTCCTAAATGGGAATGAACTTATCCAATTTGCAGAATTTTAGTGATAATTAGCTGTGGATATATCCGTATAACTATATGTTTGAGACATGGGTTGATGGATGAATATATCCATATAAATAGATTTATAATATGGATATATTTATATATATAAAGAGATATATTTATACATTTACTATATATCTTATTTTATATAAGATATATGTGTGTGTATATATGTGTGTGTGTATATATATAATATATATGTATATATATAAATGTGTGTGTGTGTACTTATAGGTATAATATCTCTTCCATCCCCTGGCACATCACAGGCTGTCTATGGCTCACATTTAATTGTTTCTCTCCTTTTTTTTTTTTTTTTTTTTTACCTTGAACACCATCCTAGTTTAGTTGTTGCTATTTTTAAAAGCTTGAATTTCTAAAAATATTAAATAAGGCTTCATGCAGGGTAGCAAACAATTTTGAGATATTATCAAAATATAACCATTGTTAAAACATCACCCTGAAGTCTGTGTACTGGAAGATATTAATGAAGTGATTAATACTTTACTCCCAGTGAGCTGCCCATCATGTTTTCCTAGGGATAAATGGACTACATTAATTGGCTTGTCTGACATTGGTAGTGGGAATGATTCTCAGTCCTTCTCTGCTGTCAGTCATGCAGACATCATCTAAAAGTCATGCTTGACATGTACAGAAAGGAATGGTCAGAGTTGTGGATTCTGTGGATAAAACTAATATCGACATTTATTTGGATAATATATCCTTATCTCTGAAGATTTATCCACATTTTAAGGAAAATGAGGTTTTCTTATCGGTAGCATAGTAATCAGCATTTTGAAAATTAAATGATATTTTAAGTTCAACAAAGAACTTTGTTTTAATTTTTTTGCGTGAAAAGTAAACAATATCTAAAAGTATCTACTGTATACCACAAATCCAAGTGTATAAATATTTAGTTTACATAAAGTGACATAAGCCAGAAACTGCTATATTCTGGTTAAAAACATGTACTTTAAAGAAATTAGTTAGCATTAAATATTAATCAGATTTTTTACCATTATTATAAAATACAGTTATGAAATTGAAAATAAATAACTATGCTTTAGTTTTTTTCATTCATTTTTTGTTTATGTAAAACACTCGATATTTTCATATGCCAGCAAAATACTGGGGATTAGAAGTCAATGATGCAAAATGTCCCTACTCTCAAAATGTTAGCTATGTCTTGAAAAGACAGTCAAGTAAACAGACATATATAAGCAACATACATGCCATGAGAAAATTATGGAACATACATAAGGTGCAAGAGCAGTCTATCAGAGACCTCGGTGCTGACCAGAGGAGTAGACAGAGCTTCCAGGGAGAGATGGCAGTGAAGCTTCTCCTTAAAAACTAATAAAAATTATATAAAATGCAGAGTGTTAAGTATAGTGACCCATGGAGAGGCAACATCATGAGTAAACACAAAGTTGAGAGTATCACACATTCAGACAATAAGAAGCAGTTCTTTTTTTGCTGGATTACAGAAAGACAGAGGGGAGTGACAGAAGGTGAGTCTAAAGTGTTATTAGGCAAGACCAGCTCATCACATCTTTTATGCCAAATTAATAATGATGGCCATATAATTTTTTATCCAAACAAAGGCACATCTTGAGAATAAACAAGGGCATCAATTAATGAATGCTGGCAAAACAAGATTCCATCAAACCTGTCCTTAGAAAACTAGGTAAATGACTTGTTGAGAAATGTAGGCTATATTCTAATGTGAAATCTTCTAAAACTTTTAATTGGAAGTCAGGTTTTATAAAGAATGCTTTGCTTACTTTTGAGTAATAATTATGCTGGGTAGTGTGTACATGGATCTTGGACTTTTTACCGAGTTGCAATAAACTGGGAAACATCTGGAACAATTTTATATAAGCAACTTTTCTAGCAGCTAAAAGGCCAATTGGACTTGTGCTTTCAAATTTGAGAAAATGAGATATATGCAGAAACTATCGTGCCTTTCAGCCACCAGAGTACTACTGGGGAAATTACTTCACTGAAAGTGTTAATGCAGCTTTCAAACTTGTTTAAAAGGAATGTTTTGGATTGTTAGACACTGAGAGAATCTGGCTTAACATTAATGTATCTGAAAAATCCTTAGACCCTAGAAATTGAAATCATATGAGTGAAATTGTAGAGCCCCTTGGTGTATGTTTAAGATGTCCTACCATCACTTTATATTTTATTCTGTTTTGCCTGGTTGGCACTGAAAATTCACAAAAGGCAAATCATAAAGTCATCTCTTCCTAAGTTTCTGCCAATATCAACTGCAAACAGTTTCAGGGTTTTATTTTTAAAGGAAAAAATATAATTTCACTTGCAATTTTGCAATGGCAGCTTTGTAGTGCTCCACATAGCCTGTTTTATATATACTGGTGAGTCTTGATTTTAAATTTAAGCAGTTAAACAGCTTGTGGATCTTTCGGTTGCATTCTATGAGAATCCGGATAATTCAGTATTATTTTACTACCTATTCTATAGACACATTCGTTCTGTTTTTCATATTCTGTTGGTAAATTAGCTGGATTTCTAACTAGACACCATCTCCAAAAGGCAGGTTGACAAATTTACTTGATGTATGATGAGTAGGCATTTTATAGATATGCCATATTCTACTTCATATATCAAGAAGTGTCAGAATGAAAATTTCTCCAAAGGCTCTGTGAGAAGAAAAACAGATGCTGACCCAGAGATCTGCTTTCCTAATGCAAATGTAAAGCAATTTGAAGACGTCCCTTTAGATGTCCATTTTTTAAAAAACCTTGCAGCAGCTGTTAGTTGTCATTAGAGATTTTTAGGGTGAGCCAGTTGTGACTATCAGGAGGAGTTTCTGAAGAACTTCTGGTAAGGTCTTCTGAGATCTGGACACCCAGGAGTGGTGTCATTGACAGCTGCTGGGAACTGTCATGGAAAACAGAAAAAACTAATGAGACATTGAGAATAGTCACAGAACACTACTTATGTATTTTCTGTAAGTGAATAAAAGAGATGATGAAAGACAAGGCAGGTAGTCAACTGCTTAAGGAACAATTTTGATTAAACATTTTATAGACTCTGATGGGTTATGATGCTAGAAACTCTTGTTGGGAACATAAAATAGCCAGCTGATTCCTTAAAAAGTATAAGAGTGGGACAAAGATGGAAGAACAGTGAGTTACATATGTTTACTGTTATTGAAATTATTGTCTAGCTCAGAAAAATTCTC
Organism: Homo sapiens; assembly: GCF_000001405.40. Taxonomy (NCBI): domain Eukaryota; kingdom Metazoa; phylum Chordata; class Mammalia; order Primates; family Hominidae; genus Homo; species Homo sapiens. The sequence continues at coordinate 59,937,261 of NC_000004.12, read as the reverse complement.
CGACTTGGACCTTGTTCAATCTAATTGATTATTTCTGTGAAATCATCACCAAACAATCAGATAACCAGGGATAGCCAAGAGATTTCCCTACGAAAGAAATAAATCATTATTTAAATAGTAACTCACTTTTACTTTCCAAATAAATAGCTTTAATAATTTGAATTATATAAGCCCTTAAATTTGATTTTAAATTATAGCAATAATATTTCAGTTATTCTAACATAACTATAATTCTGAAACCCTTTCTTGTCTCATGACCTTCATATTCACTTTTCTTTGTGTCTAGGGTATTCTTTTTCTGTACTCTAGCCGCTTAAGTCCTATTATCCTTCATGTATCTGCTTAAATAACATCTTTTCAGTGTAGATTTCCCTCACCCATAATTATCTCTCAGCAGCCTTTTACTTGCCCTCAAAGCACATATTAAATACACATAATTATGTACTTAGCTATATTTGCTTTCACTAGATTTTCAGCTGTATCTGACCATGCCCGTGTCTTTCCTTCTTTGGCTGGATTTACTTAATGCCTATCAGAGTGTTTGTCACGGACTTGGTACTCAGTCAATAATTATTTAACATATTACTCATATGTTACAAATATGTTTACAGAAGTATCACAGAAATTAACATCATCTCCAGAGTTTTAGAAAAATATATTTGAATAGTAAGAATATAATGCTTCTTGGTCAAATTAGACCTTTTAGACTAAATGATTATGGGAAGGTAAAGCCGGTAGGGAACAATCCGGGGCCTCCTGGTCCTCAAATCCACGATTTCACCAGCGTGCTGGCCTTCTAGAGACTTATCTATAACTGGAAGGAAGACATGGATTAATAACTGGGATGCACCTTCCAATGAAGTTTAACCTTAGTAAAAATATATGCCAGTAAGGATGAGCTGTTTGGTTGACATCAAACTTTTCCCTTATGAATATCTCTTTATTCTAGTGCAAGAAGAAGAGGCAGTTGAAGGACCCAGGGTTTGGTCATCTGCCTTCAGTAGCCTTCTCCAAAACTACAAAAACAGCAAATGCTTTAAAAATATGTTTTTAATTTTACCAAAATATTTAATAAAAAACTCTTTTTGGAGATGGTGAGACAAAACATGGTGTCAGAACCACCTATACGACATAAAACATAGGGAAATGTGAACCTTTTTCTATTCATGGGCTTTTACATTTTCTTATTTTTATTTGCACACATCTTTTCTCGGAAGAGCTTTGAGATTGAAACACTGAGTGAGATTTGTGAACAGACATTGGACAGATGAGTTATTACTGAGAAAGGATGATTACACTAAAACACCTAAAAAACATAGAAATGTATAAAAACGAGTCTTCACATTGACATATTGAGGGCGTGCCTGTGCCTGAAACCTGATTGCAAAACATAGTGGAGGTTAAGGAGAAGAAGTAGAATGGTTTTCTGTTTGTATTATTTTCATCCCGATCCAGGCCTGTTGATTCAGTCATATATGGAGATTCATAAAAGTGGGAAAACTTACGTAAACCATCCTCATTTTTACTCTCTCTCCCCAATTTTTAAATGGCATTTATTTAGTCAAAACACAGCCTTTGTCACCAAACAAGTATACCACTTTGATAAAAACTAGCAAAAAACACGTACTTCAAGAAGACTTTCTTAACTAAAATAAAAATTAAAAAGAACAAAATATAAACTCAACCATTTCTAATAATTTTTTATTCCACGTTTCTCTACACATAATTATAAATGGTAATAGGGAGATAATTCTGCATTTTTCATTTGTTCATAAGTATAACTGCTCATATAAATGAAGCTATGAATGGGTGCTTATTAAGTCTGAAAATTACTGAAGCATATTAAATAAATAGAATCAATATCAAATTATACATATTTTAAGTCAACTGTTAATATGCAATTATAAATACAAAATTCTAAATGTTGCATAACTTTTAGATGGTCATTTAGCAATAATCCAGGAGAAAATACTCTGCGTTTATAAGTGGCCGCAATATTAATATGAGGCAACAGTGTGACATAAATATTATAGATTATGTATACAACTAAGTTGCTTTTAAAACATATAATGTTGACATTATAGAAAGTATAACTCTAATTACATTAAGTACCACTCAGCATACATCTTGAATACTATGTTAATTTGATGTTTCATATCTTAAAAAATTATACTGTATAAAAATGAGAACAATATGGATGGTGAGGGGTTGATACATTTGAAGGGATTAAAAAATTATTAGCTTTTAGAAGGGAAAGACAAAGGACGGATGGCTATTGTCATATGTTTATGTTTGAAAGGCTGTCATACACAAGTCTGTAGCAATTCATTATCCAGTGGTCTCCAAAGTATTGTAAGGATGGGCATGCAAAAATGACCGGGAAGAAAATTTTAGGAAAAAAAATTAAAAATCTCTAATAGATTTTTAACTCCTTGAACACAGATATATGTCCTAATGCTTCATTTTTTGTCTTTAGTGCTTGGCATAGTGCCCCTCACATAAAAGTTCTTCAAAAATTAATGTCGAATAGATGAAGGTATTAACAAACACATCTGACCATTAATGAAATAATCAGCAGTGCAACGAAGTGAGCCTTTGACTGTTGAGAGTATTGAAGCAAAGGCTAAATGACTATCAAATTGGAATGCAATGAAAGTTGAGACAGTAAATATGCCTAATTTTAATTTGTGTCTTTTAAAATCAATTTAAAATCCATTTCAGGATTATATAGCTTATTATGTTTACAAACATTTCCATTAAGTGGAAGGTTGTAATATTTGCTCCTCTGCACCTTAAAATAGAAAGATGTAGTGGTTACTAGGACAGACGTTGGCATGAGGTAAATATGAAGCCAAATCTGGTATACAAAATCAAAATTTATTCTTATATCTTGCAGCCTTGTTTCTATCTGTAAGTGTGAATTACAACTGTAGGAAACTTTCTAGGGATGCTGTGAGAATAAAGTAAGATTTTTTTTACAGTCTCAGGCACAAAATATGGTTATAATCTCTCATATTAATTACTTGTTGATTTTATGTGTATTTTATATTATTCACTTGATGATATATGCATACTTTGACTATACAGTCATTATAAATCCATCTTGACCAGGCGCAGTGGCTCATGCCTGTAATCCCAGCACTTTGGGAGGCTGAGACAGGCTGATCAGAAGGTCAGGAGATCGAGACCATCCTGGCTAACATGGTGAAACCCTGTCTCTACTAAAAATACAAAAAAGAAAAAAAAAATTAGCCGGGCGTGGTGGCGGGTGCCTGTAGTCCCAGCTACTCAGGAGGCTGAGACAGGAGAATGGCGTGAACCCAGGAGGCAGAACTTGCAGTGAGCCGAGATCGCGCCACTGCACTCCAGCCTGGGCAACAAGTGAGACTCCGTCTCAAAAAAAAAAAAAAAAAAAAAAAAAAAAAAAATCCGTCTTATATTATCACTTCAAAGTAGTTGGTAGAGTGCTTTGTACAAAGCAGATGATAATTACACGAATAAATTGTCAGGCACTCAATGCTTGGGATTTCAGCTATTTAGAGTACTGCAGATCAGTATCTAAAAGGACATGCTGATGCTTTTCTTGCATGCCCATGGAGCCCAGCATGGCCTAGTGACAAAGTAGGCTCTTAATAAATATCTGTAACATTGGAATTCTCTCTATCTGCTTTATCATTTTGAATTTGAGATTATGTGGGAGAGACTAAAACAACGATAGGGTAAAATAGCAGAATTAGAGACAAGGGCAGTTTTCTTAGAACTAGAGTCAAGGTTTAATAGCATACTGAAACTTTGACAAAGCAAAAGGCAATAAATGTCAGGTCAAATAAGGACAAACTTATGGGACAGTATTTTAGCCAAAGGAAGAAGAGGACAAATAGTCTAAGTAAGAAAGAGAAGCCAAAATATGAGAAAGCCAAGGATTACAAAAGAAAGAAAGAAAGGAAAGAAAGGAAAGGAAGGAAGGAAGGAAGGAAGGAAGGAAGGAAGGAAGGAAGGAAGGAAGGAAGGGAAAGAAAGAAAGAAGGAAGGAAGGAAGGGAAAGAAGGAAGGAAGGAAGAATGAAGGAAGGAGAATGAAAGAGAGAGAGAGAGAAAGATAGAGAGGAAGGAAGAAAGATTAGTGAGAGAAAATGTTGGATATTATATCTTCCTCAGAAAGCTATGAGATCATTTGAAATGTTATCTAAATCCTCAGAATTAGATGATAGTGCTTTCTTCATGTGTGATATTTATAACACTAAAGATGTTTAAAGAAAGTAGTTAGTATGACCGATGGTAAAGAACACTAGATTCAACCATATCGCTGAACTTGTAGAAGTCACAGATATACATAATTATTGTTCAGGACTTTAAAATTGAAAGTCCTTGCTGGGCGTGGTGGCTCACGCCTGTAATCCCAGCACTTTGGGAGGCTGGCAGACCATGAGGTGAGGAGATAGAGACCATCCTGGCCACCATGGTGAAACCTCATCTCTATTAAAAATACAAAAATTAGCTGGGTGTGGGGGCAGGCACCTGTAACCCCAGCTACTCAGGAAGCTGAGGCAGGAGAATTGCTTGAACCCAGGAGACGGAGGTTGCAGTGAGCCGAGATCGCACCACTGCACTCCAGCCTGGATGACAGAGCAAGATTCCATTTCAAACAAACAAACAAATAAAAAAACAAATTGAAAGTCCTTACACAATTGTGTGTGTGTTTGTGGGCATATCAAGCCCTGCTATCCAAAAATAAGAGACTTTATTCAGCAGAGTAACTAAATTTATTTTATGATGCAAAATCAGTATTTTGCTTCATTTTATTGGAAATCATAAAATAAAGGGAAATTGACTAAGTGTCTCTATGTTTTATATCATTAACAACTCCGAATAAATTTTGTTTTAAAAAAGGACGTTTAAGAGCATAAAATTGAATGTGAACTTCTTCCATTAGATATTGCTTTAATTAACTGCTGATTTCCTAGATCCTGACAAGTTTAAATACACAGTTTGATTTGAAATAATTGTAGCCTGCAGATTTAGATTCTACTTGAATGTCACAGTTTCAGATTTGGTGTGTGTGGGTTTTTTTTAATTTTTAATTTTTGTGGATACCTGGTAGGCATATATATTATATTTATAGAGAGCATGAGATACTTTGATACAGGCATGGGAGGCATAATAACCAAATCGAGGTGAATAGGATAGCCATCCCCTCAAGCATTTATCCTTTGTGTTACAAACAATTTAATTATACTCTTTCATTTATTTTAAAGTGTATGACTAAATCAGTATTGAGTATAGTCACCCTGTTGTGCTATCAAGTAGTAGGTCTGATACAATCTTTCTAAATATTTTTGTACCCATTAACCAGCCCTAGTTCCTCCCACCACCAAAGATGTTGGGCACCTTTTCATAAGCCTGTTTGTCATTTGTATGTCTTCTTCTGCAAAATGTCTATTGAAATCATTTGCCCATTTTTAATGATGTTATACCTTTTTCCTTATAGAATTATTTGAGCTCCTTATAAATTCTGGTTATGAATCCCTTCTCATATGGTAGTTTGCAAATGTTTTCTTCCATTACATGTTTTGTATCTTCACTTTGTTATTTCCTTTGCTTTGCAGAAGTTTTTTAACTTCATGTGATCCCATTGGTCCATTTTTGCTTTGGTTGTCTGTGCTCGTGAGATATTACTCAAGACACCTTTGCTCAGACCAATGTCCTAGGGTCCTCAATGTTTTCATGTAATAGTTTCATAGTCTGAGGTCTTAGATTTAAATCATTAGCCCATTTTGATATAATTTTTTTATATTGCAAGAGATAGAGATCAAGTTTCATTCTTCTGCGTATAGATTCCCAATTTTCCCAGGGCTATTTATTGAAGAGATTGTGTTTTCTCAGTGTATGTTCTGGGCATTTTTGTTCAAAATGAGTTCACTGTAGGTGGGTGGATTTATTCTGGCATTCTCTATTCTATTTCATTAGTCCATATGTCTGTTTTTACTGTTTTGGTTACTATAGCTCTGTTTTATGCTCTTTTGGTTACTATAGTTCTGTAGTCTAATTTGAAGTCAGATAATGTGATTCCTTCAGTTTTCTTCTTGTTGCTTAGGATAGCTTTGGGTATTCTGGGCCTTTTCTGGTTTTACATAAATTTTAAGGTTGTTTATTCTATTTCTGTGAAGAAGAATGTCATTGGTATTTTGATAGCGATTGCATTGAATTTGTAGATTGCTTTGGGTAGTATGGACATTTACAAAATATTGATTCTTTTTATATTTTTGTATTCTCTTCAATTTCTTTCATCAGCATTTCATAATTTTCATTATAGAGATCTTTTACCTCTTTGGTTAGTTCCTAGGTATTTAATTTTATTTGTGACTGTTTTAAAAAAGATTACCCCTTTGATTTCTTTGTCAGACTGTTCACTTTTGGCACACAGAAATACAAATGATTTTTGTTTGTTATTTTGTATTCTGCAACTTTAATGAATTTGTTTATTAGTTCTAGTAGTTTTTTGGTGGAGTGTTTAGGTTTTTCCAAATATAAGATCACATCCGTCAAACAAGAATAATTTGATTTATTTCTTTCCAATTTGGATGTCCTTTCTTTCTTTTGTCTGATATCTCTAACTAGCACTTCCAGTACTATGTTGAATAACAGTAGTGAAAGTAGATGTCCTTGTCCTGTTCCATATCTTAGAGGAAAAGCTCTCAGTTTTCTCCCGCTTCAGTATGATACTAGTTGTATATCTGTTGTATACAGCTTTTATTATTTGGAGGTATATTCTTTCTTTACCCAGTTTTTCAAGGGTTTTTAATGAGAAAGAATATTGAATCTTATCAAATGCTTTTTCAGCCTCAATTGAAATAATCATGTGGATTTTGTCCTTAATTCTCTGGATATGATTTATTACATTGATTAATTTGTATATGTTGAATCTTCCTTGCATCCCTGGGATAAATTCTATTTGGTAATGATGAATGTTCGATCTTCTTAATTTATTGTTGAATTCCATTTGCTGGTACTTTTTGAGAATTGTTACATCAATATTTATCAGATATATTGGCCTGAAGTTTTCTTTGTTTTAATGTGTCTGTCTGGTTTTGATGTCAGGGTAATACTGGCCTCATAGAATAAGTTTGGAAGTATCCCTTGCTCCTCTAGTTTTTGGAATAGTTTGAGTAGGATTGGTATTAATTATTTAAATGTTTGGTAGAATTAAGCAGTGAATACAATGGGATCTGGCTTTTCTCTACTAGGAGATCTTTTATTATGACTTCAATCTTATTTCTTGTTATTGCTCTGTTCAGATTTTGAATTTCTTCATAATTTAATCTCGGCAAGGTTGTATATGCCTAGGAATTCATTTTCTCTAGATTTTCCTATTTATTGACATGTAGTTGATCATGGTAGCCACTAATGTTCCTTTGACTTTCTGTAGTATCAGTTGTAATGTCTCCTTTTTCTTCTCTGATTTTATTGATTTGAGCCTTCTCTCTTCTCAGCTAGTCTGGCTAAAGGTTGTCAATTTTCTTTGTCTTTCCAAAAAACACACATTTCCTCTTGGTGATCTTTTTGATCATTTTCTTTATTTCAGTTTCATTTATTTCTGCTCTGATCTTTGTTATTTCTTTTCTTCTACTAATTTTAGGTTTGGTTTGCTTTTGCTGTTTTTGTTCTTCAACATGCATTATTAAGTTATTTATTTGTTTTTTTTTCCTATTTTGATATGAACACTTAATAGCTATAAATTGCCCTCTTAGTACTGCTTTCACTGTATCCATATGTTTTGGTATGTTTTGTTTTCATTATCATTTGTTTTAAGAAATATTCTGATTTTCTCAATTTCTTCATTGATCCACTGGTCATTTAGGAGCATATTGTTTAATTTGTATGTGTTTGTGTAGTTTCTAAAATGTCTCCTTATTTATTTCTAGTTTTATTCCATTGTGTCAGAGAAGATATGTAACATTATTTTAATTTTTGAACATTTTAAGACTTGTTTTGTGACCTAACATATGGTCTACCTTTGAAAATAATTCATGTGCTGGGAAGAAGAATGTATATTCCTAAGCCATTGGATGAAAAGTTCTGTAAATATCTATTAGATCCATTTGTTCTTTAGTGCAGATAAGTTAGATATTTCTTTGTTGATTTTCAGACTGGGAGACTGTCTATTGCTGAAAGTGAAGTGTTAAAGACTCTAGCTATTATTGGATTGAGGTCTATGTCTCTCCTTAGCTCTAATATATGCTTTATGTATTTTGGTGACGTTGGGTGCATACGTATTTACTACTGTTATATCTCTGAGATGGTTTGGAACTGTGTCCCCAACAAATCTCATGTCAAATTATAATTCCTAATGATGGAGGTGGGGCCTGGTTGGAGGTGAGTGGATCATGGAGGCAGTTTCTCCTGAATAGTTTGACTCCATTCCCTTTGGTACTGCTGCCACACTGCTAAGCGAGTTCTCATAAGATCTGGTTGTTTGAAAGTGTGTAGCACCTCCCCTATCTTTCTCTCTTCTTCCTGCTCAGACCATGTGAAGTGCTGACTCCTCCTTTGCCACCCACCATGATTGTATGTCTCCTGAGGCTTCTCCAGAAGCTGAGCAGATAGCAGCATCATATTTTCTGTACAGCCTGTCAAACTGTGAGCCAATTAAACTTACTTTCTTTCTAAATTACCCTCTCAGCTATTTCTTTATAGCAGGGTGAAATGAACTAATACAATTCTCTTACTGAATGCACCTCTTTATTATTGCATAATGACATTCTTCATCTCTATTTATAGAGTTTTTTTTTTTTTTTTTTTTGATGGAGTCTTGCTCCGTTGCCCAGGCTCGAGTGCAGTGGTACGACCTTGGCTCACTGAAACATTCACCTCCCAGGTTCAAGTGATTCTCCTGCCTCAGCTTCCCAAGTAGTTGGGACTATAGGCACACACCACCACACCTGGGTAATTTTTGCATTTTTTTTTTTTTTTTTAGTAGAGACAGGTTTTCACCATGTTGGCCTGGCTGGTCTCGATCTCCTGACCTCAAGTGATTTGCCCAGTTCAGCCTCCCAAAATGCTGGGATTCCAGGCATGAGCCACCGTTCCTGGCCCTACAGTTTGTGTCTTGAAATGTATTTTTTTTCTGATATAAATATAGCTGTTCCTGCTCGCTTTTTTGTTTTCATTGCATGGAGTCTTTTTTCCGTCTATTTATTTTAAGTCTATGTGTATCTTTATAGGTTAAGCGTGTTTTTTGCAGTCCACAGATAATTGGGTCTTTTTTTTTTAACTCAATTCAGTTACTCTATGTCTTTCGATTGAAGAGTTTAGTCCTTTTATAATCAACATTATTATTGATGAATAAGTCTTACTCCTGCCATTTTCTTTTTTGTTTTCTGATTGTTTTGTAGTCTTCTTTTCCTTCTTTCCTTCCTTCTTGTCTTCCTTTTAGTGAAGGTGATTTTCTCTGGTGTTATAATTTAATTTCTTGCTTTTTATTTTTTGTATATTTATTTCATGTTTTTCAATTTCAAGTTACCATGAGGCTTGCAAATAATATCTTATAACCCATTATTTTAAACTGGTGACAACTTAGCACAGCATAAACAAACAAGCAAAGAGAACAGTAATAAAAACTTTATCTTCATACTTCCACTTTCTCACTTTTTATTGTTACTTTATGTCTTATTGTAGTGTATATATCTTGAAAAGTTATTGTAATTATTATTTTTGTGGGATCATCATTTTGTGTTTCTACTTAAGAGTAGTTTACAAATCACAATTACAGTGCTATAATGGTCTGTGTTTTTCTGTGTGCTTATTATTACCAGTTTTTCACATTCAGGTAATTAGGTATTGCTCATTTGCTCATTAATATCCTCTTTTTCCCATCGAACTTCCAGATAATTCCTTATTGCTAATTAATGTCCTTTTCTTTCATATTGAAGAAATCACTAGAGCATTTTTGGTAGGATAGATCTGCTATTGATGTAATCCCTCAGCTTTTGTTTGTTTGGTAAATCCTTTATTTCTCCTTCATGCTTGAAGTATATTTTTGCTGGATAAACTAATCTAGTGTAAAGTTGTTTTTGTTTTTGTTTTTTCCTTCAGCACTTTAAGTATGTCATGCCACCCTCTCCTGTAAAAAAATCTGCAAGTTTTCCACTAAATATTGGCTGCCAGATGTATTAGAGTTCTGTTTTATGTAATTTGTTTTTTGTCTTCTACTCCTTTTAGAATTTCTTTATCTTTGATCTTTGGGAATTTGATGATTAAATGCCTTGAGGTAGGCTCCTCTGTGTGGACTCTGCTTGGTGTTCTATAACCTTCTTGTACTTGAATGTCAATATAGTTCTCTAGGTGTAGGAAGTTTTATGATAGTATTCCTTTGAATAAAATTTCTACCCTTATCTCTTTATACTTCTCTTCTTTGAGGCCAATAACTCCTAGATTTACCCTTTTGAGACTATTTTCTAGATCTTGTCATTGTACTTTTGTTTATTGTTATTTCTTTTGTCTCCTCTGACTATATAGTGACATGTCGCCTTTCTTTAAGTTCACTAATTCTTTCTTCATCTTGATCAATCCTGCTATTAAGATACTTTGATGCATTCTTCAGTAGGTCAGTTACATTTTTCTACTCCAGAATTTCTGCTTCTTTTTAATGATTTCAATCTCTTTGCTGAATTTATTGGATAGAATTCTGAATTAATTTTCTCTGTTATCTCATTTTTTTTAGATTCCTCAAAATAGCTATTTTGAATTCTCTGTCTGAAAGGTCACATATCTCTGTTTCTCCAGGATTGGTCTCTGGTTCCTTATTTAGTTCATTTGGTAAGGCCATTTTACCTGGATGATCTTGAAATTTTTGGATGTTCTTCAGAGTCTGGGCATTTAAATGTGAAGTTTTTATTGCAGTCTTCACAGTCTGAGCTTGTTTGTGCCTGTTTTTCTTCAGAAGGTTTTTCACGTATTTGAAGCAACTTAAGCTCCAAGCCAAATAATGCTATAGTTCTTGCATACTCATCAGGGTACTGCCTTTGTGGTCTTGGTTAAGATCCAGAAGCATTCTCTAGATTACTAGGCTGAGACTCCTATTCTTTTCCCTTACTTTATCCAAAACAAATGAAGTCTCTCCCTCTATACTGAGATGCCTAGAGCTGGGGATGGTTGGATTCAAGCACCCCTGTGGCCACCACGAATGGAGTATGCAGGGAGAGACCTGAAAGCAACAGAGCAGTGTGTTTTACCCAAGATTCATTGTAACCACTATATAGCTACCACCTATGTTCACACAAGACACTTGGTGTCCACAATCAGCAAGTGTGGAAGCCAGACTGGCTTGTATCCTTCACCCTTCACTTCAGGGCAGTGAGTTCCCTCATGTGCTGGGCTGAGTTCCCTCATGTGCTGGGTGGGTCCAGAGATGCCGTCTGCAAGCCAAGGGTTGGAGTCAAAAAGCTTAGATATCTACCTAGTGTACCATTCTACTGCATTTGTCTGAGCTGGCACCAAACCATAAGACAGTGCCTTTCTTGTTCCTCCCTTTCCCTTCCACAGGAAGAGGAGCTTCTCCCAGTGGCTCCCACCACCACTTGCCCACAGGGACACACGGACTGAAATTTCTTTCAAGTTTATCTAGAACCCCAGAGCACTGTAGCCTGTGGTGGTGAGGTTTGCCAAAAACTCAAGTTCTGACATCTGGGATGGGTAATTGCCCTCTGGCTAAGGCTGTTCCAAATGTATCCTCTGTGCATGGGTGCTGGCTAAGCCCAGCATGGCTTGGTCTCTGCTGTGACAGGCAGCATTGTGCTCACCCTCCCCAAAGGCATAGATTCTCTCTGCCTGCCACACAGCCACTGCTGGGAGAAATGAGGATTATGTCAACAGAAATTTGAGAATTCCTACTCACTTCTGTGATGGCTTAGATGATTTTTGGTCCTTTTTAAAAAGATTTTTTATTTTAATTTTTGTGAATGCATAGTAGATCTGTGGGGATACATGAGATGTTCTGATGCAGGCATAAAAGTGTAATAATTACATTGTATAAAATGGGCATCTATCCTCTCAAGCATTTATCCTTTGTGTTACAAATAATCAAGTTATAGTCTTTTAGTTATTCTAACCCTTTTTCTGTCTGTTCCAAGAATACTCACCAGCAACACTTGTGACTGCATTGTTTACCCTGAGATAACTTTGCCACAAAATATCTTACTTTCATTATTATTTTTGCATCACTCTACTATATCAACTTTGGAAAGAAAAAAAATGTCATTCTATTAATAGCATTCTGTTTTTAGTAGTGGTATTTCCATGTACAAAATATAGTCATTCTCAAGTGCTGAAAATGTCAAATCCTAGAAAACGTAGCATTTCTACGTGTGATGTTAACTTCATTCTCAGTTGGCTGAAGATTCATTTGATGAATCCAATTTTTCCGAAATAGATGATTCTGATGATTCAGACGATTCTGATGTTAGTTCTGTTTAGAAATAACTTCAAAAACTGTTTTTACATTTTATTTTCACATCGAACATCAGTCAGATTTGCTTCAGCCTCAAAGATTGTTTTTATGTAAAATTAAAAGAGTGCTGGCAGCAATCTGCACTTTTTTTTTCTAAATGAGAAAAGGGTTAAATTGTACAAATAAATGATTATTGACTATAGTCATCATATTGTGCTATCAAATACTAGGTCTTATTTATTTTTTCTAACTATTTTTGTACCCATTAACCATCTCACTACCCTTCTCAGCCGCTGGTAACCATCCTTCTACTCTCTATCTCCATGAGTTGAATTGTTTTTATTTTTAGCTACCACAAATAAATAAAAACATGTGATGTTTGTCTTTCTGTACCTGGCTTATTTCACTTAGCATAGTGACCTCCAGTTTCATCTGTGTTGTTGCAAATGACAGGGCCTCATTCTTTTTCATGGCTGAAGAGTATGCCTTTGAGTGTATTTATCCATTCACCTGCTGGTGGATACTAAGGTTGCTTCCAAATCTTGGGTATAGTTAACAGTGCTGCAGCAAACACAGATGTGCAGATACTCCTTTTATATATTGATTTTCTTTATTTGGGGTATATACCTAGCAATGAGATTGATGGATCATATAGTACCTCTATTTTTAGGTTTTTGAGGAGCTACAAAACTATTCTTCAGCGTGATTGTATGAATTTACATTCCTCCCAACAGTGTATGAGGTTTTCCTTTTCTCCACGTTCTTGCCAGGATTTGTCATTACCTGTGTTTTGAATAAAAGGTATTTTAGCTGGGGTAGGATAATATCACTGTGTAGTTTTGATTTGGATTTCTCTGATGATGAATTATGTGGAGCACCTTTTCATATGCTCGTTTCTCGTTTGTATGCTGAAAAATGTCTATACAGATCTTTTGCCCATTTTTAGCTGGATTATTAAAATTTTTTCTAGAGAGTTGTTTGAGCTCCTTCTATATTCTGGTTATTAATCCTCTGTCAGATGGGCACTTTGAAAATGTTTTCTCCCATTTTATGTATTGGCTCTTCACATTATTGATTATTTTCTGTGCCATTCAGAAGCTTTTGAACTGGATGCAATTCCATTTGACCATTTTTGCTTTGTTTGCCTGTGCTTGTGGGATATTACCCAAAAAAAGTTTTGCCCAGACCAATGTCCTGAAGTGTTTCCCTTATGTTTGTAGTAGTTTCATAGTTTGAGGTCTTAGATTTAAGACTTTAATGCATTTTGATTTGACTTTTGAATATGGTAAGAGATTGGGGTCTAGTTTTATTCTTCTGCATATGGATATCCAGTTTTCTCAGCACTATTTACTGAAGAGGCTGTTCTTTCCCCAGTCTGTGTTCTTGGCACCTTTGTTGAAAATGAGTTCCCTGTGTGTGTTAGAATTTGTTTCTGGGATCTCTAATCTGTTTTGATTACTACAGATCTGTAGTGTAATTTGAAGTCAGACAGTGCGATTCCAGCAGTTTTGTTCTTTTTGCTTAGGATACCTTTGGGTATTATGGGTCTTTTGTGGCTCCATATAAATTTTAGGATCATTTCTTCTATTTCTGTGAAGAAAATCACTGGCATTTTGATAGGAATTGCGTTGAATCTGTAGATCGTTTTGGTTTATTGACCATTTAACAATATTGATATTTTTCCCAATCCATGATCGTGAAATAACTTTTTTATGTTTTTTTATCCTCTTCAATTTCTTTCATCAGTGCTTTATAGGTTTCATTATAGAGATGTTTTAATTATTTTGTTAATTCCTAGATATTTAATTTTATTTTTAGCTATTATAAATGGGATTGCTTTTTAAATTCTTTTTCAAATTGTTCACTGTTAGCCTATGGAAATACCACTAATTTTTGTATGTTTGTTTTGTATCTTCCAAGTGTACTGAACTCAATTATCAGTTCTAACAGTTTATTGGTGGAGTCTTTAGGTTTGTCCAAATATAAGATTCTTTCATCTGCAAACGAAGATAATTTGATTCTTTCCTTTCCAATTTGGATGCCCTTGATTTCTTTTGTTTGCTTGATTGCTCTAGCTAGTACTTCCAGCACAATGTTGAATAACAGTGGTGAGAGCGGGCATTCTTGTCATGTTTCAGATCTTAGTGAAAAGCTTCAGGTTTTCCCCATTGTTTATGACACTAACCTAACTGTATGTCTGTCATATACAGCTTTTATTATGTTGAGGTATGTTCTTTCTATACCCATTTTTTCAGGAGTTCTTATCATGATGGGATGTTGAATTCTATCAAGTGCTTTTTCATCATCAATTGAAATGATCATATGTTTTTTGTTCTTTATTCTGTTGATATGATCTATTACATATTCTGATTTGCATATATAGAACGATTCTTACATCCCTGGGATAAATCTCACTTGGTTATAATGAATAATCTTTTTAATGTTGTTGAATTCAGTTTGCTAGTATTTTGTTAAGGATTTTTACATCAATATTCATCAGCTCTATTGGCCAGTAGTTTTCTTTTTGATATGGTTTTGTCTGATATTATTATCAGGGTCATTCTGGCCTCATAAAATGAATTTGGAAGTATTTCCTCCTCTTCTGTTTTTTTTTTTAATGATAGTTTGAGTGAAATTGGTATTAGTTTATTAAATATTTGGTAGAATTCAGCAGTGAAGCCATCAGGTCCTAGTCTTTTGTTTTTTAGGAGAATTTGTACTGTGGCTTTGATCTAGTTAGTTGTTACTGGTCTGTTGAGATTTTGGATTTCTTCTTGGCTCTATCTTGGTAGGTTGTATGTGTCTAGGAATTCTTTCATTTTTTCTAGATTTTCCAATTTATTGGCACACAGTTGTTCATAGTAACCACTAATGAGCCTTTGAATTTTTGCAGTATCAGTTATACTGTCTCCTTTTTTCATCTTTGATTTTATTTATTTGGATGTTTTCTCTTTTCTTTATCTTAGTCTAACTGAAGTTTTGTCAATTTTATTTAACTTTTGGAAAAAAAAAACTACTTTTTGTTTCATTAACCTGTAACTTTAGAAGTCTATGTACGTTCCATTGTACTGTGGCTAAGCTGGCAATTAAACCACAAGATGCAGTCCTTCCAACTCTCCCTTTCCTTTCCAAAGGCAGAGGAGCCTCATTCCATTGCCACCACCACCATAGGCCCATAGGGAGTAGTGCCAGACTATCATCAATGTTCCCTTACGGGCCAGTAGCTCTTCAGTCAGCTTTTGGCGAATGCTGCCTGGCCTTGGACTCACCATTCAAGGCAGATAGCTCCTTCCTGGGCCAGGGCAGGTCCAGAAATGCCATACAAGAGCAAGGTTCTGGAACCGGGGATGCTGAGGTTCCACTTAGTTCTTTATCACAGTGTGGCTGAACTTGTACCTAAAGCACAAGATGAAGTGCCCTTTACTTTTCCTTCCAATTGTCTCAAGAAGAGGGAATCTCAGCCTTGTAGCCACCACAGCTGTAAATGTTTTAAGTGCCACCTGAAGCCAGCAAGTCTCAGAGTCTCACCCAAGGCCCTTGATGTAGACCTGGGTATCACTGCTGGTTATTCAGGGTCCAAGGGCTCTTCAGTTAGCAGGTGATAAATCTTGTCAAGGCTGAATTCTTTCCTTAAAGCCAGTGAGTTCTCTTCTATTCCAGGTTGTGTTTAAAAATGTCATCAGGGAGCTAGGGCCTAGAAAAAGGACCTCACGACTCTGAATGGTGCCTTATCCTGCTGTGGCTGAGCTGGCATCCAAGATGTAAGACAAAGTCCTCCCCACTCTTCCCTCTCCTGTCCTCAAGTGGAGGAAAGTGGTCTTTTTTGGAGCTGCGAGCTATGCAGCTTAGGGTTAGGGGAGGAGTGATTTCGTCACTCCCTTAGCCACCCTGGCTAATGTCTTAGTATGTCTTGTGCCTCCACCACCCACTGGCTCTGGGCTTAGTTCAGCTCTAGGACTCGCCTGAAAGTTGCAGTCCTTGTGGCCTAGACTGGTTTTTAAGTTTATTTAGGGCCCTAAAGAACTTTGGCCTGTGCTGGTCAGGCTTGTGGGAACTCAAGTTCAGGCTGCTGTAATCAGCAATGCTGTTCTGGCTAAGGCTGGTTTAAATGCTCCCTTGGTGGGCAATTGTCAACTGAGCTTGATTTAGTTTTGTTTTCTGTTACAACAGAGCAGCACTGAGTTAAATGCCTCACAGTTGCTGCAACATCCCTCTCCCTAACGCACAGAAATGCTCTGCACATCATGCTACCTCTGCTGGGGGATGGGAGAAGAGCAGCATCGGTGATACAAGACTGAATTTACTACCTCTTCCGTGGCTTTTTCAGCAATAAGAAGTTAAAACTAGGTACTGTGAGTGCTTCACTGATTTTTGTTTCTTATGAGGGTGCTTTGTTTTGTGTGTGCAGATAATTGTTAAACTGGTGTCTTTGTGGGGAGGACAATTGGTATAGTCTTCTATTCTATTTTCTTGCTCTGCCCCACGTCCTGATTTTGTTTTTTATGACAATGATTTGTTGTTGTTGTGTGTAGTTAGTTGTTTAAATTTAGTGTTCCTGTGGGGAGGATGATCAGTAAAGGCTTCTATTCAGCCATCTTGCTCTAACCTTTCTAGTTTCAGGTTTTCTAACAGTTTAGGAAATCACTTTTGTTTACTTTTAGCCACTAAAAAAAGGTCTAGTACAGAATTTTCCACAATAAGAGAGTATACATCTTTGGTCTACCACCATGTATTTGAAGCTTATTTAAAAGAAATGAAATGCACATTGATAAAATGCTGTTTAAAAGCACTCAGGCTGTAGAATAAAGAAGAAAAAGAGTTGGAGCAGAGTCAAGGATTCAGTTGAACTCAAAATAGCTTCAAGTCTGAGAAAAAGTAGCATTTATTGAAGTCACACTCACTATGTGTTTGTATTGTGTTGCAGAAAGCATTTTAGCTTGGGATGTAATTATAAAACATAGCCCTTTCATATAATTATTTTTCTAGTTCTTTTTAGTAGCTAAGCTGAGAAATTGATGATGCAAAACAACATGGAAGTGAGAAAAATTCAGTACACATGATAGAAATTAAACATTCCTCTATCCTTTGACTACCATTTTGAAACAAATTAACTGTCCGAGAGGAACCCAGCTACACAATTTATTCCACTATGTTATTGTTTCAGTCACAAATACAATATGTGATAATGAGATAATTTAAGTGAAGAGGAACCAGGTAAGGTCCATTATGGGCTTGGGAATACTCATCAAGTTAAATATTGAAATAGATACCATAAAGCCGTATACTTTATTATAATAGAGAACATAATTATTTATCAGAGTAATTGTATATATTTGCAAATACCTAATAAAGAGACATAGTTATTACAGTCAAAGTTTTTACACAATACTTTACCTTAATGCTGCTTAAGGTAAACATGGGAAATACATTAACTTAAAAACAACCTTGTAGTACAGCTTGGAATAGTTCTGTTTCATGATCACAGTTGTGGTCATATAAAACTATGCATATGATAGAATTGCATAGACACACACACACATACACATACACACAATGGGCGCATGAAAACTCAATTAGCCCTATGAGTGTACCAACATCAGTTTTCTGGTTCTAATATTGTGCAATGGCTTTATAAGTCTGTAACATTGAAGAATGCAGGGTAGAGATCCATGAGACATCCAGATTCATTTTTACAACTTTCTGTAAATCTATAATTATTTTAAAATGAAAACTTTAAAAAAAGAGTAAGAGAAACTTAAGATAATACCCCCAAATCTTAGGCCATTCAAGCTGGTATAAAAGAATACCAAAAACTAGGTAGCTTATTTATTTCTCACAGTTCTAAAAGTTGGGAAATCCAAAATTAAAGTGCCAGGAAATTCAGTGTCTGATGAGGGTCCACTTCCTGGTTAATACTTGGCCATCTTCTTGTCCTCACATGGTGGAAGGGGTGAGGGAGCTCTCTGGGTTCTCTTTTATAAGGGCACTTTCTAATTCCATTCATAAGGGCTTCACTCTCTTGACCCAATCACCTGTCAAAAGGCCTCATCTTCTAAAACCATCACACTGGTGATTAGATTTTTAACATATGATTTTAGGAGGACATAAATATTAGTCTATAGCACACCAGAAATAAAACTTTGACCTTGTTTTGAACCTGATTAATATTAACTGTAAAAAAGAAGAAAAAAATTAAAATACATGATCGACAAAATTCAAAGACTGATAATTTGCTATTCGGGCATTAATGTTAATTTTGTAAGGTATCAATGCTTTTGGTTATTTTAGAATGTTATAATATCAACCAAGTCATAAATGGGATTTTTCCTGAAATTAAAAGTAAAATAAAATTTTATAAATTAGTCAAACTGTATTAGTATTTTCACACTGCTGATTGCTGATGAAAACATACCTGAGACTGGGTAATTTATAAAGAAAAAGAGGTTTAATGGCCTCAGTTCAGTGTCACTGGGGAGACCTCACAACATGGCAGAAGGCAAAAGGCACCTCTTACATGGCAGCAGACAAAATGAGAACCAAGGGAAGGGGGTTTCCCCTAATAAATCATCAGATCTCATGAGACTTATTCACTACCAGGAGAACACTATGAGAGAAACTGCCCGGATGATCCAATTATCTCCTGCAGGGTCCCCTTTACAACACACAAAAATTATGAGAGCTGCAATTCAAGATGAGATTTGGATGGGGACACAGACAAACCATGTCACAAACAAACAAACAAAAAATACCCCAGCCCATTATATGTTTGATTCACCGAGTTCCCTTGTCTGTTTCAGGCTAAGTCAAAACTAAGTAAACTCATGTTCATTTCCATGAATATGCCACCTCAAAGCATAACTTGTTTATGTGTTAGGGACAGTTTGATAACAATGGAGCAAGACACGTAACAAATCTCTCCTCTCTGTTTCTCAGCTTTCGGCAATTTTTGTCTCCATTTTGCTTATGGACTTGGAAGTTTGTTTGTGGATATAATTTAAATTTTTATTGCATTCGTCTACTAGTATCCTCTAACTTTTTCAATAGAAACCTTGACAACTCATTTGTTCATTCTCACCTAAAAGTAATTTATTGGTTGTTAACTTCCTTTTAAAAAGGAAATTATGAGTTGTTAAAAAACTTTTAAAACCTTTATTGATCTCCTGTATTGGCATCTGCTCCTCAGTCATCTTGCTGTGTGTGAGATCATCGGCTAGAACATCAGTCTATCCTCTCTTCTAGTTAGGTGTCCGTATGAAATCTAATGACAAAATTCTCCCAAGGGATACAATAAAGTGTTTTATCCAAAACAGCACACAAAATCATTTTTTGTAATGCATTTATCATAGATTTCTGAAGTTTGACAGATCCAGACATAAACTTGAGCTCAATCACTTGGTGTAAACTTGATTGAGTTACTATTTGTATCTTTAAGTTTAGGGTTTTTTTTTTCTGTAATTTGGGATGACAAGAGAACTTACTTTATATGTTTGCTATAATTTTAAGTGCTGAAGAAAATATTGCATGTAAAATTTCTGGCCCAAGGATGATAATTCTGTATGTATGCATGAGTGTGTGTGTGTGTGTGTGTGTGTGTGTAAGGGCAATCAAGTTTCAGTATATTGAGTAGAACAAGTCCTCATCAGTCTTGGATAGTTAAAGATAGTATATTTATAATATGGAACAGAAACAACAATGGCTTAAAATACACAATCTTTCCATTTGGCAGATAATAGTAATGATGAATCTATATTATTTATATTACCATATATTTGCTTGAAATACCAAAAACAAATAAATGAACAAATATTATTGGTACAGCTGGAAGCACTAAACAAAGCATTCAATAAGGATAATTGATATAACTAAAATATTACAAGAAATAAAAGGAAATTCTGGTTCTTCTTTTAGACGATAAAAATGATACATACACAGCATAAGTAGTTATAGCAAGGGAATGTACCAGGATATATTTTCTGTTACCTCATATAATTAAACAAACATACATTCCAATGCAGTTGAAAGTTTTCGGAAGAGTTCATCCAGGAGAAGAAGTTTAAAGGTATCTGTGGGAAAAATTATTTTTCATTGCCTTTCAATAGGAGGCCAGCCGGTACTATGATTGTTTTTCTTCCTTTCTGCTGTTATTGTACTCTATTTGCTTCAGGGAAGATGAAAATAACATTTTTTTCTATATGAGCTACAAAAAAAGACAAGACTTTCTTTACTGGGGAAACATAGAGGACAAAAATGATCACAGAAAAGCTGAAGTAGCCTTAGCAAGCTAATTACAGTGATTGCCTTTAGCAGATAATATTTCACATTTACAACAAACTCAGCTATTTATCAGTATAGCTATAGATTTTGGATAACCCATGCCATTTTAATATGAATAGTATATATTATTACACAAATGTGTTTATCACATTTCCTGCAATGCAGGTTTTTGAAATTGATTTTTAAATAGAAAAAAAAGGAGCTTAATGTTTAGCAATGCATCTTGCTGTGATGGATTTTTCTTTCTCAGCATATCAAGTGGATCTTGGACTGCTGGATAAGATATTGGTGGGCTTAGGTAACCATGTAGGGTGTTTTCGCCATGTCTCTATAAACCCGTATTACTGGTGGGAAATAAAGAACTTCTGTTGTGTATGAATGGATAGCACTGATGAATTATCTTCAATGTCTATGATTGGAATGATTATGGAACTATATCAGCTACCTTTCTCAGTGCCTTCTGTGCTTATCAGACCAACTATGAATGATTCAGAGAAGCATGCCATCTTTACTTTCATAACAGAACTTATGCTGTAAGTGTAGAGATGTGGTAAACATGCTTGAATCTTAATTTTGAAAGAATACCAACCTAAACTTTCCCCCACCAAGCTCAAGTGAACAAATAAAACTGACTAGTAACTCAGGAAAAAATATTGAAGGTAAAATTTTAAAATTGCCTAACATTGACCACTAATTCTCATTGAAAATCTACAACATCACTTTGACTTTTCTCTCATCTCAGTAGCAAAGATTGCATTAGTTAGGGTTCTCTAGAGGGACAGAACTCATAGAATATGTGTGTGTGTGTGTGTGTGTGTGTGTGTATATATATATGATATATAGAATATATATAGGATATATATAGGATGTACATATAGGATATATATATAGGATATATATAGGATATATATATAGGATATATATATCTATATGAGGATATATATATGAGGACATATATATATGAGGATATATATATGAGGACATATATATATGAGGATATATATGTGTATATATATATATGTACACACACACACATACACACACATACATATATGTATATGTGTGTATATATATACACACATATTTACAAGGTCTCACAATAAGCCATCTGAAAGCTGAGGAGCAAGGAGAGCCAGTCCAAGTCCCAAAACTGAAGAAACTGGAGTCTGATGTTCGAGGGCAGGAAGCAACCAGTGTGGGAGAAACATGTAGGCTGTGGGGCTAGACTAGTCTAGTCTTTTCCCATTTTTCTGCTTGCTTTATATTCTAGCCACACCGGCAGCTGATTAGATGGTGTCCACCGAGAATACAGGTGGGAATGCCTTTCCCAGCCCACTGACTCGAATGTTAATCTCCTTTAGCAACACCCTCACAGACAATCTAGGATCAATACTTTGCATCCTTCAATCCAATCAAGTTGACACTCAGTATTAACCATCACAAGTCCACCCCTTGTCAAAGGGAACCCATACACATCTCTTGAGAGCGTATGTAATCTTCAAATAAAGATGGTAATAAGGTCATAATTACACCTAACATAACACAACTATCCTTCGTACAACTGGAAACACACCAATCTCCAACCCAGATACTATAACCACAAAATTAACAATACCTAAATGCAGATATGAAGTCAATAATCTTATTTCATGTTGTAAAGGAAAAAGGAAATAAAATAAAGATATTTTCTTAGTACAAGTATATACATGCACAAACATGTTTTCAACAAAAGAAGAAGGAAATACTCATGACAATTACAGTCCTCATTTCTGCAGCTGGTCATGTGTTTTTAGCTGGTATTGATGATTACCTTCTTCTACTACTCATTCTGTATTCCCTTTGCCTTCAGCAAGCACTTCAGCAGGTCATGTTTTTTTTTTTTTTTTCCTGGTGGAGTGACCCAAATTTTCATTCCTGAAGGGTCTGGAATTTGTAGTCCTGCCTGGATTGGACTGTTGTAGTTTCTCATTGACTTTAATCACAGGGCATAGAAATACTAGGAGACTTCCTAATGGATCTCCTGTATTCCATGCATACTCTTCCTTAACTCTGTTGTGGGGTAGTAGACTGATTTCATCTTGATAGTCTGGACCAATTACCCCAGCCAAAAATGTAACTCCCTTCTTAGGTTGTTGGCTTAAAGGTAGGAAGAGCCCAAAGTGTCCAGGTGGCAATCGTAACTCCCAGTTTAATGGAATTGTTGTGGTGTCTCCTGGTGGTGGCGTCCCTCCCTCTGGAACTAAGACCTCTAGGCCAAGAGAACATAATGTCATGGAAACAGGAAGCAGAAATTTTGCTTGTGGATCACTAGGGGTGATGGTGTGTGGTGCCACTTCCACCCCTTGATTCCTGGACCCGTGAATCCTGGCTATGGGAGAGAAAGTAGCATTTATTGGATGCTAATTCAGAGCATACATGGCCTTCTGGAGAACTTTGCCCCTTCCCTGAAAAGTATTGTCACCAGTTGGCATTGCAATTGTGACTTCAAAAGGCCATTCCACCATTCTGTCAATCCAGCTGCTTCAGGATGATGGAGAACAAGGTAAGACCAGTGAATTTCATGAGCATGAGCTCACTGCCACACTTCTTTAGCCTTAAAGTGAGTGTCTTAATGAGAGACAATGCTGTGTGAAATACCATGACTGTGGATAAGGCATTCTGTGAGTCCATAAATGGTAGTCTTGGCAGAAACATTGCATTCAGAATAGGCAAACCCATATCTAGAGTGAGTGTCTATTCCAGTGAAGACAAACCTCTGCCCTTTTCATGATTGAAGAGGTCCAATATAATCAACCTGCCACCAGGTAGCTGGCTGATCACCCTGAGGAATTGTGCCATGTAAATGGCTAAGTGTTGCTCTCTGCTGCTGGTAAATTGGGCACTCAGCACTGGCCGTAGCCAGGTCCATCTTGGTGAGTAGAAGTCCATGTTGCTGAGCCCATGCATAACCCCATTCCTGCCACCATGCCACTATGTTCATGAACCCTTGGGTGATGTCAGGGGTGGCTGGGGAAAGAGGCTGTGTGGTGTCCAGCCAAAGAAGGGGTCATCCACATGATTATTAAAATCCTCCTATGCTGAAGTCACCTCTTGGTGAGCAGTCACGTGGGATACAAATATCTTCACAGTTTTTGACCACTCAGAGAGGTCCATCCACATACCTCTTCCCCAAATTACTGTATCACCAATTTTGCAGTCATGCTTCTTCCAAGTCCTTGACCATCCAGCCAAACCATTGGCTACAGCCCATGAATCAGTATATAATTGAACATCTGGTCATTTCTCCTTCCATGCAAAGTGCACAACCAGGTGCACTGCTCAAAGTTCTGTCAACTGGGAAGATTTTCCTTCACCTGCTGTCCTTCAGGGATGTCCTGGAAAGAGTCTGTAGTGCTACAGCTGTTTACTCTTGGGTGGTGCCTGCATCTCATGCAGAACCATCTATAAACCAGGTTCTAGTCTTCTCTTCCTTTGTCAACTGATTATAGGGAACTCCCCATGAGGTCATCAGTGCAGGCTTGGAGAAAGAAGGGAGGGTGGCAGGAATGGAGACCATGGGCATTTGAGCCACTTCCCTTGTAATTTACTTGTGCCTTTAGGATCTGCTTGAGCCCAATCACATATATACCACTTCCATTTAATGATGGAATGCTGCTGTGCATGACCCACTTCATGGCTAGATAGGTCAGAAAACACCCAGTTTATGATAGGCAGTTCAGGTCGCATGGTGACTTGATGGCCCATAGTCAAATGTTTACTTGCTACCAAAGCCCAGTGACAAGCCAAGAGCTATTTCTCAAAAGAAGGGTAGTTAACTGTAGAAGATGGCAGGGCCTTGCTCCAAAATTCTAGAGGCCTTCTCTGTGATTCACCTATGGGTACTTGCCAAAGGCTCCAAACAGCATCCCTGTCTGCCACTGACACCTCAAGCACCATTAGATCTGCTGGGTCATACAACCAAAGTGGCAGAGCAGCTTTCACAGCAGCCTGGACCTGTTGCAGAGACTTCTCCTGCTCTGAACCCCATGCAAAACTGGCAGCCTTTTGGGTCACTCGATAAATAGGCTGGAGTAACACACCTAGATGAAGAATGTGTTGCCTCCAAAATCCAAATAGGTTTACTAGGTGTTGTGCCTCTTTCTTGGTTGTATGAGGAGCCAAATGCAGCAACTTATCCTTCACCTTAGAAGGAATATCTTGACAGGCCCCACACCACTGGATCCTTTGAAATTATACTGAGGTAGAAGGTCCCTGAATTTTAGTCAGATTTATTTCCCATCCTCTGGCATGCAAACGTGTCCCCAATAAGTCCAGTATGTTTGCTACATCTTGCTCACTGGATCCAGTCAGCATAATGTCATCAAGTGTGATATCTTGAGGAAGCAAAAAGCGATTAAGGTCTCTCCAAATAAGATTATGACACAAAGCTGGAGTGTTGATATACCCCTGAGGCAGGACATGAAAGGTTGATTGCTGGCCTTGCCAGCTGAAGGCAAATAGCCTCTGATGAGCCTTGTGAACAGGAATGGGAAAAAAGACATTTGCTAAGTCAATGGCTGCATATTAGGTACCAGGAGATGTGCTAATTTGCTCAAGCAATGAAACCACATCTGGTACAGCAGCTGCAATTGGAGTCACCACTTGGTTAAGCTTATAATAATCCACTGTCATTCTCCAGATCCATCTGTCTTCTGCACAGGCCAAATGGGAGACTAAAATGGGAATATGGTGGGTATCACCACCCCTCTTCTTTCAAGTCCTTGATGGTGACACTAATCTCTGCAATCCCTCCAGGGATGTGATATTGTTCTTGATTTACTATTTTTCTAGATACAGGCAGCTCTCATGGCTCCCATTTGGACTTTCCCACCATCATAGCCCTCACCCTACTAGTCAGGAAGCCAGTGTTGTGGTTCTGCTAGCTGCTAAGTATGTCTATGACAATTATGCATTCTGACACTGAGGAAACAACCACAGGATGAGTCTAGAGACCCACTTTAAGTCAGATCAGACCTAAAATTCCATTAGTTACCTGACCTCCATAAGCCTCTACTTTAATTGGAGGATCACAATGATGTTTTGGGTCTCTGGAATCAGTGTCAGCCCAGAGCCAATGTCCAGTAGTCCCCTAAATGTCTGATCATTTTCCTTTCCCCACTGCATAGTTACCTTGGCAGAAGGCTGGAGGTCTCCTTGGGGAAGAATGAGAGAAATATTAACAGCATAAATTGTTGGTAATGTAGTGGGGTCCTTCCTCAAGGGGACCTGGCTGCCTCTTCATTCAATGGGTCCTGGGTCTGTAAACTGGCTCAAGTTGGGAAATTGATTGAGGGGCCATGATTCTCTGTTTTTATAATTCAAATTAGTCTTTTGTCCAATTGATTTTAAAGTTTTCTGTTTATATATTAAGTAGGAATGCAGTGAGTTTCCTGTCCATTTCACTTCTAGGAACACTGTGATTAATTTAGCTAATGCCATAGCTCTACATGAGTCAGATTGCTGCTTTGCCTCTGCTATGCATTACAATAGCTATGTCCACCTTGTCTTTGACAGTTGAGTGCTGCCATTTGGCTCCTGCCACCTCAGGATCCAATCACTCCCATTGTACTTAAATTATGTAGTTGAGTGATTGCAGTTTCCACTGTTATATCTGACATACAGAGAAGAACAATTACAGGGCTCTTCAATGTTGAGGTACTGCCCTCACAAGTCCGTTTTGCAAGGCATTGGTCAAGGGTATATACTCTGGACACTCCCAGCTGGGTGAGCAGGTCTAAAGTAACTAACCCACTCCACCATCCTAATCTCTCTAAGCCTTTGGATGCCTTCTTCTACATTAAACCAAGGGAGATCAGGCATTTCTAGCCCACTCACAGTGGGCCATCTTTTAATCTGTATTTCAGCTAACCAAGCAAATAAACTATTAGAACCTTTTTTAACTCCCTGAGCTCAATATTAAATAAAGGCTCCCTGTTTAGGGGCCCAAATCAATAAATTCAGTCTGATTCAACTCTGTGTTTCTTTCACCATTATCCCACACCCTTAATATCCATTCCCATGCCTGTTCTCCAGATTTCTGCTTATATAAATTAGAAAACTCAAGCAGTTTTTTTGAGTGTAGCGCACCTCCTCATGGGTCACACTCTCAACCTTACCTCTAGGGGCCCACCAGGACTTTAGTCTAGATATAGGTCTAGAAAAAAAAACAGGAGTATTAGTGGTGGCTCCTGAGAAGAATCAACATTATTTTCTTGGCAACTGCCTCAGGGGAGGCCATCAATTTTGCCTCAGGCAGAGCAGGGTTCATCTTCTCAGACAAAGCGGAAAAGACTGAGGGCAGCATAGGATGGCGAGGAGATATTGGCACTACTGGGGATGGGAAGCTATTTTTTTCTAGCAAGAAAAGTTCACCAGAGTTTACAAACTCAGTGTCCCCAGCTTCAACAGGGTCCTCCCACATGTCCCCAATCCAAGTTGCAGGGTCCCACTTTTTTCCAAATCAATGCCTTCATTTTAACAGTAGACAACTGGCGAGGCTGGGCATGCACCTTTTGTTGCATGTCCACCACTCACATGATAAAAACTTGTGTCTGTTTTTCCACAATTTCAGCTCTTTCTCTATAGGAGATAAGATACCCACTCAGGGCAATCTTAGCAGACTTCAGGCTCAGTATTTTCTTCTGAAGTAGGAGTTAGAATCTCTGAGTTCATCATTTTCTTTCATAACTTTGTTCACTTAACTTAGGAGCAACCAACTTGCTTCATTATGCTCCTTGGTTCTCCACATATATTTGAAGGTATTATGGATAGGGTCACTAAATTCCTGGCCTTTTACAAGCAACGAATCGGGAGTGTCAAATGCATTTATTTTGCATAACACTCTAAACAGTTCACACAAAGGACTATGAGTGATCTTCATACTATTAAAAATAGAGTCCTTAACATTTTTTGGGTCTTATCATATTAAGCAGCCAACTCCAGAATTATATATATATTATTTTATATATATATGTTTATATATATATTAGTTATATAGGTTATATATATATATTAGTTATATATAAATAGGATATATATTATATATGTGTGTGTGTATATATATATATATGTGTATATATATGTATGTATAAAAAGGGGAGTTTTTTGAGTATTAACTCATATGATTACAGGTCCCACAATAGGCAGTCTGCAAGCTGAGAAGCAAGGAGAGCCAGTCTGGGTCCCCAAAACTGAAAAAATTTGGAATCTCATGTTCAAGGGCAGGAAGTATCCAGCACAAGAGAAAGATATAAGCTGGCAGCCTAGGCCAGTCTAGTCTTTTCATATTTTTCTGCCTGCTTTGTATTCTAGATGTGCTGGGAGCTGATTAGATGGTGCCCATCCAGATTAAGGGTGGGTCTGCTTTTCTCAGCTCACTGACTCAAATGTTAATTTCCTTTGGCAACACCCTCACAGACACATCCAGGATCAATATTTTGCATCCTTCAATCCAATCAAGTTGACTCTCAGTATCAACCATCACAAAAATATACCCCCTACTTTCCCAGCCTCTTATTGACCCATGATACATTTTTCTTTGTGCATAAACTTTATAAGCCTCTCCAAACAGAAGAGTCTTCATTTGTCAGTTTGGCCTCTCCAGATAACTTATGTCACACAAAAACTTACAAGTGCATATTTACAGAAACTTTATTCAAAATTGTCAGAAAAACTAGAAACAGCCATGATATCTTTCAACAAGTGAATGGATAAATGTATTGGTACATTTATAAAACAAAATACTGTTTGGCAATAACAAGAATTATTATATGTAAAAAGATATGGATGAATCTTAAATGCATATTGCTAAGTGAAAGAATTATTTTAGAAAATACTATATATTGTATGATTCAAATTATATGACATTCTGGAAAGGCAAAACTCTAGCAACAGTAAAATAATCAGAGATTTCCTGAAGTTAAGGGTGAGGTTATGGTTGACTATGAAATACAGAGGATTTCTTACAGTGGTAAAACTATAGAGTGTGGTGCTTTAATTTTGAATACATGACATTATGCTTTTCTCCAAACCCATAGAAATTTAGAGCACAAATAGTAAATCTTTAGGAATGAAATTTTTAAAGATAATAATTTAGGAGATCTAGGAATCCCAGGATAGAGTACAGAATGTGACAAAGCAATCTCACTGTGGCTTAATACTACTTATACCTATTTTCTTACAACTCAGGGGTCAGAAGTCCAAAATCACTAGCCTAAATTCAAGGTGTTGGTAGGGCTGGTTATTTCTGGAGACTCTGAGGGCATACTTGGTTTCCTTGCTTTCATCGCCTTCTTATGGCTGCCTGTGTTCCCTGTCTAATGGCCTCTTTCTTCAACTTCAAAGTGCATCACTACAGTCTTTACTTCCATTACCACCACATCAGTTTCTCTTCTGACTCTTACTCTTCCTGAAACCCCTTATAGTGTTGTGATTACACAGAGCCCAGCTATATAATTAAGGATAATCTCCTCATTTAAATATGTTTAATTTAATCACATTTGGAAAGTTCCATTTTTCCATATAATATAATATTCATATGCTCTGGGGTAACTCCCAGAACTTGGACATATTTGAGGGTCAATTTTTCACCTTAGTGAAAAATTATATAGAGATCAAAATATATATAGAGAAAAATTATATATAGATCATTATATATAGAAGTATATATATGTATGTATAAATAAAAATTGTTGAAGTTACTAAACGTTGACCACTAATCCTCAATGATAATCTACATCATCACTTTCACTTTTTCCTCATCTCATTAGAGGAGATATACCTCCTACTTTCCTAAACTTTCATTGACCTATGATACCTTTTACTTTGTGAGTAAACTTCATAAGCCTTCCCAAACATAAGACTCTTCATTTGTCAGTTTGACACCTCTAGACAACTTACGTCACACTCAAACCTGCAAATACACATATGAAAGATCTTAGAAGCAATCATATCCCTGTATCAATGGTCATAACTGGCATAGATTTTGGTTTCTAATATCATAATTTTTCAACAAAAGAAATCAAAGATTTTTAGAAAAATGGCTTCTTGTAGGACTGGATTAGGAAATATATAAGAGGAGTCTGGAGCATGCTGTAGTATCAGAAAGTAAGACAGAGAGAGAGAGAGAGTGAAACAAAGACAACAACAACAATAATTTTTATATTTTACGTTGATGTGTGTATGTACAAGGGACACAAGAATCAACTGAAAGAGCTTCCAATATCTGCACCTGGAACAATTGGAGCAACAAATTAAAGTAGTATTGGATTATAAGGCAAAAGATACACTAAATATTTATTAGTCCACACAGATATAAATAAATAATTGAATAAATACATAACTAGGACAAAAAAAGCCACATGTGCAGAAGAACCTCAAATTATTTATATAGATACTCTACTCTCAAGGAAAAGGAAAATAGCTTTTCCCTTCTTAAGAATGGGTTGTACATAGTGATTTTTTTTTCAATGAATATAGCATAGAAGGGGACAGATAACTTTGTGGAGAAAACTGAGAAATATCTCAGTGACCAAGTTTAACATAATAAAAGATAAATCATGTTGATAATGTTACTGGTGGTAAATCTGTAGGGTTCTGCAGCAACCTCAACTTTTGCCTCCTCAGAAGCAAGAATTCTGGAAAGAATTTCCAGAAGGAGAGACTGAGGCAACTTTTAGAGCAGGAGTGAAAGTTTATTAAAAAGTGTTAGAGGCCGGGTGCAGTGGCTCATGCCTGTAATCCCATCACTTTGGGAGGCCGAGGCAGGCGGATCACCTGAGGTCAGGAGTTCGAGACCAGCCTGACCAACACTGTCACTACTAAAAATACAAAATTAGCTAGGCGTGATGGCACATGCCTGTAATACCAGCTACTCAGGAGGCTAAGGCAGGAGAATTGCTTGAACCTGGGAGGCGGAGGTTGCGGTGAGCCAAGATACTGCCATTGTACTCCAGCCTTGGCAACAAGAGTGAAACTCTTTCTCAAAAAAAAAAAAAAAAAAAAGTATTAGAGCAGCACCAAAAGGAAGTAAAGTGTACTTGAGTATACTTGGAAGAGGGCCACACAGGTGACTTCAGATATTCAAATGCACTGTTTGACCTTGACTTGGGGTTTTATGCGTTGGCATGCTTCGAGGGAGATTGTGTTCCTTTTCCCTCAATTCTTCTCTTGGGGTGGGCTGTCCCTATGCACAGTGGCCTGCCAGCACTTGGTAGGGTGTTCCTGCACAGTGTGTTTACTAGAGTTGCATGCGTGCTCACTTGAGGCAATCTTCCCTTACCAGGAGAGTGTTCCTAGAGGAAGATCATATACCAAACTCCATGGTTAAGACCATTTTGCGTCTTAGTACACATTGAGCCCACTCACCCAACTCCTGAGATCTTATTGAGAAGCTGCAGATCACCAATTTCAGATGTTTCTATCTATCGGGAGACTGTCTTTCCCTGGCGCCCACCAGCTGTGAGCAATGACTATTTTAGAGAGACACCTTAAAGACTGCCTGACCATCACCTGATGGTCACCTGACATTCCTGGTTGGAGGGAGGGGCTCTCCTGTCTGCTCCTGTCTGACTAGCTACCTACTGTAACAATGGTATGCATCATTAATGTGATGTAATACAAATGTCACTATTGTCTGTGTTCTTCTCCCAAAACACATAACCCTAGTCTAATCATGAAAAAACTATCAGACAAATCTCAATTGATAGACATTCTACAAAATACCTGACTGGTATTCTCAAAACTCTCAAGGTTTTAAAAACAAGCAAAGTCTGAAAAACTTTCACAGCTTGGAGGCAAAGCTTAAGGAGATATGACAACTAAATAGAATGTGATTACTTCCCTAAATGAGATTCTGGAAGAGTAAAAGAACATTAGATAACAATAAAAAATAATAAAGTATGAATTTAATTAATAATAATAATAAAATAACATTAAAAAGCTCTTTGAACAACACTTTGACTAGGATCTTCAGTTTGGAAAAGCCACAAACAAATTTTGAACTAGGTGTGTTTGTTGTGGTAATAAGGGCATATCTATTTTGACACTATAGCTGTGTGTTGTAGGGTAGAACAAATGAGTCAATATATTGATAATGAAGCCAGGGTCCTAACTGATTTTACACACACACACACACACACACACACACACACACACACATATGTGTATATATATGTATATGTGTGTGTGTATATATATATGTATATATGGTTTTATATATATGTAAGTTCCAGTGAGGACATTTGGAAAGACCATAATGTGTCTGAGGACATTGAGCCTCTAAATTCTGATGTAACATTTGCCAATGAAAGTGACTTCCACCCTGCAGTGGTAGCAACCTCCAGCAGTGGTACTGGCCTCTGCTCCATCTGAGGTTATTAACTCTGCATTGTCTGAGAAAACTAATGGCCCCTGCTGAGGCAGTTGCCATGCAAGACAATACTGATTCTACTCAGGAATCATCCCTATCACCCCTCTTTGCTTCTAGACCTTTAGGTAGATTTAAGTTTCTGCAGGACTGTAAAGATAAGCTACAAAAGGAGACCCATTAGGAAATGTGCTACACTCAAAAGAACTATTTGAATTTATTGGTTTATATAGACAGAAATCCAGGGAACATAGGTGGAAATGGATACTAAGGGTGTGGGGTAAAAGTAAAACCCACATAAAGTTTGATATTTTCCCTCAACCTTATGCTGTCTTGCTCTAGATGGAAAAATGCTTCCCCCAGGAGACACAATAATAACTTATTCGACCAGGAAGGTAAGACTGGCCACTCTGAATCAACGAGCAAAGAAAGGAGTTGCTGTGCTGACTGGGGTGATTGTCCCTGACTACTAAAGGAAAAATTGGACAGCTATGATGGCTACTCTACAATGGAGGTAAGAAAAAGTATGCCTGGAATGTAAGAGATCCCTTAGGGCATCTCTTAGTATCACCCTGCCTTGTGATTTAGGTCAACAGAAAAAAACAACTCAATACAGGTCGGCCCATTAGTGGCCAAGCCCTTTAGGAATGGAGGCTTGCATAACCCTGCCAAGTCAGGAACCACAACCGGCTCCAGTTGAGGTGCTTACCAAAGAAAAAAAGAACACAGAATGGAGAGTGGAAGAAGGTAGTTATTAATAATAGCAGCTACTGTGTGACCAGTTTCAGAAATATCAACTGTAATTATTATTTTCTACTTATTTTGTTATGAATACATTTGTATGTGTCTATTTTTTTCTTATTATCTTATCACATAAGATGTATTGACATATCATTGCATTTACTTATTATTTTACATCATATTATTCAAATTATGGTACACCAAGGAGAAAATTAAACACCACTCAGAAACTTTACCTCCTCTTCTAGGTTAATACATTTTTGGTTGTATGCAGGATAGATGTATTCTGTTAGGCAGAACTGTGACTTGTATATTTTCTTTATTTACAGAGTCATTGTGATTTAAGGAGATGTGTATGAGTGCCAAGTTGACAAGACAAAGCATGAACTTATGATGGTTAATTTACATGTCGTTTTGACAGGACACTGCATAACCAGATTAAAGATTATTTCTGAGTGTGTCTGTGAGATTGTTTCTGGGGGAGTTAGCATTTGAAGCTGTGAACTGAGTAAAGCAGATTTTTCTCCCAAATGTGGGTGGGCAGTGTCCAATTCTTTGAGAGCCTGAATAGAAGAAAAAGGCAGAGGAAGGGGAAATCTGTTCTCTCTGCCTGATCACGTGAGCTGGGACATTAGTCTTCTCCTGTCCCGGCATGAGGCTTGTACCAACAGCCCTCTTGTTCTCAAAAGTACACCACTGGCTTTCCTGGGTCTTGAGTTTACAGATGGAACATTCTGGGACCAGTTAGCCATAATTTCATCAGCCAATTCCTTGCAAAAAATTATATGCTTATATAGTTTCCTTGGTTTTGTTTCTATGGAAAACCCTGACAGACAATAACCATGTTCCTAAGAAATAGCCAGTGAAATATTATAGCATAAAGAGATATACTACTATATGCACTGTATTCTCAAATAGTCCAGAAAAAAATGTGAACATACAAACATATGTAGATATGCACACACATGTGTATATATGATATACATTTGTGATATATGATTATACATACTTATATTCATATAATTATAAACATTTTTGTGTGTTAAAAATTGAGGAATTTGGGAAACCAGGAATAGCTCTTTGAACTGTAACTGCAAGTTTCTGTAACATTGAAATAATTTCAAAATATATTTTAAAAATTAATTTAATTATTTCAGGTAATTTTACAACTGGAAAGTTAAGAAGTAAAAATCAAACCATATTTTTCTTGTTTGGTCCCAAGGCTGTTTCTGCTACACCAGAGTTTCTATGGTGAATTTTATACTATAGAAAAATTAGTCTAGGCGATAACAGCAAAAATGTTCTTAAGGATATTGATTTAATACCAGGTATTGAAGTGAAAAGGTAAGGAAGCTTTTTTAGATAGAACAGGACAAAAATATATTCAGAGTTGTATTGAGGTCAAACACACAGGCAATCTCTTCAAATAAGATGAAATGTATTTTCATGAAATAATAAAGCTCACCGTTGTTGAATTTCCACCTTGTATTTAGAATCTTTTAAATCCATGCAATATTTTTTGAAAAAATTTACCTAGCATAGCCTGAGCTGGCAAGGATGTGACTTGCTTCATGGGTAAGAGCTGAGAGTGAATAATTTACATCTTAAGAATATTATCTGATATAGAAAGTGGCTATGGAAACGAATAGTGATTTTCCAAATAGTTTTAAGATTGCATTTTTTAATTGAAAATCTTTGTATCTAACATTTGATCTTCAGACACCACCTTGTTATTTTGCTTAATGCCTAGTGCACTAGAATAAGAAAATTCCCAGGGTCATAAAATGCTTGATTTTTTATTTCTTTGAACGAAGAAAGCACATTGTTTACTCATTCTGCTAAGGTGGGGTGTAAAGAAGAGAGCAATGAATGGAACACCAAGGAATAGGAATAGAAACACCTGTGTCCTATTCTCAACATAGCTTTAAAAAAATTAGTTTAAGTTCTGCGATACATGTGCAGGACACGCAGGTTTGTTACATAGGTAAAAGTGTGCCATGGTGGTTTGCTGTACCTATCAACCCATCACCTAGGTATTAAACCCCACATGAATTATTTATTTATCCGGATGGTCTCCCTCCCCAAGCCCCACCAAAAGGCCGCAGTGTGTGTTATGCACCTCCCTGTGTCCATGAGTTCTCATTGTTCAAGGCCCACTTACAAGTGAGAACATGCAGTGTTTGGTTTTCTGTTCCTGTGTTAGTTTGCTGAGGATTACAGCTTCCACCTCCACCCATGTCCCTGCAAAGGACATGATCTCATTCCTTTTTATGATTGCATAGTATTCCATGGTGTATATATACCACATTATCTTTATCCAGTCTATCATTGATGGGCATTTGGGTTGATTTCATGTCTTTGCTATTGTGAATGGAGCTGCACTGAACATACATGTACATGTATCATTATAATAGAAAAATTTATATGCCTTTGGGTATATACCGAGTAATGGGATTGCTGGGTCAAATGGTATTTGTGGTTCTAGTTCTTTGAGGAATCACCACACTGTCTTCCACAGTAGTGGGACTAATTTACATTCCACCAGCAGTGTAAAAGTGTTCCTATTACTCCACAGGCTAGCCAGAATCTGTTGTTTCTTGACTTTTTAATAATCTCCATTTTGACTGGTGTGAGATGGTATCTCATCGTGGTTTTGATTTCCTCTTCTCTAATGATCAGTGATATTGAGCTTTTTTTCATATGTTTCTTGGTCACATAACTGTCTTCTTTTGAGAAGTGTCTGTTCATGTCCTTTGCCCACTTTTTAATGGAGCAAAATAAACTATCATCAGAATACACAGACAACCTACAGAATGGTAGAAAATTTTTGCACTCTATCCATCTGACAAAGGTCTCATATCCAGAAAATACGAGGAACTTAAACAAATTTACCAAAAAAAAAAACAAAAAACACACACAGCTTCTTTTACCTGTGAGACCCATGACCACTCAATCTCTTCTTTGAGATTTGCTCATTTAGAAAATAAAATGATAAGACTAAAAATGATCTTGACTGTGCATGTATTTTGTCTCCTCCTCCCTTTTTATTTATGCAAACAATTATACAAGGAAAATGGAGATTAGATTTGCAGTACGTGATCTATTAGAATAAAATGTAATATTCAGCTTTTCACTTGTGATACCTACTTAATTGGGACCCCTAAGAACAAGGATGTTGTTGGTATCTTCATGTGGTTTTTTCTTTTTTTTCCTACATGATGTGATTGATTTTATTAAAATAATTTAGTTGATTTTTATTTTATTCATATGAGTTAGGCAAATATATTATTCTATCTATTTGCATTTTGAGAAGCTGAAATAACAAGGAAGACATTCATGAATCTCTCATAATTAGTGCAGCAGACTTTGTAGTGACTTGAAAGTCATAAGGATGCCATGATATAACATGATGTGTATGTGCACATGCTCGAGTGCACTCCAGTGGATATATATGAAACTGGATATACAATATACATAAAGCTAGCAATCCGACTTCTTTTAGGGCATCATCTTTTAGGGCATGTCATCATTATAACAATGAGCAAAATACATACAATAAAATCATTATAAGCATCATAATGAAAAATAAATAGACTGGTATGAAGTAACTGGAAGTCTGCTTTATTTGGGTGACACTGAAAAATTTTTGTGAGGAGATGCCTTTAATTTAAAACACAATGGGAAAAGAGAATAGCCATGCAAAGATCTGGGTGGTATGGTGGGCAAAGAAGAGCATAATGCTGTATGAAGAGAAAACTGCTAAAATTTAGGTCTTATGGCTAGAATGAATAAACTGAGTAGGGTTAGGAGTGATTCAAGACGAAGGTGAAGAGATAGGTAGATCATGTACCACACTGAAAATTATACAAATTACATAATGTTTTAACTTCAGTATAATAAAAAACTTTTAAAGAGTGTTACTCAGCAGAATATTTTTGTATTCTACAAATATTTATTATTTACTGTATGCTAAACCTTGTTCTGGAAGTCAAGGATAAAAACTGGCCAAAATTAGGCCAAAAATTAAAAGACCTAATTTATGTCCTTAAAAGACTCCCTTGGCTGAGTTATAGCAAATGGATTTTAGGGTATTAAGAATGAAAAAACAAAAGACGTCATTTGAAAGATTTTTCAAAAGGTAAGTTAAGAGAGCCAATGGTGGTCTTCTGGGAGTGGTACAGATAAGAAAGCTTAATAAATGTAACACATATTTTAGATGGATTTGATAGGATTCTCCTTGGAACTCTGGGGAAACACAGCAATACCTTCTTAGATGGTTTGAAGAATGAAGAGACCACTGACTTGCTAGGATCAGTGTATGTTTTTCTTCCTTGCACAGGTAGCAACTTTCTGTCTCTTTCATGCATCAGGGGTTTACTTTTCAAGTTTACTTATTTAAAAGGTTTCTTTCAGATTAAAAAAAGCATAAGGACAAATAAGTTTATATATATACATATCTACATATATGTATATATACATATAAATATCTACATATATGCATATATACATATAAATATATGTATATATGCATATATACATATAAATATATGTATATATGCATATATACACATACATATATGTATGTATATATACACACATATATGTGTATATGTATATATGTATACACACACATACACATATACATGTATACACACATATACATGTACATGTATATACACACATATACATGTACATGTATATACACACGTACATGTATATACACACATATACATGTACATATACATACACATACATGCACATGTATATACACATACAGGTACATGTATATACACATATGCATGTACATGTATATACACATATGCATGTATACGTATATACACGTATGCATGTATACGTATATACACGTATATACATATACACGTGTATATACACGTATATGCGTATATACGTGTATATACACGTGTATACGTGTATATACACGTATATGCGTATACACGTGTATATGTATATACATACCTGTATATATACATATATTTGTATATATATACATATATGTGTATATACACACACACACACACACATATATATATATATATATATATATATATATATATGGAGAGAGAGAGAGAGAGAGTATCATCTACCATTGTGCCTGCATCAAAAGAACTCAAACCCTAAGCTCAAAATAATGGATAACTATCTTTTTCAACATTTTATAGGTAAATATTCCCTTTTATTCTTTCAATCAGAAATACGTGTTTCTTGAATCTTTAAATCGTTACCTTTATTTTCAAATATTTTGAGAACTAACTTCATTTCTCAGTAGAATTAGCTGTTAATTTTAAAGTTTTGTAGAGTTCAACTCTATTTAAATCAATCAGATGCTTTCCTTATTTACCCTACACCCCCTAGCCACCCACACACAACCTGCAGCACACTTCTTTATAGCTTATACAAGCTTATAGCAATTTTTCTCCAGTTTAGGCATAAGTGAACAGGTGTTTATGAATATTAAGTTTCATTCTAAAACATTGTATGTTGCTAAACCCAGATCTCCTTTTTAGACTGAATAAAGATTCCTCCAGCTGCTGAAGTTGGTTGTGGTTATGTCTTCAGCATCAGTCCTCTCTGAAAATTACCTTTGACCTTACAGAGCCCTTGGCTAAGAGTCATGCTGTCTTCTTGGATCAGTCAGCTTAAAATATTCTATCTGTGTAGGACTAGATAAGCTTTGACTACTTGTCCTACTATTTATAAATATCTGCTATGGTATTAATGTTTATCCCCTCCACAACTTATGTTGAGACTCCATTGTCATTATAACAGAACAAAGAGGTTGGGACTTTAAGAGATGATTAGGCCTTTAGGATGCCACCTCTATGGGTGAGTTTAATGACTTAATAAAAAGGTTTTGGGTAATGAGCTGTCTCTCTTGGCCTTTCTGACTTCCTGCCATGTGAGGATCCTCCCATCCAGAGGATGTAGTGTGCAAAGTACAGTCTTGAAAGCAGAGAAACCTAACATGCTGGCACCTTGGCCTTAAGTATCCAGCCTTCAGAACTGTAAGCCAATACATTTCTGTTTATTACATATTACCCAATACTAGATATTCTGTTGTAGCAGCAAAACCAGGCAACGACACCATCTCTATATAAGACCTAAAATGATGACAGGTCTTTAAACTAAAACAGTTCCTAAATGCTAAACTGAGATAGTGCCTCCCCCACATTTGATGCAATTTTGAGTATGAACCATCTGTCAAGACAGAAGTCTCAGTATATTCAGGTTTTATTATTATTATTATTATTATTATTATTATTATTATACGTTAAGTTCTTGGGTACATGTGCACAATGTGCAGGTTTGTTACATATGTATACATGTGCCATGTTGGTGTGCTGCACCCTTTAACTCATCATTTACATTAGGTATATCTCCCAATGCTACCCCTCCCCCACCCCAAACCCAGGACAGGCCCCAGTGTGTGATGTTCCCCACCCTGTGTCCAAGTGTTCTCATTGTTCAATTCCCAACTATGAGTGAGAACATGTGGTGTTTTGTTTTCTGTCCTTGCGATAGTTTGCTGAGAATGATGGTTTCCAGCTTCATCCATGTCCCTACAAAGGACATGAACTCATCCTTTTTTATGGCTACATAGTATTCCATGGTGTATATGTGCCACATTTTCTCATTCCAGTCTATCATTGATGGACATTTGGGTTGGTTCCAAGTTTATGCTATTGTGAATAGTGTGAACAGTGCCACAATAAACATAAGTGTGCATGTGTCTTTATAGCAGCATTACTTATAATCCTTTGGGTATATCCCCAGTAATGGGATGGCTGGGTCAAATGGTATTTCTAGTTCTAGATCCTTGAGGAATCATCACACTGTCTTCCACAATGGTTGAAAAAGTTTACAGTCCCACCAACAGTGTAAAAGTGTTCCTATTTCTCCACATCCTCTCTAGTACCTGTTGTTTCCTGACTTTTTAATGATTGCCATTCTAACTGGTGTGAGATGGTATCTCATTTTGATTTTGATTTGCATTTCTCTGATGACCAGTGATGATGAGCATTTTTTTATGTGTCTGTTGGCTGCATAAATATATTCTTTTGAGAAGTGTCTGTTCATATCCTTCACCTACTTTTGGATGGGGTTGTTTGATTTTTTTCTTGCAAATTTGTTTCTTTGTAGATTCTAGATATTAGCCCTTTGTCAGATGTGTAGATTGTGAAAATTTTCTCCTATTCTGTAGGTTGCCTGTTCACTCTGATGGTAGTTTCTTTTGCTGTGCAGAAGCCCTTTAGTTTGATTGGATCCCATTTCTCAATTTTGGCTTTTGTTGCCATTGCTTTTGGTGTTTTGGTCATGTAGTCCTTGCCCATGCCTATGGCCTGAATGGTATTGCTTATGTTTTCTTCTAGGGTTTTTATGGTGTAGGTCTAACATTTAAGTCTTTAATCCATCTTGAATTAATTTTTGTATAAGGTGTAAGAAAGGGATCCCATTTCAGCTTTCTACAAATGGCTAGCCAGTTTTCCCAGCACCATTTATTAAATAGGGTATCCTTTCCCAGTTGCTTGTTTTTGTAAGGTTTGTCAAAGATCAGATGGTTGTAGATGTGTGGTATTA
This sequence comes from Homo sapiens, assembly GCF_000001405.40. NCBI lineage: Eukaryota > Metazoa > Chordata > Mammalia > Primates > Hominidae > Homo > Homo sapiens. The sequence goes on along the minus strand of NC_000004.12, from coordinate 59,896,802 downwards.
TTTCTGAGGGCTCTGTTCTGTTCCGTTGGTCTATATCTGTGTTTTGGTATCAGTACCATGCTGTTTTGGTTACTGTAGCCTTGTAGTATAGTATGAAGTCAGGTAACGTGATGCCTCCATCTTTGTTCTTTTGGGTTAGGATTGTCTTGGCAATGTGGGCTCTTTTTTGGTTCCATATGAACTTTAAAGTAGATTTTTCCAATCCTGTGAAGAAAGTCATTGGTAGCTTGATGGGGATGGCATTGAATCTATAAATTACTTTGGGCAGTATGGCCATTTTCACGATATTGATTCTTCCTATCCATGAGCATGGAATGTTCTTCCATTTGTTTGTGTCCTCTTTTATTTCGTTGAACAGTGGATTGTAGTTCTCCTTGAAGAGATCCTTGACATCCCTTGTAAGTTGGTTTCCTAAGTATTTTATTCTCTTTAAAGCAATTGTGAATGGGAGTTCACTCATGATTTGGCTCTCTGTTTGTCTGTTTTTGGTGTATAGGAATGCTTGCTATTTTTGCACATTGATTTTGCATCCTGAGAGTTTGATGAAGTTCCTTTTCAGCTTAAGGAGATTTTGGGCTGAGATGATGGGGTTTTCTAACTATACAATCATGTCATCTGCCAACAGGGACAATTTGACTTCCTCTTTTCCTAATTGAATACCCTTTATTTCTTTCTCCTGCCTGATTGCCCTGACCAGAACTTCCAACACTATGTTGAATAAGAGTGGTGAGAGAGGGCATCCCTGTCTTATGCCACTTTTCAAAGGGAATGCTTCCCAGTTTTGCCCATTCAGTATGATATTGGCTGTGGGTTTGTCATAAATAGTTCTCATTATTTTGAGATACGTCCCATCAATACCTAGTTTATTAAGAGTTCTTAGCATAAAGGGCTGTTGAATTTTGTCAAAGGCCTTTTCTGCATCTATTGAGATAATCATGTGGTTTTTATCTTTGGTTCTGTTTATATGATGGATTACATTTATTGATTTGCATATGTTGAACCAGCCTTGCATCCCAGGGATGAAGCCAAGTTGATTGTGGTGGATAAGTTTTGTGCTGTGCTGCTGGATTTGGTTTGCCAGTATTTTATTGAGGATATTTGCATCAATGTTCATCAGGAATATTGGTCTAAAATTCTCTGTTTTTTGTTGTGTCTCTGCCAGACTTTGGTATCAGGATGATACTGGCCTCATAAAATGACTTAGGGAGAAGTCCCTCTTTTTCTATTGATTGGAATAGTTTCAGAAGGAAGGGTACCAGCTCCTCTTTGTACCTCTGGTAGAAATCGACTGTGAATCTCTCAGGCCCTGGACTTTTTTGGTTGGTAGGCTATTAATTATTGCCTCCATTTCAGACCCTGTTATTGATCTACTCAGGGATTCAATTTCTTCCTGGTTTAGTCTTGGGAGGGTGTGTGTGTCCAGGAATTTATCTAATTTTTTAGATTTTCTAGTTTATTTGTGTAGAAGTGTTTATAGTATTCTCTGATGGTAGTTTGTATTCCTGTGGGATCGGTGGTGATATCCCCTTTATCATTTTTTATTGCATCTATTTGATTCTTCTCTTTTTTCTTCTTTATTAGTCCTGCTAGCAGTGTATGAATTTTGTTGATCTTTTCAAAAAAACGGCTCCTGGATTCATTGATTTTTTGAAGGGTTTTTTGTGCCTCTATCTCCTTCAGTTCTGCTCTGATCTTAGTTGTTTCTTGCCTTCTGCTAGCTTTTGAATGTGTTTACTTTTGCTTCTCTAGTTCTTTTAATTGTGATGTTAGTGTGTCAAATTTAGATCTTTCCTGCTTTCTCTTGTGGGCATTTAGTGCTAAAACTTTCCCTCTACACATTGCTTTAAATGTGTCCCAGATGATTCTGGTATGTTGTGACTTTGTTCTCATTGGTTTCAAAGAACATCTTTATTTCTGCCTTCATTTCGTTATTTACCCCATAGTCATTAAGGAGCAGGTTGTTCATTTTCCATGTAGTTGAGTTGTTTTGAGTGAGTTTCTTAATCCTGAGTTCTAGTTTGATTGCACTGTGGTCTAAGAGACAGTTTGTTATAATTTCTGTTCTTTTACATTTTCTGAGGAGTGCTTTACTTCCAACCATGTGGTCAATTTTGGAATAAGTGCATTGTGGTGCTGAGAAGAATGTATATTCTGTTGATTTGGGGTGGAGAGTTCTGTAGATATCTATTAGGTCCGCTTGCTGCAGAGCTGAGTTGAATTCCTGGAAATCCTTGTTAACTTTCAGTCTCATTGATCTGTCTAATGTTGACAGTGGGGTGTTAAAATCTCCCATCATTATTGTGTGGGAGTCTAAATCTCTTTGTAGGTCTCTAAGGACTTGCTTTATGAATCTGGTGCTCCTGTATTGAGTGCCTATATATTTAGGATAGTTAGCTCTTCTTGTTGAATTGATCCCTTTACCATTATGTAATGGCTTTCTTTGTCTCTTTTGATCTTTGTTGGTTTGAAGTCTGTTTTATCAGAGATTAGGATTGCAACTCCTGCTTTTTTGTTTTGTTTTGTTTTCCATTTTCTTGTTAGATCTTCCTTCATCCCTTTATTTTAAGCCTATATGTGTCTCTGTATGTGAGATGGGTTTCCTGAATACAGCACACTGATGGGTCTTGACTCTTTATGCAGTTTGCCAGTCTGTGTCTTTTAATTGGAGCATTTTGCCCATTTACATTTAAGATTAATATTGTTATGTGTGAATCTGATCCTGTTATTATGATGTTAGCTGGATATTTTGCTCATTAGCTGATGCAGGTTTTTCCTAGCATCAATGGTCTTTACTATTTGGCATGTTTTTGCAGTGGCTCGTACTGGTTGTTCCTTTCCATGTTTAGTGCTTCCTTCAGGAGCTCTTGTAGGGCAGGCCTGGTGGTGACAAAAATCTCTCAGCATTTATTTGTCTGTAAAGGATTTTATTTCTCCTTCACTTATGAAGATTAGTTTGGCTGGATATGAAATTCTGGGTTGAAAATTCTTTTCTTTAAGAATGTTGAATATTGGCCCCCACTCTCTTCTTGCTTGTAGAGTTTCTGCCAAGAGCTCCACTGTTAGTCTGATGGGCTTTCCTATGTGGGTAACTTGACCTTTCTCTCTGGCTGCCCTTAACATTTTTTCCTTCATTTCAACTTTGGTGAATCTGAAAATTATGTGTCTTGGAGTTGCTCTTCTTGAGGAGTATCTTTGTGGCGTTCTCTGTATTTCCTGAATTTGAACATTGGCCTGCCTTGCTAGGTTAGGGAAGTTCTCCTGGATAATATCCTGAAGAGTGTTTTCTAACTTGGTTCTATTCTCCCCGTCACTTTCAGGTACACCAATCAGACATGGATTTGGCCTTTTCACATAGTCCCATATTTCTTGGAGGCTTTGTTCATTTCTTTTTACTTTTTTCTCTAAACTTCTCTTCTCGCTTCATTTCATTCATTTGATCTTCAATCACTGATACCCTTTCTTCCACTTGATCAAATTGGCTACTGAAGCTTCTGCATGCATCACAAAGTTCTTGTGCCATGGTTTTCAGCTCTATCAGGTCATTTAAGGACTTCTCTACACTGGTTTTTCTAGTTAGCCATTCGTCTAATCATTTTTCAAAGTTTTTAGCTTCTTTGCGATGGGTTTGAACATCCTTCTTTAGCTCGGAGTAGTTTGTTATTACCAGTCTTCTGAAGCCTTCTTCTCTCAACTCGTCAAAGTCATTCTCCATCCAGCTTTGTTCTGCTCCTGGTGAGGAGCTGCATTCCTTTGTAGGAGAAGAGGCACTCTGATTTTTAGAATTTTCAGCTTTTCTGCTCTGGTTTTTCCCCATCTTTGTGGTTTTATCTACCTTTGGTCTTTGATGATGGTGACATACAGATGGGGTTTTGGTGTGAATGTCCTTTCTGTTTGTTAGTTTTCCTTCTAACAGTCAGGAGCCTCAGCTGCAGGTCTGCTGGAGTTTGTTGGAGGTCCACTCCGACCCTGTTTGCCTGGGTATCACCAGTGGAGGCTGCAGAACAGCAAATATTGCAGAACCGCAAATGTTGCTTCCTGATCCTTCCTCTGGAAGCTTTGTCTCAGAGGGGTACCTGGCTGTATGAGGTGTCAGTCGGCCCCTACTGGGAGGTGCCTCCCAGTTAGGCTACTCAAGGATCAGGTACCGACTTGAGGAGGCAGTCTGTCCATTCTCAGATCTCAAACTCTGTGCTGGGAGAACCACTACTCTCTTCAAAGCTGTCAGACAACGATGTTAAGTCTGCAGAAATTTCTGTTGACTTTTGTTCAGGTACGCCCTGCCCCCAGTGGTGGAGTCTACAGAGGCTGGCAGGCCTGCTTGAGCTGCAGTGGGCTCCACCCAGTTCGAGCTTCCTGGCCGCTTTGTTTACCTACTCAATCCTCAGCAATGGTGGCCGCCCCTCCCTGAGCCTTGCTGCCACCTTGCAGTTGGATCTCAGACTGCTGTGCTAGCAGTAAGCGAGGCTCCGTGGGCGTGGGACCCTCTGAGCCAGGTGTGGGATATAATCTGCTGATGTGCCATTTGCTAAGACCATTGGAAAAGTGCAGTATTAGTGTGGGAGTGTCCCGATTTTCCAGGTACTGTCTGTCACGGCTTCCCTTGGCTAGGAAAGGGAATTCCCAGACCTCTTACACTTCCTGGGTGAGGCAATGCCCTTCTCTGCTTCAGCTCATGCTCCGTGGGCAGCACCCACTGTCCAACAAGCCCCAGTGAGATGAACCCGGTACCTCAGTTGGTAATGCACAAATCGCCTGCCTTCTGCGTCACTCACGCTGGGAACTGTAGACTGGAGCTATACCTCTTCGGCCATCATGGAACCTCTCTCCTCAGTATATAGAGGTTTTCATAATGGGAAACCAGTAACCTAGGGATTTGTGTATTCACAATAACAGGAAACCAATAACTTAAGGACCTGTGCATTCACTTTTACTCTGTCTTTTTTGGTGTTCTTTTTCTCCCACACGGAGCCTGCAGGCTTGCTGAGGTCTAAATGCTTATTTTCTCTTTTCCCAAAAGGATGAAAATGTTGATAAAGTACCCTTTGTGCTTGCCTGGGAACACAAATATCTTCTTGTCCCTTGATCCTAAGAAATGGATGAAGAAACTCCAGGGTGAATGCATAGAGTGAGTGTTATTTTTAACAGAAAGCAAGATTTTTTAACTTATTTCCTGTGTCTCTGTTTATTGGTTAATTGTTGAATAAAAATTACGTAAGTAAAATAATTATTTTTTTGACATTAGACACAAATCCCCCAAAATGATGATTAAACACTCTACAAGATATTTAACACAGAATATTTTTCTTAACTTGAACACTACTTCACTAGATGCATATATTTTTCAATGTTGAAGGTAAAGTTATTTCATACAAATTCTCCTGAGCAAATGTCTAGCTAAAAAACTAACTGAATTATATCAGCATATCTGACAAAATGCCTGTATCTACATGTTTTCTACTATATGGTGAAAGCTGCCAAAATCAGGACTAGAGGGGGAAAAGATCTACAAATTTAAGCTGGGTTTAAACACATGCAGTGATACAGCTTGAAATTTAACTTCAGGAATGTTGATAAAAATATACCCAAGGTAGATTTGTATCTCCAGAATCTATAAGAATCAGTCTTTTGTGGATAATATCCTTCTTTGCATAAGTATCTCTTCTGAAAAAAAAGTGTAAAAGACTTAATCTGCCTTTCAAAAAAGAGAAATGGTAGTACATACACTGTTTAGTAAGCTGTTTTATATTCCATGACAATTGAAGTTTAGCAGTAACCATATTTGTTAAAAATTGTGAAATGTTTCTTGGGGCAAATTTCAATTAAACAAGTACCTAATTGGTTGTATAATTACAATCAGTTAAATAATGCCACTCAACTACCATGAATAATTCAGTCTCCTTTCATAAGCAGTGAAATAAAGTGATTTTCCCTGACTTCTCTCTGTAATCCAGTATTTGGTCAGCTATGGGAAGTTTCAAAAGATTATTCAGATTTTAATTTAGAAATAAGAACAATGCTGGCCAGGCATGATGGCTCATGCCTGTAATCCCAGCACTTTGGGAGGCCGAGGCAGGCAGATCACGAGGTCAGGAAATCGAGACCATCCTGGCTAACACAGTGAAACCCCATCTCAACTAAAAATACAAAAAAAAAAAAAAAAAAAAAAAATTAGCCAGGCATGGTGGCGGGCTCCTGTAGTCCCAGCTACTTGGGAAGCTGAGGCAGGAGAATGACTTAACCCGGAAGGTGGAGTTTGCAGTGAGCCGAGATTGTGCCACTGCACTCCAGCCTCGGCATCAGGAATGAAACTTCATCTCAAAAATATGTATATATTTTGCATGTAAAGGCACTCACATTTCTTTTCAGAACTATTTATTCATGTTAGCTTCAAAGATGATGACTCCTGAAGAATTATGATTCTGTCTATAGATGCAATGGTATACTCACTTGTTGGCTGTAACCTCTGAAAGCTGGTAAGAAAATATTTACCAAAATAATTAAAATAGTTATCTAAAACAATTGATAGTTTTGCATCTTTTGAAAACAGACAGATTTCCTGGAATGTCTTAGAAAAAATACTGGAAGAGCGGATCAATATTAATATTCATGGAAGACCCTAAATTGCACATCAAGCCATCATCATTTCTTGTCTTTCATATGCTTTCTCTCTCTTTCTCTCCTCCCTTTCCCTCTCTTTCTGTCAAAACAGACACAGAAATACACTCCACATGACTAACTGGTCATTAATTTAAAAATGATATTTTGAATATGGAGGGCTGAAACAATCAGGGGTACTAAGTTTTTATTTCAACACAAACAGAGCATATTTGAAAAGATGGAATTGTATGACACATATATATTAAAAACTAATTTAAATGCATCAAAATATAATAAAAACTCTAAAGATTAGTCAAAATAATTTGTCAAATCACTTATCTTTTCCAGAAAGGTATGCTAAAAAATGCACATTATTTTATCTGGTTGGAATTGAGTCAGAAAGTAAAATATGCAAGGTTTAAGGATAATGAACATGACTAATTTCTCATTAGCATCTTTTTTTTCTCTAAAATACTATAATTTTCTTCTGTCTTTCCTCATATATAACAATTTTTAAATCTGTATGAGTTTTATATAGATTACCCTTGTCATTTACTCTTGAAGCTTTTCCAGCAAGGTATTCAAATAATATTAGGGACACTTGAGAACTTAACAAAAAAATCAATTAATAATCATCGAATATACTATGCCAGATAACATCTTTGTTCATTTATTTTATGTAAATTCACTTCATGTTCTAATTCATGACAAAATTGTAATCAAAGTTGTAGGTGTGGATCCATGGATCCAAAATTCATTTTCGTGAAATGTATCCTATATTCTTCTTTGTTTTGCATTCTGACTCCCCCCCAATTAAAACAAATTATCTTACCAGAAATAATATTATTTTGCCTTTTCAATGGAAAATGTAAAACATATATAAATATACACACACACACATACACACAAGAAAAAGAATAAAATAATACCTATGTACCCCTTATAAAACTTAAAAACAATATCAATTTTAAAACAATCTACTTTTCCCTTTACTACCACCCATATGACCTTCCATGTTCTTTTAAATCAAATTTCAGAAATTATATCATTTTATCTATAAATTAGGTGTTACGCATTTATGAGTGACAAGGACTCTACTTTTACACATAACTCCAATGCTACTGTGGCCCACATCCCAAATCAGTACTAAAACAATAATACCTTAATATTATCAATATTCATATTACTCAAATTTTTTGATAAAATTTACTTTTGCTCCATTTGTTAGGAGTATTTTGTCTCAAAGACAGTCTTAATCTTTTGTGTTTCCCTCCATCTTTTTTCCCTTGCAATTTTTGTTGCTGTTTTTATTACAAAGAAAAAGGTCGTTTTTCTCATAAGGTTTCCTATGATTTGGAATTGCTTCCCTATGTTGTGGCTTAACATATTTTTCTCTTAATGTGTCTCTTGAAAATAGGTATTTATATCCAGAGAATCACTGAGGTTGATTTTTGGCAAGACTACATCATAGGAGGTATTATATATTTCCATCATAAAATATAAAATGCCTTGTTATTCCTTTATGTGTTTTTAGCAGCCTTTTATGACTATTGTCTGCATTCATTCATTTTTTATGTGTCACAAAATTCTTTAATTGTGAAATAGAACATTTTTATATTTAAAAATCCTCTCTTCTATTGTGTTACCCTAGGTAAAATTCATAAAGAAAGGGTAAGATAAATGGTTGATTCTTTTCAATCATTTCTCAGTTTCCCAAATAATCAGTTAATTTCTCCATACATTTCAAAAGCAATCAAGGAGTGTCTTAGTATCATTATAAATTTACGCGTTTACCAAATTTAATGCACTTTAACCCATTGTACTTATAAACCTTATTGGTGTTCAAAAATGTACCTTTTTAAGTCAGTAGGAAGGGATCCTGTTTGAATCTTTTTAAACTGCTTCAGAAAAGAACATAAGAGTTGAGGGAGTGAAAATTTAAAACTAAATAATTATTGAAATGCCCTGACTTAAAAAAAAAAAAAAAGTTGGGATTCAAAGATAATGAAAGAATGCCTTGGGTCATTCTGAAGACAAAGCCAAGATATAATGAAGAGAATTTAGTCTAACCCTTGATATTTCTCATTGCAACAGTCAATGCTGTGAAACATAGAGTCCTTAAGTAAAGAAAGTGACCCCAAAACTGTATCCGTATGAACTATCATTCATTTAAGAGATGAATATATGCATATCCTCTTCACATATTTCGTGAATAAGATGAGGATGTAGTTTTCTCCTGAATTCTTTTCGAAGAAATATTTTCTTTGAAAGGTGAGCTAAGGCAAGGAGGCCGGGGTCACACGAAAGCAACTTAGAGTAGTAAATAAGACAACTCAAATGGGACCAAAATATTAATAATATTGTTACATAACAGAACTTAATATTAAGACACTCAAATAATAGTAATAATAATAAACTATTAATTCAAAAATTCACAGATGGGAAAGTTAATGTGTGAGGTAGTATGTGATAGTTTCCTAAATTATATCGCTAAAAAAGAATTTTTCTAATAGTACATATCGATTATATTGGAAAAAATTAAATTATGAGAGGCAAGATAATCAAATAAATTTGTAATTTTGCAAAAGAAAAAGAAATAAGAATACAGTAAAGGAGAAAATGTGCTAGCTGTAACAGTGCTTATTTGAAGACAGATTAAAAATGCTGTCTAAAGAAATAGAAGATTAACAGGTAACATGTAAAATTGAGTTTGTGAAATTAACTACTAGAAAACAAACATTACAAACTCAATATTCAATCAAAATACATGTAAACATACACACAAAAGACAAAGCAATAAATATTTTATGATTTTTAAAGGTTTGAAAGTTGAGATTCTAATAAACCTATATGGCAAAAATAAGACTCTGTCAAAGAATATATGTGGTCTGAACTCATCTATTAAAGGTAATTTTATTCTATTGCATCTCGAAACAGAATATTAGTCTTCCTCAGGTTACAAACTATATTAAAGTGTTTTAGAAAATATTGAAAATGTAAGGATTAGGATTAGCATGTGAGACAAATGTTTAAAAAAAACAGAAAACAAAGCAAAATAAACCATTATTATTCATTATGCTAAGATTAAATTCATTAGGCTAAGATTATTCATTATGCTAAGTAAGTTATAAATTACTTTATAATAATATTAGAGGGTCAATTTTCAATGTGGTGACATAGTCAATGATATCTATGCAGCATACTTGAAATCACTGAATATCATGACAAAAGAAGACAAGAAGTAAAAAAGGAAATAGAAACACATTACTAAAATTTTTAAATACCCATCTTGATTCTTCATAGACCAAACGGGTTAAAATGAATACAATCTAAAGAACATACATGACCGGACGTGATGGCTCACGCCTGTAATCCCACCACTTTGGGAGACCAAGGCGGGTGGATCACCTGAGGACAGGAGTTAGAGACCATCCTGACCAACATGGTGAAACCCTGTCGCTCCTAAAAATACAAAAATTAGCTGCACGTAGTGGCAGGCGCCTGTAATCCCAGCTACTTGGGACGCTGAAGCAGGAGAATCACTTGAACCCAGTAGGGGAGGTTGCAGTGAGCGGAGATCACACGCCATTGTACTCCAGCTTGGGCGACAAGAGCAAAACTCCGCCTCAAAAAAAAAAAGATAGTAGTGTTCACTTAATTAAAATATAGTGACATACGAAACTTGAAAAAAGAAAATATATAATTTCGTTCAGTCATAAAACACTAACAAAACCCTCAATAAATAGCAAAACTTAGAAATTATGCAGATGGAATTCTTTGATGACAACATAAAAAAGTCCGTAGCTACAAAATCAGTGGTTGTCTGTCTTTTTGTTTTGGTTCAGTATCCTGGATCCAAAAGGTTTTCCTAGCCCTACTTTGTGGGGGTGGGGGTGGGGGAAGGCTTTTGATTTTTGCTTTTACCCTAAAAGCAATCGAGTTATGCCCTGTTCCTTGGGGACAGAATAACCAGGTTTATTTTTTTTCTTCTTGTCATTGGGATGGTCATGCAATTCTTGAGATTTCTACATCCTAAGCAGAAGCAAACCTCTTAAGCAACTAAGTTTGGTGTGTTTTGGAAAAGTAAGTGACAGAAACAGTGTTGCTAAAAATAGAGAATGAAGAGTGTCATAATGAACTATTTTGGCTAATACATTTGCCTTAATAGGATATTCTTCCATTTTTTGTTCATTCATGCTGTACTGATTCTGCGAAGTCGGGATAGATCCCCACGACTCCAAATTTAGTAAGCTGTCAAGACTGATAATACCACACATGCACCAACAGAGTATGAAAGTTTATCACTCACAAAATGAGGCTTGCTAGGGAAAGCAGGGTAGGCTTCCAAGCAGGTTTGAAAACCATTTGAGAGACCAAGGAGAGAAGATTGGCTTTTTTTTTTTTTTCCTTAGGAGATAGTGTTGATGAGGGTTTTGCACGCATGGGCTTGGATTTGAACAGTTTGAACTTGTCACCAAGGGAAGGGGTATTTTGGCTTTCTCATCAGCTTGCCCAGATGTGGAGCAAGAGGTTTGAAAATGTAGTCAAGTAATTTCTGTATAGGCTTTTATTTTCTAGCTTAAACCAGAGGGCATCAAGTAAACGACATCACAAGGATCTAAGACTCTTTATAAATACCTCCAGAAATGGCTTCAAGAACTGGTAACACTTTATTATGATATCTACCTGTATACAAGAGCACTTGAACATTTTTATAAGCATCTTAGGAACACCAGAATTCTTCCATATACAGCTGTAATATTTCACTGATATACTGCAGAGTGGGGTTTACATAGATGGTATTAGAATACTGTGGAGATGCTTGAAACTTATGAAACAGTCTATGTGTTCAACCTAAATGATTGCTACCATACATTCCCATGGGAAATCTAAATCCTAGTATAATTCTGCTTCCTAAAGTTGTCTGACTTAAAGTAATGCTGCTGTTCTGACATGACAGGTTTATCGTTAGTTTTTTAGTTGTTTTAATACAAGCATATTAAAGAGGCATAAGTGGTAACACTCAGCCCATCATCTCACTTCTGTATGCCTCATATTTACTCCGCTTTTAAGGTTTTGCCATTATTTTATTACCATATAAATACATATAAACTAAAAGCTTAAATAAATGAATTAATTTGCCAATTTTAATACAGGGACTTGAGTTAAACTTGTTTCCTGATGTTGCTTATAAATATTCCTTATTTATAATTACCATTTAATACTCCAAAGATTTAGAGATGGTTGTTTAACTTATAACCTTAGAAAGATTTCAGCATGCCTACATAAATATAGCAAGTATAAAAATTATTTAAATATAAGTCCATCTGTTTCCCAGGCAGGAATTGTGTGAAGGAGCTCAAACAATCAGACAGAGAAAATGAATGATTATTAACATAATGTTCTTTAGAGATACATAAGCTATGAATACAGTTATGATTTGTTATACTGTTGCCCTCACATTTGGAAATAAGTTTAGTGGTTTTGTTCACTGTATTATCTCTTGTTGCTAAACATAATTATAACTTTGAAACTTTTCTAATCTCAGTATTGTTTGGGCTTGCTCATTTCAGTGCACTCAACTCTATTACTATTTTGAATTACAATGCATTTACCCAAAAGTCCGTGAAACCAATTAATTTGAGAAAACTTATATTAGAGCTCATGTAAGAAAGTATTTTTAACATTGCAAGTGCAAAATTTAGAGGGGATGTGTTTATCTTCTTAAACACACAGGGCAGGATGTGAACTACCTAGCAAATGATAATATCTCCTTCAGTGTATTCTCAATCTACATCAAAAATATAAGTTTTTCTTTTTGTTACAATGCAGCCCTAATAAATGACACATTTCATAATGTTTGTTTCCATGTGTTTAAGGCAAGTTTGACAGTTTTTTTTAATGTCCCTCTGTTATAACTATTTCAACACTCTCCAGCTATTAATAGATCTTACCATTCATTTTATTTCTTCTTATTTGAGTACTGCTGAGTATTGCTGGAGGATCACATGAAACAATTTAATTTTACCAGAATAACTTTATACTTACTGAAAACAGTCACTTTCCCATCAGCCCAAAAGCTTCTAGGTGATTTTTTTTTTCAGTTTGTTTGCCTTTATTTAACTCTTGTTCATGCTTTCTGCAGCATCTATTTCTCTTCCCCCCGACTTCATGATCCTTAATCTTGATATCTTCATTTGTTAAAGATGTTGATTAAATTCTGTATAAGCATGATCCAATATATGTGTGTGTGTGCATGTGTGTCTGCGTATTCTGATCACTTCCTATTCACAATGTTGATGAAGAAGGAATTTCTTTGCCCTAAATGGTATAAGATGGCCAAACATACAAAAACCCACATTGGACAGATGAGATTGAGAGCAGTGTATCAGTCACATATGCTCATAGCCTGGGGAGGAGGCCACTGCATGCCACTCAGGGGCATAGAGTGTTGCAGTTAGGATTAGAGTGAGCCAGCAGGAACTGTGAGAAGGAGTCTTTGTCATAACAAGGCATTGGTTTGCACCCTGTATCTTGAGTGGGGGTATGATTGCCTTGAGTGGAAAATTTCATGGGCTGGCAGGCAAGTAAAACCTATTTGGTTGGCTGGGTGCAGTGGCTCATGCCTGTAATCCCAGCACTTTGGGAGGCTGAGGCGGGTGGATCACGAGTTCTGGAGTTCAAGAACATCCTGGCCAGCATGGTGAAACCCCGTCTCTGCTAAAAATACAAAAAATGAGCCAGGCTTGGTGGCACACGTCTGTAGTCCCAGCTACTTGGGAGGCTGAGGCAGGAGAATTGCTTGAACCTAGGAGCGGAGGTTGCAGTGAGCCCAGATGATGCCACTACACTCCAGCCTGGTGACAGAGTGAGACTATGTCTCAAAAAAAGAAAAAAAAACCCAAAAACCTATTTGGCTAAAAACTAGGTGAGGTAAGCCTGGTTCTTATGATAGGGAACGTAGTCTGGTGGAGAGTCTTTCCCACAGGCTAGGGGACATTACTGGTGGTAACATCGGAACTCATGGTTAGACTTTTAGGGTTATTTGAGGGCTCAAAAATGTCAAGGCAGCTCACAGAATTTTAGGCCTTATGTTACTGTAGCGTGTGTGTATTTTCAACTATTCCTTGTTTTAATTTGTGCACAGATAAAAAGGTGTTCCTTTATTTAAAATCTAAGCCCTTTAATATTCCTCTTCTTCATTCTTTACCAAATCTTCTGAGTCCACTTTTCATCAATTAACTCAGCTCTCTTGCATTATTAGTCTCTTCAGGATTGGAAGTATAACCACATTTCTTCCACAACTCTACTACTGCTTTAAGAGCAAGTAAAAAAAGCTTAAGATTTAAATTCAGAAGACCAACTTTCATCAAACAGTTCCATAAATTAGTAGGTATGCGAACTTATGTTTCATTATTCCAGCAAACTTTGGATATCCCTAGGTGTATTAGTAAGAGTAAATAAACTGAGCTGTCACAACAACGTAACAAGAGACAATTCAGTGCCTTAAAACAGAAAAAATTACCTATCCCTTATGAAAAAATCAGGTGCGATTTGTTGGAGTTCTCCACGCAGTGATTTAGGCAGTCTAGACTCCTTCCATATGTCCGATTTGACATAAGATTTATTGACTTCATATCAGCATTTAAGTGTTGTTAACTTTATGTAATAGTATTTAGATTAAGGATAAGTGCACTTCTAGTTGTATGAAGGATAGCTGAATTACATTAGGCATAATTATGATCTTATTGTTGTCTTTATTTGAAGATTATGTATGATTTCAGGAGACATGTATGGGTTCAAGTTGACAAGGGGTGGACTTGTGATGGTTAATATTGTCAACTTGATCAGATTGAAGGATGCAAAGTATTGTTCCTGAGTGTTTCTGTGAGAGTTTTGCCAAAGGAGATTCACTTACGAGTCAGTGGACCAGGAGAGGCAGACCCACCCTCAATCTGGTTGGGCACCATCTAATCAGCTGCTAGTGTGGGTAGAATAAAGGAGGCAGAATAAGTTGGAAAGAGCAGCGTTGCTGAGTCTTCCAGACTTCATGTTTCTCCTGTGTTGGAGGCTTCCTGCTCTCGAACATTAGATTCCAAGTTCTTTAGCTTTTGAACTCTCATACTTAACACCAGTGATTTGCCAGGAGCTCTTTGGCCTTTGGCCACAGACTGATGTAGGAGATCAGTCAGAGTGGTGGGAGAAACTATAGGGAAAGGAGCAGGCCTTCTCAAAGGTCAGAAGGCTCTGCAAAGCTTCAGGGAAGGTAGCCATTCTATAAGCCTGTGGCAGAGGGCAAGGAGTAGGTACAAGGGAATGTAGAGGAATTTATCTTGAACCAGCTTGTTTACTTATGCTGACCAGGAACTGACCTTTCATCATCCATGTGCATGACATTCCCTGAAAGGGGAATAATCAATGTTAGTTACCTACAGGTTGTTTGTGCTCCAGGCTTTCAGCATTATGCCTGCACTGAATAAAAGCAAGCAGCTCCAGCTTCTTGGGGCTGCTGCACTTTGGCCACTAGAACCAGGCAGTCCCCTAGCTGCTTTTACACTGCATACCTGTGTCTGAGTACTCCTTCCATCCGTCGGTTGGCCAGAGTCTGCAGGACAGACCTGGCAGACTGAAGGCTGCACTGTTGGCTTCCTTACTTTTGAGGTTTTGGGAGTCAGACTGGCTTCCTTGCTTCTCAGCTTGCAGACAGCCTATTGTGGGACTTCACCTTGTGGTCGTGTGAGTCAATACTCCTTAATAAACTCCCTTCATATATACATCTTTCCTATTAGTTCTTTCCCTCTAGAGAACCCTGACTAATATAGATTTTGGTACCAGGAGTGGTTCCCCTTCATATACACATCTATCCTATTAGTTTTGTCCCTCTAAAGAATCCTAATACAGGGATCTCCACTTAGTGATATAGGTAGTCTAGGCTACCTCTATCTACTCTGTCTCAACATGTGGCCTCTATCTTGTCAAAACAGTAAATGAGAATAATAATAATAAAAGAAGTCAAGTCTTAAAAACTCTTTCTTCTGGAGAGTGACACAGTCAAATGGCACACCCAGTTCATTTGCCCAATCCCATCCTAACTGGAATAGAGGTTATAATATGAGAAGACACATGGACTACTTGTTGAGGAGTAAAATTGCATTATTTGTTTTACTAAAAGGAAAATGCAACTCTAGAGATCATCACATACCTATAGATGTTGCATCTTTATGTGATTTTTATAAAATAATATTTTTTATTAACTTCCACAAAAGCATAAAATCGTACAAGATTTTTTTTGAATTTTTCTAAAAGTCTAAAGTTTACTTATTTAATTAAGAGAACCACATAATAAGCTGTCTGGAAAAGGCTTACCTTAAAATAATTTTTAACACAAATGTTTTCAATAATAATGAAAAACAAATGCTTTTCAGGGGAAAGTATGAGTTATTACCATATTGATGCTTGGTTTTGTTCCCTGACCTACAAATCACATGTTGGATTATTTTATTGAGTATGATTAATTTGAATGTGGACATTGTGGAGAAATCTAGAATGATTGTCCTTGTCACAAATTTCTTGACTGTCTGGAAATTTCAAAGATAGCCTTTTTATCACAATGTTTGAAAAAACAAGGCTACATTCACATAAAGGAACTGCTTTCATGAAGCAAAAGATCTCTACATTTCATACTTCATGCCGAGAAAGCTTTGTTCCTCAAACTGATTTTGGAGTTATTCATTCACCAATTTTCTTTAATTTACCACTGGGTCAAACATTGTGGGCTTAAAATATAGATATTTGAAATTATTCCTTTTTCATTGTGGTTTGGGCAAAGACAGAGCCTCAGGGGGCATATAGATATCCATCCAAATCTTGTACTTAAATACAACACATCCTCGTACAACATCTACAAACATTTTGCTAAAATAACTTAAAATAAATAAAGACCAACTGTCAGTTGCTCAATTGCACATGCTGTTTGTAAGTGGACCAATGCAATTAAATATCCCAAATTATCAGGGTTTTGGCACACCATTGAATGAATAAAACATAACTCTCAGAGAAGTGATTCTTTTGATGAAACTGGAAAGTTTTCTAAATATAAATCCTGTTGCCGAGTCAACCTATATTGCATATAGGTTATGTCACTCAATTGAGAGATGCTCACTGTGTTTTCAGATTAATTGCTTTATTTATCCTAAATTAGTCTGCGCAAGGCAAACTACGTGTTTTTGCAATCTCCTTATAATAATATATACATCGTTTTTTAAAAAATATTATTTTTTCTTGTTTATTATCTTTCTCATCCCCTAAAGTATTAGCTCCATGAAAGCAGAGCTTCTCTCTCAGCTTGCTTCTGTATCCCAGGACCTAGAATATATACTTTCCAAAATTTTCAAATTGCATGTTTATGTAATTTTTTTTTATATTCCACTAACATTTGTAGTTTATTTATTATAGACGGTAGTCCTCCCTGATTAATTTTTTTTCTTTTTTTATTTTATTATTGTTATACTTTAAGTTTTAGGGTACATGTGCACAATGTGCAGGTTAGTTACATATGTATACATGTGTCATGCTGGTGTGCCGCACCCATTAACTCGTCATTTAGTGTTAGGTATATCTCCTCAAGCTATCCCTCCCCCCTCCCCCCACCCCACAACAGTCCCCAGAGTGTGATGTTCCCCTTCCTGTGTCCATGTGTTCTACTTGTTCAATTCCCACCTATGAGTGAGAATATGTGGTGTTTGGTTTTTTGTTCTTGCGATAGTTTACTGAGAATGATGATTTCCAATTTCATCCATGTCCCTACAAAGGACATGAACTCATCATTTTTTATGGCTGCATAGTATTCCATGGTGTATATGTGCCACATTTTCTTAATCCAGTCTATTATTGTTGGACATTTGGGTTGATTCCAAGTCTTTACTATTGTGAATAGTACCGCAATAAACATACGTGTGCATGTGTCTTTATAGCAGCAAAAGCATTAGGTGATATCAGATGATAACCAGTGCCGTGAAGAAATGCAAGCAGAGACTGGAGCTCAGTGAGTAAGGAATGAATGGTTTGAGATGGGACTGGAGAGACAGCTCCAGCTGGGTCATGGACAGCCTGGGAGGCAGAGTGGGCTGTATTGTGCCATGTCACCATAGACAAGAAGTACAGTCTTTTCAGTGCTCTGTTTCCCTGCCTATAAAAGGGAGATAGGAATATTTGCCAAACTGACTTTGTAAAATTTGTTGTGAATATCAGCCAAAATGAAATATGAGAATTTTGTAAAGCAAAAAAATAAAAAAAATAACTGAATTCCCAATATGGAGAGACAGTGGCGAGGGAGAGGACCTGCATCACCCAGCTCTTAAATCCTACATCAGTACCTATTCCTAAAGCCACCAATGATATCCAGAGACCTTCCTATCTGAACCTATTGATGTTTATTTTTTTCAAGACTTTAAGACCTCTCAAAAAATAAAATAAAAAATTTAACTTAGAAAAAAATATATATTATTTTTTCTTGAAATGAACAGTTTAAAATGGATTGCCATGCAGGTTGGCTAAGTAATAGTGAAAGTTTACTCTCAATTACAAAACTGATGAACTTTCAGTTTCTTATTTTCTTAAAAGTTTATAATCAATTAATTTGGTCATGCTATGACTTAAAACATCTGTTAGAGCAAATAATAGTTTCAACACTCTTTAGTTGGATTTTTAATAACATAAACTTATTTTATCAGATTAGATATTTACAATGTAGAGATATTTTGCTTTATGAAAGCAATTCCATTATGTAAATGTGGGCTTGCTTTTCTAACATTGTGATAAAAGGTTTTCCTCGAAATTTCCAATCAAGAAATTTATGAGAAGGACAATCATTCTGGATTTCTCCACAGTATTCCCTGTATACTTAGTTATAGTGCTGATTTTTTTGTGTTCTCTACAAGTCAGTCAAGTGTCTTTATTCAAAATTAGAGACTTGGAAAATACCTAGTTCATTCAATTTACTTAAATGTTTTAGAATATACAATTTCTAAGGTACTTTGTGATGAGCGGGAAATTTCAGATATGTATGGTATATCATCAGAATCCTTAAAAAAACCACTGTTTCGTGTGAGACATGCTTGTAAGCAAATAATTGCAATAAAGTGTGATATGTTCTACAATAGCATTCAGGAGAAACTTTTTTTTTTTTTTTTTGAGACGGAGTTTAGCTGTGTCGTCCAGGCTAGAGTGCAGTGGCGCATTCTCGGCTCACTGCAAGCTCCGCCTCCCAGGTTCACGCCATTGTCCTGCCTCAGCCTCCTGAGTAGCTGGGACTACAGGCGCCTGCCATCACGCCTGGCTAATTTATTTGTATTTTTAGTGGAGAAGGGGTTTCACCGTGTTAGCCAGGATGGTCTCGATCTCCTGACCTCGGCCTCCTAAAGTGTTGGGATTACAAGCGTGAGCCACCGCACCTGGCCCAGGAGAAACTTTTATGATAGTACACAGAGGTGATGTTTAATCTGTTCACTAAGAGATAATGCATGATTTTATTTTAGAGGATGCAGAGTGGAAGCTGATCATGCTTACAAGATGCAGAGGTATTTTGCTCAGGAAGAAGGTACTTATAAGATGTCATAAAAATGTGGCACATATACACCATGCAATACTATGCAGCCATAAAAAAGGATGAGTTCATGTCCTTTGTAGGGACATGGATGAAGCTGGAAACCATCATTCTCAGCAAACTATCACAAGGACAAAAAACCAAACACGGCATGTTCTCACTCATAGGTGGGAATTGAACAATGAGAACACATGGACACAGGAAGGGGAACATCACACACTGGGGCCTGTTGTGGGGTGGGGGGAGGGGGGAGGGATAGCATTAGGAGATATACCTAATGCTAAATGACGAGTTACTGGGTTCAGCACACCAACATGGCACATGTATACATATGTAACTAACCTGCACGTTGTGCACATGTACCCTAAAACTTAAAGTATAATAATAAAAAAATTAAATTAAATTAAATTAAATTTAAAAAAAAGAATACCATAGCACGGAGAATAGGGATTGGTACTTATTGAGAACTTACTGTGTTTTGTCATTGTTAACTCATTTAATTGTCTCAGGAACACCATGAGGTTTCTTGTTTTTGTTTTTTACTTTAATTTCTGGGATACATGTGCAGAACGCACAGGTTTGTGACATAGGTATACACGTGCCATGCTGGTTTTATCTACATTTTAGAAATAAGGACTGAACTCAGGAAGTTTTAAATAATGTTCCCAAGATTGCATGGCTAGTAACTGTTGGTTGAATACCCAACTCCTCAGGCTTTGACTGCAATATGCCTACCGTTCCACCCTGCTTCCTTCTGGGAATAGATATTTTTTGTTCTAATCAACCAAGCATTTGCAAATATGTTTTCTTATTTAATGGCCTTAGCACTCTTTCACAAGGTGATCACTTATGTTTCCTTTCAATCTGGGGCTACTTCTCCATTTGCATCTGAGGAAAGGCTGCCAAATACTGAAGAGGCCAATGGCTGTCATATTCCTGGGGCTTCTGTCACATGATCTGAATTTTCTTCCAGTTATGGCATATATTTCCAAATTTATGCTGCATCATTCCTGCCATCTTAGTCCACAACTTAAAACGGAAACCCTCAGTTCATCATCTTCTGATAAACAATATGGTTACTCTTGCCTATACTTTTATTGCACCATTTCTTTCTCATTTTGCTGCACTGTGCCATCTGGAACCTTCAATCCATCCTGAAATTGTGAACATCCCATTCCTTTTCCCAGTGCCATTCCACTAATTGCTTGTACTAAATCTGACTCTCCTCCAGGATACTTCTTTTCCCACACATCTGAAAAGGCTAATTACTTTCTTAGAGGTCTCAGTAAGAATGGAGCAGGAGGTTTAGCAACATTTTATTTATTTTATGATTTTATGCCACTCACATTGCTACTGCAAAGCACTCTGCAAAGTGTGCTACATTTTTGACACTCAGACCATCTTATGTTCTCTCCTAGGTGATATAATCTTCATATTTTCTTTCTTTTAACACACTGAGTAGTTCAATACACAAATTTTCAGTGTTCTTAACCATCATCCTTTATCATCTACCCTCTATTCATGCATTCTCTTTCATTTCTCACCAATCAGCTTAATCTATATCTTCCAAAACTTGTCTATCTAAATCAACTATTCCCTGCATGATTTCCTACATTCATTCTTATAAATATTTTATACAAAAATACATTTTTAGCAGACAGAGAAGAGTTGACATTGTTCATATTTTACTTTAAAGAGGGCCAAGGAGGAAATAAAAAAATACATGTTTGTATATGGAATTGTATGTACTGCACTGTTCAGGAATATACCATTTGTTTCAGGTAAATTTATATAAAATTTAGTTTTTATTCTCTCATACCATCTGAAAATAAAAGGAATAATATAAAGACAATAAATCTTACAATGTTAGTTTTTTTACAACAATCTGTCTATACAGTTTCTTTGTGACTCTTGAAATACTGTCTTCTGACGATTTTCCTTTTTGTCTACTGTGATTTAACTCCCATATTCCTATGTGTATATAGTATCTGATAAGCTGTTTAAATAAAGAATAAATTCTTAAAATACATTATGAGTAAATGCTTAATAAATGCACATAACATTTTAATTAAAATATGTTGGAACTTAATTATTTTAATTTCAACTAATCTTCATGCTAAATCCTCTATCTCAAAAAAATGAACTATCTCATTTCTCTTAAAATAATTAATAGCTTTTTGTTACTTGAAATTTTTGTATTCTGAACTTTATTAAATTTATACACTATGCTACAGAACATTAATTGATACATTATGAAATATTATCATAAGTAATTAAAACTAAATAAAAATAAAAACATAAAATCTATTTTGTAATGGTGTTTCCTTTTTCATATTATTGCTTTTATCTTACTAATTCTAAGCTCTCCTATTTTTCTATGAGACTCCTAAGAATTAAAGACAATTATTCACATTTCATTGGATACTTAATTATCTGATTTCAGGTCCATTTTCTTGCTACCTGCTTAATTTGTCTACTGTTCAGTTTTCTGACTCATTAAATGAGCCAGATAGGGTAATTAAAAAAATCTTTCCACTACTTATGAGAGTTTTGGGACACAATACTTCATTGTTACATGTGCTTTAATTTCCCCACCTATATATAATACATCCCTGTTATCATAATTGTGAATATAAAATGATCAAATATATACTAAGATACATGCTTATAACAGAGCTTGCAAAAAAGTCAGCTCTTGACGAGTATTTTTTCTTATAAATATCAGAAAGAAAAATAACTTACTGAAGCATGAAGCCAGACGATAACAGAGATAGGACTGAAACTCATGTCTGACCCTTCCATGTCCAGGTACTTTTTACTAATTCACAAATATTTACAATCAATGGTGAATATAAGTGGGGTCATAGATCAACACAGAATTACACCTTTATCTATTAGTTATAATGTATCTATTTACAAATATGCAAATAAGGACCTAAAAATTATTGGATTGACTTGGTTAATGTAATTCATATCACTTAAAATCCCTATGCAAGAGTCAAATTGACCTCAGTGCTCTAACATGAAAATTGCAGAAAGTATGTTAGCATTTTGGGGTTCCTTTTCACTTTTTAGGCATCAGACTTATTGTGTGCAAAGAGGATCACATTTTAAATAATTGGTTTAGATCAGCTTGTTCAAAATGATAAAAATAATTGCGTAGGTAGATGTGACATAGTAATATATTAAAACATTCTTCTTGACTATTTTCCCATTTCATTCAAATAAAGAGAAGTCCTGCCAGTGTACTCTACCAGAACCTCTATCTCAAAGATGCATAGATTTGTTACATTTGCAATAATTATGTAATATAGACCCCACTCTAGAAATCTTAACACTTTTTTATTTATTTAAACTATAGTTCATTTATTTTAGGTGTAGACCATCTATCAAATATACAACTTTAATTTAAATATAATAAAAATATTTATTGAAAAATTGTACAGATTGTATATTTCAATTCAATTATTCAAGTGTTTCAAATGCACATTATCACATATCTGTGCACACAAATTCTTCACTATAATGGGAGGTTCAGGCTGGTTTCTGTATAGCACTCACAGTAGTTAATCTGACCTGTTCTGTCTAGTACAGTTTTACTCCTACTTCTCAGGAATAAACATTCTGTGGCCACCATCACGTTATCATTGCTACCAATATACGTAATTTTTAT
Organism: Homo sapiens; assembly: GCF_000001405.40. Classification (NCBI taxonomy): domain Eukaryota; kingdom Metazoa; phylum Chordata; class Mammalia; order Primates; family Hominidae; genus Homo; species Homo sapiens. Next base: position 59,873,928 of record NC_000004.12, on the reverse strand, counting down.
GGAAACTTAAGCCTTCAGTTCCTTTAGGTCACCAACATTATTTCCGTTTTCTCCTATCATAAACACATATGATTTTTTAAAATAAACTGGAACATTACTTTTGAAACTGGTTTAATATTTAAAGTTCTACTCTAGTTGGATGATCAGCAGCTGACTTCCTTGATAGAATGGCATGCTTGTCTGCCTTCCTGGAATCCAGATGATGCAGTTATTTGGCTTACCGTGGCAATACTAAATGATAACTTGGACTGTAGCTTGTTGTAAAAATAATGTGTGAACAGTAATTTGCAAGTGATCTAATTTTTTGTTGTTGTTTGTATTTCCAGCACTTCAGATGCATTAGTTTCTGTAGAATCACCTTTAACTCATAAAAATGAATAATTTATAAGCCTTTATACCCCAACCTGATTTTTAAAATGATAGCAAACATTTACTGAGCACAGCTATGTGTCTGACTTCAATTTTGATTGTTTTATTGTCTTTTTTACAGTAACCCAGTGAGATAAGTAATGTCTTCCTTTTCAATTTATAAATTAAACATCTGAGTGTTAAGGAGGTTAAAGAGCTTAATCAATATCACACAGCTAGAAATTTTCAGAACCTGGATTTCTATGCAGGCAGTCTAACAGAGGCTTCTCTCTTAATTATTTTGCTGCAAATAATCAAGTGGGACATTATTACATCCCAAGATATCAAGGTAATAATGTAATAGGTTTAGCAATAAGCCTTTGTATTTTATACATGGATGTTTAGTTGCATTGTATAAAGTACTTAATACTGTACGATTATTACTTAGCATAAACTATTAATACTTGGGTCGTGTAATTACAAAAACTCCATGAAAAAGCATTTATAAAAATAAGGTTTGTAAGAGAACATGTTGTTGGGTAAAATGCTGATTTTTTCCACTGGACTCATGTCTTTCCACTTTTAATATACAGTTATTCATAGAAACATCAATGGTCACTATTTATGGAGAAGTTTTAGAGAGATATTTTAGAAATGCTAAATGTCATTATAATCATTTACTCCCATTAGACTTGAGCTTTCAGAAAAAGAAGGAAAGCAAAGGTTACTTAGAGTTTATAAATGGAACAAAATATGCTGCTTAAAATATTGGAAAAGGAAATGCTTACATTTTAAGTTTATTAAAATGACTGTGTAACTTGAAGAATATGTGTCTGAAAGTGAACTGCTATCATTACAGCTATCTTGAATCCATTTTCAAGCAGTGTACACACTACTCTGAGCATTGGGCAGAAGCCATTGGAAAATGTTCTTCCTGTTATTTTCTTCTGCTTCCCAACATTTCGTTCTATCTTCAATGTTATTGGAATTGCAGAAATTTAATATGTTGCATGGCTTTCTTTATTCTGTGTTTTTAACTAAGGGTTAAATAAGACATAGGAGATGGGCAAATGGTGATAAACTATCAGACATCATTTTAATAATCTCACTGGAGACCAGTCTGACCAACATGGAGAAACCCCATCTCTACTAAAAATACAAAATTAGCTGGGTGTGGTGGCACATGCCTGTAATCCCAGCTACTAGGGAGGCTGAGGCAGGAGAATCTCTTGAACCCGGGAGGCGGAGGTTGCAGTGAGCTGAGATCGTGCCATTGCACTCCAGCCTGGGCAACAAGAGCAAAACTCTGTCTCAAAAAAAAAAAAAAAATCTCACTGGGGAATACAGCTTACTTTATGGGTAAAGGGTTGGTTACTGCTACCTGATTCTCATGCCTCCCTTCAATCTAGACATTGGAGTAACCCACCCAAACAAAAGCTTGCATCAACAGAGCTAAAAAATTTAACCTGAATCACTTCTGTATTATAAATAGAATACATACTGTTATGATTTGGATGTATCCCCCAAAGTTTACGTAAATTTAATACTCAATGCAACAGTGTAGAGAGATGAAACATTTAATAGAAGATTAGGTTATGGTGGCTCTGCCTCCATACTAGATTTATGCTATTATCTTAAGAGTGTATTTGTTATAAAAGTAAGCTCAGTCCTTTCTTGATCTATGTCTCATGTATGCTCTTTTGCCCTTCTGCCCTCTGTATTGGATGGCACAGCATGAAGGCCCTCACAAGATGCTGACACCATGCTCTTAAACTCTCCAGCTTCCAGAATTGTAAGCCAAAAATAATTCTATTTATTATAAATTATTCAGTCTGTGGTATTCTGTTACAGCAGCATAAAATGATAAAGTCAAATGTCAAATGATAAAGAGAGAGTGAGAGAGCAAAAACAGGACATTCTGGCAGGGCAAGGTGGCTCACGCCTGTAATCCCAGTACGTTTGGAGGCTGAGTTGGGCAGATCACCTGTGGTCAGGAGTTTGAGACCATCGTGACCAACATGTTGAAACCCCATCTCTACTAAAAATACAAAATTAGCCAGGCATTGTGGTGCATGCCTGTAATCCCAGCTACTCAGGAGGCTGAGACAGGAGAATTGCTTGAATCCGGGAGGTTGGGGTTGCAGTGTGCCAAGATTGTGCCATTGTACTCCAGCCTGGGCAACAAGGGCAAAACTCCGTCTCAAAAAGTAATAAATAAATAAATAGGACATTCATTTTCTAAAAAAGTGCAAGGTTTTCATTCAACAAATAGAGTTGGAGGGAGTTGGTGCAGTGTGGTGAAGTTTGCTATGGTAGTATGAATGGAAGCAAATTTTGTTGAATTAGTTTCTGGAATAGGGACAAATGAGTAGGCACTGGCTGAATATTTTAAAGTATATTAAGATTAATGAAAACTAAGTTATTCCTCGTTTTATTAGTTATTAAGAAAAGGGAAAGTGTGAGTGCCTAACATAGAAACAAATAAATGACTATAAAACTGTCTAATTTTTAACATCATACTAAGTTCAAAATATATGTTTGAACCTTCACCGATATTTTAACAAAAAAGCTCTTATGTTGAAACTATGAAAATGGGCTGAGATAGTGCAATTTATTATCATTATAATGATACAAAATAAATATTTTTCTTCAAATTAAATTTTATCTCTTTTTTTCTTTAAAAAGATATCCAAATTATCTGTTTATATTATAACAAAATGATTTTATGGGAGTTAGGTGAATTGGTCAAAGTACGTCAATCCATTTTGGTAAGCAATTTTCCATTTGTGAATTTAGTTTGGTATTATGCTATAACTGGAAGCTTCATTTATTAAAAAGGTAAAAAGCTAAAGTAATATCAAAAATGCAGACTGGGAAAAATATATTTAAAAATTCTTTGAAACTGGAGCAAGCTTTGTAGATCATTGAAAAGTTAGAGTATCATGGAGAAATGTTACACAATGCACTGGTTATTAAGAGTTTTCATCACTCAACTAAATTTAGCAGACATTTTTAAGCATTACTAGGTATCAGACACTGGGTATTCAAAGAAGGAAGTACACTGTAAGAGAAGCAAATGCCTATGTCGAGAGGGAATAATGAGAAAGGGGAACAATGGAAGAAGTTAAAACCCCAGGTTTCTGGTCTGAATGTGTCATGGTTCTACTATTAACAGTAACAAACAAAAGGAAATATGGAGGATTGTAAGGGGGCAATACAATGAGTTCAATTTGGACACAGTAAGTCTAAGATGCCTTTAGACATCTGTGTTAAGATATCCAGTAGGCAGTTTTTAAATTCAAGATAAAAATCAATTATAAATATTGATCTGGAGTCATCAGCATAAGAATTAGAAGAGTGGGAGAGGGTATGAATATCTAGGATTAAGAGGGGAAAGAGAATCTATGAATACTAAATTTTTAGGAGAAAGTATTCAAAAGAAAAATGCAGAGAAAATCTGGGGAGAGTGGTGTCACGAAAGTCAGAAGGAACAGTTTCAGAAAGGAAAGTTTAAGAAATTCAAGTTGAGAGGCAATTCAAGTTGAGAGGCAAGTCAAGTAAGACAAGAAAGGGGGAAAATGTCCATTGTATATATGAATTAATTAATTACTGGCATTGCAAGTTCTAATTTGGAATCATGAAAAGGCTCTCTGTGCTGTGGTTACACTCTAGCACAGATGTTTAATCATGACTGCGTTTTCCTGTGCAAATAAGATCATTTTGTTTCCGTGTCCAAAATGGACAATAGAATGTTCTATATTAGAAGCAAAACACAAAACATTTTCTAACTATTTTGTAAAACTGATAGATTAGCATTTGGAATGATGTAGGGTTTTGCTGATGACGGCATTTTATTGTAATATCTGGAATAGAGGCTCAGTTTACTTCAATTGTCCTCATTGCTTTTACCTATCAAGTAGTCATGACATTTGCCCTTTATGTTTTCTGAAAGTTTTATGAAGATTTTAAATGATCATAATGCAGCCAAAGAATGGCTTGTAAAGAACAACTAAAATAATTTGAGATTTTAGTGGGTAAAACCGAAAGTGATCATTTAAGGGGAGAGTAAAAGGATTTATCTATTCTTTTTGAAAGAAAAAAGGATGCTAATCAACAGGAGAACAATACCTAAAAACAGAAAAATATCCATTGCACAAAATATTTGTTTACACAGCAGGTAATAAGATTGCAGAGTACGTTACCCTAAGAGGTATTTTAGCAGAAAATTAGAGGGGGAATCATGTCCATTTTAGGTGCTGTCCATTTATTGCCTGGAGTCATGCGGAAAGTCCAGCACATGGCCAATGATTAATTAGCATTTGTTGAATGAAAAGGTTGATATGCTTACTGACCCAAGAGGGTACAACAAAGTCTATCTGTCCTGTGACAATCAGGATTAATCTTATTATACTCTTTACCCCTGTCAATCCCCATTCTCTGAACTATCATCCCCATAAGACTTCGTTTATTTATTTACTTAATTTGCAACTCAACTCCCAAATCTCCTATATTAAAAAAATTTCTACCATGCCATCTGTAACTCAGGGTATATTTTTATAGCAAAATATCTTATATACATTCATTCTTTTCCCTGAAGGCTTTCTTCACCTTATTACTCTGATTGAACCATGTCTCTCCTGTGAGAACATGACTACTCATGCAGCCCTCTCAAGTAATGAATATTTTTCTTTTCACACATCTTGTTGCACTGAACCTCATTTCCACCTCTAGAATCTAGAACTTTCTCTCTTTGCTTCCTAAAATTTCCTATGTTTGGATTTCATGGCAGCAGACTATACCACCCATTACCCACTATAGAGGATACTCATCTATTCTCATTGTGGCAATTCCTCCTTTATCTCTAGCTCATTCTCCTTCTAGCTCATTCCCTAAAACTATTTTTGATATTACTCCAATATTCCTCAACCATTCATTCTCATGAGCAGCTCCTAAACCTGCACTGCCAAATTTATTAACCTATAGCTATAGGCAGATTTTATAAATTAAGTTTATTAAAATGAGTTAATTTCTTAGTTGCAGTAGCCACATATCAGAAGGACATTAGTTATATGTGGTAGTGGCTATTGTGGCTATATTAACATTCTTATCATCACATACATTTTTATTGGAGAGTACTTCCCTAAATCTCTTTATTTCCAGTAACCGCATCCCCTTCATACCTCAAATTTAATGTTCAAATCCCCAGTTATTTATTTGTTTCTATCTTATTTCTTCTAGTCACATGACTTTTATGATATATAACTCATTGATGAAACCAAATGTTTCTTTCTGATACACAGTATATTCTCATTTACTTGTGTGCCCAGGTTCAGCAATATAATCACACCCTTACAAGCACCATCAAACTACTCATTCTTCTCTGGCATGGTCAAACTCAGCTGGTAAAACTTCAAAGACAAATACCAGCTATTTACAGGGCTTGTGCAACTGAACATGGTTCGCTGACAAACAAAATTATACTGAATAGCCTCACGTTATATACATGACTATCAACCTCAAGTGGGTCCTTTGGGTTGCCTGGTATTTATATTATATTTTTAAATCCTTTCAGTCTATTGTTTCTTGAGATGTTAATTTCTTAACTTTCCTTCTCATATCTTCCCTTTTCCTCTGTTAATATGAATGGGGACTGTTCAGGTACCCAGGTTATGTCACCCTGTATTCAATTCTCACACTGCTATGAACAAATATTCCAGACAGGGTAATTCATAAAGGAAAGATGTTTAATTGACTCACAGTTCTGCATTGCTGAGGAGGACTCAGGAAAATTACCAGCATGGTGGAAGGCAAAGGAGAAATAGGCAGCTTCTTCACAGGATGGAAGGACGGATTGAGTGTAAATAGAAGAAATGCCAGATGCTTATAAAACCATCAGGTCTCATGAGACTTACTCACCATTATGAGAACAGCATAGGAGAAACTGCCCCCATAATTCAATTACTTCCACCTGGTTCTGCCCTTGACATGTGGGGATTATAGGGATTACAATTCAGGATGAGATTTGGGTGGGGACACAGAACCAAACCATATCACACGCTTCTACTTATATGTCATTTCCTCAAACCAAATCAAAGACATTGCTTCAGTACTTCTTATTGCTATTCTCTCTCTCCAGAGTAAACATTATTCGCATATAAGACCACAAGAAATTCGGCCTTTCTTAAACAAGCAAAAACCAAGCAACAAATAAAACCTGTTCTAACTTCATTTCTCCATTCTCTTTTAAAACTTGCCATCTTTGAAAAATATTAACTCCTGTCTTCCAGTTTCTCCCCTTTCATTTTTTCTTGAATGTGATAAATTCTGGCTACTGTGGCCATCATTTCTAGAAACTGCTCTTCTCACTCTTATTCATCACATTGCTAAATACAAGGGTAAATTATAATGGTAGTATTTCTTAGCCTATTAACAACTTTTACAATATTTCATCAAGTGAAACACTTTCAGTATTTAAATTTTGGATCAAAAATCTCTCCTTTTTGTCTCTCCACTTCTTCTCTTTCCCTATTGAAGGTTTCTGCTCATCTCTCAGTCCTCAAAACTTTGAATTGCTCCAGCTCCAGTCCTTAAAGCATCTGTTTTCGTTATTTCATACTTTGTTAACATATAGGTCAATGGCTTTAAATATCAAATATATAATAAGAAGTCATATTTTATAGCTTACTAAACATCTCCTCTTGCATGAGTAATAGGCAACTCAAACTTAAGATACATAAAAGATGGACTACTGATCATTTTCCCCAATCCTGTTCCTCATATTATTTTCTCAGTTTTAGAAAAATTAAGCTCACTTATTTGGGCAGCATTTTCCTAAATCTTATTTCCAGAAACCACCTCGCCTCAATACTCTCAAATTGAAATGTCCACTTCTTCAGTCATTAGCTTATCTTTATTTCATTTGTCTTAATGGTATGACTTCTGTGAAAGGAAAATAAATCTTTGGACCCCAAAATTACTAAGCTAAAGAGAAAAGTCAATTGGAAACTGCATAGGGCAAAACTGCCTCCCATTCTATCAAAAGTCATCCCTCTGCTCACTGAGATAAAAGGAAACCTGATTGCTTCTTTTGGAAAGGCTAATCAGAAACTCAAAGGAATGCAACCATTTGTCTCTTGTCCACCTATGACCTGGAAGCCTCCTCTCCTTTTTGAGTTGCCCCATCCTTCCAGACTAAACCAATGTACATCATACATCTATTGATTGATGTCTCCTGTCTTTCTAAAATATATAAAACCAAGCTGTTCCCCAACCACCTTGGACACATATTGTCAGGATCTCCTGAGGCTGTGTTGCTGTGTTACGTGTGTGCATCTTTAACTTTGGCAAAATAAATTTCTAAATTGACTGAGACCTGTGTCAGATATTTGAGGCTCACACTTCTACTACATATAGCTCATTGACCAAACCAAATATTTCATTGTAACATATATCATGTCTTATTTTCCTTATGAAGAGCCACTTTCAGTTGTGCTGGCCAAATGACTGTCGTTTTTGATTCCTGATTTCTTTTTTTTTTCCACTTCTCACATCCAAATAGCTTATAATTTTGGCACTATTTAAAAAATATCCAGAATCAAAACAATTCTTGCTACTTCCATTGCTAATATCACAAGCCAAACTACTAAAATATCTTAACTGAATTATTACAATAGCCTCTTAATAATATCCATTTTCACATACTTGCTTCCTATTCTACCACCAACACCAAATCTATAAATAACATGGAAGTCAGAATAATATGCTGCATATGTTAGGTCATTGTTACTCTGTTCTTCTTTTACACAAAATGCTAATGACCTATAAGGTTCTCATGTTATAGCTGCTGTTGACTTTTTAGCTTTATCTTCCACTACTCTTTCTCTTCCTTCATTTTTTTTCCAGCAATGCTGATCAACTTGCTGCTATTGAACATACCAAGATCTCTGCTTCAGAGATTTTGAATCTGCTGTACCTCTGTTTGGAATACCATTCTCCCAGGTAACTACAGGAATTGCTGCCTAATTTCCTGGAAGTTTGCTTCAATGCTGTCTTCTCAGTAGTTATCCTCCAAGCATCTCATTTTAAATATAAACTCTCCTATTTCTTTCTCATCAGCATCATTCATACTTTATTTTGTCCCAATGACTTTTTACAGTCTGACACATTATATGTTTAACTTATTTATTTTATGTATACCTCCCTTTAGAATATAAGATTTATGAAAGCAAAGTTTTATTTTATTTTTCTTTATTTTGTTCTCTTCACATGAAATTGTACCAGGGGAAGAGAAAGTGGTGCAAGATTGCCAAATAAAACCATCCAACAATCATCCCCCAAAAGGAACACCAAATTGAACAACTATCCATAAAAGAAAGCACCTTCATAAGAACCAAAAATCAGGTAAGAAATCACAGAACCTGGTTTTAACATCATACCAAGGAAAAAGGGACTGAAGAGGGTAGAAAGACAATCTTACATTGCCTACATAATCCTTTGCCCATCCCTTGGCAGTGCCTCAAGGAGAGAGAATCTGTGTATTTAATGTGGAGGGAGAGCCAAATGATTCTGGGATTTTGCATTGGAACTCAGTGCTACTCTGTCACAATGGAAGGCAACACAGGGCAGAATTTCACCAGAGCCCATGGAGAGAGCATTTAAACCAGCCCTTACCGGAAGGGTATCCTCTGTCTCAGCGGAAGGAAGCTAAGTTTCAGCTAGCTTCACCATCAATGGACTGAAGTGCCCTGGGGTCCTGAATAAATTTGGAAGACAGGCCACAAAGGACTGCAGTCCTTGGTGAAGTCCTCATGCTCCTCTGGCCTTGGAGCCAATGGATGTGGAGTGCCTGTGACACGGAGACACCAGTTGTAATGGCCAGAGGAGTATTTTCATTGACCCTTTTCCAACTCCAGGCAGCACAGCTAAGGGAGAATTATTATTATTATTATTTTTCCACTTGGGGAAAGGAGAGGGAAGAGTACAGAGGGCTTTTTGTCTTAAAACTTGAGTACTGGCTAAGCCATAGTAAAATAAAACACTAAGCAGACTTCTGAACTTCTCAATTCCAGGTTCTAGCTCCTGGATGGCATTTTCTAGATAAACCCTTAGCCAGAAGGGAACTCACTGCCCTGAAGGGAAGGACCCAGTTCTCTCAGGATTCACCACCTGCTGACAAAAGAGCCTTTGGGCCTTGAATAAACATTAGCAGTAGCCAGGTAGTAGTCCTCACAGGACTTAACTGATACCCAGTACCGTGGTGAACTCAAGTTGATCCATCACAGATCCAGTTGCAGTGGCCACAGAACTGCTTGCATCACTCGTTCCCTAACTCCAGACACTGTGGCACATACAGAGACAGACTTCTGTTTGGAGGAAAATGAGGGAAGAAAATAAGAAACTTTGCTGTGTAATCCAGGAAATTATTTTGGATTCTATCCAAATCCACCAAGGTAATACATCTAGGGGTCTGCAAGAGCCACAGCATTACGTGGCCTAGGATGTCCCCTAGAGCTGATATGGCTGCAGTGACCAAGAGTTAACTCACATTGTTCAATTTATTTTGAATATCTGGAAAGCCTTTTCAAGTAGGATGAGTACAACTAAGCCCAGACTAAGAATTAGAGTAAATATCTAAAACTTCAATGCTCAGATATCAGTGAATATCCACTAAGCATCAAGAACATCCAGAATACAAAGGACCTCCACCAAATGAATTAAATAAGGCAACAGTGACCAATCCTGGAGTGCTAGAGATAAGTTGCCTTTTAGACAAAGAATTTTAAATATCTGTTTTGAGGAAGGAAGCACAAAGAACTTGAAGATAACATGAAGAATGAATTCAGAATCTTATCATTGAGATTTAACAGAGATTAAAACAATTTTTTAAAAACCAGCAGAAATTCTGCAACTGAAAAACTCAATTGGAAAAGTACGAAATGCTCAGGACTCACTCAGCAGCAGAAGAAATAATAGGTAAACTTGAAGACATGCTATATGAAAATACACAGAGGAGAAAAAAGAAAAAAAGAAAAAAATAATGAAGTATGCCTACAAGATCGAAAAAACCTTGAAAGGGCAAATCAAAGAGGTATTGGCTGTACTCTTTAAAGAGTATATATATACACATATAGATATATATAGATATATCTATATATATACACATATAGATATATATAGATATATCTATATATATAGATATATCTATATATATATCGAGAGAGAGATCAGGTAAGAAAATGTATTCAAAGAAATAATAACAGAAAACTTTTCAGTTCTAGAGAAAGTTATAAATATTTAGATACAAGAAGGTCATAGAACCTCAAGAGACCTTAACACAAATAAGGCTACCTCAAGGCATTTAATTATCAAAGTCCTAAATGTTAGGTATAAAGTAAGGATTCAAAAATGGCAATATAAGACAACAAATGACATAAGAAATATCTCCAGTATGTTGACAACAGCCTTCTCAGTGGAAACCTCACAGGCCAGGAGAGAATGACATGACATATTCAACTTGTTAAATAAAAGAAACAAACAAACAAAAAACACTTTTTTCTTCTAGAATATTATATCTAGAAAAAATATATATACATATATTTCAAATATGAAGGAGAAATAGTCTTTCCCAAACTAATAAAAGCTGAGGAATTTCATTAACATCAAACCTGTCCTATAAGAAATGCTAAAGAGAATGTATTAATCTAAAAGAAAAGGATGCTAATGAACAATAAGAAATCATCTAAAGATACAAAATAGACTGGTAGCAGTAAGTACTTGGAAAAATACAGAATATTTTAACACTGTAATTGTGGTGTGTAAACTACTTACATCTTGAGTGGGAAGAATTAAAAAAACATAAAATACAATAATTACAATAACTTCTTAAGGGATAGAGACTATAAAAAAGCATAAATGGAAATAAACAAGAAGTAGGAGGAATGGAGTTGTGTAAAGTTTTAGTTTTCCCTTTGTTGGTTCAATTGTTTGCTTTTTGTAATCAGAGTTGAGTTGTCATCAATTTAAAATAAATGGTTATAAAATATTACTTGCAATCATGGTAACTTCAAATTACAAAAAAGTACAAGAAATACACAAAAATTTAAAAAGATAGAAATTAAACATACTGCCAGAAAAAAAATGTTTACAGAAAAGAAGACAGAAATAAAGGAAGAAACAGAGAATCAAAAAATAACCACAGAACAATAGCAAAATGGCAGTCATAAATCCTTATGTATCAATAATAACATTGAATGTAACTGAACTAAATTATCTAATCAAAAGATAAAGTGGCTGAATAAATTTTTAAAAAAGAGGTCAAACAATACGCTACATACAAGAAACTAATTTCAACTAGAAAGACACACATAGACTTAAAATAAAAAGATGAAAAAAGATATTCCATGCAATGGAAACCAAAACAGCAGAAGTAAGTATACTCATAACAGATAAAGATATTTTAAGATAAAAACTATCAAAAGAGACAAAGAAGGGTAAAATTATATCACTGTGATAATAAAGTGACCAACTTATCAAGAAGATATAGCAATTGTAAATATATATGCACTGAACCCCGGAGCACAAAGATATATAAAACAAATGTTAAAATTAAAGAGAGAGATAGACATTAATACAATACTAGCTGGACACCTGAACACCCTAATTTCTGCAGTGAAAGCTCATCCAAACAGAAAATCAACAAAGAAATATTGGATTTAATCTGCACTATAGATCAAATGAACCTAGTAGATACTTTTAGAATACTTCGTCTAACAGCTGCAGGATATACATTCTTTTCCTCAGCACATGGATCACTCTCAAATACAGACCATACATTAGGTGATACAAAATATTCAAAAAAATAAAATTAAGATATGTGTCTTTTCTGACAATGGAATAATCAGTAACAAGAGGAACTTTGAAAGCTGTACAGAAACACAGACATTACACAAAATGTTCCTGAACGACCAGTAGGTCAATAAAGAAATTATGATGGAAACTAACAAATGTTTTGAAAAAAATAGTAATGAAAAGACAACATATCAGAACCTATGGGATACACAAAAATCAGTACTAAAAGGAAAGTTTATAGCAGTAAATGCTTACATCAAAAGGGAATAAAAACTTCAAATAAATAACCTAACAATGTGTTTTACAGAACTAGACAAGGAAAAGCAAGCCAAAATTAATAGGAAAAAATAAATAATAGAGATCAGAGCAGAAATAAACAAAATTCTAAAATAGAAAAGATTATTGAAAAACTTGGTTTTTTGAAAAAATAAACCAAATAACCCAAACTTTAGCCAGACAAAGAAGAGAGAAGACCAAATAAAATTAGAGATGAAAAAGGAGATATTATAACTGATAACCTAGAAACTCAAAAGATCATTAAAGATAAGCAATTATATGCCAAAATTGAAAAACCTAGAAGAAATGAATAAATTCCTAGACACATACAACCTACCAATATTGAACCATGATGAAATCTAAAACCAAAATTAACCAATAACAAGTAACAAGACTCAAGTCATAATAAATCTCCCATCAAAGAAAAGTTCAGGACCCCATGACTTCACTCCTGAATTCTACCACACATTTGAAGAAGAACAGATACTAATTCCACTGAAACCATTCCAAATAATCTAAGAGGAGAAAATATTTTCAAACTCATTCTATGAGGCCAGTATTTTCCTGCTACCAAAACCAGACAAAGATACAACAACATCAATAAAAACTATAGGCCAGTATCTCTGATGGAGACAGATGCAAAATTCTCAACTGACTGCAGCAAATCAAAAGCAACAACACAATAAAAAGATCCTTTATCATGATCAAGTGGGATTTATCCAAGGATGTTACCACTAGAGCAATTAGACAAGAGAAAGAAATAAAGGTATTCAAATTGAAAATAAATCAAATTATTCTTTTTGCAGATTATATGATCTAATGTCTAGCAAAATCAAGACTCCTTCAAAAAACTATCAGAACTGATAAATTCAGAAAAGTAGTAGGATACAAAATCAACATGCAAAAATCAGTAGCATTTCCATATGCCAAAGAAAAAATCTACAAAAATTATAAAAGTAACTCAACTTATAAAGGCTACAAATAAAATAAAATACCTAAGAATAAACTTAACCAAAGATGTAAAATATCTCTACAATATAAACTATAAAATATTGATAAAAGGAATTAAAGAGGACACAAAAATGTAAAGATATTCTATGTTCATGAATTGGAATAATTAATATTGTTAAAATATCCATACTACCCAAAGCAATCTACAGTCAAAATACCAATGATATTCTTCACAGAAATAAAAAAAGTGTCCTGAAATTCATATGGAACCACAAAAGACCCGGAATAGCCAGAGCCATCCTGAGCAAAAAGAACAAAACTGGAGGAATCACATTACCATCTTTAAATTATACTACAGAGCTGTTTTAACTGAAATAGCACAGTACTGGCATAAAACAGACACATTGACCAATGGAACAGAATAGAAATTCCAGAGATAAATTCATACATCTACAACATTTTCAACAAAGGTGCCAAGAATATACATCAGGGAGAGGACAGTCTCTCCAATAAATGATGAGAAAACTGGACATCCACATGCAGAAAAATGAAACTAGACTCCTATCTGTCATCACATACAAAAATCAAATCAAAATTTGATTAAGGACTTAAATCTAAAACCTGAAACTATGAAAGTATTGAAAAAAATAGTGCAGAAACTTTCCAGGACATTGGTCTGGACAAAGATTTCTTGAGTAATATCTGAAAAGCACAGGCAACAAAAATAAACATGGACCAATAGGATCTCATCAAGCTAAAAAGCTTCTCTCCAGCAGAGGATACAGTTAATAAATTGATCAGACAACCTAAACAATGAGGGAAAATATTTGCAAACTGCCTATTTGACAAGGGTTCAATAACCAGAATATACAAGGTAGCCCAACACCTCAATAAGAAAAATAATATACTGGGCAAAATATGTGAATAGACATTTCTCAGAAGGAGACATATGGAAAGGCCAACATGTATATAAAAATGTGCAATATAATTATCAGATAAATGCAAATCAAACCTACAATGAGATATTATCTTATCCCAGTTAAGATGGCTTTTATCAAAAAGTCAGACAATAATAAATGTTGGTGAGGATGTGGAGAAAGAGGAAACTTCATACACTCTTGGTGACAATAAATTATTACAGCCACTATAGAGAAGCAGAATGGAGGTTTCTTAAAAAACTAGAAATAGAACTACCATGTGATTCAGCAATATCACTGATAGGTATATACCCTAAAGAAAGGAAATCAATAAATTGAAGAGGTATCTGCATTCCCATGTTTATTGCAGCACTATTCACAATAGGCAAGATTTGGAATTAACCTAAGTTTCCATCAAAAGATGAACAGATAAAGAAAATATGATACATAAACCCAGTGGAATATTATTCAATCATAAAAAAGAATAAAACCATGTCATTTGCAACAGGATGGATGGAACTGGAGGACATTATGTTAAGTGAAATAAGCCTGGCAGAGAAATACAAAGTTTATATTATTTCACTTATATGTGGCACTAAAAATTAAAACAATGGAGTCATAGAGTTTGAGAGTACAATGATGCTGACCAGATGCTGGGAAGGATAGCAAGGAGGAAGAGAGAAAGTGGGATGTTTAATGGGTACAAAAATGTAGTTAGAAAGAATAAGGTCTAATATTTGATAGTACTGACAAGGTAACTACAGTCAATAATTCAGAGTATGTCTTAAAATAATGAAAAGGGAAACACTATAATGTTCTTAACTCAAAGAAATGATAAATGCTTTCAGTGAGGATACCCCGTTACCCTGATTTGATTATTACATGTTGTATGACTGTATCAAAACGCCACATGTACTATATATACATATATATGCCTATTATGATAAAAATTAAAAAATTAAAATTGTACCTGGTATAAAATAGGTTCTCAGTTAATATTTATTTTAAAAGTAAATGAATTTATAAATAACACTGGTGTAAATATATAAGAGAAACAGAAATCTATGTAATATTTCAAAATGGATGTAAAATCATCCCTTGAGGGAAACTCATGTCTCTCAGCTTTATCACTTGATTTCCAACCTGCAAAAAAATAAAAAAAAAAAATAAGTTGCTGAAGTTCCATAGTCCTAACCTATGTCCATGAAAAAACATAATTTCTCCCCAAAACATGATTGATGATGAATAAATTTTCATGTAATGCAATATGATTTAACTCATATTCTCTTTAGGTTTAATTAAAAACAAATGTAAGTGCATAATAAGCACAATGTTGTACAAATGTTTGCTGAAATAACTTTTTCTTTCTTTACTTTTTAAACTTCTATTTTCACATAAATCTATAATTCAATGTAGGAGTCACCTAATCAAGGTTTAATTGGGCACTATTTTTAAACATGTTATGACAATTAAGGATGACATATAATACATGTAATATAATCATTAGTATAATTACTACATCGATTTTTTTCAGCTTTATTAAGTTACAATTGACAAATAAACATTGTATATATTTGAAATGTAAACATGACATTTTAATGTACATATATATTATGAAATGATTTCCATAATCAAGCTTATCAACCTATCCATCACTTCACATATTTACTTTTTGTGTGTGAGAACACTTAAGATAAATTTTTAGGCAAACTTCTAATGTATAATACATTATGATAAACTGCAATTAGTACTACATAGTGATAATAATTATAGTATATTTATGTTTCAATGAATTCAAACAGACATAAAACCTATGAGTATCTTGATTAACTTCTAAGTAAGATTTTGGAAGCTTCTTTTTTGTATTTTAGAATATATATGCTAAAATTTCTATTTTAATGATATCCTTCTCCATTTTCACATGTGAAAATGCCACATCGTTGAAAAATCCTTTGTTTTCTAATGGTCTTCTTGTTAATGTTGTTACTGACTTCTCTGATTAAAACAAATTAAACAACTGTAGTTATTTCAGAATGTCCCTACAACTTTTGTAGCTTCATTCCTTGTCGTTTTTAGCTTTTAAACTTTTCAAACCTGGTTGATGTCAATAAATAGGAATCAAATCATAAATGTCTTTATATCTAAACATAAATTTCAACATACATGAGTGTATAATCTTACACGTAATTATAAGTGCCACATGTCACCACTAGTTATGTGCCTTTTGAACTAAGTAGCTAATTGCAAAATCTCTCCATGAAGAAACATCTTATTTAATAAAGATAATCACTGTTAGTTATTTTATCAGCCACCAGTTTTCTGATATTAAGGTCTAACAGTACCAATTAAAAAAATTCACTAATAAAGATATTATGGATATAAATTTTTATTGTAGAAATTACTTAAAATCCGTATCCTGAGGTAATTACATAATAAATGACATACCTTCTAAAGGTCAATGAATATAAATAATTAAATGTCTACATCTATAGATAGATGGGGAAAATGTATAAGAAGAAAGGAAAAAGAATGGAAAAAAAGCAATGAGTAATTTCCATCAAGATATTTCAGGCAGAAGAAAGTCAGTTGAAAGGGTTTGAAATTCATAAAAGAAGATAATACTTGGGAAATGAATTGTAAACAGGAGACTCTGTAGGAGACTGTAATAGTAGTTAAAGTGATGAAACATTTATTTAAATCTGTGAGAGGGAAGATGAAGTCAAATTGAACAATTTGAGATATTTTTATTTAATATAATTGAAAGAAAGATGGTCAAGAATGACTCTGGACTTTCTAACTTTAGAAATTTAGTAATATCATTTATAGAAATAAAGAGGAAAAGGAAAGATTTGAGACCATTTGAATCTCATGTTTTTCTTATCTTTTTAGGTTAGGTTTTTGTGCAGCATCCTGATGGAACTTCAATACACACTTGATACTGTGAGCATGAAATTTTCAAGGCAAGTTGCATCTGCTGATTACTTTCTTAGCAATATAACCAATCCATACCTTATTTTCAACTCAAGAAATTTATATTCCACTGCTTATTGGATATTTTCACTGAGATGTCTCACAGACATCTAAAACTTAACATTCGCCAACTTGGAATTTATTACCATTGCTCGAAATCTACTCCTTTCCAATATCGCTTAGCTTGAAAATAACACTACCATCTCTCAAACACATTTAAAAAATGCTATGGATGGCAGCAGTGGTCTGTTTGGTGCTGCTGCAGCCATAATGCTGGCTTCAGTGAGAGACGTGCAGTAGAGGCTGTGCACTCCATGTAGCCAGCGAGCGCCCTGCCCGCTTCTGAGTTGGCAGAGCGGGAGCCGGGTACTCCCTGGGTGCAGCTGCTGCTGCCTAGCCACGGATATGGACCGGGGCATCCCTATGCTCTTCGGGCTGGGAGCAGGCAGGAGCCCCACCCTCCTGAGTGCAGCTGCAGCTGTGGAATCAGGCACCTCTGCACTCTTGGAAACGGACTGGAAAGGACTCACTTTCCTCTCAGGCTCAGAGGTGCCTGCTCCCACTGCCTGCCCTTTCCCCACTCCCAACACCGACTCTGATCTCATAGCAAATTTGAGGCCAAGATCAAAGCTGTTGCAACCCGGCCAGGTGTGAGCAAGCTCCGGGCAGTGCTGACTCCAGACTTTGGGTGCTGACAAGCACAGGAGGGAATCCTGGGCACCATTATCAGTGGTAGAAGGCAGACAGACTCCTTGGCGGAAAGGGGTGGGTCCCTGGTGAAACCCCACCTTTAAGCGGGAGAAGGCCTGAATCCTGGGGGCCAGGCTGCCAGTCCCCGGACGGGAGTGGAAACTTACTCTGCTTTTTCTGGGCCTGCCCATGGCCACCCAGGAACCAGTCAGCATGCACTTCCCTCTGAAGCCCATAAAAGCCCTGGATTCAGCCAGACTTGAAGAGACATTGGGACGGCCAGCTGCATAGTGTACCTACCCATTCGTGTCTCCTCTCTGCGGAGTGCTGAACACTTGTCAGGACACCCTGGCTGTGGAGAGGAGCTACCCACTGCAGGTGTCCTCTGAGCTGTTCTATCACTCAATAAAGCTCCTCTTCACCTTGCTTACCCTCCACTTGCCCACATACCTAATTCTTCCTGGGAACGGGATAAGAACACGGGAACTGCTGAATAGTGGGGCTGAGAAAACTGTAACACAAATAGGGCTGAAACATGCTCCTTGCTCATCACCTTTCTAGCAGCACGAGGGAGAGAAGAGCTGAAGCCCTTCAGGGAGCCAAGACGTAGGAGCTCCCTGAGCCAGGGCTGTGACACCTTGTTTGGGACTCAATTATACTCTGATTACACTTAACTAAAATTACTGAGAGTTTAGAAGTCCAGATGTCTTTAAGAAATTTATTTCTACTCCCTTTTGCATGATTTAACAATTCCTCTTTCTCTTCTTTATATCTTTTTCTTTTTAATATTTATAGATACGTAATAGTTGGAAATTCTTCTTTGTACCTTGTCTCTTGACTTTTGTAACAATGTTGCTCTCTCATAATTTTTGTCTTGCCTATTTATTTCTAACTCATGGATGGCACCTGGAAGCTTGATTAAAAAGAAAAACAAAGATATAAAGAAGAGAGAGAGGAATTGTTAAATCATGCACAAAAGAATATAAATCAATTTGTTAAAGACAGTTGGACTTCTAAACTCTTAGTAATTTTAGTAAGTGCAATCAGAGTATAATTGTGTAGAAAGATGTCAGCATGTAATGAGTTATATAAAGAAGATGAAATAAAAGCTAATTTATCAAGAAACAAGGCAGAGAAGAAATAAAAGAGAATAAAAATTGTGACAAGATTGGAGCAAATATTGATAAATTTATGGATTAGATAAATTTGCAGAGGTCATTATTAACAGTGTCTTTTTCTATAAAGTAGCATAGATTTTCTTAAGAATTATGAAATTAATTGTAGAATAGGAAATTAGAGATAGCAGCTTAGGTTTTAAAAAGCCTTCAATTTTTCAAAAATGCCATCTGAAATCAGGGTTAGTATATTATTTCATGCAATTATAGCGTACTTAAAACTAACTCTATAGAAATATTTCTTCTAATCTTACAAATCTCTTTCAATGTATATAGTATCAGGTTAGTACAAAGTACTTGTGATTTTTGCCATTGTAATTAATAGCAAAAAATTTTGCACCAATCTAATATATCCCTCATAGGACCGGTGTATTTTGTAACTTATCACTACTGAATCCCTAGTGCCTAACATCAGGTTCCAAGTAAATTTTTATGAACAAAAAACGATGTAGATAAGCCTCCTCAGTGGGTATTACCAACATACTGGATTTTAACTTATTATCTAGTTCAAAAATGTTCAGTGGTTTCCCAGTGACTTCAAATTTCTAGGTTTAATTACATTTATAAAACATTACTCCTTGGCCTAGACTTTAGTTATAATATTTTTTTCTTCAGACAGTATTATTTTCCCTTTTATCAAAATCTCACTGTCATCTCTATTCTTTTTAATTTAATGTTGCCTTACATTGTTGCTTATCTCATTTGTTTATGCTCTGATTATATATGTAGATTCAGATTCAGCTAAAAATTTTGGAATATCTACTATGTGTTAGATATAGCTCTCTGAAGATTTAGATCACTTAAAACTGTAAGATAATAAATCACAAGTGCTGTAACTTTGTTTTCCTCTATTGAAATTTAGCTCAAAATTTACAAAGACACTATTAGAACCTTTAAGGTCTCAGACCACTTTGCAGTTATGGAATTTCAAGCCAATGACCGACAAAGATAGAGAGAAAAGGTGGCAGCAGTGCCTATGGTAAATAATGATGGGCTTGTGGAACCACAGTAACCCAAGGTGCCTCAAAACTGTAACAACTGTACTTAAAGAGATTCAGAGATTCCTGTCAGAGGCCATACAGTATCTGGTTTCTGTAATCCTGAATGTTTATAGATTATGCTTTCTGCATTCTCAGGACATTTCAAGTTTTCAAAAGCAACTGGTTGAGTGAAAGTTAGTGCATTGTTTATTTATTATCACTGATAACTATCATAGTGAGGTACTAAATCAAAATGGGTTACATTACATCAACTCTGGGTGAGATATATAGAGGGAAATTTCATTTCTCTTAAACATTAAAATGTTTAGAGACACATATCCCAAAATATAACCCTAACATGTAGATGATAATTTGAACCTAGATATTATGTCCAATGGAGCTTGTTAGATTATTAACTAGTTTAAAAAATACCGTAGTTTATAATTATTTTATTAATACTCTCCCCATACAAAATACAATATGAAGTATATAGGATAGATTTAATACCTAGCTATCAAGTTGAACAGATGTTGACATGTAAGATCTATCAGTAGTTTTCAAAGTGAAATAGATAATATGCAATAGAAAATCAGTAAAAGAGTAGGCAAAATGTTCTTTTATGTTATGCTCTTCAAGAGCATAACTGAAAATATTCACAAATCCTATGAAGTCTTGGTGTCTTATTATACTATTAATTTAAGAGTCAGCTTGTCTAATATTTTTTAATGGCAAAACTGCAATTACTTTTGCACCAACTTAATAGGAATAACTAGAAAAATAAATAGATGCAGACCTGACATTATAACTACTATAACAATTATAACTACTATAACAATTGTAACTACGATAGCAATTAGAATGTCAGGTCAGCATCTATTTATTTTTCCAGTTATTACTACTAGGTTGGTGCAAAAGTAATTGTGGTTTTGCCATTAAAAGGAAAGGTTAAAGCAAGTCTGAAAAGAGAAAGTATAAAGTATAATTAT
Organism: Homo sapiens; assembly: GCF_000001405.40. Classification (NCBI taxonomy): domain Eukaryota; kingdom Metazoa; phylum Chordata; class Mammalia; order Primates; family Hominidae; genus Homo; species Homo sapiens. The sequence continues at coordinate 59,852,788 of NC_000004.12, read as the reverse complement.
TAATTTAGAAAGCAAAAATATTAGACACTGGAGAGACACAGTTATGATTCTTTTGTGAAAAAAAGGATCACAGAATTATTACTATAAAAGAATATCTTTATTAATTTTATTATAACAAATATTGTCAATTATCATAGGTAAACAGAAGAAAAGCCTTGTCATAGTAAACTTGGAAGAATATAATAAATTGGAAAGATTATATCACATACACACATCTATATTTATACATATATACATGTGTATATTTATATGTGTATATAACTCCATATACAATGAGACATATTTCATTTTAGGAGTAGTCACTATGCATTTCCATAAAGATATAAAACAAACAGATTATGACTGTGTCATTTCAGTTATCTTAATATTCATCATCTCACAATAAATAATTGACATTCAGATAACTGAATTAGAAACTGGAGTTAGAATCCAATAATCTGTGAAAATCTGTACTTCAAAAACCCTTGCAGTGTGTGATGACAAGGCATACTAAAGTTTGAGAACCAATGTTATGTAGAAAAAAAGTATAATCATGCCATTTCACTTGTTAGAACTGCTTTCTGGATATTCAATCCTGATTCTCCATGTAACTTGTATTTTTCCACAAATATCAATCACACTAAAATAGTATTTTTGCTTTTCTTAATTCATATCCTTTATCTGGGAGAATTCATCCACTCTCTTGGATTCAATATTCATCAGAATCTGTTTCCTTTAGATATTTTCCCTACTTCTTCTTTCTCCATTCTTTCATCTCTGTAAATAGCACCTACATTTTTCAGTTGATCAAGCCAAAAATCAGATAGAGAGTATTAACTCTTTTCTGTCTTCTTCCATGTCTCTTGTGGCCTACATATGTTAAAAAAAGGAAGTTTTAATGATTTTCTATTTTTTAACCTTAATATAGTTCCTTATTTCCTCAGGCCTGGGATGCACAAAAGATATTACAAAATATTTAGTCTTCACCATTGCTAACATTCAAAAGCTTTTAATTACAGGTAAAATGTACACCAAGTGAAATGCACAACTTAATTGTAAAATATAAGTAGATGTAGCATAACACTGTCTTATCAATTATAGCACTTTTCCCTCACTCCCACATATTTCTCTTTTGCCCTTTTCTGTCAATCAGTCACACTTCTAGAGGGTATTTGCAGCTATCCTCCTCGAGGGTACAACTGTTCTGATATTTTGTTTTTCACACCAAATTAATGATGTCCCTTTAGAACTTCATATAATTAGAATTTTACATTATACACTCTTGTTTTTGAGATTCATACCTGGTTTTGCATGTAGCAGTAATTTGTTCCTTTTATCTCTAAGAAATATCACATTGTATGAGTATACAACATCCTCCCCACCTTCACACTGCAACCAGAACCACAAATAATGCCAAAATGTCACTTTAACTTTTTGTCCTACAAGCATCTGTGGTGTTCGGTAATTGCTTCATCCGAGTACTTTTCCGCATATAATGGAACCCAGTATGACATAATGATTAACTGCATTAATCTGGGAAAAGAATATCTGAATTTGAACTCTGTTTCTCCAATTCAATTACCTCTATGATCTTAGACAAGTTATATAAGTTGTCTGTGTCTCAGAATTCTTAACATTAAGATAGATATACTAATAAGTACCTCGTTAAATTACTGGAGTTTACAAAATTAACAAAACCATAAAGCAGTTAAATAGCATGACACATATATGGACTCAAAGAATTAGCTACATTATTATTTTTACAGTCTACGTATCTGTGTTTAACACTGTTTAATAAGCTTCCTCTGGGCAGGAACCACTGTTTTTACATAACTTGATGTGGTAGATGTCAATACATGTTAATTCAAGGAATGAATGAATTACATTATTATGGGGAGCACACTATTATACAAATTATTGCAACCCAGCATGTATTTCTCATGTTTCACTGTTGAGAATGGAATTTATTTAACTTATTGTGACAAATACTCTAATTTTCCCTCAATACCCATTCTCTCATTCTTTGTTTTGGCCGTATAATCCCCCAAAGTTTCTGACATAGCACACAGTACCCATTTGGCACTATATTTCCTAACTTATCTTTCAACAGTTGAAGCTTTATGACTAAGTAACTACCAATGAATTCTAAAAGAATTGTGAATTGCAACTTTTGCATGCCATCCTTACAAGAAGATTGCTTGACCTCTACCTCCTCTTTCTCAGTGTCACTGGTTTGAATGTGGATGAGGTCCTTGTGAACTGTTTTAGCCTTGCAGATGAGGTCAGTAAGTTAGGGGAGTACAGATCAACAGGAAAAATGGGAACTGGGTCTCCGCATGACCACTTAGAATTTTTTTTTTTTGTGGGGGTGCAACTTGGTCTATTTTTCAAACATTTAGATTATTAGTTGAAAGATGAAATGCTGGTTTACTTTGACTGAACCATTGTTTTTTTTTTATTTTATTCTTAAAGCAGCTTAGTCTGTACCTTAAATAGTGCACTAATTCCAGAAGAAAGGAATATAAATGGCCAAAAGAATCACCAAGGCTTCTGAACAAATGCACTATAGATTTAGTTGTCAGGACTGACTTTTAAAATGATGCTAGGGAATTGAGCCACTGAAGCATTACTGACTTTTCTATAATCAGAAAACTACCTATGGAAATGACAATTGTAACCATAAGTCCTAGCTCCAGATCCATGGGCAGATAAAGCTATAATCAGAGAAATTCACAACCACGAAGCTGTTATTATGAAGAAGTTGACAATGAAAACTCAGATGTCCTCACACTGGACTTGCCAGCAGTAATTGAATAATTAGCAGAAGAGTGACATCTGCTTCACTCTGTATTCTAAATCGCACTTGAATGTCCCTGAGGGTGAACACTTAATTATCCATAACTGTTGCTGCAAAGGTGTCTGCAGAATTTTACATTTATATTTTCAGCCTCTGCAAGGCAAGAGGGCCCTTGACATTGAACAGAGTTTGAAAAAAATGTTGAACACCAATGCACTTGATTCTGTGCATAGGGTATGAGTTTCAATTGCAGAATTTTACACCGTGTTACCATAGGAGTGTGACTGAACTCTCTGAGTCTAAAAGATAACTGTCTAATGTCATAATAATCCCAATGTAGTGAGTGATTATTGCATATGGATAACTTAAAAGAATTATAGAAATGACACAGGGAACAGGGGAAATAATTTTAAGTACTACATTATATGTGAAACAGTGTATAGAACTTCAAGTGGACTGGGAAATCTTTACACCGGAAAACTTAAATACCCAATAATCACTTCCCTTAACATGAGAGGACATATTCTGTGTGATTTTATTTTTTCTAAATTAATTGAGACTTTATGGCCCAGCACACAATTTATCTTGCTGACCACTCTGTTATACTAGAAAATAATTTGTTGTGTAATTATTGTTTGCAGTGGTTTATAAATATAAATTAATTTGAGTTAGTTTTTCATCTTCTTGAAGTTTTCTATATCTTACTCATTTTCTAGGTTCATACATATTTATATCTACAAAACATGTTTTTGTTGCTGATGGTATGATTTTATTATGATTATTACTATGAAATGCCTTTTGTTATGTCTGATAATACTGTACACCCTGAAGGCTAGTTTGTGTGGTATGATGTCCAGATTTCTAATGATTAATGCTTTCAGGGTAGTCTTTTTCAATATTTTTGCTTTTATCTTTACTTCATTTTCAATGCATATCTCCTCTTAATGACACATTGTTTAATTTTATTTTTTAATTCACTTATTTCTCTTAATTGAAGCTCTTCTCTATCTGTATTTAATATAATTTATATGATTGAGATTAACTCTGCCATATTGCTATATGTTTTCTATTTGTTGCATCAGTTGTATTTTTCCTTTTTCACCTTGATGGTTAATTTTAGGCACTAACTTCATTGGGACATAGGGTTCCCAGCTATGTTGTCAAACAATATTTTTTGTTTCTGCAAGGATTTTTTCCTGAGATTAATAATTAAATTCAGTAGAATGAGTAAAGTGAATTGCCCTTCCTAATGTGAATGGGCCTCATTCAATCAGGTGAAAGTGTGAAGAGAACAAGAAAAGCTGATGCATGCCCCAGTAGGAGAGCATTCCTCCTGCCTGACTACCTTCTAATTGGCATATCAGCTTTTTCCTGCCTTCAGACTGATATTGAAACATCGGCTCTTCCTGCCTCTCCAGCCTGCCAGACTTCAGACTGGAACTACGCCATTGGCTCTCCTGGGTCTCCAAGTTGCTGCCTCACCCTGCACACCTTGAGACTTGTCACCTCCACAATCTTGTGAGCCAATTATTTGTAATAAATCTCTCTCAGGTAAAGAACAAAAAAGAAAAGAAAAAAGAAGTAAAGAAATTCTATTGATTCTGTGTCTGGAGAATGCTAATACACCTATACTATCTGCATTTGAATTATTTGATAAATGTTTTAGTGTTGAAGTGTATTTCCTTTACAACAATTTAGACCAACTGTATCTATCTATTTATATATTTATTCCAATGGTTGCTATACATTCACAATAAACATCTGGTAGATTCTATTCATGTTACTGAAAGTTTTAGATGTTTCTTCTCCCTCTTTCTCCAGTTTTAACTAAACCTTCCTAATTTCCTTCTCCTTCCATTTCTGGATCACCGGCAATATTAGTAAGTCTGGACTTCCCTCCTTTAAGGAGCTGAGCCTTTGTCATTCCAGATATCATCCACACATAGTGTTATCAGGCCAGTTGAATAAATATTTTCTTCATCTATTAGAAATGCGTTCTCATATTAATTTCCCAAATTTTAGTGAATCATTTAAAATTTTAACTATTCTTTTTTTAACAATACTTTAAGTTCTAGGGTACATGTGCACAATGTGCAGGTTTGCTACATATGTATACATGTGCCATGTTGGTGTGCTGCACCCATTAACTCGTCATTTACATTAGGTATATCTCCTAATGCTATCCCTCCCCCCTCCCCCCACTCCATGACAGGCCCCAGTGTGTGATGTTCTCCACCCTGTGTCCAAGTGTTCTCATTGTTCAATTCCCACCTATGGAGTGAGAACATGCAGTGTTTGGTTTTCTGTCCTTGCAATAGTTTGCTGAGAATGATGGTTTCCAGCTTCATCCATGTCCCTATAAAAGGACTTCATGTGAACTCATCCTTTTTTATGGCTGCATAGTATTCCATGGTGTATATGTGCCACATTTTCTTAATCCAGTCTATCACTGATGGACATTTGGGTTGGTTCCAAGTCTCTGCTATTGTGAATAGTGCCACAATAAACATACGTGTGCATGTGTCTTTATAGCAGCACGATTTATAATCCTTTGGGTATATCTCCAGTAACGGGATGGCTGGGTCAAATGCTAGTTCTAGTTCTAGATCCTTGAGGAATCACCACACTGTTTTCCACAATGGTTGAACTAGTTTACAGTCCCACCAACAGTGTAAAAGTGTTCCTATTTCTCCACATCCTCTCCAACACCTGTTGTTTCCTGATTTCTTAATGATTGCCATTCTAACTGGTGTGAGATGGTATCTCATTGTGGTTTTGATTTGCATTTCTCTGATGGCCAGTGATGGTGAGCATTTTTTCATGTGTCTGTTGGCTGCAAAAATGTCTTCTTTTGAGAAGTGTCTGTTCATATACTTCGCCCACTTTTTGATGGGGTTGTTTGATTTTTCTTGTAAATTTGTTTGAGTTCTTTGTAGATTCTGGATATTAGCCCTTTGTCAGATGGGTAGATTGTAAAAATTTTCTGCCATTCTGTAGGTTGCCTGTTCACTCTGATGGTAGTTTCTTTTGCTGTGCAGAAGCTCTTTAGTTTAATTAGATCCCGTTTGTCTATTTTGGCTTTTGTTGCCAATGCTTTTGGTGTTTTAGTCAGGAAATCCTTGTCCATGCCTATGTCCTGAATGGTATTGCCTAGGCTTTCTTCTAGGGTTTTTATGGTTTTAGGTCTAACATTTAAGTCTTTAATCCATCTTGAATTAATTTTTGTATAAGGTGTAAGGAAGAGATCCCGTTTCAGCTTTCTACATATGGCTAGCCAATTTTCCCAGCACCATTTATTAAATAGGGAATCGTCTCCCCATTTCTTGTTTTTTGTCAGGTTTGTCAAAGATCAGATGGTTGTAGATGTGTGGTATTATTTCTGAGGGCTCTGTTCTGTTCCATTGGTCTATATCTCTGTTTTGGTACCAGTACCATGCTGTTTGGTTACTGTAGCCTTGTAGTATAGTTTGAAGCCAACTTTAGCTGATGCCTCCAGCTTTGTTCTTTTGGCTTAGGATGGTCTTGGCAATGTGGGCTCTTTTTTGTTTCTATATGAACTTTAAAGTAGTTTTTTTCCAATTCTGTGAAGAAAGTCATTGGTAGCTTGATGGGGATGGCATTGAATCTATAAATTACCTTGGGCAGTATGGCCATTTTTCACGATATTGATTCTTCCTATCCATGAGCATGGAATGTTCTTCCATTTGTTTGTGTCCTCTTTTATTTCCTTGAGCAGTGGGTTGTAGTTCTCCTTGAAGAGGTCCTTCACATCCCTTGCAGGTTGGATTCCCAGATATTTTATTCTCTTTGAAGCAATTGTGAATGGGAGTTCACTCATGATTTGGCTCTCTGTTTGTCTGTTATTGGTGTACAGGAATGCATGTGATTTTTGCACATTGATTTTGTATCCTGAGACTTTGCTGGATTTGCTTATCAGTTTAAGGAGATTTTGGGCTGAGACGATGGGGTTTTCTAAATATACAATCATGTCATCTGCAAACAGGGACACTTTGACTTCCTCTTTTCCTAATCAAATACCCTTTATTTCTTTCTCCTGCCTGATTACCCTGGCCAGAACTTCCAACACTATGTTGAATAGGAGTGGTGAGAGAGGTCATCCTGTGTTGTACCAGTTTTCAAAAGAAATGCTTCCAGTTTTTGCCTATTCAGTATGATATTGGCTGTGGGTTTGTCATAAATAACTCTTATTGTTTTGAGATACATCCCATCAATACCAAGTTTATTGAGAGTTTTTAGCATGAAGGGCTGTTGAATTTTGTCGAAGGCCTTTTGCGCATCTATTGAGATAATCACGTGGTTTTGTCTTTGGTTCTGTTTACATGATGGATTATGTTTATTGATTTGTGTATGTTGAACTAGCCTTTCAGCCCACAGATGAAGACAACTTGATCGTGGTGGATAAGTTTTGTGATGTGCTGCTGGATTCGGTTTGCCAGTATTTTACTGAGGCTTTCTGCATCGATGTTCATCAGGGATATTGGTCTACAATTCTCTTTTTTTGTTGTGTCTCTGCCAGGCTTTGGTATCAGGATGATGCAGGCCTCATAAAATGAGTTAGAGAGGATTCCCTCTTTTTCTATTGATTGAAATAGTTTGAGTAGGGATAGTACCAGCTCCTCTTTGTACCTCTGGTAGAATTTGGCTGTGAATCTGTCTGATCCTGGACTTTTTTTGGTTGGTAGGCTATTAATTATTGCCTCAATTTCAGAGCCTGTTATTGGTCTATTCAGAGACTCAACTTCTTCCTGGTTTAGTCTTGCGAGAGTGTATGTGTCCAGGAATTTATCCATTTATTCTAGATTTTCCAGTTTATTTGCGTAGAGGTTTTTATAGTATTCTCTGATGGTAGTTTGTATTTCTGTGGGATCAATGGTGATATTCCCTTTATCATTTTTATTGCATCTATTTGATTCTTCTCTCTTTTCTTCTTTATTAGTCTTGATAGCAGTCTTTCAATTTTGTTTATCTTTTCAAAAAACCATTTCCTAGATTCATTGATTTTTTGAAGGTTTTTTTGTGCCTCTATCTCCTTCAGTTCTGCTCTGATCTTAGTTATCTTTTGCCTTCTGCTAGCTTTAGAATGTGTTTGCTCTTGCTTCTCTAGTTCTTTTAATTGTGATGTTAGGGTGTCAATTTTAGATCTTTCCTGCTTTCTCTTGTGGGCATTTAGTGCTATAAATTTCCCTCTACAAACTGCTTTAAATGTGTCCCCGAGATTCTGGTATGTTGTGTCTTTGTTCTCGCTGGTTTCAAAAAGCATCTTTATTTCTGCCATCATTTCGTTATTTTCCCAGTAGTCATTCAGGAGCAGATTTTTCAGTTTCCATGTAGTTGAGCGCTTTTGAATGAGTTTCTTAATCCTGAGTTCTAGTTTGATTGCACTGTGGTCTGAGAGACAGTTTGTTATAATTTCTGTTCTTTTACATTTTCTGAGGAGTGCTTTACTTCCAACTATGTGGTCAATTTTGGAATAAGTGTGATGTGGTGCTGAGAAGAATGCATATTGTTTTGATTTGGGGTGGAGAGTTCTGTAGATGTCTATTAGGTCTATTTGGTGCAGAGCTGAGTTCATTTCCTGGATATCCTTGTTAACTTTCTGTCTCATTGATCTGTCTAATGTTGACAGTGGGATGTTACATCTCCCATTATTATTGTGTGGGAGTCTAAGTTTCTTCATAGGTCTCTAAGGACTTCCTTTATGAATCTGAGTGCTCCTGTATTGGGTGCATATATATTCAGGATAATTAGGTCTTCTTATTGAATTGATCCCTTTACCATTATGTAATGGCCTTCTTTGTCTCTTTTGATCTTTGTTGGTTTAAAGTCTGTTTTATCAGAGATTAGGATTGCAACCCCTGCTTTTCTGTTTGTTTGTTCTCCATTTGCTTAGTAGATCTTCCTCCATCCCTTTATTTTGATACTATGTGTGTTTCTGCACATGAGATGGGTCTCCTGAATACAGCACACTGATGGGTCTTGACTTTTTATCAGATTTGCCAGTCTGTGTCTTTTAATAGGAGCATTTAACCCATTTACATTTAAGGTTAATATTGTTATGTGTGAATTTGATCCTGTCATTATGATGTTAGCTGCTTATTTTGCTCATTAGTTGATGCAGTTTCTTCCTAGCATTGATTACAACTTGGCATGTTTTTGCAGTGGCTGGTACCGGTTTTTTCTTTCCATGTTTAGTGCTTCCTTCAGGAGCTCTTGTAAGGCAGGCCTGGTGGTGACAAAAATCTCTCAGCATTTGCTTGTCTGTAAAGGATTTTATTTCTCCTTCACTTTTGAAGCTTAGTTTGGCTGGATATGAAATTCTGGGTTGAAAATTCTTTTCTTCAAGAATGTTGAATATTGGCCCCCATTCTCTTCTGGCTTGTAGAGTTTCTGCCGAGAGATCCGCTGTTAGTCTGATGGGCTTTCCTTTGTGGGTAACTTGACCTTTCTCTCTGGCTGCCCTTAACATTTTTTCCTTCATTTCAACTTTGGTGAATCTGACAATTATGTGTCTTGGAGTTGCTCTTCTCGAGGAGTATCTTTGTGGCATTCTCTGTATTTCCTGAATTTGAATGTCAGCTTGCCTTGCTTGGTTGGGGAAGTTCTTTTGGATAATATCCTATTCTGTCTTTTTTATGGTCTTCATATCTGCCCACACTTTTAAAATTTCATCATTACCTTAGTTTAAACTCAAATTTTGACCTAGACTTCTCTACCATTGTAACTTTCTAAATGTGTTTATCATCACATTAAGAGAGTTGTAATTTCAATAAAACAAAATTAATTGCAATGGACTCTTTACAGTATTTTTTTTTTAAATTATATCAAATATGCCTCAGGCAAAGGCTCATTTATGACAGAGTAGCATCTTTTTAAATGACATTTCAAAAAAAATTTTTTTAACAGTTCACAGTGGTATTATCCTATATAAAATTTAAGTTAAACATACATACAACAATATATTTTTACTGTGGCCAAACTGATCATTACGTTATTATCTCCACTTAATGTGAGATATCTCTGATAGCTTTTGTTTATATTTCTTAGTAATTGAGCACAGAAACTGTAACTCCCATTTTGTTCTTTTACATATCAGTTTCCACTGACATCCCTGTGGTTATCGTAATATGTTTTGCAGTCACATTAAATAAAAGTGAATGGCATGATCGTGTCATAGAGAAAGTCATGAACTAAGCATAAGACTTCTTCATCCACTTGTATTTTATCTCCTCTAGGTACAGCTGCTTCACAAAAGTGGTTTATTCCTGTGTCAGCCACATGACCCTGAAACTCTTTCTCTAGTATTTTCTCTTATAAAACTATCCTGTAAAATGTTGTCAGCATAATCTTCCAGAGTTTCAGACCTGATAATGTCATTCTCCTACTCTATCTAAAATGGTCTATGACACATTTTCGCTTGTAGAATAGAATTGTAACTTCTGATTCTGACATTGAAAAATGTGCACGGTCTTGCCCCATACCTCTTTGTGTAGCATATATTCCATTAAGGCACCTCTGTTTCCCTGTGTTATAGTCAAGGGAAACCACACCTTAAGTGTACTTCCCTGGATCATTTTCTTTGTTTACATTTTCCCTCTGGCTAGAAATGTTCAAATTTCTCTGCATGTTGAAAGCTCGTCTAAACTCCTTTCTGATAAAGTATTAGCCCTGCCTAGAATCTTGATTATGAAAAAAAAATTGGTTTTAGGAAAACATTTTTTAAAATGGAGAGCTCAAACACTGAAAAGGAACAATTTATTATTTCCTTCAACTGAAAAATAACAGCAAAGATTTCCTTTTTAGGAATATCTGTCTCCAGAAACTCAAACCATATTTACAAAGGCTTACCTCTCTTTGCCCCAATTTCTTTATATATATATAAATAAATTATATATTCTTCATATATATAAAGAAATTATATATATGTATATAAATATGAATTGTTTTTACTCTCAGAAGAGCTCTGTCAATGTGATAGATCTTTGGAGTTGCCGGCTAATGGCCTCAGTAGTGACAGGTTGCTTATTTTTCCAGGAGGCAGAATTGGATCTCATTGTTAAGACTTGGGTCATGTGTCAATCTTAAGACAATGAACTTGCCAAAATGATATATACTATTGATTGGTTTGATCCTGGTCATGGGTTAATTCCCAGAGCACAAAAGTGGGATAAGGTTGAGGAGAATGACTCTTACTAAGATTATGCAGACTGAAAGTGGATTAAAGTTGATTCTTCAGAAGAGAATCAGAGTGCTATTAGTAGAAGGGAGAAAAGACCAAGGCAGAGACAAAGTTCATTACTGATGAATTTTTTATCACTCGGGAGAAATAATTATTTCATATCCCCTTGGATTATCACCCAGGTAATATATCCTATCCCACTACTATTATAATATGTAATAAATATTTACCTTTTCTCCTAGGATGAAAGTTCCTTTGGACTTATGGTTTTTTAAAAAAAATTATTCATAGCACTGTAACATTATATTCAAACAGTCAGGACAGATTTATAATTTTATAGCATTTTATTAATTTAATGCTTTTACAATACTTCTATTCATCAAAAACGAAGAATCTTAACTGATAATTACTGCATGTACTAAATGTATTTAAATTTCTACTGTAATGATGGAGCCTGACAGCATGTTGGCCTTCATACATTTTGTGCTAAGAAGCCTAAAGGATCATTGACTGACCTTCTTCTTTTCCAGCAAAAGGTAGTTGCTCCCAATCTTTAAGGAAGACCAAGCAATAATTGTATGATTGTATGTAGAATGAATATGGTAAGAGTTACTAACCTTACTATGAATAGTTATCATTTCACATTGTGAAATGATTGCCACCACCAAGCTAATTCACATATCCATCACAACACACAGTTACCCTTTTATTGGTGTGTGTGGTGCGAACATTTAAAATCTACTGTCTCACCAAATTTCAAGAATGCAATATAGTATTATTAATGATAGTCATTATGTTATAAATTGGATCTCCAGAACTTATTCATCTTATAACTGAAAGTTGTACCCTTTGACCAAAATCTCTCTATTTCCTCCATTCCCCAACTCTTGGCAACCACCGTTCAACGCCCTGCTTCTATGAGTTTGACTTGTTTTAAATTCACATAAGTTTGCAAGTTTTAAAGGAAATAACTATGCAGCCATAAAAAATGATGAGTTCATGTCCTTTGTAGGGACATGGATGAAATTGGAAATCATCATTCTCAGTAAACTATTGCAAGAACAAAAAACCAAACACCGCATATTCTCACTCATAGGTGGGAATTGAACAATGAGATCACATGGACACAGGAAGGGGAATATCACACTCTGGGGACTGTGGTGGGGTGGGGGGAGGGAGGAGGGATAGCATTGGGAGATATACCTAATGGTAGATGACGAGTTAGTGGGTGCAGCGCACCAGCATGGCACATGTATACATATGTAACTAACCTGCACAATGTGCACATGTACCCTAAAACTTAAAGTATAATAAAAATAAATAAATAAATAAATAAATATATTTACTTTTCTGTGTATTATGTGGATCTAACATTTTAATATGAAAAGGTTTGTAGATATTTAAAATGCATTTTAAATGATCACTTTATCTCATTTTTAACAAGACTGAGAACAATGAGAAGATCTCAGGTCATTGATACAACATTCTACATGTTCTTATCTATTTAGATGGTCATCTGAACTGAAAGAATTCTCATATTTTCAAAGTATTTAGAATAAAAGCAGAATGTTTGCCATAATATTTACTTAAACATCTATCATAGGCTTGTGCAATATGACATGTGAAATTAGCTTGACGAAAGGTAAATCTTTAATTAAAAGTTGTTTTCAAAATCTTAGACACTTCTCAAAAGAAGACATTTATACGACCAACAAACGTATGAAATAAAGCTCATCATCACTGGTCATTAGAGAAATGCAAATCATATCCACAATGAGATACCATCTCACGCCAGTTAGAAAGACGATCACGAAAATGTCAGGAAACAACAGACGCTGGAGAGGATGTGGAGAATTAGGAGTGCTTTTACACTGTTGGTGGGAGTGTAAATTAGTTCAACCATTGTGGAAGACAGTGTGGCTATTTCTCAAGGATCTAGAACCAGAAATACCATTTGACCCAGCAATCCCATTACCCAAAGGATTATAAATCATTCTACTATAAAGACACATGCACACATATGTTTATTGCAGCACTGTTCACAATACCAAAAACTTTGAAGGAACCAAATGTCCATCAATGCTAGACTGGATAAAGAAAATGTGGCACATATACACCATGGAATACTATGCAGCCATAAAAAAGGATGAGTTCATGTCCTTTGCAGGAACATGGTTGAAGCTGGAAAGCATCATTCTCAGCAAACTAACACAGGAACAGAAAACCAAACACCTCATGTTCTCACTCATAAGTGGGAGTTGAACAATGAGAACACATGGACACAAGGAAGGGAATATCACACACCAGGGCCTGTCAGGAAGTTGGGGGCTAGAGGAGTGATAGCATTAGGAGAAATACCTAATGTAGGTCACGGGTTGATGGGTGCAGCAAACCACCATGGCACGTGTATACCTGTGTAACAATCCTGCATCTTCTGCACATGTATCCCAGAACTTAAAGTATATAAAAAACTTAGTAAAAGTATATGAATTATTAAAGTCTGAGAATTACTCAAATCATCTCATATTCAATATTTCTGATTTAGTATGGATTTTATTTATGGAATTTTCAATTAAGTACAAAATATAATAATCTGTCAAAATCTGTTATATTAAAATATAATGAAGTAATTTTGGACCCCAATATTTTTAGTGTTCTTAATGAACAGAGATTGTAAAACAAAATAAAACCAAACAAAATAAAACTGCACTGAGCTTGATGCAGCGGCAGCTTAACTGGGCTACTGCTGTCCTACAAAAAGTGTTATTTAAATCCGGATTACTCAGATTTTGAGAAAAGAATTAAAGTGGGACTGTATTCAGCTAGAGCTGTAAGTCCAGATAATATTTCTAGGATGGAAGAGCAGATTTTCTGGAGGGCAAAAGACCTTTGTATCCTAATTATTCTGTCGAGCCACCAATAATGGGAAAAAAAGGCTTATGCTCAATGGTAAGAACAAATATTGTGGTTGATTTTGAATTTGAAGACAATTCGGACTACACTGGAAAGTAGAGGGGGATTGAGCCATGCCTATGGTGTTGACTGAGGCGTTCATGACCCTGGGATTGAGGGAAGTATCAAGCTTGAGAGATACTTCTCAGAAGGTTGCTGTCCATGAATTACAATATTGTAAGTTATTTTCCAGAAAATAGTAGCCTTTCATTATTACCAAACATCCAGTAAAGTCTCATTATTAGTTACTGTGGCTTCTCTGCTGAACTGTGGTGGATTAAAGAGATAGGTCTTTCTCATATAAGGTTGGAAGACAGGAGAAGATCCTTCTTTCTTACCTACCACAGATGCTGTTGTGAGCAATGTCCTTAGAAAAGCCTCTGAATGATGCAGTAATCTCATGGGGCTCAAGATGGCCAGGTGGCAAGGAGATTAAGCAACAGCAGCAGAGGAGCCCATTGGTAACTTTCTGTGGAAGGCACGACGCGAACATCCCTGAAATGACTGAGAAACTCTCTGAGGAGGGCTATTTCTGAAAAGAAAAAAATAAAAGGAAGAAAACTTGTATTTGAAGTCAAAAAGTTTAAACCTTTTTCTTATTATAAATAATAAAGTATAGAAGGTAAATGATTTAAGTTTTAACAGTGAGGTTAGTGTACATTTTGATTTTAGAGCTTCAGTTTTATCCTGGTATGTCCGAAAATATGCTCTCTAATGTGGTATCCCATAGCATTTAAAAAAAAATAAAACTAGCTAAAATGTAAATGCATAATAGAAATGAAACTCTTTCATCTCATTCAGAAGATCAGTGTAAAGCCAATGTATGGTGCTTTACTATTGGTAGGATAAAGGGTGAGCTCCTCCTGCAGAGCTTCAATCCTCTTACTCTGAATAACGGAAAGAAACTCTCCATCACCACTGGGCTGTTAGAAGTAGTTCTCCATAGGAAGCTTTAGAAAGACACCATTCAGACCAGGCTGTGGGACACCTTTATGCCTTGTTAAAGAAACACAGGTATTAAAAGATTAAGGTAGCATTGAATAAAAGGAAGTTTAATGTCTTCCACAGAAATTTTTTAGGAGATTGCAGGGACTCTATTTCCTCTATGCATGGTATTTTCAGAGACTTTTTTTTCTTTTCCTTATTGCATGTGACATTTTATACATAGACCCTATATTGCTGTACTCGTGTACAAAGTGCTAAAACATTTTCCCTTATAATATTTTCAATGGAATGTTCTAGAATTTTATGCTGTGAACTGCTGCAGGAAACTATTCATTATGAAGCAAGATAATAAGGTAGCAAGACACTATGAAAATGGAATCTGAAAATTTAAATTTAAGATAGGTTAACCTTTGCAATTGTTAGAGCTATTTCTATATTTTTAAAAAACTATTTTAAGCCTTTTAATGATCTGAGTAAAATTAAGGAATATGACATATAGTGAGCATAGAACTATTTTACGAAGTGACAACCACCCTATGGATAATTTTGTTATGATCTGATTCTGACTTACCTCTCCAGTCTTGAATTTTATTATTCCCTTTTCTGTTGTATATAACATGGCTTCTGAATAAACATTTTGCCAAAGAAGATATAAGAATGACCAGCGGATATATGAAAAGGTGCTCAACATCCCTAGTCATCAGGGCAATACAAATCAAAACCACAGTGAGATGTCATCTCACATCTGTTAGAATGGCTATTATCAAAAAGTCAAGAAAAAAAAAAAACAACTGTTGAAGAGGACGTAGAGAAAAGGGAACCCTTGTACATTGCTGGTAGGAATGTAAATTGGTATAGCCATAATGGAAAGCAGTGTGGAGGTTGCTCAAAAATTAAAAGAATAACTACTACATGCTCTAGCAATTGCACTTCTTAGTATATATTTAAAGAAAATGAAATGAGTATCATATTCATTGTAGCATTTTTCACAATAGCCAAGATATAAAAACCCAAATGCCTGTAACTGGATTGATGCGTAAAGAAAACGTGATACACACACAAATGCACACACATTCTAAAATATTATTCAGCCTTAAAAAAGAATAAAATCTTATAATTTGCAACAATATGGATAAACATGAAGAACATTATGGTAAATGAAATAAACCTGATACAGTAAAACAAAATACTGCATCATTATCATATCACTTATTTTAAAATAAAAAATAAGTTGAATTCATAAAATCAGAGTAGAATAGTGCTTACCTGGGGCTGGGGCCTGGGGGATTAGAGAAATGAGAAAATTTTGGTCAAAGGGCACACCTTTCAGTTATCAGATAAATTCTAGAATTCAAATTGAAGCATAATTACTATAGTTAAAAATAATGTATTATATTTTTGAAATTTGCTAAGTTTGTAGATCTTAAGGATTCTTATTCGCAAAAATGTGGGTATAAATATGCAAGATAATATGTATGAGAATTAACTTGGTGGTAATAATTCTATAATGTATATGTATATACTAGGTATATATATTATATACATTGAATGTATACAATTAATTGTATTTGCCAATCATAACTCTGTAAAGTTGGCAAAAATAGTAATAACCCAGCCCTAGGACACTTCTTTAAGAAGATTCTTCAATAAATTATATTTCCTCTTTCTTTTAACCTTTAAGCCTTTGGAATTGTTTCTTTTACCTTTGCTTCAGTTGGCTCCATTTAAAATCATAATTAAGGATGTTTTTCCAGGAAACTTGTCCTTCCTCTCCCAACCCAAGATAAAGTATTCCTTTTCTATGTATCTTTGGTTTCATGTACTACCTCTACCCTCACATTAATTACTAGTTTTATCACACATTCTACACATAATTACTTATTGCTTGTTTGACATCAAGATGATTGAAAAATGCAAAGATTATTCTCACTGAGATTACTTTTGTGGGCAAAAACAGATATTAAGTAAACAAACAAACAAATGAGAGCATGTTGAAGGCAATAATGATTATTACATAGGGGAATCACTGTAATTCTTCTGAAAGCACTAATTACAGTTAGTGGCTGTTAATTTTATGTGGGTGGAGGATAGAACATGAGAACGATACACTTAGTATAATTTAGTTTGGGTGTTCAAGGGAAAACATCCCTAAAGAACTCAAAATTGAATAAGGAGAAAGACCTAACCATGACAGAATATGAAAGAAGGCATTTTTCTAATGCAAAGAATAGCAAGTGGCAACATATAAATATCCTAAGTTTAAACAAGCTTGGTATAGAAATAGAAAGGAATAGAAGGAAAGTTTGCTTGGTTTAATTAGCAAAGAGGACAGTGGCAGCAGATGAGGGGTCAGAAGATATAATGTTTTTAGACCATGGTCAGAAGCTTTACTTTTATCACAATTATAATGAAAGATCATGTGAAAATTTTTAATAGAGAAGTTGTGGAGAGACAAACCATTGCCTTTTAGCTTTCTCTCTCTCTCTCACAACACACAGACACAGACACACACACAAACACCCACAGACACACACACACACACACACTTTCTTCCACTTGGTAGCAGTACCTTTGTGTATTACTTGTGTGTTTGTTTATTGAGATTTCTCAATCTGCCTTATAGGTAGCTTTGGACATAGAAGTTTGTCCCAGTGGCTTATAAGTAAAAGTGATGTGTGCAATTTCCAGATCATCTTAAAGTTTAATAATAATTATAATTCAGTTTATAATATATTATTATTAGATAATTATTGGATGTAATTATTAGATTAATAATTAGATATTAATATTGAATAATAACTATAATTCAGAATTAAAATTCTGAATATTTTTCTCCATTGGCAAGTCTTGACACCTTTGTTCAAAATCAGTTAATCATAGATATGTAGGTTTATTCTGGACTTTCATTTCTATTCTATTGATTTACATGTCTATCCATGTGCTGGTACTACAGTTTCTAGGTTACCATTGTTTCATAGTAAGTTTTGGAATTAGGAAGATGAATCCTTCTGGTGTGTTTTTGTTTTAATTTCCAAGATTGTTTTGTCTATTCTGGGTCCCTAGCAATTCCATAAAATTTCTGAATCAACTCGTCAATTTCTACAAGTAACTAAGCAGGGATTCTGATAAAGGTTTCATTGAACCTATATATCAATTAAGAGTATTGCCATCTTAATAATGCTAAATCTTTCAATGTATGAAAATAAAATTTTAAAAAATAATTTAGATTCTTAATTTCTTTTGGCAATGTTTTATACTTTGTTCACAGTATAGGTTTTGCACGTCTTTTGTTAAATTTTTTTTATATATTTTATTTTTTTGATACTATTGTAAATGAAATTGCATTCCTCATTTCATTTTTGGACTTTTCATTACATGTATTTAGAAATACAGTTCATTTTTGTATATTGATCTTGTATCTTGATACCTGCTGAACTCCCTTATAGTATTTTTATTGGCTGCTTAAAATTTTCTTATATACATCATCATGATGTCTACAAATAAGAATAGTTTAATATCTTTCTTTCCAATTTGCATGCCTTTTATTTATTTTTCTTGCATAATTTCCCAAGCTAGACTCTTCAGGAAAATGTTGATCAAAATTGTAAGAGAAAACGTCTTTGTCTGATTCCTGATTTTCACGGGAAAGCATCACCATTAAATTCAGTGTTAGTGTGGGTTTTTGTAGATGCCCTTCACCTGGTTGAAGATGTTCCCTTTTATTCATAGTTTGTTGAGTGTTTTTATTATCAAAAATATGGAATGGTTCGCAAAGTTACATGTCATCTTTGTTCATGGTCCATACTAATCTTCTTTGTATTTTTCCAATTCTAGTATATGCTGCCAAAATGAGTACAATGTAACATGGTTTTAATTTCTTTATATTTTTAAAGCTTACTTTATTATATAATGATTGCCTTTTTACTCCTTCATTTCCTACTCCAGATAGTATAAACTCATTTACAGCAGGACTGAAATCACTGCAGTCATTATCAAATCTCTAGTTCTTAGCTCTGTGACTTCACATTTTATGCGTTCAATCAGTAGTTACTGATATTAATGATGGGATATTCAGAAGGCAAGTGGAATAAGCTTTAATTGATGGAATCATTGGAAGACCATGATGTAATTCCATTTCTGTTATTATTATATAACATGAGCCTAATAAAATGATTCCTTCTTCTAGGCCCAATTATCACATCTGTAACTCGTGTTTAAGGCTAGATAATCTCTAACTTAATTTAGCTCTCTCATATGGCCTCTTAATTCAGTTTTTGTAACTCGTTCTTTATTTTAATATACATTTTCTGACTTGTAAAAATATTATTGCTTTTACTTTATTAGGGGATACAAAAAAGAATCAGAAAAATATTTTTGATAACTGACTTTTGACTTCCATCATACCATATCCTTACAAAAATTTATTATCACCTAAGTACAGGATTAGTTTTTGTTTGTACTGATGAAGTAATGCAGGATCAACTATAACTTATTTTGTATAATAACAGATCTGGAATATAAGTCCAAATTAATGTTTTTTTTTTCTACATTACAGTGCCTCTCACTGATAGCAAGGGGAAAATTTCCCATTGGATATATGTTTGGAGAGAATAAAAAATTTATTCACTAATTTAGTTATTTTTTAAGACTAGTCAAATGAAGTGGTGAGAGTGAAGAAGGAACAAAGATATCTGTAACTGGTTGTGATCAATCAGTTGTAATCACCACTGCACTCGGACTAGCTGAAGGGCATGTTTAGAGAAAGATGACTTTCATCATAGAGATCCTTGACTTTTCAGAATATCTAGGTTAAGAATATTTGGTTTGCCTAACTGTAGGTTAAAAAAAAGAGTCAAAGATTTTCCTAGCTGCAAGGTTTCTATATATATATATGTAGTATTTTTAATTATTCTATTTTTCACTTTTTCTAGAACTACTTATCTTAAGGGACAGCTTCTTCAATCACAATTTTTAAACAAATTTATTAATAAATATTTAAGCATTGTAGGAATTCCCTGTGTGAGCTATTTATGATACTTAATTTTTAGAAAAGGATAAACTCTTCCTTTCCTTATATTTATTTTCTAAACTTCAAAAAATATCCAAAAGGGACACCATGCTCTAAAAGGAGACATTGACCAAACTGCTAAAGGAAAGCAGATTTTTAGGTTTTAATGGAACAAGCTCAACTTAGAGATTTCTGTCTGAGTGACCTGGAGCTACCTTATTCTTTTTTATTAAGATCACTGGAGACTTTGTTTAACATATTTAAAAAAGAATCAAAATGAGTTAGTTACATTCTTTCCACAATTCAAAATGAATTGTGTTATGCAGGCATTTCATACTCTTACTAGTATACTCTGTATTTTGAGAGTCAAGAAAACTCATTGCTAGGAAAACACAAAAATTATATTATCCAAAGTTCTTAGCTTGAAAGATCAGACAAAAACTTTTCAATTTCCTGATAGCATGCTTATTACCTGATAAGATAAACTGATACTTTCTCATTTTTTTAAAAAACGTTTTCCAATGCTTACTGCTGTTGCTCAGAAAGCTTAATTGTTATTGAAAATGGATAGAAAAAATAAAAACCTTCTGTCTTAAAATGATTGTAGCCCTAGCTGACTTTTCTTTCTTATTGCATCTGGAGAACAGTTCCTTGCTGATATTCTTGTTTGTTACGGTTCATCACATTTTGGATGTTGGCAGAATAAAATTCTTCCTTTCACACATCTTAGATGTCACTTATGCTTCATTCCCCTCGCTATTGGTTTCAACTCTTTCACACCAAAACAAATGGCTTATCGTTCTCTGTTTCTTCCTGCACAATCTTGTAAGATTTTCTCTCTTCTTGGCTGGCTATAATACCCTCTGTTTTTGCCAGAGTCTCCTCAGTTTCCCTGTGTGAGTAGAAACCACTAAGGACCTAATTGACTTATTTCTGTTGTTGCCAGAGAAGCCGCTACTGTTGCTGAAAACATGCACCTTTTGTCACTGACTCTACCATTGCCAAAATTTTAGTATAGGGACCATCTACATTTGTTCACTACTGGACATTTGTATTCCAGGCAGCAAGTAGCAGCCATTTTTGGAGGAGCACCAGACTTCTCCATGCTAAGGAGAAGAGGAGATTTGAAGCCACCAGTACTGTTCCTGTAAATGCAGAGTAATATTTCATCCTAATTATGAAGAACATTAGTATATATTATTCATTTTTAATACATAAAATTATGGAGAGTTAGAGTTGTGATTGACTGGAGAGAGAGAGGTCAATATTTCATCTTTATAGATAAGAAAACTAAGGCAATTATTTTCTTGTTCATCTTTACCAATAATAAGTTATTTTCTCTACAGTTTTTTGCCTTTTCTTTGCCACGTGGGCCTTTAAGAATTTTAGCACAAATCTTTAGGAAAGAAGTAGAATATTTGAATATGTTGATGGTGAGAATTAAAAGGAGTCTAGTTACAATCCCTAAAGTTTACAATCCTAAAGATTATGGAAAATCAGTATATGATTATTTTATGACAGAACAAAAATGGGTGAGTATAAAGGACTGACAAATAATTACACAGGTTTTTATTTTTTTGCAATTTGTGAACTTACAGTGTGTGGAAATAAGCATGTTAAATAATTAGTTTATTCACTTAGATTAAAATTCCAATTGACTTATAACTTCAAGAATGTTTTTTGAGCAATTGCTAAAAAAAAAAAAGCTTGTTCCAAAGGAGCCTAGAATGTGAAAGGAATAAAACACCCACCTGCCCCCCCAACACATGCACGTAAACATTCAACAGTCCTTAGCTATTATATGATTTACTGTCATTTTATAAGAGTTAAACCTTCTGGATTGATACTTGCCTTTATTATTTCACATAGTGTCAAGTTGTCTAGTAGGAAGACTCCAAGAGTTTTCTGCATAGTCAGTCTAAGCCTAAAATTATCAGAAAACCTCTATGTTTGATTTATTTTTCATCTCTCTGTGTATTTTAGAATGAAATAAACTATCTTTTTATTAAAATAGTTCAATCCTATATCATTCACTGTGTTACAGTCCGCATTATATTTTTAGAGCTTGACGAAAGATATAAATTGTCAATAAATATGACTCGTGACCAATATTAATATACTTAAATAAAATTAATTTATATAAAAAGTTTAAACAAATGCATGATAGTAGAAAACAAGCAGACATTAATAAATAAATACATAATTGATTGTAAAGCAAATACATAAATGAGACTCAGAGATTGGCAAATGCTTTAATAAAATAAAATGGGAGGATAAAATAGAAATTGGTTGGGGTGGATCAAGTGAGGTGGGGCATTTTAAATTTGGTGATTGATGATGTATCAGTGTTGGAAATGTAATATGATACCAGAATGTTAGAAAATACTTAGCAAAGCAAAAATCAGGGAATTAGTATCCCAAATGCAATAGGAATTTCAAAGACTAAGATAGAACAACACTAGCTTGTTTGAAAAATCTAGTGTGGTTTACCATTGAGAGCTGCTATGGTTTGTATGTTTTTCCCTTCTCAAACTCATGTTGAAATTTATTTGCCATTATGAGAGTAGTAGGACATAAGACCTTTAAGAGGCATTTTGGCCGTGAGGGCTCTATTTTCGTGGATGAATTAATGCCATTATTTTATGATTAGGTTCATTATCCAAGATAGCAGATTTTTATTGAAGGACAAGTTTGGTCTCCTTTTATCTCTGTCTTGCCCTTTCTCTGCCCTTCTGTCTTGTACCATCTGACAAGGAACAATATAGCAAGAAGGTCCTCACAAGATTCTTGTCCCTTAATCTTGAACTTCTCTGCCTCTTGAACTGTGAGAGATACATTTCTATTTCTTATAAATTACCTAGTCTCAGGTATTCTGTTATAGCAGGAGAAAACAGATTAAAACAAGAACCAGAGGAAGGTGGCTTAAGGCGAGGTTGCAGATTTTGTCGTAATCCACAATATGTAGGAGTTAAAATGTCGTGGTAAACTGTTGGGCAACTAAATGCAATGAAAAACGGCAGTAGTGTTCAACTAAAAGATTATCATTGTCTGACACATGCTTTAAAAATTCTCTGTGGCTGAATTATGGAAAACAAATCTTTACTATTTTTCTTCATATGGTTGATAAAAACTGACAAGTATTTTTTTCTATGGCTGCTTTAAGTTTTTCTTTCCTCTCAATCTCTCTCTCATTGTACGTGTTTGTGTGTGTGTGTGTGTGTGTGTGTGTGTGTGTGTGTTGTTATTATTGAGTAGTCTTTGATGATGCCACTACAGTAGTTAGAAGGTTCTTATGCACCCTCAGGAGGTTCTAAGCTATGACCTTAAATTTCTTCCTATGGCACAGGGTAAGCAACAGAATAATAGAACATTACGGAAAGTTCAGTTCAGTTTGACTGACTGCAAAGTTGTCAATGAAATTCAGTGAGGTAAATTGGTATTTCAAATAAATATTGCAGAAAAATATTGACTTCTGTTTGAAAAAAATGTAAACATTAGCCCTTTACTCAAAAATATTTAGAGAAGAATCATAGTCCTAAATGTGAAGTGTAAAACAATATAACTTTTGGATTAAATTATAGACAAATATTTATATGATCTAAATGCAAGCAAAGATTTTTTAAACAAGATTCCAAAAGCAGAAATGTAAAAAACCTTCACTGAACTTCAAAAAAATTTATGACATCTATATACAAATGAATAAATTGATAAATAGATGATAAATTCAACAAGTTACCCAATCTAGAATAAGTAATGTTTTTCTAGGAATCAGAGAAAGATAAAACTCTTGATTTTTTTTATTGAGCAAAAACTTAATACGTATTTTTACAAAGAGTCATAATCAAATAGTGAATAAACTTAATAAAATGTATTAACATAATTATTCCTCAATAAAATGTAAATTAATTCCACAATGAGATACCACTACTCACTTAATGACTAAAAATGAGTTAGACTGATGATACCAAGTGTTGGTTAACATGTGAAACAACTGAACTCAAATATATATTACTATTTCAGTGTTAATGATATTAAGATGTTGGAACACAGTTTGGTATTATTTGCTTAATTTAATTAAATGGTTACCCTATCACTAACAATTTTATTCTTAAGTTTATAATCAAGTAAAAATGGTGCATATGTTTACTAAAAGACATGAATACAAAATATTTATTGCTCATTAACACGAGACAAAAACTGGAAACAGCTCAAATTTTTGTCAATAAGACAGTGGATAAATTACTATATTTTTATAAAATGAATTCTACCTATAAATAAAATAAGATTAACCTATTAATAGATACTATAGCATTGATGAATCCCACAGACATTATTTGGAACGAAAGGAGCCAGACAATAGTCAATATGATTATATGTATTTGAAATCAAAGAACAGAATACTAACTTAAGATAGTAGAATTCAGAATAATCATTACCTTTGAGAATATACTGATGATTGGCAGAGGGTAAAGAGACTTCTTGATAACATGTGTTTTATGATTATTTAGCCGGAGGTCACATATTAGTACATGTATGTGTAAAAGTCCATTGAGTTTAAGCAATTATTATTAGTACACTTTTCTGTATGTATCTGATACATTAATAAAAAGTAAACAAATTTATTTAATTTTTTACACTCTCAAATGATAACAGATTTCTTGATTAACACATAGAATCCAACAGAATGAGTTAATGGCTGAAAAACAAAATACAACAATATCAATTCTGTTTGAAAATTAGCATATTTCAATTTATTTTCATGTAAACAAAACAAAACAGAACAAAACAACAACACAACCACCATGAGAGAGAGAGAGAGAAAGAAAAAAAAGAAAAAGAAACACTGCAAATTTTCTGAGAAAGACCCAGGGTGATAACAC
This sequence comes from Homo sapiens, assembly GCF_000001405.40. Classification (NCBI taxonomy): domain Eukaryota; kingdom Metazoa; phylum Chordata; class Mammalia; order Primates; family Hominidae; genus Homo; species Homo sapiens. The sequence continues at coordinate 59,828,030 of NC_000004.12, read as the reverse complement.
TACTAATTAACCTGTTTTTGGCTTGACAAGTGAAAATGAATTTCAATATCCAGGGATGTCAACCACTGGCTTATTAAGTAGTATGTAGTTGGAAAATAGCCAAGATCAGGAAGAGAGATGACAGAAAAGCTTTATTAAATGAGAAATACAGGAAAGATAAAGTGAGAAGAATACAGTACAGAAATGTACAAGATTACTCAATATCACATGTACAAGCAGAAAGCATTGAATTTTTTTATTTGATCCTCTTCTAGATATTTTCCTTTCATATACTGTGTACCAAATTAGTAGTCTTCCAATCTTTTAAAGCACATGCTACAATTAAGGCTATATTTTATGCTTTTTTCCCCTTGTATCTATGAAAGTTCACACTATTTCCTTCAGAAATCTTGGATATATACCATATGGTCCTGGTGATTTATTGGACTTGAATTATTCTACTTGCTCTATAACTTTCTCATTTAAGACGTTAATCTTTGTCAAGGGCACCATCTGATGCTCTGTGAAAACTGCCTTAGGAATAGAAATTTTTCCAAAGTTCTCTCAAGTATGCTAATACAAAAATCACTTTATTTTTTTCTCCTTTCTATTAACAACTTATAAAATTCTCTAGAAGGGCTTAGTGCCCTCATTATAGTTCCTTTTTGTTCCTTAATGTACATACGTCACACATTTTTTGAATTTCTATGTTTTTTTTAATTGAAATACATCAGATTTGGTGAACCTTGTGTTCAACTTTTACTATTGTTTGATTTAAATAATATCTATACAATGCTGCATCTGTCCTCAGGGAATTTTAAATCAAATAATAAATGAATTAGGTAACAATAATTTGATTAACAATTAACATCCTCTAATTTGAATAGTTTTTATCTTAAAAATGTTTTATAGGGTTCTAAGTGTTTTTAAGTTGTATCTTGAAAGCTAGGACAAATCACTGGTTACAATATATAAACCAACTGAATAAAAATAGAACTCATTTTATCTTAGTGAGATTATCCTCATATTTTATTTTAATAACTATTTTGCATATAATATGTTCTGAATTTTACACACAAATATTTTTAAAGAGGTTTATTTTTATATAGAAGAAAAATATCTTCTATGCATTCATCCATCATGTACACATTTATACTTTTATTTATAGTTATTGAGCATCAGCAAAGATTAGATGTATTACCTTCTTTCGCATAACTTATCTATATATCCCTATACTTTTTAAAGTTAAAATACTATGCACATATTTATTTTGTGTTTTGTCTTCCATGTAAGTGTGTGAATGTTTATGAAGAAGGGTAGGCATTGTGAGTTTTAGTTCTAATTCGATTCCCATTCCACCCTGATGGCTTACTAAATTACTCTCTGTCAGCTTTTTTCTCTTTCTGATTATTTAAAAAAAATGGCTACAAACAAATTTAGTTGAGGCCTGCCTATACTGTTTAGAATGAACTTTTCTTGGAAATGATACTATGTTAGATAAACATTTTTAGGAACATATGGATGACATTCAAGTGTGGCTTTTACTTTCCTTGAAGCTAAAGAAAACAAAGCATAAAATTATCCTAAACTCCAGAATTATTCAGCGTCCCCCTATCCTTTCTATTAATTGCCAGCTTTAAAAAGCAGTATTACCAGCTTTTTGCTGGAGGTTGTTCTACATCACCATGAACTCTTCTAAATTTTAAGGGGAAACACCTTTGGAATGTGCAGGGTTCCAGAAGACCGGCATGAAGAGGAGGGGCATATACTTTTTCCTGAGAAGCGTAGGTCTTAATCTCTGCAGAAGTGAGCTTAGTTAAGAGATTTGCTTTCTGATGGCCACTATTAGCCAGTCTCAGAAAGACAAAAGCTTCATGATTCCACTTAAATAAGGTATCTAATATAGTCAAAGTCCTGGAAACAGAGCAAAGAATGGTGGTTCTCAAGGGCTATGGGGAAGGAAAAATGAGATTTGTCGTTCAGTGAGTATTAAGTTTCTATTATAAAAGATAAATAAGTTCTAGGGATCTGTTGTACAACATTGCCCCTATAGTTAACAATGTTGCATCATATACTTAAACATTTTTAAGAGGGTACACGTCATATTAAGTGTTTTTATCACAATAAAACAAAAGTTTAAATTTTAAGAAAAAGAAGATAATGGGTTTGACAGACAAAACACTGACATATTTGTGAAAGGCAGCACGATGATATTGAGTGAGACACATGGATTTATTTTAAAACTCAAAAATTTTTGGGTGAAGGAAATGATCTATTGCTCTTCTATTATAGTTCTATTCTATAATACTATGGTGGCATCCAAATTCTTTGGTGTAGCATTCAAGTACCCAGACTTTGTAGTGAGACTGACTTGCTTTAAATTCTGGCTCATTTCTGTGCTAGTTGTAGCATCTTAATTAAGCTATTAAATAACTAACTATATCCTCTGTGCCTCAGTTTTCTCATCAGCGTACGGGAATAATAATAAAATATAATAGACAGGATTGTGATGATGATTAAATAGATTAGTATATGTGAAGAGTTTGGAACATTTCAGCATGATGTAGTAGCCAATCACTGCTAAATACCTTTATTTTTAGTGATTATCAAGCCCCGAATGACTTCATCCTTGCGTGTTATGCTAAGTGTAGCCTGTATGCTGCCCCTTCTTTCCTGTTCTCTGATTTCTGATTCTGAAAATATGCCGAGTTCCTGTGCATGTAAGTATGTTAAGGTCCCTCAGGGACTGAATGCCATACAACCCTACCCCACCCTTGCCAGCCCACTCTTCACGTTCTTAGGTGTGTCCCTTTCTTTCATTCTCCCTTCCTCTTTCTCGTCGTTTACAATTGACATAATTTGATAACTTAATATGTTCCAGGAAGTCTGTACAGAATAAAAGACAAAATCATGACCAAAATGATACATAGACTGTGCTCTCCTATTGCATTTTTTTTTGTTTCCAATCTTTAGTCCTATTGCATTTTAATGAGCATGATGGACAATGATCAATCAATTATACAAATAAATGTGAAGCTGAAACTATGGTAAGTTCTTTAAAGGATAGATAACAAAAATTAACTTGGTCAGAATTACTATTCAAGATTTTCATGAGAAGATGATAGAATGGAGAATTATAGGTTTGATATGCTGTAACTATAGCAAAAAAGGAGGGACAGGGAAAGAAAAAAGAAATTTACAGTCAGGTGGAAAAAAAATATTTTCTGTTGTAGAAGAAGCTGTGCTGAACAGATGAGAAATAAAATAAAGCAGGTGACACTGGAGAAAAGAAAGGAGGGTGGGAGGCCAGGCATGGTGGCTCATGTCTGTAATCCCAGCACTTTGGGAGGCCAAGGAGGGCGGATCACCTGAGGTCAGGAGTTCGAGAACAGCCTGGCCAATGTGGTGAAACCCCATCTCTACTAAAAATACAAAAATTAACTGGGCATGGTGGTGGGTGCCTGTAACCTCGGCTACTTGAGAGGCTGAGGCACGAGAATCCCTTGATCCTGAGAGGTGGAGATTGCAGTGAGACGAGACCGTGCCACTGCATTCTGGCCTGGGCAATAGAGAGAAACTCAGTCTCAAATAATAATATTAAAAAAAATAGGAAAGACAGAAAGGAGGGTGGGAGTGGGGGTGCATTAGACGTGAAACCAAAAGAAAACCATGCAGGGCTTTGCAGAGTACCATAAGAGATTCCTTTTTCATTATATGAACAAAAATGAGAAGCCACTGAGAATTTTAAGGTAGGAAGCTGACACAGTTAGATTTACCTATGAAAATATTGCTTTATCTACTGTGAGAGTGTAGTATTATTAGAATAAGACCAAAGTGGATCCACAGAAATCTTTTTTTTAAGTGGAGATAAATTTCTAAATTGGTGGTATAGGTAGTAGTATGGATGAAAAATTAGGGAAATGAATATTGGAAGATAATAGAAAGTCAAATCATTAGGATTTAGTGGCAGACTGGACATGTTAATTGAAAGAGGATGATGTGACAATGATGGCTCGAGAGTTTCTAGCTACCATAACCATGTGAATGATAGAGTCATTTATTGGGACGGGTGAAATAGAAGGAGGGACACATTTGGGTATGTGGTAAGAGAGAGATATGAGTTCAGTCTCAGATGATTTGTCTTTTCGACTTTTAAAGAGCTATAATAGGCCAGGGGACATGTGACTTACATGTCTTCAATGAATGGAGGCCTACCTCGCTTACCTGCTAAATTATATCCTGTCCTATTAATTCTATATTAATTCCTCTTTTCTTTATTTGTTTTCTTATCACAGATTAGTTACTGTGACTTATTTGTCTATAGAATGATTCTTCTATCATTCTCTTTCTTCTCAACTAGAATGGATTTATCAAAAGCATTAAGTTACTTCCAACTCTTTTCTTCCCTTTCTCATTCCTTCAAATGAATATTCATTGAGTAGCTAATATGTTTCAAGAATGTTGACAAGTGCTTGGAATATAGCAAGCGTACTAGATGAATTCTGGCAGCAATTGAGCTTCTGGGAGCCAGTGCCGTGACTAGAAACCAGGTATTTTTACAATTAGTTGGTGCTTTTCCAAATACCATACCAGCTCCTCACATTGACACAGATCTGCCTTCTCATCAAACAAGCAATCTAGGAAAATAAATAATCTTGGCAGAAGTAATGGTGGAGATAATAAAAGTAACCAGTGTAGGCAGTGAGATTTGAGTCTACTTCAAAGTTTACACAACTGATAAAGGGAAAATAGAAAATTTATTTTTCACCCTTTCTGGGGAAAGAGGGTATATCTTTGGAATTGTGCATTCTCTGATGTAGAAGAAACCAAGTAAATTAATTTCATGATCCAATGTTGGAATTAAATTTGAAAGAGTTTTAATCTATATCAAATTTTGGTAAAAATTCAATTGCTTTTTTTTTATATTTTGTGAACTCCAGGAATAGGTATTTATTGTTTTTTAGATGCTAATGACTCACGAAGAAGTGATAATAAGTGGGATATTTTCTCATTATATTGAAAGAAAATGAATCAAGAATGACACACAATATATTTTTTTCTTTTCCATCCTTCCTTCCTTCTTTTCTTTTTCTTTCTTTTCTTTCTTTCTTTCTTTGTTTTATGCAGAGTCCTGCTCTGTCACCCAGGCTGGAGTGCAATGACACGATCTTGGCTCACTGCAACCGCTGCCTACCAGGTTCAAGTAATTCTCCTGCCTCAGCCTCCCAAGTATCGGGGACTACAGGTGCATGCCTCCAGGCCTGGCTAATTTTTGTATTTTTAGTAGAGACAGGGTTTTGCCATGTTGGCCAGGCTGGTCTTGAACTGCTGAGCTCAGGTGATCCATCCGCCTAGGCCTCCCAAAGTGCTGGGATTATAGGCGTGAGCCATCGCACCTGGCCACACATCGTATATCATTATAAGTGCATGTTAATTCCGTTCTTTTATTTCTGCTACTTGAAACTGAATCATAAGCTGAGTCTGGTTTAATACATGTTTGTCAATATATGTAACTTATTTTGTTGATTTTGTTTGTTTTTGCATTGGTTCTGTCTCATGTGCCAACACACTCTCTGAAGTAGAGAAGTTTCTATAAGATGTATCTTATTTTTAATCTTTTTTGAAATTTATAAGGTGACTTAGAATCACAAGAACACCTAGAATATTCAAAATGCTTTGTTTACTCACTGGAATGGAACAGAAATCAAAACACGGTATGTCTGCCCTCTCTACCTTTCTCTCCACCCACTGCCAGCTCCATAGCTCCAGCTACTCAACATCAGATTGCGATATTGAAAACTCCACCTGTCAATTTCTCCTATTCATATTAACTTCATAATTACTGTTGAACCCTTAATTTTTATTTTGCTGTACTCACAAACTAGAATATATAGACCATTTTTTAAATTTGTTGTAGCTATGTCAAATAGTAATGAGTATGCATCTGATGGATGCATTGCACTATGAAAGGGCTGAGTGTTCAGCTGAAGGGAGGGGGAGAAAGAATGTCTTCCCTATTTTTAGTCAATGGAGTAGGCAGAAGCTGATCTAATGTGGAAGAGAGCTTCACATGGAGGCAAACTGGTTTATTCATCAAACTCAAGTTTTTGATGAGAGCAATAAATAAATCTATTCACCCCTCATCTTTAGAGGATACCTGTGGTGCTCTGGGAAATGACTTTAATAATTGTATCCAGACTATCTTGCTTCAACTAGCACATTGAATATTAGTCCCTGTGGAACTTCTGCAATTACTAACTGTCATGTGAAAATTTCTACCATTTTTCATAGAAAGAAAAGAAAAAATATATATAGCAGACTTACTTAAACTGACAATTGACAGGCAGGTGAAAGTGAAAAGAGCAGGATTTGGACTTAGATTATGGAATCATTTTGGGAGGGGATTAGGATCAGGGAGATGCATATACTTTATAAATATTGCCCTATTTTCTCTTATAAATATTGCCCTATTTTCTCTTTTCTAAAACCATATTTATCATGTAGGAATAGGAACAATCATCCAGTACTATTTATTTGTCAGTGGGTGTTTACCATTGCAACTGAGGATAAAAGAGACAATTGCAAAAATAAAACTGTTAAACTAGTATCATTCTTTTTTCCAGAGGGGTAAAGCTCTGTAAAGACTCTTAATTTTTTTTTTTTTTTTTTTTTTTTTTTTTTTTTTTTGAGCGGAAGAAAGATTTTCCTTTCAGAGACTGTAGTGAGATACAGTGTAATTACGTTGGGAGACCAAAATTACATTGTTTAACGTGGCAATTTAGAACTTTGATAAAGTAAACTAAATCTGGTCTCTTGTCAAATATGTGAAAGAAATGCCATTTTCTGGTGACAGCTCCAGTTTTAATTGACAGATAAGTACCATTTGAACCTAAGATTTTGGGGGCGCCTTGTCAGGTATTCCCAGAAAGATAATCTGTTCTCATGGTTGCTAAATGCATGGAATCATTTTGATGTCTATTTTTTCTGTCAGCTTCTCCATCTTTCATTTCTTAAAAATGTGCTAAAGAAACTTGGATTATGTTGTTAAAATATTTCTTAATTACTGTGAAAACTCTTATGAAAAAGAAATGTTGGCTAACGGATACCATCTATATAGTGTTATGTGTAATACTAAATCCAGTACTGATTGACCATGTTTAGGTTTAAATTTACACATAACAGAGGATCCAAATTACTTGTTGCACCAAATAAGCTGCTTTCTTACTCTGTGGAATTTAATGAGTCACTTGATCTCTCTAGTTCAATTTTTTTTTAACTTGCAAAATATAAGACAGCATAATATATAGCAGCCAAGGGCATAGAGCTTGGAACTAGGTTGTTTTAATCCAAATTGGCCCCACTCTTTACTCGTTGTTTAGCCATAGAAAAATTACTTAATATTCCCTCACTTTGCACTCCATATCTGCAAAATGAGAATGTAATTACGATTCTATGAAGAAAATGAACTTAGTCTCTTTTAGAGTCAGAAATATAAAAAATCTACTAGGTTTGACATATCCTGATCTGTCTGTTATTTTTCAAATTTACAAAATCAAAACTATTTTGGTGCCTCCTTTTAAAAGAATGACACTTCTTAAAGGAGGCAATGATGCTTCCTTTAATATTTTTTGGAAGCTCCACATAAAAAAATGAGTTTATCAGCTGGGCGCCGTGGCTCACTCCTATTATCCCAGCAGTTTGGGAGGCCGAGGCGGGCGGATCACGAGGTCAGGAGATGGAGACCATCCTGGCTAACACGGAGAAACCCCGTCTCAACTGAAAATACACAAAATGAGCCAGGCGTGGTGGCGGGGGCCTGTAGTCCCAGCTACTCTGGAGACCGAGGCAGGAGAATCACTTGAACCCAGGAGGCGGAGCTTGCAGTAAGCCGAGATCGTGCCACTGCACTCCAGCCTGGGCGACAGAGCGAGACTACGTCTCATAAATAAAATAAAATAAAATAAAATAAAATAAAATAAAATAAAATAAAATAAAAATGAGTTCATCTTAAACAACATTATGTACAAGCAACCTTAGATATGGAAAACAAAAATTGTGTTTAATTATCTCCAGAATTAAATGTAACTTTAAAATATGATGCCAATTAAAGAGTTACTCTAGGTTTAAGTTGAAAATAACATCTAACTGCTTATAAGTTTTCATAAATAAAATATAATTAAAATAAATATTTTAACATACTAGTGTTTATCATGAGCTAATTTTTGTGGTTGTTTAATCCACTAGATATTTTTCACTTTTGCTGATGGCCTTAAGCAAAAATTTGACAACATATCTGATCTATTTTTTTTCAAAATGTTACTTTTTAAAAATTAAGCTTCTGTGTATTTGGATGTGTGTCTGTGTGTGTGTGTGTCTGTCTGTCTCTCTAGCTAGATTTCCTTCCCTTTGGTTTGGGTATTTTTAAAATTTAACACCAAATTGCAAGCTATTTCTTGGTAATTAATTTTTAAAAATCAGTCAATCCTGGCTAACACGGTGAAACCCTGACTCTACTAAAAATATAAAGAAAAAAAATTAGCCGGGCGTGGTGGCACGTACCTGTAGTCCCAGCTACTTGAGAGGCTGAGGCAGGAGAATTGCTTGAACCTGGGAGATGGAGGTTGTAGTGAGCTGAGATCGCGCCACTGCACTCCAACCTAGGCGACAGAGCGAGGCTCCAACTCAAATAAATAAATAAATACGTAAATAAAAAGAAAAGTAAAAATCTGTCGAATAAATTTTTGGGGGGTTTACAGTAGATAAATGGCAACATATGATTTCCAACAAGACATTTGTTTAGGTTTTTTTTTTTTTTTTTTCCATTTGATTGGAAACAATAATACAAAGGGAAAAAATGCAACAAATTATTTCTTATAGCAGTATCACTAAGTGACCATAATTGGAAGAATTCACCTCACAAGAAAAAGCCCATTACCCATCTCTATTGCTGAAATTTCCCTAGAATTGCCTTCTGAGAGGCAGTTGAACTTAGTGAAAAACACATAATATTCTTTGACCATCCAACAAAAAAATGTCACCAGATTGAATTATAAGAAGTAAATCACACTTTAAATATCAGGGACCACATTATGATCTCTTATTCTCATCTTGTATTTAATTAGCTGAAAACGGCGTGAAAGTGAATCGCCCTTCATCACCGCCCAGTCTGCTGGCATCTGCGCTGCTGCTAACTGTAGACAATAAAAGTGAAACTGAAAGGCAAATTCTATCTCCACAGTCATTTGGTCTCTGCTATAACTTTTAATTTTAAATGGTAATTTTAGCAAAAAATCGTCTTAAACTTTAAAGGCTGGATAGGCTACTGCTTGCAAAACTTTGTATAAATTTTAAAGTTTTTGCATAAATTTTGAAGCGTTATAATAATACAGCATTATCCTATTATTAATTGTTTAAAACACTGATTTTAGTTTAAAGACATGTTTTTCAGTCAATTAAAGCAATAATATTTCGAACCATTTTGTAGCAAGCAATGATGGAAAAAAAAAGTTATTTTTAAAATTCAACAGACTATCCCCTAGGACCACATGAAGCATAAGAGACTTTATATGCATGCCAGGCAATTTTCAAGTTAATGTGATTATTAGTACTCCTTGAAGAGCTTATATTTCTTGATTTTTTCTCATATTTTCTTACATAATTATTACTATGTTAAATACTCCCTTTTTATGGATGTATATATTATGAGCAGAGGGAAAAATTCAGATTAAATCAAGAGAGAAGGCTAATAAAGTGATTTTGTTCTTTTGTGTAATTATGAAAGTATTAAAACCTTCTCTACATTTTATACTTTTTAAATCTTTCAGTTTGAAAAACAGTGGTTGTAATAGCAATAAATACATGAATTTTTTAAGAATCCATGACAGAAATATATATTCAAATTTGTATGGCTAAATACTGAAGTTGAAATCACATAAAATAAGAGAAACTAACGTATCTTGAAAAACTGAAATATATGAATGAAATCTTCAATTTTGTCTTATATGCACTGTTAGATGTTTACTTTTAATTAGGATTTTTATCCTAATTTATTTAAATGTATTGTTAAATGGAATTTTTTTAATAATAAATGTGGTCACAAAATAACCATTATATAAAAAGGAAAAAAGCAGGCCACAAGTGCTACTTTTAAAATATCTTTCAAATTTCAGTATAGTTCCTGTCATATAAGATACTCAACATATATTAACTATAGAATTATAATTATTTTCAGATTAACAAAAAATAAACACGTCATTATGACAATAACTAGTAAAAGCTCCTCAATTAATGTTTTACAATTAAAAGCTAATAGGGGAACAATGAAAGAGTGACGAGGAGCTCATATTTTGCTTAATTTCTTAGATTGGTTTTTCCACTTAGTAATTTTACAAATGTAATTATCCAATTGTGGCTTTCATCATAATAGCCATTTAGAATTTTGAAAAGATCATTTGAAAACATTATTTAAAATATTTATAATGCATGGAATATAAGACATATTCAATATATACTAGTTCCTATTACAATATAATTTTCAAATTATTTAGTCTTTTCATTCATAAAAATAATATATCTTCTTGTTTTGAACGTTGTGTTTTTTCTGTCACTCAGAATTATTATTTGATTTTTTAGAACCCATATATTAATTTTTAACTTTATTTCTAGTTGGTTTGTATTGTGCTTGCTATTTTGAATATATATTTTTATTGCGAATTCAGGTTGAGTAATGTTAATACAAAAATTATGTGAATTTCTTGTACTTATATTGTAACCATCTACTTTTCTAAGCTTGCTAGTTAAGTTTCTTCAAGTTATTTCCATTACTCATTCATTCCTATTTTAATTTTATGTTGTATGTCAGTGCTAAGACTTTTAAGGATAATATTGAAAAAAATGTATACAGTGAAGTATCTTTATTCTCATTAATGTAAGAATAATGACTCCACTATTTCAAAATAAATTAGGTATTTGCTGTTGATTTGAGATGCATTTATCTACACGCTATACCAAAATTTCTATTTCTCATAGGTAGTTTTTTAAAAAGCAGAACTATACTTTTAAAACATGGGGTTTTAACACTTATGATAGAAAAGAATTTGAGCCGTCTCCTATTCTGTATTTATATGCTTCATAACAGAATAGAAAAAACATGGTCAATGCAATTGACCATCTTTATGATAAGTATTAATTAGTGCATATTTTATTTAGATCTAGAAATTTTATTGATTATCGAATCAATAGTTCAAAACCATTAACTACCATGACTTTTTGCTACACTGGTATCTACATCTTTAATCATAAACTTTGGTGCTATTATGAAATTATAAAACTGAAAACAGGTTTCTTTATAAAACTGGAAAATCCTTAATTACTAAATATTGCATACCTGAATCTATAGCTACGATAGCTAGATTATGTCAGAACTATTGTGTTGTACAAAATAAAATAAAATTTGTTTGATGAGCTTTATTATAGAACAGTGGTTTTCAACGGTGGGATATTTTGCCCCAGGTGACCCTTCATAATGTCTGGAGGCAGTTTTGTTTGTCCTCATGGGTGGGGGAGTGTGCTACTGATGAGTAGTGAGTTATGGAGGCAGAGAGGCTGAAAAACATCCACAATGCATAGGACAGCCTCTACAACAAAGAATGATCTGATCCAAATGTCAACAGTGCCACTTTTCAGAAACTTTGATATAAAGAAAAATAAGCTGTAATTTGAAGTGGCATTTTGTCTATTTTATTTAAAGATTACAGAAAAATTTGCTGAATAGTTCTAACCAAACAGCAAATTTCTTTCTTTCCCTTCCTTTCCTTCCCTCCCTTCCTTTCCTTCCTTCCTTCCAGCCTTCCTTCCTTCTTTCCTTTCCTCCTTCCTTCCTTCCCTCCTTCCTTCCTTTCTTTTTCTTTCTTTCTTTCTTTTTCTTTTCTTTCTTTCATACAAGAGAGAATCAAACAGAAATAATTCCTATAACTTTCCAAATCTTGTGACTAGTTAAACTAGTCATCCAACTATATTCCTTAAAGGACATGGTGAGGCTGGTCCACACTTGGCTTACCTGCCATGAGCTCTACATAATCCATTTGGGAAGGAAGAATCACACACATGTGGTATTGACAGTTATTAATTTTGTCTTCATCTATTTTATTTATTCTGTTATCGTTTGTAGAAATTTTTTCTAAAGTTTCACAAAGTACATCTGTGTTTTGCTCAGATAAGATTTCACGGTTGAAAAACATTCTACAGCAAACATCATATCTTGTTTAAAAGGAAGCGAAGGGCGCACCTCAAGCATGGGGAGAAGCCTTCAAGTACAGTATGTAGGTTCACAGAGAGACCTATTTGAATTATATTTTATAAACAGAGTGTTAAGTGCTCAAATGGTGGAACCTCAGATTCTGCATTGTGTCTCATCAGGGATGCTGCCTATGTCTATTTAAATAGACTAATTGCGTATCAGGTAAGAAATACATAGAAAAACATGTAAGTTTTAATGTGCATAAAGATAACATAAAGTCAATTGTACAGTGATTTTAGTTTTATTCTATTAGATATTGGCTCGTAAAATTAAATTCAAGCATTACTTACAACTGCAGATATCCCCATAAGAGCTTACTGTTCTTTGACAACTGAGTTGTGTTTAATTCAAAAGGTGAGTCATACAACTGTTGATTATTTGTACCCACTTTAGAAAATGTTTAAAACAGGAAAATCTTAGCAGCTTATTAAATACAGCTGCCATGTATCTTGGGTGCTCCTAAGAGGTACATTTTGAAATAGTTTATTAGATCTCCAGGTAACATGATATGTATATAAAATATATGAACAAATATACTCTGAAAAAAATTTAAATTTATTGTCCCATATAGTAAATTTTTTTCCTCAAATCTATCTTTAGAAAATTCAGTGCCTATGAACTTCAGGTTACAAGAAACTTAATATATAATTATTTAAAACAATCACCCACATCCTTTTTTAGTCAGATCAAGGGACTAGGCTGATTGCAAAAATCATGATAAAAATGTTTCCTCAACCTGCATTCAGTGCTGTGATGTATTTATCTTTCCCTCTTACTGTCTCTCTCTCTCTGTATATGTGTGTGTGGGTGTGTGCGAGTATCTGTCTAGAGATAAGAGAGATAAGGAAGAAGGAAGATCAGTTTAGAAACTTTGCCCTAAGTAAGCATCAATCCCAGATTTATACCAGCAAGCAAACTGACAATCAGAGTGTTTAAAGAGCTACAGACATAGTGCAGACATTTCTATTTACCATCTTTCATATTCTCTGCTTCTCATCGTACTGAGACCCTTGGGCATATTTTTTACTCCAGTAATCACTGCAGCAGTCAACCCTGCGGAGATGTTCATTGATTTCATGTTAGCACAAGCCAGTATGACTTGTCTCCTGACCATGGCTTTTCCCTCTCATCTTCTGCCCTCCATTATCCTCTTACTAGGGGGATTTCCGCTGTCAAGTCATGTGATACTGCAGGCCACACTGGCATGTATGATTGTATGTCCTGGACATGCCAGAAAGTTAACATCCCTCAAGGTAAATCTCTGACTATGAGGAAAGGGACCATACAGATAAATACTTATTTCTTCTTCACCCAAACTTTTGTGAGATGAAGGGGATTATATAACCCCCCAAGATATGATTCTGTAAGACTGAGAAATTAACTGAAAACTCTGTTAAATTATTTGTTATCGGTTTGCCCTTCTTTCCTTACTCATTTATTTTTCCCCCACTCTGGCTTACCTGTAGCTCTCCTCCCTAATACAATGAAAATACAGTAACTTTGGTATTGGACTTTCTTCTTTCCAGGGAACCCAAGTTTAAACAGTGCAAGTAAAGAGAATCTGTGTGAGTACAGTCATGCATGGCTTAACTCCAGGTTACCTTTTGAGAAATGCATCCTGTGATTTTGTTGCTGTTCAAATATCATAGGATGTTCTTGCACAAATCTAGATGGTATAGCCTACTACACATCTAGGTGATATGGTACATCCTATTGCTACTAAACCGCAAACCGGTATACTGGGTAACTACATGGAATGTTGTAGGTAATTGTAACACTGCTAAGTATTTGTGTATCTAATAACTTCTACATATAAAAAGATACAGAATTATAATCTTATGGTATACATAAGTAAAATTATGTATATATGTAAAATTATGTATACATAAGTATAATACAGTAAAAATACAGTATTATAATCTGTTTCATACATGGTCCATTATTTACTGAAATATTGCTATGCGGTATATGAGTATAACTGAGCTGCTCTTCCCACCATGCAAGAGGAGGTAAAAGAAAGGAAAATACTAAGGAAAGAAAGTGCCATGAAGAATAAAGAGAGGATGATAGAGCTTGAAAAAGCTAAAGGAATGGGATGGGTTGAGACAGATTTTTTTTTTTCTATTCAGAAAAGGAGAAGTATTTATATTCTGGTTATTTTTATTTTTATTATGTTTCCCAGAAAAGAAAACATTAGTAAACAGCAGGAATACAAGCGTCTGAATCAAACAGAAGAATTTTGAGAGAGAGAAAGAGGCTCATTTTCATAAAAGTCTCTTAATGACCTCTGTGTTCCAAACTCTAAAAGCATTCTGTTTTTACTACACTCACTCCCTCAGTAGCAATAGACTAATAGACCATTCTGCCATTCCTAAAGCAATTTTTATATAGAGCCTCTTTTCTCATACATTCATAGTTTTCCTTTTATAGTACTGTCCATAGTCCTAGTTCTCTGGTAGACATTTAAAAGTTAGAGTGTGCCAAATTTTGGTCATTGGGTTTTATTCTCTTTATTCCTTTCAAAATATGTTGAATAATACAGCATTCTCTATAAGAAGTATATAATATTTATGTGTGTGTATATATATATATATATATAATATAAACAGTATTTTAAAATGAAAAACATATTCCCACCAGCCAGCTTAAGAAATGAAAAGTTACCAGTGCCTCACAAGTCAGCTGTGTGCTGTTTGTTCTTTGTCTACTTCCCCCTTCCAGGTAGAAGCATTATATGAAATTTTTGTATTAATTATTTTTGTGTTAAGTATTCCCTCATTTTTAACATGTATCTGTGTTCTTTATTGTCATATTATTTAATTTTGCCTTAGGTTACTTTATATAACTGAAATTAGACATTAAGTATTCTTTTGTAATTTGTTTTGTCATTCAAGAGTGTATCTTTGAAATCAATCTTTCTCTCTGAAGAACTGTAAGTCATTTTTTTCAACTATTAAAAAATTATGTATGTAATATGCTGTTGTATAAATACACAAAACTTTATTTATTTATTTTACTATTAGTAAACATTTGCCAGTTAAAATTCATTGTTATGCCAACAATATTGCTTTAAACATTCATATACTTGTCCCTCAAGCACATGGTGAGAACATTTCTCTGGGTAAATTACTAAGAGTAGAATGGCTGAAAATTAGAACATGTGGGTTGTACTAGACAATGTGAAACTGTTTTTTAAAGTAGATGACTCTTTGTTTATATTCCAACTAGCAGTAAAAAGAGGGTTTATTATTCCACCTCCTTACCAATATCTGCTGCATGTGTGCATTCTATTCCTTCCTTCCTTCCTTCCTTCAATATGGTGGATTTGAATGTTTTCATATGTTTATCTTTAATGTTTTCACTCCTGTGAAATGCTTATTCGTATTTTTGTTCCTTTTTTCAATGTTTTCTTTTTGTAGTGGCTTGTAGAAATTCTTTATTTATATATTGCGATTAATATTTTTGTCAATGTTTTCTGTTTGTAGTGGCTTGTAGAAATTATTTAGTTATATATTATGATTATTAATATTTTATTAGTCACATGTGTTGCAATATATTGTGCTGTTGTGTAACATGTCGCTTGTTCTATTAAGAATTCCTTTATTAATTAAGTTTATACTTTTTCTTATGTAAAATTAATTAAACTGTTTCATTATAGTTTGCTTTTGTTCCTGTTATATTTTTTATTTTTATTAACTTTTTTTATAGTCTAAGGTAGTGATCCTTTTCTTTTCTAATGTGATGATACATTTTTCATGGTTTTCTAAAATGTTATAGTTTATTGTATGAGTATGGTTTGCACTATGCATCAAATTGCATTTTTTTAATTAGGCGTATTATTTTCTTAGGAAAACTGTTTATTTTTTCTCTACTAATATGCTATTGCATGTAATGATATTTCAAGTTTATATATATATTAAATATATATGAATACATATAAAAAAAGGGTTCTGGGCTTGTTCCCAAATCCCACAATGTCTTAAACTTTGTAAACATAAACCTAAATGCTTTAAAACTTTATAAGAAATGATGTGAAATTGCATGATTTAAAACCTCATAATGTATGTATCCCCTTCATTAATCTTTTTATTTATGAGTACGTTATTTCCAGCTCTTTATTATACATTTCTGAAAACATTTGTGAATTTCCATGAGGAACTCTGTTGGAATTTGGAGTCAGTTTGCATTGATCTAATATATTATTATAAAAAGAATTTATATATGTCTTTATATTTATTATTTCCTTCCATTTATCTTAAAATTCATTAATGCTTTCCAATACATTTTAGTACATTTATCCACAAAAACAGTTCCTTTTTTGTCTAGTGTGTTTTTATGTATGCTTGTATTGTTTTTATTTGTACATTTATTTAATCATAACCTTGTACTGATTGTTGCTGATATGTAGATGTATAGTTTGTGTCTGATAATCTTGCTAATTTTGCTTAGTAATGCTAATAACTAATTAGTGGTTTATTTGGGATTTCCTATAGGGTTAGTTATAAAAACATCCGTGATATTTAATCATTTTTGTTTACAAATGTCAGATTCATATGGTTCAACCTAATATATAGAAAATAACATTATTTGACTTTGTGACAACAACCAATATGTTTTTAAATCTCTCTTCTCCATATTTTTCACCATCCACACAGAGCAAAATATAAGCACTTCTCTTCCAACTTTAATAATGCCCTCTTTTGATGTGTATAATGTGATGATTATCTATTTAGTTTTGGATTTCAGTATTACATTTTACATTTCTTATTTTTATGATATTTAAACTTTCTTGTTTTTTAAAAAGTTATTTTATATCTTATTTTCAAGCCTCCTTATTATATTACAAAACATAGAATGCCACTTTTTATTATCTGTAAAAGAAAAGGTCAAAATTTGAAGCATTCATTTGCATGATTCTGCTGGCTTTCATTTGTAGTATTTTTGTTTCTATGTATTTATTATTATTATTTACATTGAGTCCATAGTATCTAGAGTTTTATTAATATGTAAAGGTTAAAGTTGGATTTTGTGTTTTCCTCTGTCTGCTACCTGAGAGTTCTTCCAATGAGAGACTATGTAACGTAATTATTTGCACAAGAATTTTTAGACCACATAGGTAGCATGATTTAAACCGCCAACTTAAGTAATAATAGACTTCAAATTATTAACTTTTTAAAAAGATGCTTTTATACTAATGTCAAGATATAAATGAGCAAGTTTTCCATTTTTGCAGCAGCAGCAGCAGCAGGCTTATATCTAGAAGAAGGTGTTGTTCATTTAATGATATCTTGTAAGAAAGATCTAATTGATAGTTTAAATGTAAGATAGAACTTAATTTTATCATTTTGTTCCAGAATCTAATGCAACTCTAAATAAAAGAATACATAGAGTTATCAGAATTTGACAGACACTAAGGGGAAAATGTGATTTTTAAGGTTTGCTTTCTGCAAATGTTTCAACTTTCATTTGTTTTGGCCTCTGAGACTACTTTCTATCCAACAGAATAATTCTTAAGACATAATTATTACTTTTCCTATAAGATGTATCCTATAAGGTGCATCTTATATCTTGTGCTAGTAAAAAAAATCTCTTCCCTTTGGTTGCTAGTTAGGTTTACACAATCCTGTGGAATTTTAATGTCCTTCAAACTTATTTATCTTAGTCTTAGCTCTAGCCTTACCTTAAGGGAATTTAGTGAACTTGATATCTAATAATCACTTAAATACTAGTACAGCTATATTCTGCTTCTGTTGGAATGGTCATGAACACAATATCTGACTCATGGTATAAGATGCATTAGAAAATAGTAAGTCAATAATTACATTTAGCATATGTTGTGTTAAAAATAAATATTAGATATCAAAGAATAATTTAAAATTCACATTTTAATATACAAATGTGGTAATGAATGTAGAAGTAGAAGAAATAAATTATTATCAACCAAAAAATGAAATTAAAGTCATGGGGTTAGATAAAATATTATGAATGAAGAATGTGAATAAAGAAGAGGAAAGAGTACAAGATTGGATCCTGAAGCACTGCTGTAGTTACAAGTTACAAAAGAGGGAGTTTCAAGGGCTCCATCTGTAGAATAGAGAGCAATAGAGTTGATTTTGATTAAAGAAGCATGAACCATTTCATAATTCAAAATCAATGACAAAAGAAACATAATAGTACTTAACTTTTGGTGATTTTCACAACTCGGAAAGGTTAAAAACTGGGCAAAGCTGCCTTCAGATAATTCACATGGCTAAAGAAATTAACCTTGCTATTTTTAAATGTATGCAATTTACAAACAAAAATGTTATTAATGATATCTCACAATGGCATTAAATAGGCTGTGATTATTTTGTTTGTTAGAAATCATATTAATGTAGGTAACAAAACCATTTTTTCATGTCTTCAGATAAACTTAATTAAGAATGCTTATCAATGGTCAGTTGATTAGAGCAAAGGACATAAAGGACCTGAGTTTCAAGTTTCATCCATAACTCAGTTAGTAGAAAGCCTGAAATTATAGACACTAGTTAGCCTTTCTGTGCCTCATTTGACCTGCTGGTCTAATGAATATAAAATGATGTTAACCCCAGGAAGGTGCTGCAGGAAATGAATAATTCACTATTACATGGAAAATAATGGTAAAAAAAATTTAGACAGTGATATTTAAGTAGACATAACTTTTGGTTTGGATATTTTTTTTAATTCAAAATTGCACTGATACCTTAACAATAGACCTTATAACTTAACATACCTTGTAAACCGCATAACATAACATATAATGAAAGTCAAATAATGTGAGTAAGGAGGTGAAGGGGGAAAGACCAGGCTGGCATTATTACTGAAAGTTATTGTTTATTGCTTCATTATAAGAAATGGTTTATTTATATGATTCGTGAGTAGTGGCTGTATTTTATGGAAGTTGATATTATTATTTCTAGATTCCTCCATTTGCTGTTTCTTAAGATTGACTAACAGATCTCTGGCATTTCAGCAATATTATTCCAAAGAACTTATATTTTGAACAAGTCACTGCTTGTTCAATGTGCCGTATCTTTTTACTCTTCATCTTCAAAATGTAAATCTTTTTGCTGCATTTTCTATGAATTACTAGGATTTATTCATCCAACTATACCAGAAATTTAATATTCTTAGCAATAAAAACAGAAGAATATTAAGGTTTCTAATTCTTTTTAATTCTTATCTGTATTTTTTCTAAGACAATTATGCTGGACATCAGAATGTCACATATGAAGGCAACTCTCTGTAAGGAATTCAAATGCTTATCCTTAGCATTGCAGAATTAGTTCAAAACTATGAAGTCTATTTTGTGTGTTTTATTTTGTTTTGCTTTTCAGTCTTGCAGTTGGGGAGCTTTCATCAGCCAAAGTAGAAGTAAAATCTTTTGGACAGACTAGTGAACGGTCACTGATTCAGTTATAGATGGTATAAGGTTGAATTGTGCTACTTTGACATGTTTAATTAACTAATATAGAAAACAATGAAAATTTCATCTGTATTTTAATATTAAAAAGAATAACCTTGGCTAATTTCTCTAATTTCATGTTCATATTCTGTTATTTATGCAGATGTATTTTATAATAGAAATATTATACAATCATCTGTAGTTTTTTCATTTATATTCTAAAAGGATATGATGTTCTTGTGGAGTTGGTGTACTATAGTTTAATTATTTCTTTGTTTCTGGCTATTTACACTATTTTTATGTTTTCAAGATTTTAAATGATGCTATAATAAACATCTCTTTTAATTCACATGGGTTATGTCTTTCATGAATTCCTAGATATATTACTCTTGAATAAGCAAACACAATTTTTTGTTCTTCCTTATTCATGCTAATATTTCTATTATCTCAATCAATTGATTAATTTTATTCACCTTTTATTTTTCATATATTGATTTTTATTTATTATGTTTTACTTTGTGAGTCAGGGTCTCCCAGGCTAGAGCACAGTGATGCAATCATGGCTCACTGTAGCCTCGACCTTCCAGGCTCAAATGATCCTCCCACCTCAGCCTCTTGAGCAGCTGGGACTACAGGCACATACTCCTGAGCTTAAGCAATCCACCTGCCTCAGCCTCCCACAATTGCTAGAATTACAGGTGTGACCCACTGTGCCTGGCCTATTTTTAAATATTTTATATTTTTATTTTTAAATTTTTAGTCCCTTGTAGATTCTTGGCAAGACACGTCTCATACTCAGAGTGTTCTGCTAGCAGGTACCTGAGTTCCAGGCAGCCTGTGCTCAGAACTCAAAACTCCTCCAGGCTGTAATTCTCCCTGACAGAGTCAGAAACAGCAGCTTTCAGGCCATGCCCCTCTCAGTCTGCCTATGAAGCAGTGATGTCTAGCTTCTGTGCTCATGGCTATAGCACCCTTCCTACTTGCTCTTTGGTTCTGGCCAATGGGGTTCATCCTCACTCAAGATGATATCACAAATCTCATTGTGAGCTTCTCTTAACCTGTGATCACCAACTGAGTCAGCTGGCTGACTTCTGTGGAGTCTCCTGTGAGGTGGGACCGGGAATGGCTTCCCTTCATTCTTTCTGGAGTTGGTGTGCATGCAAAGCACCTCCCGATGCCGCTCCTTCTCATATATTTCCCACTGCTCACTAAATCAGCTCCAGCACTGAATAGGGGTAAGGGTTTCCCCCATGGCCTGGTTTTCACAGCTGTCTTGTCGGAGGGTGTGTCATTGTGTCAATCTCTCTCCACCTTACACTCTGGAGACTCACATTTTCTATCTGGTTCATGGTGTAGACTGCTGCCTGATGATTCTTTCAATGACTCCGTGGTTTCTTTCCATTTTTCTGTTAAGTTACTGTACTGCTTCTTGAAAAAAAGTTCACAGTGTGACTCTCTATACTTTATTTGGAGGCATGCTAACAATGCCTCCAGTCCACCATCTTGGAAGAACACAACAATAACAGTTTCATTCTTTTTTAAAAACAGCTTTGTTCAACATTCCTATTCAACATAGAAGTAGTTCTGGCCAAGGCAAGAGAAAGAAAGAAAGGTATTCAAATGGGAAGATCAGAAATCAAATTGACGTTGTTTGCAGATGACATAATCCTATATCTAGAAAACCTCATCCCAAAAGCTTCTTAAGCTGATAAGCAACTTCAGCAAAATCTCAGGATACAAAATCAATGTGCAAATATCACAAGCATTCCTATACACCAACAAAAGAAAAGCAGAGAGAGAAATCATTAATGAACTCCAATTCACAATCACTACAAAGAAAAAACATACCTAGGAATATGGTTAACAAGGGAAATAAAGACCTTTTAAAGGAGAACTACAAACCACTGCTAAAGAAAGTTAGAGAGGACACAAACAGATGAAAAATCATTCCAAGCTTTAGATAGGAAGAATCAATATCATGAAAATGGTGACACTGCCCAAAGTAATTTATAGATTCAAAGCTATTCCCATCAAACTACCATTGATATTTTTCACAGAATTAGAAAAAAATAAACTGTTTTAAAATTCATATGGAACCAAAAGAGAACCTGAATAGCCAAGACAATCCTAAGAAAAAACAACAAAACTAGAGACATCACACTACCCAGCTTCAAACTATACTGCAAAACTGCAGTAACCAAAACAGCATGGTGCTGATACAAAAACAGACACATAGACCAATGGAAAAAAATACAGAACCCAGAAATAAGACCACACATCTACAACCATCTGATCTTCGACAAACCTGACCAAAAAAAGCAATAGGAAAAGGATTCCCTGTTTAATAAATGGTGCTGGGAGAACTGGCTGGCCATATGCAGAAAATTGAAATTGGACCAACCCATTCCTTACACCTTATACAAAAATTAACTCAAGATGGATAAAAGGCATAAATTTAAAACCTAAAACTGTAAAAACCCTAGAAGAAAATCTAGGCAATACCATTCAGGCTATAGGCATGGGCAAAGATTTCATGAAGAAAATGTGAAAAGCAACTGCAACAAAAGCAAAACTTAACAAATGGGGTCTAATTAAAGTTAAGAGCTTCTGCAAAACAAAAGAAACTGTCATGAAAGTGAACAAACTAGAGAATGGGAGAAAATTTTTGCAACCTATCCATCTGACAAATGTCTAATATCGAGAGTCTACAGGGAGCTTAAACAAATTTACAAGAAAAAATGAACAACCCCCTTAAAAACTGGGCAAAGGACATGAACAGACACTTCCCAAAAGATGACATACATGTGGCCAACAAGCATATGAAAAAGAGCTCAACATCACTGATTATTAGAGAAATGCAAATTAAAACCACCATGAGATACTATCTCCACTAGTCAGAAAACTATTATTAAAAAGTCATTTTAATTAAATTATTATTTAAAATTTAATTAAATTATTAAATTAATAATAATTTAATTAAATTATTATTAAAATATTATTTAAAAGGCCATTATTAAAAAGTCAAGAAAAAGTAGATGCGGGCAAGACTGTGGAGAGATAGGAAAACTTTTACACTGTTGGTGGGAATGTAAATTAGTTCAACCACTGTGGAAGACAGTATCATGATTCCTCAAAGATGTAGTACCAGAAATAACATTTGACCCAGCAATCGCATTACTGGGTATACACCTAAAGGAATATAAATCATTCTATGATAATAATACATTTACATGTATGTTCAATGCAGCACTAATTACAATAGCAAAGACATGGAGTCAACCCAAATGTCCATTAATAATAAATCATAGAATACTATGCAGCCACAAAAAGGAATGACATTATGTTCTTTATAGGGACATAGATGGAGCTGGAAGCCATTATCCTCAGCAAACTAACGCAAGAGCAGAAAACCAAACACTGCGTGGTCTCACTCATAAGTGGGAGCCGAAAAATGAGAACACAGGGACACAGGGAGGGTAACAACACATACTGTTGTTCCTGTTGTGGGGTGAGGTGGGAGAGTATTAGGAAAAATAGTTAATTCATGCTGGGCTTAATACTTCAGTGATGGGTTGCTAGGTGCTGCAAACCACCCATGGCACATGTTTACCTATGTAACAAACCTGTGCATCCTGCACATGTGCCCTGGAAGTTAAAAAAATACTTTGTTAAAATAAAATGTATATACTGTACAATTCACCAATTTAAAGTATATGATTCAATGTTTTTTAGTATATTACATTATTAATTTTTTAATATGGTGATAAAATATATGTGGCATGAATAAAATTTGCCATTTTAAGCATTTAAGTGTACAATTCAATGGCATTAATTACATTTAAATTGTTATGCAACCATCACTATTAGTACTTCCAAAAATTTTTCATCACACCAGATGGAAATTCTGTAACCATTAACAATAACACAGCTGGGTGCAGTCGCTCACGCCTGTAATCCCAGCACTTTGGGAGGCCAAGGCTGGCGAATCAGCTGAGATCAGGATTTCGAGACCAGCCTGACCAACATGGGTGAAACCCATCTCTACTAAAAATATAAAATTAGCCAGGCGTGGTGGCGCTTCTCTGTAATCCCAGCTACTTGGGAGGTTGAGGCAGGAGAATCACTTGATCCCAGGAGGCGGAGGTTGCAGTGAGCCAAGATCACGCCATTGCACTCCAGCCTGGGCAACAAGAGCGAAACTCCATAAAAAAGTAAAAATAAATAACTCCCCATTCCTTTTTCTCTGTAGCCTCAGGTAACTAATAATCCTCTAATTCACTTTCTGTCTGTATGATTTTGCTTATTCTAGATGTGTCATATAGGTAGAATCAGACAATATTTGTCTTTTTGAGTCTGACTTGTCACTTAAATTTCAAGTTTCATCTATGTTGCAACATTTAACATTTTATTTTTAATGAATAATAAACATAAACATATTTATATTAATAAGATATACTGATATATGTACATATATATGAATAATATACAGATATATTTTGTTTATCCACATTTTGTTCATCCATTCATCTGTCGATGGACATGAGTTGTTTCTCTCTTTTTGCTATTGTGAATAATGCTGCAATGAACATTGATGTCAAAATATTGGCTCGAATCTCCACTGTTATAGGCTGAAGCGTTCTCCTCAAAAATTCTTGTTAAAATTCTAACCCCTAGTTAACTTAGAATGTGACTGTGTTTGAAGAGAGGGTCTTTAAAGAGGTAATTAAAGTTAAATGTAATACCTGGGGGGACCATAATCCATTATGACCAATGTCCTTATAAACTGAAAAGATTAGGACACAGATACACACGGAGAGAAAATTATATGAAGACTTTGGAGAGAAGGTAGGGCCATCTGCAAGCCAAGGCGGGAGGCCTCAGAAGAAATTAATCCCGAAGACACCTTGATTTCAACTTCTAGCCTCCAGAATCGTGAAAACATAGATTTCTGTTGTTTAAGCCATGCGATCTGTGGCATTTTGTTATGGCAGCTTTAGCTAACTAACACACCTACATTCAATTTCTTGGACTAGGTATCTAGAAGTAGATTTTTTGGGCTCATATGATAATTCTATGTTTAGATTTTTGAGGACTTATTCATTCTTGTTACAAACATTTCAGTACTTACCACATGCCAGATTTCGAGCTGTGTATTTGGAAAGTGAATATAACAGAATCACCTGTTTTCAGTGTTCACTCCCTAAAAACTGAGAGAATTATAAAACAAAAAGCTTAATGCTTTGATAGACATGTTCAAAAGATACTGAAGTTTAATTTATTATACTCTTGATGATATTGAATGATTTTACTTCTTTATGTCTTAATGTATAAAAATGGCCATATGCCCTTAAGTTAGTATCTTTGGGAAATATCCTATTAAAAAGTAGTCACAAATGTCCACTTGCTCTGGCCATACTCCTGCAATGTGAAGGTGTACATCTTCCCATCCAGGAAGTGAATCTATTTCTCTATGCCCTAAATATGCCGTGATCATGTTGCTTTCTTTGGCCAATGCAATATTAGAGAAAATGACACAAGCAGCTTGGAAAAGTGCTTGTACAATGATGAGCACTCTTTTGGTGTCCTTGAATCACTAAGGCCATCATACAAAAGGACATAACCTGCTGGAGGATGAGAGGCCATCTGGAGAAAATAAAGGAATGAAGCCAGCCCTGCAGACACCGAGCCAAAGGCTAGATAAGTGTAGAAGGCCATACAGAATCATCAGCCACCAACCAGGCTCTTAACTCACAACCACAGAAGCATGAATGAGCTCCCTGAGGTCACCAAAACCAACCTAGATCAGAACTGTTCAGCTGATCCACAGAATCATGAGCTAAATAAAAGAGTTATTTTAAGTTGTTGAAATCTCAGGAAGTAGAAGCAAACACTCTGATTACCAGATATTTTCTCAATATTTTATATTATTTTGTTACTTTTGTTATTGTTAATTGCTATTTGCACCGTTGTTCATTAATGTCTTAATTTGTTCTAATAAATACAAATAATATGTGTGTATACATATGTATATATAAATATATACAAATTTCTTAATGGCATGGGCATCTTCTTCAGCATTCTTTTTCCAGCTTCTATTTCCTATTGCCTAGCAAATAGAACACTTAACACTAAATGCTTGTCAGATGAGTAAAAGAACTCTTCACAATCAATAGATCTCAACACGTTGGTATATGTAATTTAATTTGAAATAATTACACAATAATTTAACTCATTTTGTTCTTTTTTAAACTTCTATTTTAAGATCTAGGTACATGTGTAAGATATGCAGGTTACATAAGCAAATGTGCATTATGGGGGTTGGTTGTACAGATTATTTCATCACCCAGGTATTATGCCTAGTATCAATTAGTTATGTTTCCTGCTTCTCTCCATCCCCCAACCCTCCACCCTCAGATAGGCCCCAGTGTGTATTGTTCCTCTCTATGTGTCCATGTTCTCGTCATTTAGCTTCCACTTAAAAGTGAGAACATGCAGTATTTGGTTTTCTGTTCCTGCTTTAGTTTGCTTAGGATAATGACCTCCAACTCCATCCATGTCCCTGCAAAGGACATGATCTCATTTTTTTTTGTGGCTTCTTGGTATTCCATGGTGTATATGTACCATACTTTCTTTATCCAGTCTATCATTGATGGTCATTTGGATTAATTTCATGTATTTGCTATTGTGTATAGTGCTGCAAGGAACATATGCATGCATATGTCTTTACAATAGAACAATTTACAATCTTTTAGGCATATTCTCATTAATGGGATTGCTGTGTCGAATGGTAATTCTGTCTTTAGGTCTTTGAGGAATTACCACACTGTTTTCCACAATGGTTGAACTAATTTACCCTCCCACCAACCATGTAAAGTGTTCCTATTTCCACACAATCTCACCAGAATCTGCTTTATAACTTTTCAGTAATAGTCATTCTTACTGGCATGAGTTGGTATCTTATTGTGGTTTTGATTTGCATTTCTCTAACGATCAGTGATGTTGAAGTTTTTTTATATGCTTGTTGACAGCATGTATGTCATCTTTTGAGAAGTGCCTGTTCATTTCCTTTGCTCACTTTTTAAAGGCCTTGTTTTTTTCTTGTAAATTTGGCGAAGTTCCTTGTAGATGCTGGATGTTAGACTTTTGTCAGATGCATGTTTTGCCAAAATTTTATCCCATTCTGTAGGTGTCTATTCGTTCTGAAGATAGTTTGTTTTTTTTTTTTTTTTTTGCTGTGCAGAAGCTCTTTAATTTAATTAGATCCCATTTGTCAATTTCTGCTTTTGTCACAATTGCTTTTGGTGTCTTCATCCTGAAATCTTTGCCCGTGCCTATGTTCTGAATGGTATATCCCAGGTGGTCTTCCAAGGTTTTTGCAGTCCACAAACCACTGCCCAAGGAAATCAGAGATGACGAAAATGAATATGAAAAACATTCCATGCTCATGGACAAGAAGAATCAATATCATTAAAATGGCCATACAGCCCAAAACAATTTATAGGCTCAATGCTATTCCCATTAAACTACTACTGACATTCTTCTCAGAACTAGAAAAATCTATTATAAAATTCATATGGAACCATAAAAGAGCCCAAATAGAACAAAGTTGGAGGCATCACATTACCCGACTTCAAACTATACTACAGGACTACAGTAATCCGAGCAGCATAGTATTTGTGCAAGAACAGACACATAAACCAGTGGAACAGAATAGAGAACTCAGACATAAGACCACACATCTATAACCATCTGATCTTCAACAAACCCGAAAAAACCAAGCAATGGGAAAAGGACTCCCTGTTAAATAATTGATGCTGGGATAAGCAGCTAGCCATATAGAAAATTGAAACTAGATCCCTTCTTTACATCATATACAAAAAATTGACTCGATGAATTAAAGACTTAAATGTAAATTTAACTCATTTTGATGATGTTTCTTGTGCATAAAAAATTTAATACTTCGTCAATGTGTCATATCCATTTACTTGTATTTATGATTATACTTCTATTGATCCAATCTCAGAAAATTTATTCCGTGTTCAGTAAAGGCAATAAGATGGACGGATGATTTAGTTCATACGTTCGTTTTCCCTGTCTTGAGGCCACTGTCCTATACTATCTGATATTCACTGTCTGAAGACCATTGATATGTATATTTTATCAAAAATTTCTTAGTTTATTTAAGGCAAGAGTACAAACCTAGTCCTTATTATGCCCTGTGTCTGGAATAAGTTCCAGTGTTATAAAAACATATGAATTCTAATGTGAATATCAGCTAAAGTAGACTTCAGAGGAAAAACAGTACAAAAGAGAAAGAGAAACATTTTCTAATAATAAAATAATTGATTCACTTAAAAGACAAAGCAATTTTAAATTCTTATGCTCTTAATAATATAACTTCAAATTATATAAAGTAAAATTTTACATAGCTAAAAAAGAACAGCCAAATTTATAATCTAAGGATTTCAAGTGGGTTTTATACCAGTGATGCAGGGATGGTTTAACATATACAAGTCATAAATATGATACATCACATAAACATAATTAAAAACAAAAATTATATGATCATCTCAATAGACACAGAAAAAAACATTTGGCAAAATTCAGAATCTCTTTATGATTGAAATACTCAGCATAATTGGCATAGAAGGAGCATACCTCAAGGTAATACAAGCCATCTATAACAAACCCACAGCCAACATCACACTGAACAGGGAAAAGTTTAAAAGCATTCCCCCTGAGAATATGATGCCCACTCACCACATCTATTAACCATAGCTCTGGAAGTCCTAGCCAGAGCAACCAGACAAAAGAAGGAAATATAGGGCATCCAAGTCAGTAAAGAGCAGATCAAACTGTCACTGTTTTCCAATGATATAATTGTATACGTAGATAACTCTAAAGACTCATCTAAAGAGCTTCTATATCTGATAAATTCAGTTAAGTTTCAGGACACTAAATCAATGTACACAAATCATTAGCACTGCTATACACCAACAACAACCAAGCTGAGAATCGAATCAAGAACTGAATCCCTTTTACAACAACTGCTATGTGTATATATATATATGTGTGTGTGTGTGTGTGTGTGTGTGTATATGTATACATGTATATATATACACATATGTATGTGTGTGTGTGTGTGTGTGTGTGTATATATATATATATATATATCTTAGGAATATACAAAGCCAAGGAGGTGGAAGATCTCTTCGAGGAAAACTACAAAACACTGCTGAAAGATATCATTGACAACAGAAACAAATAGAAACATATCTCATGCTAGTGGATGGGTAGAATCAATATTGTGAAAATGACCATACTGTCCAAAACAATATACAGATTCAATGCAATTCTCCTAAAAATACCATCATCATCATTCTTCACAGAACTAGAAAAAATAATCCTAAAATTCATATAGAACCAAAAAAGACCCTGCCTAGCCAAAGCGAGACCAAGCAAAAATAATAAATCTGGATGTATCACATTACCCAACTTCAAACTATATTACAAGACATCATTACCAAAACAGCATGGTACTGGTATAAAAATAGGCACATAGACCAATGAAACAGAATAGAGAACCCAGAAATGAAACCAAATACTTAGCAGCCAACTGATCTTCAACAAAGCAAATAAAAACATAAAGTTTGGAAAAGACACCCTATTCAACAAATGGTGCTGCAATATTTGGAAAGCCACATGTAGAAATATGAAACTGAATTCTCATTTCTCACCTTATACAAAAATCAACTCAAGGTGGATCAAAGTCTTAAATCTAAGATCATAAACCATAAAAGTTCTACAAGATAACATTGGAAAAAACATTCAAAACATTGGCTTGGTTATTCACGACCAAGAAACCAAAAGCAAACACAACAAAAACAAAGATAAATAGATTGAACTTTAATAATTAAACTAAAAAGTTTCGTACAGCAAAATAAATAATCAGCAAAAGACAATCCACAGAGTAGGAGAAAATCTTCACAATCTATACATCCGACAAAGCACTGATATCCAGAATCCACAAGGAACTCAAACACATCAGCAAGAGAAAGAGAAAAATTCCATCAAAAAGTGGACTAAGGACATGAATAGAAAATTCTTAAAAGAAGATATGCAAATGGCCCACAAATACATGAAAAAATACTCAGCATCACTAATTATCTGGGAAATGCAAATTAAAAACACGAGATATCACCTTATTCTTGCAAGAATGGCCATACTTCAAAAATCAAAATATAATAGATATTGACATGGATGTGGTGAAAAGGGAACACTTTTACATTAATGGTGGGAATGTAAACTAGTATAACCACTGTGGAAAACAGTTTGGAGATGCCTTAAAGAACTAAAAGTAGTACCTCCATTTGATCCAGCAATCCCACTACTAGGTATCTATCTAGAGGAAAAGATGTCATTATATGAAGAAGACAAATGCACATTATAGCAGCACAGTTTGCAATTGTAAAAATGTGGAACCAATCTAAATGCCCATCAACCAATGAATAGATAAAGAAAATGTGGCATGGAATACTACCTAGCCATAAAAAGAAATAAAATAACAGTCTGGGCGCAGTGGCTCATGCCTGTAATCCCAGCACTTTGGGAGACCAAAGCAGACATATCATTTGAGGTCAGGAGTTCAAGACCAGCCCGGTCCACATGGTGAAACCCTGTCTCTACTAAATATACAAAAATCAGCTGGGCGTGTTGGCAGGCATGTGTAAGACCAGATACTTGGGAGGCTGAGGCAGGAGAATCGCTTGAACCTGGGTGGCAGATGTTGCAGTGAGCGGAGATCATGCCATTGTGCTCCAGCTTGGGCAACAAGAGTGAAACTTCATCTAAACAAAAAAAAAAAAAAAAAGAAAGAAAGAAAGAAAAAAAGAAAAGAAAAGTAAAGAAAAAAATGAAATAATGACATTTGCAGCAACCTGAATGGAGTTGGAGATTACTATTCTAAGTGAAGTAACTCGGGAGTGGAAAATCAAACATTGCATTTTCTTACTTATAAGTGGGAGCTAATCTGCAAGGACACAAAAACCTAAGAATGATATAATGGACTTTGGGGACTTGAAGGGAAAGGTGGAAGGAGGGTGAAGGAGACCACACATTGTGTACAGTGTACACTGCTTGGGTGATGGGTGCATCAAAATCTCAGAAACCCCTGCTAAATAACTCATCATGTAACCAAAAACCACCTCTTCCCCCAAAACCATTAAAATAAAATAAAGACAATTTAACACCTTTCCATCACCACTTGATCAAATGAATACTCTATCAGTATGAAAATAGAGGAGTTAAAAAATAAAACAGAAATAAATATTTGACATTTATAACCAATATATGTTTTTCAATTGGTAAATGCTATCAAACATTTAACAAGATAGAATATATGATAAGTCATACATCATCTCAATATATTTGAATTTTTTATATCATAGAAAGTACATTCTCTGATCACAAGCATATTAAGTTAGAAATCAATAAAAATAAGATACTTAGAAAAACACAAGCTATTTGGAAAATAAACTATACACCTCTGTACATTCTGTACATAATGTTATTTAAAAAATTCCTTATATTGGTGTGTTTTTTTGTTATTAGACTTACCATATGTCAAACAAATATATTAATCTTTCACAGAACAAATTTTTCCTTGTATTTTTCTCTGTCCCTAATTTCTACTTTTACATTTGCTGTTGCCATTCTTCTTCTTCCTTTAGTTTCAGTGTAATCTGTTTTGGTAGCTTATTGTGGATGTTTAGATAATTGATTTTGCGTTATCTTTTCTAGGATCAATACACAAAACTATAAATATTTTTAAATACTACTACGTTTGCATCCCACAAAATGAGATATATTGTAGTATCATTATTATTCATTATGAAAGGTTTTCCAACTTCCCTGTAAATTTCTTCTTTGATTCAAGTACAACTTTAAGAGAATGCCTTGAACGAACAAAACCTCTGAGTCTTTTAAGGAAAAAGACAATGGTAAAGGGATTATAGTATAATGTTACAGTTGGGGACTTTTGATACATAGTAGTTATTGGTACTATTAAGTCAACTTTTCTGTAAGTCTGAAATTATTCCAAAATGAAAATTTTAAATTAAATAAAGCTTTTACTGTATTACAAAAACACTTACATCAGGAATTCAAGGATAATACAACCTTAAAAAATGTATGTAAGCATGCCATATTAAAAGATTAAGGAAGGAGGATTATACAATTACTTCCATAGTTTTAGAAAAATACACTAAAAATAAATATTTACACCAAATAAATGTTAATAATAATTCTTAGAAATCATAAGATTGAAAGTTCTTGTTTGGATAGAGCACATCTATGAGAAACATACTGTATATTATGTTTAAAGCAAAACATTAGAAAGATATCTTTTATTTTGGAAACTAGGATGCCTGTTACAACTAACTTTAAATGAAAAATTGGAGATGATTTTCAATAAAATAAGAGAAATAAAACTAGAAAATACATAAAAGAGTGAATATCAAGCAGAAAGAAACTAGATTCTTATGTATTGCAGAAGTCATAATGACATGGCTAAGATAAAAAGAACTAATAAGAATGTATAAAACATGGCAGGGGCCCAGCGCGGTGGCTCACGCCTGTAATCCCAGCACTCTGGGAGGCCGACGTGGGCGGATCACGAGGTCAGGAGATCGAGACCATCCTGGCTAACACGGTGAAACCCGGTCTCCACTAAAAATACAAAAAATTAGCCAGGCGTGGTGGCAGGCGCCTGTAGTACCAGCTACTCGGGAGGCTGAGGCAGGAGAATAGCCTGAACCCGGGAGGCGGAGCTTACAGTGAGCCGAGATCGCGCCTCTGCACTCCAGCCTGGGCGACACAGCAAGACTCTGTCTCAAAAAAAAAAAAAAAAAAAAAAGGCTAATTATAAAAAAATGGCTAATTATAAGATCAGCATAAAACAAATAACATATTTCTTATACATTATCAAAAGAAAAATGAAAATTATATAAGAAATTCATTTTAGAGTGGGAAATTTATGTCTTCTTACAAATTACCTAGGAATAAATTAGCAATAAATACACTGGAATACAATCTATTAAAATTTACTGAACTATGTAAAAGAAAAAAATTAGAGAATTACTGTTAATGCATGGCATAACTCAATATTTAAAGACCTCAATTATTTCCAGTCTCTCTTTTTTTTTTTTTTTTTTCGAGATGGAGTCTCGCTCTATCGCCAGGCTGGGGTGCAGTGGCGCCATCTCAGCTCACTGCAACCTCCGCCTCCCGGGTTCAAGCGATTCTCCTGTCTCAGCCTCCCAAGTAGCTGGGAATACAGGCACGTGCCACCACACCCAGCTAATTTTTGTATGTTTAGTAGAGACAGGATTCCACCATGTTGTCCAGGGCTGTTTCAAACTTCTGACCTCAAGGGATCCACCTGACTCCACCTCCCAAATTGTGGGGATTATAGGCATAAGCCTCCACGCCCGGCCTTTGCTATTAATTCACAGCAATATTAGTCTGTTCCATCTAGGATACTTTTTGAAACCTAATAATTTCTTTCTAAAGTGTATATGGAAGACTAGGTGGGTGGAAGTGGAATTACAAAGAAACATTTAAAAAGAGTAAAATGTTTTACCAACTTAAAGATCCCTGCCTATAAAAATATATTTATCTGAACATATGATAACCATGCTAATTCAAACCAGATAATAATTATGGAATAGAAAAATTAAATGATGAAAGAGGAAGACTAAATATATGTATTATAGGTCAGATTTTGTTGAATTTGGTCTTTTGAATTAATGATATTATTCAATATCATTTATACCACACAGATGTAAATGCTGTATTATGCTGAAATATTTAAGCATTTGTTTTTGCGCCCTCATTCAAATGATCACAGATCACATACATCTATGATATGTATATGATAGTGAAAATCCTATGTCCCTGAGATAATTACTTGATGATTTAATTTCTGCTAATTTCTGTTACTAGATTTGCTGCATTTATGTTTTTAAATAGAATTCATCTTGAGTGTGTAGTTCATACACATGTGAGGTGTGCACACACACGCATACACACGTGCCCTCATATGTGTGCATAAACATACACAGGTACACTTATTTTTGAGTTTATGCTAGCTTTATAAAAGTAATTTCTAGTTTTTTCATGTTTTTGTTCTGAATCAATTTATATATTAAAGAAAGTATGTATTCTTTCTTTTCCTTTCTGAAATATGAATTCTGTGACCAGGGACTTTATTAGAGGAATTATTTGATAACATTCTCATTAATTATTTGTATGACAAATATTTTAGTATTGATTGCTTCTAGAGTCAGTTTTGATGATTTCAGACCACATGTTTTAAAAAATGGTTTGAGATTGGCACTTTATTTTTGGTTTATATTGAATACATCATTAATTATAATTCCTGTTTTTTCTCATAAGTTTTCCACACTCTGTTTATATCATTGTACTTTTTGAACAGCTAAATATATTTTAAAAAATATTCTCATGCCATAGAAGAAAGATCCTAAACACCTTTTGTGTGATCCATATCACTAGTTAGAATAAAGATCAAATAAAGACAATTTTAAATGCTATTGTTATGATCATATATTATTTCTCCACACCAAAATACCAACTGAATGATGTGAAGTGTAAACCAATCATCTGCTGTGTTTCACGTTATTGTAATACACTTGTTTCCTTCAGCATAATGTTAGTAAAAATTGTGTGTGCAGTCATTAGGTAATTTTTCTGGGCATGACTTCCTTCCAGATGTAATTTTATGATCATCCATTTTCCATTTTCCTTTGAAATTCACTCATTTAATAAGAATTTAGTGACTATTTTCTATATACACTGCTTTATACTGAAATTGGTGACGTAAAAAGAAGTTAAAATGTGTTCTTTACTAATTCTTTCTGGGAACATTCATTGTACATGTGCATCAAAGACATGCACATAGGAAGAATCTGCAGCAATTTAATTCACATACAATATGAAATATAAAAATGTGTGATTCAGAAAATGTGTCAAAAACAACAAACTAACCCTACAGGAAATAAATTAGAAAGACAATGAGAGTCTGTACTTGAACTGGACATTGAATAAAAAGTAAATTTTAAGAGCCAATGAGAATAGAAAGACAATTGGAAAATTAGGCATATGAAAGTAATATTTTTTAAAAATATCTTTTCTGTTTTTATTCCAATAAAATTTTAATATGTTGGCCCAAGATAAATCTAAGAGATTACCATAGAATAGTAAATATGTATTATAGACCTTAATGGTTTTCTAAATGCAGAAGTTTATTACATGGTTTAAGTCTGTATTTATTCAGAAAAAAATGCATTCTTTTTATATTTACTTTCTCTGATGAATCATTTGGCCTCCTTTTTAGAAATGTGTATTTGTTATTCACATTATATCAACCACATGTATAAACAATTGAAGAAAGCCATAAACAAAAATTTGCTGTGATCCTCACATAATTTATATTCTAGAAACAAAAGATACAATTTAATAAATAAGTCAGATAATATGTACTTTATGACAGGAGATATTATCCATATCAAAGGTTCATAAACAATCACCTGGATATGACCACAGCATGCCAATATATGTATTGTGGAAATATCATAAGACTTCCCATGTGAAAAAGAATTGAAAAGAATCCTGGACTCAAAGGAATATGTAAAGAGCTTTTATAGAATGTCAAGGAGGAGATGATTGTGATTTGAAATAACAAGTTATAGGTGGGAATGGAAAGAGTAAACAGACCAA
The DNA here is from genome assembly GCF_000001405.40 of Homo sapiens. Classification (NCBI taxonomy): domain Eukaryota; kingdom Metazoa; phylum Chordata; class Mammalia; order Primates; family Hominidae; genus Homo; species Homo sapiens. The sequence continues at coordinate 59,792,535 of NC_000004.12, read as the reverse complement.
GGAAACATTTAATAGAGGTATACTTTCTGATGTTATATTTATGCCGCAAGGGAACAGGGAAAAGGTAAAAATGATTATTTTTCAAATTTTTGGCTTAAACGTCTGTTAATCCAGTGCCTAATACAGGGTGTATTAGTTAAGACTAACTGCTTTGGTTGCCAAGTAAGGAAACTCTACTTTGTCAGGAAAAGACAGGAGTCAATAAACTATGGTCCATGGCCAAATTGATCTTGCTGCCTGTTTTTGTAAATCAAGTTTAATTGGAACACAGCCATATCCATCATTGTAGCTTAATAGTTGCACCCAAACCATATGTTCCATAAAACCTAAAATATTTGCAATCTAGCCTTTTACAGAAGATGTTTACTGACCTTGGGCTAAAACAGAACAGTAAAATTCATCAGTGTTCACTTGTTTTCAGGTGTTCAGACAGTGTTATGAGGACTCTGCCTCTGCATCTTTCATTTCTGCCTCAACATCAGCTGCTGCTTCAGTAGGCTCAGAACGTGCTACACTGAGACAGCAACATTACTCTATCCATTCAGAATCAAAAGGGAGTAAACTTTGTCCAAAATTTTTAGCAAAGTTCATGTAAGTCACTCTCTGTACTGAGGTCTGGATTTTGTGGCATCTATGGAGTTATAGGTGGAATAATGTGTACTGAGGATTTGGAGTCTCCAAAGGAAAATCATGGTACTATTATAGCCCACACCTGATGTCCAGCATATTGGGAACACAGGAGACACATAAGGTTTTGGAAAGAGAATAAAATGTTTAATTTTAGTCATAATGAGATAAAAAGATACAGTAATTAAAAAAATGAATACTCATGAAGAACATATTATGAGCTAGATAAACTTTTGGTCTTTGGAGAATTTTATCTATATTGACTCTACTCTCTCTCACAATGGGCTGCTGTGAAGTGCATATATCCATTTTTCAGATGAGAAAATTCAGGGAAATTGAAGATGTTCAGAAATAACGGCAACCGTCTTAATACTATTTATTTACTATTTGCTGAATAATTTCCTAAATAATTTTTATAGTAATTATCTTTCCTGGCAATGCATAATTACTGAGCAGTCACTGTTATAAACATGAAATGCCTAGCTATGTACTAAAAGACAAAGTGTCTGCCATCTGGGAAATCATGCTACTATGACATAATAGTAAACAGGTAGAAAAAGTTGGCTTTCAATACTTAATATCATCAGCAAAGTATGATGGGAGGCCCTCATTTTAAATGAATGCTGCATGTTTAGCCCAATTCCCTCTAAGCATAATTAACATATGAATTGATATTGTACTAAATATTTGTTTTTGAGTGTCAGCATAATTTTGAGTGGAGAAAAAATATGCATACACCTTTATCTGCGGTGAGATGCTCCCTCTCTCTATGTAAAGAAAATTGAAATTGAATTGTGTTGTTTCAGAAAAGCAAGATTAAATTTCTTTGGTTTAATAAATGTAAATTATTTACATATTGGAAGTAGGTAAGGGGAAGATTATGATCACAATTAATGATTATTGAGTGCTTGAAAAATACCAAATACTCCTCACTTAAATCATCTTTAGATTAACTGGCATTATTATAAACCTATTTTACCAGCATAGAAATTCTTGTGGTCACCTGACCCTTAATGGACCATATACTGTATAGTCAGGGTTTGAACCCAGTGAGATACAGCTAGAGCAGCATGCTTCTACTCACTACACAATGATGCCTCCATAGAACCCCATGGTTTTCATTGATGCTGCTTTTTATCTTGTCTCAACTGTGAAAACACCTGAGACTTTGCAGTTGACTCAGAGAAGCAGAAAGGAAATTGCAGTCCCATTGAACGCAATTTTAAGAGTAAGAAATACTTGGACTCACTGTTTCCTGAATCGCCTAGTGCAGAATATAAATTCAGGCAGTGGCTGACTTTGTCCTCCAACTGTATAAACAATGTAGTAGACTTCAGGAGGGAATCTGAAATAAGTTTAAAATTTTTTTTTAATTATTAGTTTTGTAACCTGTGACACCTGGACGTGCAGTTTCTGCGGTCCTCTTTAACTCTAAACAGATTATGGAGCAAGTTGATAAATAGCCAATCACCTAGAAAACAGTTATGAAGAACAGGCCTCATCTGTGAAAGAAAACAAAAATCAACTTCCTTAACGTCTATGTTTTTGGAAAGGAAGTTCTCCCTTTTGCTTTACAGTTATAGAAATATCAGGCACAAAAATAAGCCTTCTCATATACTTCTCATGAGTATTAGCATATACATTATTTTTTAAAATAACGCGAATGTTTTAAATGTTACAATGAAACAAAATATAAGGAGACATAACAGTTATATTTCAATGATACACATATGTACAAAGTAGTAAAAATCATACTTTGTAATAGATGGGAACACAGTAATTTGGTACAAAGTATTTAGAGCAAGTTCATTAATCTAGATTAATACATTGTATATTTTATTTAGATAGAAATAACATTTTTATTTTATAATTATATAAGAACATACCTATTTTTCAAATTTATGCATTATTTCCTCAGAATCTGAAACTAAAACTTAATTTTAACTGTACTGTCACCTTAGTTTTTCTTTTCGGAGATATGAAGTTTAGGTCAGCTTAGTAATATCCAGAATTTATACATGTAAAATTTAGCAGGATTTTAAGATATACTGATATTCTCAAGAAAGTATTAAATAAATGATAAATTAATGAAAATTAATGATAAAAATAATACTAACAATAATCATGGAGACCATTGATCTTATTATCCTTGAAATACCAAAGAATTGGCACAATGATGGGATTTTTTTAGATTAAATGATCTAAATTATTGCTTCAGTCTTCTATTTTACTTTCCTAAACTAGATTCTTAGGACTTTATTATACGTGGTAGTTAAGAGTATATAGAATGGAAGAAATAACATCCAGTAAGTTGTTTGCTTAACATACTTATCACAGTTCTCACTTATAAGCTAATTTAAGCAATCTTTTTTAGGTATACATGTTCTAAGCTAAATCTAACATGGTTTTATTTTCTGACCTCAAATAAGATAAACCTTAATTCTACTGAAGATATTGTTATCAATATCACTGACTCATAAACTTGCTAATATTTAGATATTGTGATAGATAGATACATATATACATAAATATTTGATAAAATATAGGAATAGACGTACGTATAAATACATCTACCTTTATTACTGAGGCTTTAGCTCATGGCAACTTGAGCACAGAGACAGGATGATGTAGTATCCATAGTAATAATATATAGGAGTAATCTTACTTCATTGAAGTACATTTATGAAAGGGTAGCATTGTACTATATTAAAGGTCATAAATTATGATGACACTGGTGAATGGATTTGTTAGAGAAAATAAGTAAAATGGTATTCAATATGTGAGAATCATTTAACACTCAAAATTTTATTTTTTTACTAACTTCTACGAAACTTTCTATTGTTTTGTTCTGAGATTTGACTTCTCCATTTGGGGAGCTGTCGTTTTGACAGGGGTTAACATTAAAGATCATCTTTCTGGAGGGCCATTTTACTAGAAAGCTTGAAGACAGTTGTGGTGGGATTTGCTTTATATTAAACCCAGTTTAGAAGAGAATACCAAGTCCCCAGGTATACTGTTAAAGCAGGACATTTCAAAGTAATATCTTGCTTGGTTGCCACTTTGAACTGCTATATCTTTATATTGTTGAAGCAGTTTTCTTTCTGTCTGCCATTAAAGATATTAATTGTAAATGCTTGAGAAGCCCTTGTAACAAAGCACCTCTGCTTCTACTATCATTTATTTAGTTTCAGCTTTCAAAACACAGAAATAACTGTTGTTTTACTTTTATACAACAGCACTTTAAAAGTTTATTTTTATGCTTTCCTAAACAATGTCATAAAGCCATCTCCATTAGAGATCTTTCTGCTTATTGCAAACATCAAAAATTGTCCATATGTGCTGAATTATTTTCACACTATATGAAAGCTTCAGATTTCCCTTACAATTTTCCCCAATCTAGAATTTTGATATATTTATAGCTACAAAGCAGGATGTGGATACACAAGTTCTTCTTTCTAAATTGAAAAGATTAAAAATCTACATGGTTTAAGTAGCCCAGACCTTTGGTACCCAGATATAGATGAATTAATCATCAATGACTAATATATATTTTATGTAGTTTGAATTTTATTAATTTGTATAATGAAGGGAACTTCAGCCTGTTGTATTCCAAGGGAAATCAATCATCTTATGTGCAGTGTTTACTTCCCAGCTTTGCAACTATAGTGACTGGAAATGATAGAGTAGTTCCCAGAATTTCAGTGTTAATTACAGTGTAGTACATCACTGGGGCCCTTGTTTAAGAAAAGAAAAACTTTTTGAGATTTGTATAACGTTGCCATCTACTTCAAATGCAGTTTAATTGTATAAGAAACACATTTTTTTCACAATGCTGATTTTGAGTATTTTCCTACTAAACTATATCAAATATATTTAATGTTTTCAAAACATGTTTGTGTAAACATGTTTTGAAAGAAATGAAGAAATGAATCACCCTAATAAATATTTTAAATTTGTTTTGGATCTAGGATATTGTAGCTGTTATTGTGATACTCTGTCAGTTTTCCTCTTCAGGGCCTCCAAGAAACCCATTTCCCAGTTTATGAGGAAGACCATTTACAGCTTCATCACTCAATTAGGAATTACCCTCAACCACAGGAAACTGCATAGGTCAAGAGTATGCCCATTGTGTGAATGCATCCTGAGGTCCATTGTCATCCTATGGTGGGGATACCAAAGTTGAACTCTTATGACTCAATTTGGAACAATGTTGAAGGCTCATTTTAAGTCCAGAGCTGTTTATAGAATCAGCAGAATCCTCCATTGTCACCTTATTGTTTGGCAGCTTCCCCCTCTGTCTAATCCTGCATTTCTCATTTCTTTACAGGTGTGTATCTCAAGAGCATTCCACAACAAAGATTCTGCCTGCAATCCTCCACTTCAAGGTCTATTCCAGGAAACCTGTGTAACACAGTTATGCATAGAGTGGTCTTAGGAAGCTGACTCTAACATGAAAATTTAGAGTTGGATCTTTTCCTGACATATTAAATATTCATAAGAGCATATGATACATTTGTCTACCATAAACACGTCATTTCAAAACACCCTCAAAGTTTCCTTGTAGAATATCATTTTAAAACTAGTGTGTAGGAATATTTCATATCAGTTATTCAGTCTTCTTAATATCTGAATCCAAATTAATCTTCCGTTATGCTTTTATTTATAAATAATATGATTTATTTTCAGATTCAATAATCTATATTTTCATTTATCCTAAAGTGGGAAATACCAGCATAAAAATAAATTATTTGAAACAAATCACATTGTTATCCCATTTTACCATTACTCACATGTAGAAGATATTGTTTTTAACAAAAACAATAAGAGAAACAGAAACTACCATTTGTTAACTGATGCTTACTGGAAGCTTTAGAAGAATTTTCTTATTTAATTTTCAATCAAGTTTTTCATGGACATTTTTGTTATCGACAAATAATTTTAATTTGTCAAATCCTCACAGCAAATTATAGATGCCATTATTAACCGATTTTTTAAAAACCTGATTCATAAAAAAGGTTGATGATATGCTTTGGATCTTTGACCCCATCAAATCTCATGTTGAATTGTAATCTCCAGAGCAGGAATTGGGGCCTGGTGGGAGGTGATTAAATTATGGAGGTGGAGTTCTCATGAATGGTACAGCACCATTTCCTTGGTGCTGTCTTGTGATTGAGTTTTCATGAGATTTGGTTGTTTAAAAGTTTGTGGCACCTTCCCCATCTCTCTCTTGCTCTTCCTGCAGCCATGTGAAGGGCTGTTTCCCCTTTGCCTTCTGCCATGATTGTAAATTTCCTGAGGCCTCCCCAAAAGCTGAGCAGACGTCAGCATCATACTTCCTTAACAGCCGATGGAATTGTGAGTCAATTAAATATATTTTCCTTATAAATTACCAGTCTTAGGGTTTTGTTCATAGCAGTGAGGAAATGAACTAATTCAGCTAGTAAATGACAAATGTCATAAAAATAGCAAATAGCACAAGAAGATATCCAACCAAGATTAGGGGACTCCAGAACCTAAGGATTTCTGAAAGCATAGGTTTTAAAGGGTGTAAAGAAACTAAGTCTAGGACACATTTAGGAACTCAATTACGTAAGAAACAAAAATCATATATAGACTTTTTAAATTCAGAAGAGGAGGAGCAGTGGAGAAAGATGAGGAAGAGGAGGAGGAGGAAGAAGCAGAAGACATTCTAGCTTAGCACATTTACTCCAGTCTATAGGGAAAGCTCAGTTATACCCCTTCCCCACTAACCCTAAGAGGAGCTCTAGTGTTCATAAGAGGATTTCTCAAGGACTCAAATAAATCTTCAGGGATATAAAATAGGGTGGGATAACAAGCAATAGAGGGTGTGTGTGTGTGTGTGTGTGTGTGTGTGTGTGTGTGTTAGACAAATAGATGAAAAATTTTATTTTATTTTGAGACATCATCATTTTGTTTGGAATCTCTCTCTTTTTCTCTCAATTTTCTCTTCCTCTCCCTCTCTCTGTCTTTCTTTTTCTTTCTCACTTTCCCTTTACAATACTAGTGAAGTATCGCAACATGAAATGAACGTGGGATCTTTCTCTAGCTTGATAGATCGTTTGTTATTATTTGTTTCTTCATTATAAACTGCCCTGTTAAAGTTTCATGGCTTAAAACAAAATAATTTATCTTGATTCTGAAACTGAATTTTGGGCAGGGCCCAGTGTGAAGGCCTTATCTCTGTCCATGTCAATCAGGTCAGCTGAGGAAATTCAACTGGGGCTGCAGGTATAATTTTCAAGACAGCTCACAGATGTGGTTGATGGATGCTGTCAGTTGGCAATTCAGCCATAACTGTCATTCAGGAGCCTCACTTCCTGTCCAAATGAGAGTCTCTACAGAACATTTTATGTTCTCCATGGCATAGTGGTAGTATCCTAAAAGCAAGTCTTCCAAGGTACAGGAAATAGAAGATGCTAATCTTTCTCTCTCTCTTTTTTTTTTTAATTATACTTTGAGTTCTGTGGTACATGCGCAGAACGTGCAGGTTTGTTAGACAGGTGTACGTGTGCCATGGTGGTTTGCTGCACCCATCAACCCGTCACCTACATTAGGTATTTCTCCTAATGCTATCCCTTCCCTGGCCCCCGACCCCCTGAAAGGCCCCGGTGTGTGATGTTCCCCTCCCTGTGTCCATGTGTTCTCCTTGTTCAACTCCCACTTATAAGTGAGAACATGCAGTGTTTGTTTTTCTGTTCTTGTGTTAGTTTACTGAGAATGATGCTTTCCAGCTTCATCCATGTCCCTGCAAAGGACATGAACTCATCCTTCTTTATGGCTGCAGAGTATGCCATGGTGTATATGTGCCACATTTTCTTTAACCAGTCTATCATTGATGGATATTTCAGTTGTTTCCAAGTGTTTGCTATTGTGACTAGTGCCTCAATAAACATACATGTGCATGTGTTTTCATAGTAGAATAATTTATCATCCTTTGGGTATATACCCAGTAATGGGATGGCTAGGTCAAATGGTATTTCTAGATCTAGATCCTTGAGGAATCACCACACTGTCTTCCACAATGGTTGAACTAATTTACACTCCTGTCAACAGTGTAAAAGCATTCCTATTTCTCCACATCCTCTCCAGCATCCATTATTTCCTGACTTTTTAATGATCGCCATTCTAACTGGCATGAGATGGTATCTCATTGTGTTTTTGATTTGCATTTCTCTAATGACCAGTGATGATGACCTCTTATTCATATGTGTGTTGGCTGCATAAATGTCTTCTTTTGAGAAGTGTCTGTTCATATCCTTCACCCACTTTTTGATGGGGATGTTTGATTTTCTTTTCTTTTGTAAATTTGTTTAAGTTCTTTGTAGATTCTGGATATTAGCCCTTTATCAGATGGATAGATTGCAAAAATTTTCTCCCATTCTCTGCATTGCCTGTTCACTCTGATGATGGTTTCTTTTGATGTACAGAAGCTCTTTGGTTTAATTAGACCCTGTTTGTCAACTTTGGCTTTTGTTGCCATTGCTTTTGGTGTTTTAGACATAAAGTCTTTGTCCATGCCTATGTCCTGAATGGTATTGCCCAGGTTTTCTTCTGGGATTTTTATGGTTTTAGGTCTTATGTTTAAGTCTTTAATCCATCTTGAGATGATTTTTGTATAAGGTGTAAGGAAGGGGTCCAGTTTCAGTTTTCTGCATATGGCTAGCCAGTTTTCCCAACATCATTTATTAAATAGCAAATCATTTTCCCATTGCTTGTTTCTGTCAGGTTCATCAAAGATCAGATGGTTGTAGATGTGTGGTGTTATTTCTGTGGCCTCTGTTCTGTTCCATTGGTCTATGTATCTGTTTTGGTACCAGTATCATGCTTTTTTTTTTACTGTAGCCTTGTAATGTAGTTTGAAGTCAGGTAGTGTGATGCCTCCAGCTTTGTTGTTTTTGCTTAGGATTGTCTTGGCCCTGCAGGCTCTTTTTTGGTTCTATATGAAGTTTAAAGTAGTTTTTTTCCAATGCTGTGAAGAAAGTCAGTGGTAGCTTGATGGGGATAGCATTGAATCTATAAATTACTTTGGGCAGTATGGCCATTTTCATGATATTGATTCTTCCTATCCATGAGCATGGAATGTTTTTCCATTTGTTTGTGTCCTCTCTTACTTCCTTGAGCAGTGGTTTGCAGTTCTCCTTGAAGAGGTCCTTCACATCCCTTGTAAATTGTATTCCTAGGTATTTTATTCTCTTAGCAGCAATTGTGAATGGAAGTTCACTCATGATTTGGCTCTCTGTGTTCTGTTATTAGTGTATACGAATGCTTCTGATTTTTGCAATTGATTTTGTATCCTGAGAATTTGCAGAAATTGCTTATCAGATTAAGGATATTTTGGGCTGAGATGGTGGGGCTTTCTAAATATACAATCATGTCATCTGCAAACAGAAACAATTTGGCTTGCTCGTTTCCTATTTGAATACCCTTTCTTTCTCTATCCTGACTGCCCTGACCAGAACTTCCAACACTATGTTGAATAGGAGTGGTGAGAGACGGCATCCTTGTCTTGTGCTGGTTTTCAAAGGGCATACTTCCAGTTTTTCCCCATTCAGTATGATATTGACTGTGGGTTTGTCATAAATAGCTCTTATTATTTTGAGATACACTCCATCAATATCTAGTTTATTGAGAGTTTTTAACATGAAGGGCTGTTGAATTGTGTCGAAGGCCTTTTCTGCATCTATTGGGATAATCATGTGATTTTTGTCATTGGTTCTGTTTATGTGATGGATTATGTTTATTGTATGTTGAACTAGCCTTGCATCCCAGGTATGAAGCCAAGTTGATCTTATGGGTAAACTTTTTGATGTGCTGCTGGATTTGGTTTGCCAGTATTTTATTGAGGATTTTCGCATTGATGTTCCTCAGGGATATTGGCCTGAAATTGTCCTTTTTTGTTGTATCTCTTCCAGGTTTTGGTATCAGGATGATGCTGGCCTCCTAAAATGAGTTAGGGAGGAGTCTCTCTTTTTCTATTTTTTGCAATAGTTTCAGAAGAAATGGTACCAGCTCCTCTTTGTAACTCTGGTAGAATTTGGCTGTGAATCCTTCTGTTTCTAGACTTTTTGGGGGTGGTAGGGTATTAATTATTGCCTCAATTTCAAAACTAGTTGTTGTTCTATTCAAGGATTCGACTTCTTCCTGGTTTATACTTGGGAGGGTGTATGTGTCCAGAAATTTATCCATTTCTTCTTGATTTTCTAGTTGATTTGCGTAGAGGTGTTTATAGTATTCTCTGATGGTAGTTTGTATTTCTGTGGGATCAGTGGTGATATCCTCTATATCATTTTTTATTGTATCTATTTGCTTTTTCTCTTTTTTCTTTTTTATTAGTCTGGCTAGCAGTCTATCTGTTTTTTTGATCTTTCAAAAAATCAGCTCCTGAATTCACTGATTTTTTGAAGGGTTTTTCATGTTTCTATCTCCTTCAGTTCTGCTCCGATCTTAGTTATTTCTTGTCTTCTGCTAGCTTTTGAATTTGTTTGCTGTTGCTTCTCTAGTTATTTTAATTTTGATGTTAGGCTGTCAATTTTAGATCTTTCCTGCTTTCTCTTGTGGGCATTTAGTGATATAAATTTCCCTCTACACACTGCTTTAAATGTGTCCCAGAGATTCCGGTACGTTGTGTCTTCATTCTCATTGGTTTCAAAGAACAGCTTTATTTCTGCCTTCTACTCATTATTTGCCCAGTAGTCATTCAGGAGCAGTCTGTTCAGTTTCCATGTAATTGTGCAGTTTTGAGTAAGTTTCTTAATCCTGAGTTTTATTTTGATCGCACTGTGGTCTGAGAGACTGTTATGATTTCCATTCTTTTGCATTTGCTGAGGAGTGTTTTACTTCCAATTTTTTATGTGGTCAATTTTAGAATAAGTGAGATGAGGAGCTGAAAGGAATCTGTATTCTGCTGATTTGGGGTGGAGAGCTCTGTAGATGACTATTAGGTCCACTTGGTCCAGAGCTGAGTTCAAGTCCTGCATATCCTTGTTAATTTTCTCGTTGATCTGTCTAATATTGACAGTGGGGTGTTAAAGTCTCCCACTATTATTGTGGGAGAGTCTAAGTCCTTTCGTAGGTCTCTAAGAACTTGCTTTATGAATCTGGGTGCTCCTGTTTTGGGTGCATATATATTTTGGATATTTAACTCTTCTTGCTGTATTGATCCCTTTAACATTATGTAATGCCCTTCTCTGTCTTTTTTGATCTTCGTTGGTTTAAATTCTCTTTCCATTCTCTCTGTCACTTTCAAGTACATCAATCAAACATATGTTTGGTCTTTTCACATAGTCCCATATTTCTTGGATGTTTTGTTTGTTCTTTTTTATTCTTTTTTTTTTCTAATCTTGTCTTCTCCCTTTATTTCATTAAGTTGATCTTCAATCAATGATATCCTTTCTTCTGCTTGATCCATTCAGCTATTGATACTTGTGTATGCTTCATGAAGTTCTCATGCTGTGATTTTTCAGCTCTATCAGGTCATTTATGTTCTTCTCTAAACTGACAATTCCTCTAATCTTTTTTCAAGGTTCTTATCTTCCTTGCATTGGGTTAGCACATGCTCCTTCAGCTTGGAGGAGTTTGTTATCACCCACCTTCTGAAGCCTACTTCTGTCAATTCATCAAACTCATTCTCCGTCCAGTTTTGTTCCCTTGCTGGCAAGGAGTTGTGATCCTTTGGAGGAGAAGAGACGTTCTGGTTTTTGGAATTTTCAGCCTTTTTGCACTGGTTTCTCTCCATTTTTGTGGATTTATCTACTTTTTGTCTTTGATGTTGGTGTCCTTTGGTTGAGGCCTTTGAGTGGATGTGCTATTCCTTTCTGCTTGTTAGTTTTCCTTCTAACAGTCAGGCCTCTCTGCTGCAGGTCTGCTGGAGTTTGCTGGAGGTCCACTCCTGACCCTGTTTCCCTGGGTATCACCAGTGGAGGCTGCAAAACAGCAAAGAATGCTGCCTGTTCTTTCCTCTGGAAGCTCCGTCCGAGTAGGGCACCTGCCAGATGCCTGCAAAAGCTCTCCCATACGAGGTGTCTGTCAGCCCCTACTGGGAGGTGTCTCCCAGTCAGGATACATGGGGGTCAGGGACCCACTTGAGGAGGCAGTCTTACCCTTAGCAGAGCTCGAATGCTGTGCTAGGAGGTCAGCTTGTCTCTTCAGAGTGGTCAGGCTGGGACGTTTAAGTCTACTGAATTGCACCCACAGCTGCCCTTTCCCCCAGGTGCTCTGTCCCAGGAAGATGGGGGTTTTATCTGTAAGTCCCTGACTGGGGCTGCTGCCTTTTTCTTTAGAAATGCCCTGCCCAGAGAGGAGAAATCTGGCAGTCTGGCCACAGCAGCCTTGCTGAGCTGCAGTGGGCTCTGCCCAGTTCAAACTTCCTGGCTGCTTTGTTTACACTGAGTGTAAAACCTCTAGCTCCAACCTCAGCAATGGTGGACGCCCTTCCCCCCACCAAGCTCTAGCATCTCATGTCGATCTCAGACTGCTGTTGTGCTGGCAGCAAGAATTTCAAGCCAGTGGATCTTAGTTTGTTGGGCTCCATGGGGGTGGGACCCACAGAGCAAGACCAGTTGGCTCCCTGGCTTCAGCACCCCTTACCTGGGGAGTGAACGGTTCTGTCTTGCTGTGATTTTTGGCACCACTGGGGTATGGAAAAAAAAAAAAAAAAAAAAAAACAACTCCTGCAGCTAGTTCAGTGTGTGCCCAAAAGGCCACCCAGTTTTGTGTTGAAACCCAGGGCCCTGGTTGGGTAGGCACCAGAGGGAGTCTCCTGGTCTGTGGGTTACGAAGACAATGGGACAAGCACAGTATCTGGGCTGGAGTGCATGGTTCCTCAGGCTCAGTCCCTCATGGCTTCCCTTAGGTAGGGGAGAAAATTCCCCAGTCCCTTGTACTTCTTGGGTGAAGCGATGCCCCAGCCTGCTTCCGCTCACCCTCCATGGGCTGCACCCACTGTCTGAGCAGTCTCAATGATGAACTGGGTACCTCAGCTGGAAATGGAGAAATCACCCACCTTCTGCATCGATCTTGCTGGGAGCTGCAGACCAGAGCTGTTCCTATTCGGCCATCTTGACAGCAATCCCCCGAAGATGCTAATCTCTTAAGACCTGGAACCAGAAACTGGCACAGCATAGCTTCTATCCTGTTTCATTTGTCAAAGTAGTAACAGAGATTGCCCATATTTAAGAAGAGAGACATGGACCAAATTTCTTAATGTGAGGAGGGTCAAAAAATTATGCCTATTATTAATCCACTAAGGCCTTGAAGCAATGAGGTTAAATATTTATTGGGATATATATATATGTGTGTGTGTATATGCACACATATATATTTACTGAGATATACATATACATGCAGAGTATGTGTGTGTATTATATATAACTGGGAATTATAGGAATCATCCTGGGTTTTTAGTCTTACTTGGAGAAAGAATTCTACCAAGTGACTGATTTAGACAAAAACAGAATTTATTGAAGGAAAATAGAGAGCAGAGTTATCTAGAGAGACAGTACACTCTGAAAAGTTGTGACAGAGCAGGCTGCTGAAGGGAGTGAGCCAGTAGCCCTCCAAGAGATCTGCGTTGAATTTTTATGATGTTGGATTTTCCCCTGAGGTTCCCACCTCTGTCTTAAGTCTCTGCCTCTTTTCTTTTTCTAGTTTTTCCATTCCTGCCTTAAGTCCCTTCCTTTTCCCTGCCTGGTTCCTACCCCAGGCTTGTGGGATCCTCCCTTATTGCTAGTTGGTGCACATGTGTGAGCCAGTGTTGGATACTAATCATGTCATTTATCTTTCAGGAATTTCCCCTTAGCCCTCTTCCCCCTTGTTACCATGTACCTAGCTACATTCTGACATTTTAACTGCAGAGTCAATAATTACTGGGCATCTTAATGGACACTCCTTCCTGCATGGGTATTTTCCCCTCTCTCTGCTCATATCTAGCATGCATCTTTTCAGTGATTTGTGAGGTCAAAAATTTTCCAGACCTCACTTTTTTCGGGGGCTGCCCACTCCTGCTCATGTCTAGGTATCTGCCTACTCAACAACATATATATTGTCAGATCATGTGCACACTTGGGGAGATAAATGCCTTATACATCTCTGCTTCTTCTTCTCTGTGTCTTAGACTCATTTTATTCTATCCATCTCTCAACAGTTAACTTGGTATAAGACTTATAAAGCCAATATTATAGGTCCAGGCTAAAGAGGTTAAGTAGACTGTCTTCACTATGTCTAAACCTGGAAATACAAAAGTAAGACTTCAAACTTTCCCTAAATTTGGAGAGATCTTAAGTTTAGTATTCCACATAAAGAAAGGGTTGTGATTGAAAAGTTCTTTAGGAAAAGAAAATAAAGGTGGCAGATACAATGTATCTAAATGGCAGAATATTTTAAACTTTACATTTAATATCCTCATGAAGCATATATTCTCCGGGTCACCATAGGTTTTTTATTCCAAATGTTATGCACCTGGTCCCTTCATCATCTGCCTGGCCTCTGAATGCATCTAAGTTTGCCATCCCTGTCACTGTACTATAATGTCTAAGCACTATCTATTCATACGAGGTACCAGGTATGTCCCTTGTGCATAGAGCACTTGGAAATTTGTGGCCATAGTAGGAGTGGAGAATTCAAACTTCCTGGTCCTGCAAACTCCTTCCTTGAAAACAGTCATGACAATTGTCATATACCAGGCTGACTCAGGCATCTTATTTGCTAAGAGTCTTTTATTACTGCAGGTTTAATCTAAATAATAAGTATATAGTGAGCAGTAAAAATGGCTTCAAATCAGGATTCACCATGTTTGGTCTTAATGTATAGACATTTTCTAAATAAATACACTCACTCACCAATAATCATTTTGACAAAACCAGAAATTTTTCAAGAAACAGTGGGCTTTATATCCTCTGGTCAATTTGTTTTATTTTATAGGTGATAAACGTGAGGAGCAAAATGAAATGACTTGTCTGATCATGTAATTTATGGTAAAGGCAAGACTAAAAGTTACATACCTTATTAACATTATGAGCTTATAAGGATAAAGCTTAGTATTTCAATACATTATTATTGAAACACCAAAACAATTTGTATGTGAATATCCTTCTAGCTTTGAAGTACAAAGTTTGGAGAATCAGTTCCTCTTTATAGAGACATATTTTAAGACTCATGTAGCTTCTATTTCTTTTTATAATATGTTATTTCAAAGAGAGAGTGTAAGTTTGTTTGGGAAAATCGGCATTTCCCAAAACAAAAGTAAATCTGAAAAGGAGAGAACGTGTGTATTTTCTCCACCTTAGAATTTTCACATTTTCATGAAATCTGAAAAACAGCTTTATGGACTGTATCTAGTTTCTAATTACTTCGATTGCAACTAGTGATATGTAAATTATGCCTTTCTTTTATGAATAGCAAGAAGATGTTATGTACAGACTGAAATCAGAGAGTTGGATTTAAAACCAAGTGACCTCTATGCTTTTCAGTTTTTTTGCCTAGCGTAATTGTTTGGCGATTAGAGATACTATATCCATTTCACCTGAAATATCAGATGCCCTTAAATGGATAATAGCTTTTTACCATTGGTTCTAAAAAAAAAATAAATTGGCTAAGCAGATTGTTTAAACACTCTAAGGTGTTTAATACATAATACATACCAACGTGAAGCCACATTAAAAAACAGAAATACAGGTAATTGAATGGCTACATCTTCTAGGAACATCCAGCCCTGCATGCAGAAACAATAATCTTTCACTTACATGATGCCCTTAAATTGTAGCTCTTGCACTGATGCCCTTAAATTTAAGAACTAGCTACCAATAATGGTAATTCTTAAATGATAATGGCTTCAGAAATCACTGGTATTTGCATCACTCAGTAAGGTATTTCTCAAATAGATACAAGTTCCAACTGTCTCAAATAGATAACAATAAGGTCTTTCTCAAATAAATGTATTAATCTCTGTGCTAATGGATTATTAGGAAAAGGCTGATTACCCCTGCAATGCTTTTTAGCCCTGTAACACTGAAGTTAAGTCTAACAATGATCATTGCCAGTTGAAAATATTATGAAAAATCAAGTTTCTGATTATGACTTTGCAGGAATAAAGTGTTCATTTACTTTAGTTTTTAAAAAAAGTTGAAAATTTTAGATCTGCATCTAAATTTAAGAAAAATTCTAAGTCTTTTGAGTTGATTGAAGCTAGATTATGATAGTTATGTCAACTAATTATTGGAAAAAATTACAATGGCTTACATCTTTAAGTGAAGACACTTTAAATTTAAAAAAGCACTCTAACAAGTAAAATGTCCTCTCATAAGCATTTATAGCCTCAAGGTGACCAGCAATGGTCTCTGGAGATACTAAAACATTATTTTAATAAATAAAGATACAAACTTGGCTTTTTAAATGACAAAATAGAAAATAAGCATAGAAGTAACAAATTTGATAAAAATTGATTTAAATTTTTTCTCTTTCTTTATAAGTCAGAGTAATAATTGTTATAATTAATCCACAGTTTTTACCTCTCAAAGCACTTATATCAACAGCTCCTCACATTTGCAAGTTTCCTGCTAAACTAAGGAATTTTGGAGTAGAATTAAAAGTATTTGAGATATCTTATACTTTATTTTTAAATGTAATAAGGGTAGATGATGGCAAATTTTTTTCTAAACTCTGAATTCTGCCATTGTACTCAAAGATCTCTTCTAGAGCATGTATATACATTTCAAGACTGACTTTTCCCATGTAACACATTTCTTTCAAACATTTTCTATAATTATTGTTTTTACTAGATTAAGAGCTTAGACAAGAACTATATGACTTTATTTCAGTTTTCAGTGCCAAGTACATATTAGTTATGTTCTCATTTGTTTAAAAACTGAATTCATAATTCTGCCAGCCTTTTAAAGGCTAAGGTAATCAAAACTCCGAAGCCAAACTGTCTTGGCTTATATCCCATATCTCTGAGATATCTGTCTTAGTTTACTTCCCTGCAAAATATTAATAGAAACAATAATAACACCAATTTCTTAAGGTTCTGTGAAGATTTAAACTGTTAATAGATGTAAAAATATTGAGAAAAATGTGGATTACCCAGTAAGTATTCAATGAAAGTTGGGCAGTGGAACATAGTGGTTATGAAAATGGACCTGGAAATCCAGTGCCTGGGATAAATCCTAGCTTTACTATGTGCTATGTGTGCAATTTTATGCTACTTAATCTCTGTATGACTCAGTGGTCAACATGTATCAAATGGAGATAATAGTAATGTCCTTACTGCTCAGAAAAATATGTGACACCTATCATTTTAAGGATTAGCTATATAACTCAAAGAATATCCCAGGAAAAGTTTTTGTTATAACAGCTGAGGTCATTCCTTTCAAACTCCTATATAATTTGCTACCCCTGTGCACTGGGTGAGGCTATGTGAACTAAGAAGACATCAACTCTATATAAATAAAAGAGGGCTTCTTTATCCTTTTCTTCTCATTCCTGCCAGGCTTTAAAAGTAGAGCTACTTCTTTCACAGCACGATAGGATCCACTAATGTGACTCCCAAATTGAGTAGTCTGCAAGATCATGTATCTTAAAGGAAGGCCAAAATTTAATTGTGAGTTTAACAGGGAGAGGGAGGCGGAGACAGAAAAGAAGAGGAAGATGAAAGGAGGAGGGGGAGGATAAACAGACAGACAAGAGAGAGGAGAGAAAGAGAGAGAGAGACAAAGAGAGAGAACGATGGAATAAAAAGATGTTTAGAAACTTTAATATTTACAGGAATTTTCTTTCCTCAAATAAACAATCTACCCGTAATGCCTTATGACTACTTTATTCTAAGAGTTTGCAAATATATTTTGGTTACTAGCAACTTATTTCCCAAAATCAGTGGAAAAGGATCTCTAATATTATATACTGTTTCTTTTTTTTTCTTTTTTTTTTTTTTTTTGAGACGAAGTCTCGCTCTTGTCCCCCAGGCTGGAGTGCAATGGCGCAGTCTCGGCTCACTGCAACCTCCGCCTCCCGGGTTCAAGCGATTCTCCTGCTGCTGCCTCTCGAGTAGCTGAGATTACAGGTGGGTACCACCATGCCTAGCTAATTTTTGTATTTTAAGTAGAGACGGGGTTTCACCATGTTGGCCAGGCTGGTTTCAAACTCCTGACCTCAGGTGATCCACCTGCTTCGGCTTCCCAAAGTGCTGGGATTACAGGCATGAGCCACCGCATCCAGTTAGTATATACTGTTTCTAAGGAGCCATGGATGACCTGCAAGTCTCCAGTGCCAATCTGGCGAGTCATTTATTTCAATAGTCAGGACTTTGGAAGAGGCAGAATAAGGTCTGGAGATGATACATGTCCTGGGAAGAAAGTGTCACGAAACTCATGGTTGGACCCAATCTAATGAAACTACAGCCCATTCTCATCCTGTTTGACATCTGAATCCCTTGTCCAAATGCCCTCATTTTTTTTTTTTTTTGCTTTATCTTTCAAGCTGTGCTAATTTTGAATTTATTTCTCCAAATATTGATTCTTGATTCGACTCCATTGATGTATGACTGGCTTGGCCATCTATCAATTTTCTATTCTCTTTTCTGACTATGATTTCAACAGAATTGCAATCTATTATTAACTCTGACAACTTGGTATAGTCCTTTCCTTCTAAGTTTATATCTGTTTTCCTTTATAAGTTTTCAGTGGGGGATATTTCATTGAGTTTAAGTGACACTTTTATCCTAGGGGAATACAACCATAGGCAAATCAGTCAAAAGGTGAGCAAATGAATTCCTTTACCAAAGCATTCCTAAGCACGCTGGGGAAACATAGACACTTGTCAGCTGTGTAGTGGTTCCACAGTATAACGAGTTATACAGAGCAAAGCAATCTGTGGTGTTAGTGTTGAAAGAGCAATGTAACCAATTAAAAAGATTTTCTTTAATTACCAACCATATATGAGGCATTCCTGATTAACTACAATCTTGAACCTCACCTGAAATTTGAAATTCCATATCATCACTGAACACTGTGCCTTTTCTAAGCCCTACCACATATCTGAGTCTTCACACATTCCCGAGTCCTATCCCATTCTCACATCCCATTGTACCAGTAAGACTAGTCACTGGTACTAAGAAATGAAACTGAAAGCGTACAATCGCCTTTATAAGCTGCATTTAAATGTCCATGAACAAAATCAGTAGTGTCTTAATGGCCTAATCAAACTGCTAAATAGCTTTTCAAAATGAGCTACCAAATTCTGAAGTAACACCTTATCCCTGTTTATCATTAACATTACAGTTATCCCATTTCTTGAACAAAAGGATTATCTGCCTGACTTTTTTATTCATTTTTCTTTTTTTTTTAACAAAGTTGTTATTCTCATTTACAGTCATGGTGACTATTAAGCTCAGATTTTAAAAACCTACTTTTCATGCAGTTTATACCTTGCAAAATTAAATTGAAAGGTCAACTGAATACGTTTAATCATTTAGACAAAAATTCTTACGTATAAATTACATGAATAATAGACTAAAATTAATTCTCAAATGGAATTACCTGTGGACAAACTCCTGAACTCTTCAGAACTAGGCTTAGTTCGCTCAATTATTTCAGATAATTTACACACTCATTGTTAGGAAATATCCTGCCTCTGTTTTTTTGCGGGTGACAGAGGAACTAATGATCTTTTCCAAAGTGAATCATTGATGTATAGCATTGCGCTGCGCCAGTGAAAACTCCAGCTGCTTTCTCAGACCCACTTTTTATGCTTATAATTTTTCTTTGTTTCTTGCCTCCTTATCAGTAAAAGTGAATATTTCTGCAATTCCTGTGCCTTTTCTCACCCTCTCTCTTTACCCTTGGAACAATCAAAGTCCAGAGAGTAATATATGAAATAGTATGTTGAATATTAGCAACACATTTCATTCATCACCTGTAAAAGAGATAGTTGAGGGAAATGTCTGACAGTTGACAAAGCTTTTCTTGTCTTCAGTCCCATGGCACAGTTCTAATGGTTGCAGTTTTCCCAGATGTATATGGATGCTGACTGTGCTAGTTCACATGCTGTTCTTAGCAAAATGCAATGTGTTCAATCAAGCTGGTAAACCCAGAGTCCATAAATTTATCATGCAAATGTTAGCAGTGAGAAAGCCTTCTCAAATGATGCTTATGCACAGGGAGCCACATTTGGCATCTCTTTACAACCCTGATTCATGCAGTAACACCATTGGCCTGAGCAGGACTCTGGCCGAGTTTCTCATAGGCATTCAACACACTGGTAGAATTGTATTTATAATGTGTAATTATAATGAAAAATTTTTGATTTTTAAAATAAGCACACATGCCAACAGCAGTTTTTCAGGCATGATATATGATGCTACATTGTTAGAAACTATACTAGAATAATACTTAGTGTCTTCTTGTAAATGGGGGCACGATATGGGATATATGTAGAAATGTTTAAACACCACTAAATTATAGCAGGAAAAAACTCAAATGTAATAATTCATTTTATTTACTAATAAAAATGACTGATGTTTTCCAAAGAACAAACATCTATATGATTGTTTATTTGCTGAATTTCTCATATGTAAATATCAAATTTGTAGAGTATAGTCTATTGTATTTCTTATCTATACTGTCCTAGAGCACCCAACACCAAGGACAACTAGAATCTCCCGTTTGTGTAAAATCAAATCAAAATAAATGAAAAACATACATAGTGAACATAATTTGTATCATAGTTACATGTTTTAAATTCCTTCACAGACATTTTCAGTTTTTAAATAGGTGAGAATTATGTAAATCACTGATTTTAGTATCTTTTATTAATATTCATATATTGCATTTGTTACATGTCCATAGAAACTAACATTTTTTTGAGATCTTTCCATGCGTCTGGTGCTAGGGCATCTAAAATGTTTCTATTTCACTCTTCACTAGAAACTTCTAATGTAAATAATTTTATTCTCAATTTTTCTCAATTGTCTTTTCTGACTCTTTCCTCTGTCATTTTCATTACGTTCATGAAAAGGTCCAATAAAAATGTGTCCCTTTCTTAACTATATGACACAATTCCACTGCTGGTGCTTAACCCTACAGAAATGAAAATATACGTTCATATAAAACCTATTCTTTATTCTACTCTATTCACAATCACTCAAAAATGGAAAGAACCCAAATGTCTTTCCACAAGTGATGATACACAATGTCTGCTACATCCAAATAATGGAATCCTCCTCAGAGAAAGACAATAAACTATGAATACATGCAACGACTTGAATTCACCTTCAAGGCATTACACTGAGTGAAAGTAACCAGTTTGGTAATTATATATTAAATGGTTTCAATTATATGACTGTCTCAAAACCATAGATCCATCACTATTAACCAAATACTAATATTAGGTTTAGGTATTGGGGGATGATCTGATTTTAGACGAACAGTGTGAGGATTTTTTTGGGGGTAATAGAATTGTTTTGTATTCTCATTATACAAGTTCATTACATGACTATCTGCATACATTATATTTTATAGAAATGTACACCAAGTAATACATTTTAAAATATGATAATTTAAAAAAAGACTTGAAAGACACAACAAATGTAAGATAAGGTTCACAGAGTCTGGAGATTTTTTTCCTGGAAATAAGAAGACTTTTATGAAAATTATAGTAATCTTTAAATATTTTAAAGGCTATCTTATGGCTTACCCAAAATTATCCAAGTTAAGAACCTTTAATTTATTTAAAACCATTACTTGTTTCTCATAATATCATTTGTCTCATCCTGGTATGCACACTCATTTATAATTATCCTTCTCTTTTCAGCCTGCTCAGTAATCTAATTTTGTTAATTTTAAAACCAACCATTTAGGTCAGCCAGTACAATAAACATTCCATTAATTTTAGATTATTAAAAGAATCCTTAGTATTGTTGTCCATTTAGGGAGGTCACAATCCAGAGGAAGATAAGTAGCTGAATTCCTTTTCTTTTCTCTAGAGTTGTAAGTTGGCTTCTAAGTTTATTTAGTGACTGAGAACTGCCAAGATCTTTCAGTGTGGAAATTGGTGATACTTAATGCTTCAGCACATGGCTCAACATTAACATTTTAAACTTGGCATAAGTTTCAGTCTCAGAGAGAAACAGCTGCTTTGCTAAGTATTGGGGGAAAAATGATCATTAAAAGTTTAAAATAAGTGAAAAATGCTATTCTGCCTCATCATTAGGAAGTTTTGTGAAATGTTAGGAGTTGAAGCAAAGCTACCCCCACTTCATGAAATTATATGGTGAATATTATAAGTGAACCAGAAACACACACACACACACACACACACACACACACACATTCTGTCATGCATAGTATTAAAACAGAAATGTACAATGTAAGCAGAGTAATTCTTACTATAATTTGTTACTACACCTCAATTTGAATATAAAAATTTACTCTTGTGGGATAGTTAAAAGGTGGCCTACATCTTACTATTTGATGTAGTCCTATACACTAGTGGTCGTACCATCACATTTAACAATTACCATCTGAGAACGTTTATTTTGAAGTATTTATCCAGAAAAAAATTTCTCATGTAGCAAGCAATAAAGAAAAAATAATCATTTCTCAGTGAAATAAGAATGACATAAATTATGGCGGCGCTCTCTCTCACTTTCCCTCCTCCTTTTATTTTGTCCTTTTTGCCTTTATTTTATGATTTTTACTTTAACATACAAGGACATGGAAACTTCAGTCCTACAATAATGATACAAATAGGAAAAAAAGAAGAGATAAGAAGTAAAAATAAGTAGAATCACCTCAAGGGCTAGAAATAACAATGATCATGTACACATTTTCCTTATACTCTTAAACCTATCTCAAATTGGTTTCACTAGCTTCTACAATTCAGGCATAATTTTCTATATGTACTTCATAGCTATTAATTTATATGTAACTTCCTTTCTTGATTTTTACCTCTGACAAGAAATTTTATGTTAGATAGAAATAATCTAGATTTTCATCACTGAGTGAGTTCATTTTCTATTTTGGTCTTGAACATCTTACTCCATAGCCAGTTCCATTTCATTTACATTCTTTTGAGAATTTCAAGTATATTCAGACTCTCAAAACTCAGAGAAAGAAAAATGCCAATTCCTTCTCAGAAATCAGTGCAAATTCACTCATCCTCAGAAAGTGTATGTAACCTGTCAATGCATTATCCAAAGTTTAATCAACTGGCACATTTTAAAATACCATATTGTCTTAAAATGAATGCATAACATTTCTATTTGGAACACCATTTAAAATACATTACTATGTTTTGCATCTTTTTTTAACTTTTCTAAGAAAAAAAGTACATTTGTAAGTGCATTGTGACAAATGATGAAAAATAGTGTTTATTTATTAGATTAACAGTTAATATCTTCCAATCTCATGCAACAATTAGTTCTGAACATCTGTCACAGTCATAGACATTCACCTTCATTCAGATCCTTTCTTATATTCAAATCAAAAGAGAGCATCCTAAGGCTAAAATAAAACATATATTGGCAAAAATCAGGTATCCTCCTATACAAATTCCATTGAAAAGATAATTTAAAATATATGTATATTTTGGATAAAACAGTTATAATAAAACAATTGTAATGTTTTAGTTTTATCAATTAAGTTCTACTTTTCCTTCAGGAATAAAAAATATTTTCAGTACACACATTCTTACTTTTTCAGTGTGTTGTGTTTGGAAAAATAAGCCAACTAAGGAGTAACTCTTCCTTTCCCTATCCTTTGTATGTAATAGAAGAAATAACTCAGTAAAGCTGCACTGGAGAGCTAATAGAATCTCATCCTCTGTCTCCTCTGATCTATATCTTTTTAGAATTATACTTTAAGAAAGAAAACAACATCCAGATAACTTCCAAAAATGTACAAGCTGCTGGAAGTTACTCTTCCATTTTCCCTTGTATATATTATGTTTAACGCATCACATTGAGTGCCTGTTATGTGTGCAATATTTTGCATTAATAATGCCTCTTACTTCCTAATGAGCATCTGATACCTCTCTTCCTCTCCACTCAATATTAGTGAAAATAGTGACCCATGAAGCTTTACTTTATTCATTGAGAAACAACTGAATGTTAAGCAAGTTTTACAACCGGGATTTTGAGTTTCAGTTTAATCTGAATTTCTAACATGCTCCAATTAAGATAATTCTTTTATGATTTAGTATTGGCTTCAGTGTGCAAAAAGGGCTATTCAGTTTTTTAAAAAAATTACACAATACACAAAAAAAGATCACAATCTATAGTGCTTTCATGGTTTCCTATGTTTAGTGCTCTAACTGTTCATAATTAACAAGTACATGTAAATTGGTTAATTTCACAAAGTAATATACTAGGGCACTATCAGACTGAGCAGTATTCATTTAGACATGAATTTGCAAAAGGATATACGGAATAATTGGCTAGGGTCCACAGACTGATCTAATGAGAATGGCACCCAAGAAAAATCCAATTATCTCAATATGATCTCATGGGAACATAGGAAAAACTTACCCAGGTAGAATTTTTGACTTTGAGATGGCAAAAAAAAATCAAATTTTATAAATGTTATTGTTAATATTGTGACTCCCCAAGTCATTTTCTTAAGATGCTTCATATCAAAATTATGGAATAAAAATTTTTATTCTTATTTTACAGGCAAACTGAAGCAGCATTAATTTCTTAAAACAGAAATTTACACTTCAATAACTAATGATGTTTCCAACATTCCAAGACTTCCAGCAGTATAGATGCTATGCCACAAAATCCTGACATTGGGCCGGGCATGGTGGCTCACACCTGTAATCCCAGCACTTTGGGAGGCCAAGGCAGGAGGATCACCTTGGGTCAGGAGCTTGAGACCAGCCTGGCAAATATAGTGAAACCTTGTCTCTACTAAAAAATACAAAAATTAGCTGGGCATGATGGCAGGTGCCATTATGTAGTCCCAGCTTCTTGGGAGGCTAAGACAGGAGAATCGCTTGAATCCAGGAGACGGAGGTTGCAGTGAGCCGAGATTGTGCCACTGCACTCCAGCCCAGGTGACACAGCAAGACTTCATCTCAAAAAAAAAAAAAAAAAAAGAGAAAGAAAAAAAAGAAAAAGAAAAAGAAAAAATCCAAAACGCTGACATTAGATTTTGCCATTAAAAAGAAGAAAATATTATGTAATAACTTATTGTTTTAAGCCCTGATATGTTCATTACAATTAAAAGATTAAAGACGTTACATTCTGCTAAGTATTGTTTTATATTATCTGTTATGGTATATTATGAATGAAAAGTATATGGTTTACTGATTGTTTTTCATAAAATATTCTATGATTTTGGCTATCTTAGTAACTGCTTCATAGTTAAATCTAATCAGCACGTTTCATTGTCTTTCTTCTCTTATAATTCTAAAATATAAATCTGGGATACATGGAACTCTTTGACCATGTGGATCTCAAAAACATTTTTAGCCCTCAGTTAATATGTACACAAACTATTATTTTAATAGTAATATTTCCATTGTTATTATGAGATTTTTCCATTTAAATAAGTTTTGAAAATTTATAAAAATATTATAATATTTGCTACTAAATTGGCATGGATGAATATGATCCAAAACTATATTATGATTTCAAATTTAATATTTGATCCAGCATGTAAGCTAAATGATTTTATTATATAAAACAATTAATTTATCTTCATGGATATTTATGTGTGAAATCAAATATTTCATATATTCATTAATTTTATAATTTTAGGAACCAGCCACTCTGAGGTTCACTAATCAACTTTTCCATTTGTATGAGAGCTAATTCTTTAATGGGCAGTAATAATTTTCTCTGCCTAATGAGTCATCATGCATGCCCTGCATATTGAACACTTAAAATAGTCTTTTTATTTTCATCATCATCAACAATATTAGACTCTGTCGCTCAGCCTAAAAATTTTGATTTTTTGAATTAGGTATTTAAGTCCTCTTTATTTTAACTAAGTTATTAAACATTAACATAATTTTGCCCTTTGAGAGGCCAGTCATCTTCTTATGAAGTCATGTTCTTCTGAAAGTGCCCTTGTTTGTTACTGATTAATTCTCATTAAAAGCCACCACAGTCATAGAAATAGGACCAATTTCTTGAGATAGAAGTGTAATATGACTTACTTTTAATGACATATGTATATAGATGCAATAAAACAAAATTTAGTCACTACATATATCAAGCATAGCACTTACATACCCTTGTTTGCCTACTGGTAAATTTAGTACTTTAATAAGTGAAAGGTGAATTCACTGTGATTTTACATGGAAATTGTGACAGCAGAAACTGTAGTAGCAAATTATGTTTTTAAGCTTGTAGCATCTTCCAATATTCAATCATTTTATAGGAAATATGAAAGAAATTCATTCTCCAGTAAGACAAAAACAAGATTATTTATTCCCTAGGGAAAGTATTAACCAAATTAAATGCATTGCAAAATTTAATTAATATGAGCATATGGTATAAAACAATATTTCTCTTTCAATTGACCAACATTCAACTGCATACTAAGGGATCTGAGTATATTATACAATCCATGAAGTTTTGATATGGTTATTTAACCCCCAGTTGACACTAATTGCACCTGTATCATTACCTTTCCCTCAGATAAAACACTAAGTAGAAAACAAAAGAGAATAGTCTAAGTGGTGACTCCATTTGGATATAATGGTAAAACAAATTCCATTTTCTACCACCTTAGTTTTTTTAATCTGGCTCACTACATGAATTTTTTGCACTATGATCAATCATTAAGATTGTTATCGAAGATGTTGTGCTGCTTTGATACACAAGAGATTTCATAATAACCCCAATTAAAGCAAACACATCACTATCAACTTGGGAAAAACAATCCATTATAGCTAATATGATAAACTGTATCACACAGACTTATTAACATTTTATTGATAATGAATACTTGTTTCTTATAGATATAAAGCCTCAGATTAAGCACATTTTTTTGAAATTAGTTTATTCTGCAACATTGAAAAATAATTTATCTATTGATCATAATAATGTTAAATATTTTGATAATATAAGCCCTATTCTGCATTTCGATAACTCCATTGAATCCAGGAAATATTAGTTCACCATCAATTATCCTCACCTTATATGTCTATATCATTACACAGATATCTGGGTGATTAGAAGAAACAATTATTAATTTTGAATTTTCTACAAGAAAAATGTTGACTCACTTTTCCTAACTCCTCCATAATCTCCCACTACACTCCTTTTCAGCATCATGTTAGATTTCCCACAAGCCACAGTCATTAATAGATCAATGCTGACTGAGACCTCTTTCAGAAGAACCTTATGATGTCCAGTTCTCAACTCCATGTGTCTAATCGACCAGCTTAGTGTGTAAGAGTTTGAGGAGGGAAGGTGGTAATATCAGCTTTTACATGTCCAAACTAATGGTTTAATTTCTGTATTTCTTGGCATATGTTAGTTACTTAAAAGAGAAATTTCCTCCAATTTGTCTCTGTCTCTCCTGCTCCAGCATTCTCATCTAAACTCCGAGTACTTATTTTTTCTCCATATTGGAAGTCTTACAACCTAAGTACTTACCACAGTTTTAGATTTGCTTCAACACATAATTAGCCTTTCAAAAAATAGTTTAAACAATTTAGAATACATTTGTCTCTAAATGATGAACAAAGAAAAGGTTATTTCTACCATAATTTGAATATCTGAAAAATGATACCAAAAATTCAGAAATTAGTATTTATAATTGCCTTTTTAGAGAAAATTAATTTGGCAATATTCAAATTAATTTAAAATTCTAATTGTACTTTGCCAAAATGTGTTTGCCTCTATAGCATTAAACATCCTTCTCTTTTAATTTATGCACAGGGATAAACGCAGTTGTAACAAATCCCTCAAAGTATATATTTTATTCCTCAGTTCTATAGGATTAGTAAATTAACCAGCAAGCCAGTTGCCTGTTTTTGAAAATAAAGTTTTATTGAAACAAGGTCATGCCCATTTATATACCTACTTTCTGTGGCTGCTTTCCTGCTACAATAACAAAGTCGTTGCAATTGACTCCATATGGTCCACAAAACCTAAAATATTTACTATCTGGCCCTTTAAGAAAAGGTTGCCTAGTTAATGTGATGAAATTCTTGCTTGAGGACAGTTTCTAAAATAATTTATCCTACCATATATGTTGATTTTTCCATTCTGCATGCTGTATAAGGAGTAACTTCCCAAGAATAGCTGTAGCAGAAGCCTTGGAGTTCCTACTTGGCCAGTGTCCCTTTTTCAAGAACTTTCCATAATCCATCCACTGATGATCCCCTTTCTGTGATTCTTCTTTCAAATATCCTAAGTGCAAGGTGACACTAACTACCTACATCCAGTCTGATAGATGCATTTCCTCAAATAGGTCAATCTGATTTTTTTTTTCCCAGGTAATATATAATCAGTTAATTATCTATGATTTCTTGGTCTGTAAAATGACATATATTTGAAAGATGAGGCTGTCATGGACGCAATTTTAAACCATATAAGATTTTGAAACAAATGGTAAACATACAAAAAAAAGAAGAGAAATGAAAAGATAGCCAAAAAGGAAAAGAACCAGAAAAAAGACTCATGTAGAGCAAGAGAAAAGACACAGCCTCGATTCTGAAAAATTACTATTTCAAGTTTTTTATGAATCCAGTCTATTGTAGTCAGAAAATGTTGAAGTTACTATACCTATAAAAATAATAAGACATGAGCTACAATAAATAATTGGATAATAAAAATGTGTGTTAATAAATTATGCATAAAATTATGAAGTAAAAGTAATCTATAAAAATTGGGAAGATAATGCCTAGAAAAATAACAAAAGTAATGAGAAAGAGGATAATTTTCAACAGGTGATGTTCTTATAATGGTGCAATAAAAATAATACATATTTGAGAAACTTAACACTATGCTGTAAATAAGAAGTAAACTGTAAAGACAATGGAATTGAGGAGAGAGTGGAACCAACTAAGAAAGAAATGAAGGAGAGTCCCAGGATGACAGCTATGCTAAAATCTTCAAAGGTAAGCTATCAGATGTGAGCAGGAGAATGTGGGCCTCCACAAAGGAGGCATCTGCTGAAAATATATTTTAGTGTGTGAATATATGTACACACATAAAAAGAGGATTTCTTAAAATAACTAGTGTTGGAGAATTTTTTGAAAAGTAATTGAGGAGATAATGCAGATGAATAATGTCAGAAAATATAAGCCATATAAAATTCCATGAAAAAGTTATGTAAAAAAGGAGATATAATCATAGAAAATAATTTGAACGGTTATATAATGAAAATAATATAAATTTTGAATTCCAAATTTTGTAATTAGGTGAAAAGCAAAGCAGAAATTACTAAATAAATCTTATAGAACAGAATGGAATTACTTTTAAATTTGGTAACCAAAAATATAAATGACAGAAATTTGTAAGTGGTATTAAGAAAATTCTTAGTCATTTGAGTTGCTATAACAAAATATCAGACACTGGGTTGTTTAAACAACAGACATTTATTTCTCACAGTCTGGAGGCTGACAAG
This sequence comes from Homo sapiens, assembly GCF_000001405.40. NCBI lineage: Eukaryota > Metazoa > Chordata > Mammalia > Primates > Hominidae > Homo > Homo sapiens. The sequence goes on along the minus strand of NC_000004.12, from coordinate 59,763,319 downwards.
TCCAAGATTATGGTGCCTGCATATTGAGTGCTGATGAGGGCTCTCTTCTGGGTTTGCCGATGCCTGCCTTCTTGCTGTATCCTCATATGATAGAGATAAAAAGCTCTTGTGTCTCTTCCTCTTCTTTATAAAGACATTAATTCCATGATGAGGGCCCCACTATTATGTCCTAATCTATTCCTAATTACTTCTCCAAGGTCCCACCTCAAAACACCATCATATTGAGGATTAAGACTTCTACATATGAATTTTGAGGGGGACACTAGCTTTCAGCTCATAACAGGGAGAAAATATCACATTCCCATGTTACAGACTGAGGACTCCTTAATAGATACTGTCTATGTTTGATGAAACAATATTAAAACAATAACAACAAAAACTCCTTATAGTTATAAAAGCAATCAATACACGATTTAGAAGTAGTAACTTCTAATTGTGTGTTGAGAGAAAGGGATTATCAGTATGTGAATGAATACTGTTATCTAAATCTTACCTTTCAAAGGAAGGTGTCAGTAGATAAATATGAAGTTGACATGGCAAAAATGAATATAAGCATATTAATTTATCATATGAAAGTATCAAAAATACAAATAATATTGACTTAATGATTGTTTTATTTAATCTCTGATACTTTAACTTGGTGTCCTTTGTTGTCTTTCCTTCTCTGTTGAATCTCTAAATGTTGTAGATTTGATGCTGGAAACATTTTGTTACCTTCACACACCCTCACCTTTGGCAATCACATCGAAAATCAATGCTTCAAATACGACATATGTGCTGACGAATCAAAAAAGTGCATTTTGCCTGATATATAATACTTTATATACAATCAACAACTTGATATTTTACCCGCTGTCTTATAAATTTACAAAGGAGAAACATGGTAATTATTAATGATTTGTTCTCTCTATGCTCCAGGACTATTTAATCCATCAGTAAAAATTGTGTGTTTTACTTACCAAATTACCTTAATCTGACCCTCTGCCTGTATCCTAGAAAAGATAATATCATCTCTCACCTCAACTTCTTTAACTATCACCTAATCTTTTAAAGTTATGGGTAGAATCAAGCATTCCTCATCTGAAAGCCCTATAATGAGTTTCTATTTGGTTCTACCGAAATAGGAACTTCTTGCCTTGACCTACCTTTCCAACATCATCTCACCTCTATCTAACCTTAGAATATTCTCACATCCCGCATTTGCTCAATCACAGTCCTGACTTTTAGTTGTCAATATTTCCCAAAGTTTTATTTTACCTTTGCTTTATCTTCTGGATATCTGAAGAATTCCTGGAGCCACCATTACTTTGGCTCCATGCTTTCTTTCAGTTATTCTTTTGAAACTTATCTTTTTGGTGTGGCCTTCCCTCAGTTACCAAGCCCAATGACATTGGCTCATGCCACGCCTGTTTTCTCACACCCCTCTCAGTTTCTTCATAGCACGTGACCTTCTAAAATTTATATTTATGTGATGCGTATTTGGTTTTTTATCAGAATCTGTCGTCCTTACTCAACTCTATCCTCAATGACTGACCCTAAGCACTATATATTAATTTTCATTAATCTCACTTCCACACTTCTCATAAAGCCTGAAACATGGTAGGCATCATTAAGCATTAGTTGTATTCATCTCTACACTTATAGCCAAAAGCGCACCTGTTATAAATATAAGATTCAGAAGTTGCCAAATAAATTTTTAAATACGAATTTGCAAAAAACTGATTACTATTTAATGTATATGTTTTAAAAGATATCTAAAAGATGGTACCTTATGAATGTTAGGATCATTTTCCTTTTGTGGTTTATCCTTTTACAATATAAATAATTGGAAGGCAAATAGTTTATGATTTTGCAATAAAATTTTAGTAGTAGTGAATGTGAATAAGCAGGTAAAGAAATGAAGAGTTTTTTTTTGCCTATCCTATTTTAAAAGCGTTTTGTTTACAAACGATATTATTTATCTTACTTGAAGTATTAGAATTTCCTATTAATTTGTGTGTATGTTTTCCATTACAGATGATAATCTGTAAATACTAAAATTGTTAATGATCTTGAACATGATAACGAAGGAGAGTGCCAATGTCAAATTATTGTTCAATCTACCAAATGGGAAAATTAATTTGGTAACGTGCATCGGTTATAAACACAGTTCCATATTTGGAAACATTAATGTTGTCTTAGATCAAATTTATGTAGGTACACACAATTGAATAAATATTGAAAAACAAAGGATTAACTATAAAATGTATGCTAAGTAATATGCAGTTATTAATGAGATTGTTGTGGTGATAAAAATACAATGAGAAAGATAAAATATAGATAGATTTTTGAGAGTTCTTTAAATCTAGAAGGAAGTCGTTCAGTGAGATAAGGGAGAATATTGCTTTCACAGGTTCCTTCTTAGTTGCTGTGTGTTGATAGAAAGTGTAAAGGGTAGTGCCACTATTAGGAACAAAACTACATAAAGCAAAATAATGCATTGTATAATCAGGGGTAATTTCGAGGTAGATGTAAAATATTATTAATAAGAAGAAAGAGAAATGCCTTTCTGTTGGAAAATTTTAAAATATTAATAGAGGACCTTGCATTCAAACTAGGTCTCAAATAATGAGTAGGAGCTTTGGGGGAAGGGATGTAAGAATATAATTCTAAATAGGACAGAAATCATGTGTATAGAATTGAATTAAAAAAATAAATTGTGGGCTGGAAGCTGTGGCTCATGCCTATAATCTCAGCACTTTAAGGGGCTGAAGCAGGTGGATCTCCTGATGTCAAGAGTTTGAGAACAGCCTGGCTAACATGGTGAAACCTCATCTCTACTAAAAATACAAAAAAAAATATAGCTGCACTTGGTAGCAGATGCCTGTAGTCCCAGCTACTTGGGGAGGCTGAGGGATGAGAATAGCTTGAACTCAGCAGGCGGAGGTTGCAGGGAGCCAAGATCACGCCACTGCACTCAAGCCTGGGCGACAGAGGGAGACTCTATATCAAAACACACACACACACCAAAAACAAAAAAAAAATAGAGAGAGAGTGTTGAGGACTTTTATGAATGTGTTTAGAAAGCCTAAATGTTTGTTAAGTGTAATTTAAGGTGTAATAAAGGGAGATGGCAATAGATGAAAATGAACAGCTTGGCTGTGAAGGAGCAGAACAAATAAGGAGGTGTATATTCATTACTCATTTTATAGGAAACCTGATGCTAAGAGAAATTCTGACTTGTGGAAGAGGTTTTTTTCCTTAGAGAATAATCTCTCTGAAAAACTTGGAGCCAGAGGAAAGTCAGGAAAAGGGGGGAAAATGGAGGCAGAGAAATTAGGAGGCTTCAGCAAGATTTTAGACAAAAATGACTATTGTTGACTAAGTCAGAGGAACAGCTCACTTTTAGGACATCCATTTAGGAGGCAAACTGGAAGTACATCATAGACAGTTTTAGTACTGAAGTCAAAGTTAACATATCAAAACTGGGTTCTTACTTAATGTACCTATGACCTCCTACTTTTAAAAAAATTGATAGCAGTGGCTGCTCTAGATAGCCTGCCTCTGCCTTCAAGCTGGAGGTAGTTGAGGCTGTGTGTTCCATGTAGCTGGTGGGAGCCACACCCCTTCCCAGTTGGGGCGGGAGCTTCACAGGTGCCTCGGGAGCTCCACGGTTGCCACAGCAGCTGCCCAAACCACTGCTGTAGACCCAGGCCTCCCACTCCACAGAGTAGGCCGGATCCCCACCCTCCTGGACAGGGCTGCAGCCACCCAAATGGTGACTGTGGATTGGAGCCCCTGTTTGCTCTTGGGAGGCCTGGAGCCAGCAGGAGTCCTGCGTTCCTGGGCACAGCTGCAGCTGTCCAAATGGTGGCTGCAGACTCAGGCATTCCTGAACACTTGGGAGCCCAGGAAGGTCTCTTTGCCCTCACAGCCTCCAAAGTGCCAGCTTGCACTGCCTGGCTCCTTCCTACTGTCAGCACCCACTCCTATCCTAGGGTAAAGTCAGGGCTGATCCCGGGCACTATAAACAGAGGCAGGAGGAAGACAGATTCCTGGGCAGAAGGCGGTGAGTCCCCATTGAGGCCCCATCTTCAGGCCAGGGAGGTCCTGATGACTGGAGTTCTGGCTGCCAGACCCACAGACTAAAGTGGGAACTTGTGGTGCCTTTTGCGGTCTGCCCATGGATCAATAGATGTGCATTTACTTTCCTCTGAGGCCCATAAAAGCCCCAGGCTCAGCCAGAACTGAGCAGACGTAGGGATGATCAGTTGCACAGAGGAGCTACCCTCTCTGCTGAGAGCTTCAGAGACCTGCAGAGATGTCAGAACTACCAGCTGCGGAGAGGAGCTACCCCTCTCCAGGACCTCCTCCAGGGCTGAGCACTCGATGGGATGACCTGTCTACAAAGAGGAGCTACCCACTGCAGGTCTTCTCTGAGCTGTTCTAACACTCAATAAGCTACTCTTTGTTTTGCTTACCCTCCACTTGTCTGCCTACCTCATTCTTCCTGAACATAGGAAAAGAACTTGGGCAAAGGCACCACTAGCCATAGAGGTTTCCAGCCAGAAAAATGACACTCCAAAGATCCTGTAACAAAATCACAACAACGAAAACTTTTTTCAGTGTGATATAGAAATAATCTCCAAGGATATTATCAATAATATAAAATAACCTTACAAATTACAGCTATTTTTTATATTTCAAATAATTTCTATTGTTGAAAGAAGATACTAATAAATGTACTTTAAGATAAGTAATTAGATAAATATATTAAAACTTGACAGCAAAGTTCATATACTTACTTAAAAACAGTACATGGCCAATGCATTATATGACTATAGGTAGTAAGTAATTATAAATATTAAGTAAGTAAATTAAACCTGATAGCAAAGTTCATGTGTTTACTTAAAAGCAATACATGGCCATTGCATTATATGACTATAAATAGGCTATATGAAATATGTTATTTATGAATAGTGTCTGTATGGTTACATATTACATATACTTCATGTTTTTATTCTTGATAAAATATACATTCTGTTATTATTCTTTCAGTACTTTTTTCTTCTCAATGTAATATATAGATAAGCACTGCCAAATAAAATAAAATAAATTTTGCACTTCCCCATGACTAGCCAACCTCCATAGATCTCTAGTTTTAAACAGTTAAGTATTTTCTCAAAATAACAAAAACAAATTTTCTTTATTATTAACTTTTCAAAGCCTGTTGGCTTTTGTGAAATCACTGCAGCTAGGCTCAAATGGTGTATGAAATGAACATTTCCTGCCTAGCCATTGCACATAGGAAATATCATGACAAAGTCTTGCAGTCAATGTTCTGCTCATTTATTTTTTGTAATACTGAGGTCATGAAGTAAAACAAACTTACTGAGGAGGAGGAAAAGAACCACTGAAAAATTTTCTTTAAATGTCATTTTGGCCTGCCCCTTTTCCGTATATGCTAATTGGAGATATTAAATCAACTTGAAATACAGTGCTGCTTTCAATTGAATCTTCATGGATGCTCCAATCTCAAATATTAAATATAAACCAAAAATGTGTATATAAATTATCCCTAGTTGGTGAACAACAGCCATAATGGTTATGTTGGAATGAACACCTCTATAACCCTGAAGGAGGTTTGGGCCTTATGTGTCTTTTGTGTATTCATAACAGCAGCTTTAGAACATAGGCATCTTTCTTGACATACCTTAATTGTTGTTTATGTTAAATGACATGCTGGTAAAATGTGGATACAAACTCTCTTGGTTTATTAAGAGATGTGGCAACAGCGCAAAACACAGAACATAAACTCCCACATAAAAATGTTTCTATTTCCTCTTGTAGTACTCATTTCATTTTCCTGTTGTCCATATAACTAGGACCCATTGATATATAACAATAGAGATATAACATTATATTTCTAAAATGTGCATTTAAAGAATAGACATACTATACATCCCTTCTTGTGTTTGCTCTTTTTCCCTTGAATTGCATTTGCTCTATTGCCAAAACATTTAGAGAGAGTTTATTTTGCCTTTTCTAATCCAAAATAAGTATATGTAAAGGGTTAACAGGATAGGGCATTCACTCATTCAACTGAAGTTCATTGAGAACTCTATTTGTGTTAGTCACTATTTTATGCACCACGAGAAGTTAGAACAGGTAAAACACTACTTTAAAATTATTCATTTTCTCTTTTTGCATTTGAAAGTAAACAGAAAGAAAACATGAACATTATTCTGTTTACCCATGAATTTTATTTATTTATTTATTGTTCTCTAGTTCTAGAATCAAAGTCTCGAGTATGAGTAATTAGAATTGCCAAATTGATTTTAATAAAAAGTCTCATTGTAAGACCATAGTTTGGAATTCAGAAGAAAATTGTTTCTATAAACTGTGGGTAAGTTATTAGACAAGCACACAAATGCCAATTTTGCAGTTCATTTTGTGTTATTCTTTCAAAGAACACTGGGCTGAGAATTATAAAATATGATTCAAATTTCTCATTTTCTACTTGCTGCGTGACTTTGTGTGACTCAGTTGATCTTTGTCAGTTGCACGATTTCAGGCCTATGGTGACTGAATAAGAAAACAGTTGATGTACTGAAAAGGGCCTTATTCATTACATTAGCCTCCTGGGGCTACTATGAAAAGCACCACAAGTTGAATGAATTAAAATGATATAAACTGATCATCTTTGAGTTCTGAAGGTTAAAAGTCCAAAATCAAAATCTGCTTAGCAGGCTCATGTACACTCTGAAAGGTGTAGGGAAATCATTCTTTCTCTTCTAGTTTTTGGTGGTTTGCTGTCAGTCTTCAGCCTTCTTTGGCTTATAGGTACATTACTCCAATTTTCCATCTTCACATGGCATTCTCTTTGGGTCTTTCTCTGTCTTCCTTGACCATCTTCTTATAAGACACAACTCATATTGGACTAGGGGCCCTCCCTACTACAGTGTGACCTCAACTTATTACAATTGCAACGGCCCTATTTGCAAATAAGGTTACATGCTGAAGGTTAGGACTTCAACCTAAGTTTCTTGGGGGCACATAATTCAATTCATAACATAAATATTTAAATACTATACTGATTACTAGTGTATAAGTTATGGTACAATATAGATAAACTGTTCCCAAAAGGAAAAAAATGTATGTCAAAAGAAACTAATTTTCTTTGTCCATACCTACCATCACTAATCTGATGAATCCATACTAACCACAAATGACTTTCATTCCTATAATAAACCTGTGAGGTATTCATAGAACCATTTTTTTACATAAGTGGACTGAATCTCAGAAAAGTATTGACTAATTTGCTTAACATTATAAAACTGGTAAAATGGAAACTAGAACCCTTTCAACTCCAGGTATAATAACAGCATAATAATATTTTCATTAGAACTCTGCTCTCTTCTCTTGTCATTCTGTACATACTGTTGGATTGCTGTCTTTCACATCCATTAAATTGACTATTACCCTCACACTGCTGGTGATATTTAAAAAAAAAAAAAAAAAAAAAAAAAAAAAAAAAAAAACCCTTTTGGACTTCCTGCCCGTATTTTCAAAGGTTCTTGTGAAATTATCCAAAATGTCCTGCAGACACTACAATTGGACATGTTTAAAAATGATTTAATAATCTCTCTTCCTGCTTCATTCTCTAAGCCTGTTAACAGGGCCACTAAGCACCTACTAATTCAGAACAGACACTTGTAGATTCACCCTTGAGTTCTCACTCCCCTCTGCCCTTTCCCATACTGAAACAATAACCAAGCTTTAAAATATTTTCTCATGGATCTGCTCTTGTCCTACAGGTTTTCTGTATTTGTCATGTTACCTAATTCATTGAAGAGTTTATCTGATTTTACTATTGGCAGCATTATTTATTTTTTTCTCTCTCAGAAATACACCGCCATTTAGTACCACCTGAATTATCTGACTAAAATATATGTCACGTCATGTTTAACAAATATGTATATAAATCTTGTTCTATTCAATATAATATCCAAATGCCTTAGTAGAGAATAAAACATACTTTATAACCTAGGTTATATTCTACAATTTTTATCTCTCTTGTTACTTCTTTCTCCTTTTATTCCCTTCTGCCATTTACCTAAATCTAGGCTCTGGCTGGTGCTAATGCTTTCTATTTTCCAAATATATATGTCAAAATTTCATAATAATTATATGTTGACATTTAATATGTTTCAGATACTATTTTTAGCACTTTTAATGTTTTGATGTATCCCCATCCCCTCAACAACTCCTGAAGGTGTTTACTAGTATTATTTTAATTTTATAGATTTGGAAAGTATCTTTTAGAGGGGTTTTAATGACTTTGTTAAAGATACACAGAAACAAAGTCTTAGATAGAGGGATTTTAAGCTATCTCTGGAGTCCGGTCTCTTAACCTCTTTGCTAACCTTTTCCACATTGACATTGTTTAAGCAACATGTTTGCATCAATAATTTTCTTCTACACTCTTCCTCTATTCCCATAAAGTTCTTGTCTCTCTGGAAAATGCTTTCTCATTCTTCAAAATCTGTACAAATTACATTCCCCTTTCTCGTTTAGCTTGTTCACACAAAAGAAAAATATAATTTCTCTTGTATCTCTTGGCATATGAAAAATTATTATAGCTTATACAACTATATTTCCTGAATTTTTCAGAATATCACTATTATAAATATTATTTTATTGTCCTACATGTCTAAAATTTTGTTTGAGAATGCATGGCCCTCATAAATATAATATTATGCTGTAGCTTATTAGTTTACATGTTTCTCTTCCTCTTCTACTGATCAGGTTCTTGAAAATAAATGTCCTATTTTACTTGTCATACTCTCCTTAAACCCTGACATAGGTAAGATCTCAAAATTCAATGGCTGATTTGAATTGAATTGAGAGATTTATCCTTATTCTTTATAACAGATAAGGAACTACTTACTCTGTATAATTTGGGGAGGGGTAACATTATATTCTCATTCATAAAATGACATGAAAAAGATATTTTAATATTGAGTAAATGGAATGTTAATAAGTATGTATATTTGCAAATATCTAAAAAATAGCTTTTAAGAAATGATATTCAATCTACCCTAGCCAGTGAGATGTGGCATATTAATTACAATATTTTAATATTATAAAGATTCTGATATAATTCCTCTTTATTCCCAATGTATCTTTAATAATAGATCAGCTGTAGAGCTTTGATTTACCTACCTCACACACTTGGTAGAAGTGAATATGCCTGTTTGCACTCATTATTCACTAATAATTGTGAAAACACATTACCTTTCAGCACTGAGTATGCCAATCTAAACTAAAATTACTCAGTTGTTCTGGGATTTGGGGATTTGTTAGTTATGATCTTTGAATTGGAAAAAAATGATATCATTTTTCTGCATGCCAGGATATTCAACTGTGAACTCCAGAAAACAGTGATGCTAAATCTAACTTAATCATTTGAAGTAAAGGCCAGCATGATTTCTAAAATGTTAAACCACTTAAAAGACATGAAGAAGTGCTGTTTTTAAAAACCAGGCAACTTCTCAAATTAGGCTGTACTATGTTGTATGCAGCTGCTTAAAGACCTCTTTTAAATAATGAATAGTTTGCAATTACCATATCAGTTCATCATTCAGTTCTCTATACAAGTATTGAAGTACAAAAAGTTTTCTTGACAGTCACTATGTTTAATTTTTATAACTTTTTAGAGGCAGAATGTAATAAATAATATGTTTATAGTGATAACCACTTTAGCAATTTTAATAATATATTCTTGTGGTTACTTTCATTGTTAATACTTAAAAGATGAGGAGTTAAAAATATTAGAAGAGAAACATTTTGAAAGAAATCACACCTTCTATCTCTAAAATGTATAACATAAGGAACAATCAGTTGCTCATCAATACTCTTGTTCTTTTCTTCTGTGTGATATTTTCTAGCTCTCCTTTAGTTATTTGTGGCCACATGACGGAATTTTAGTCAGAGAAAAGATGCAGTGTGCATCGATTGTAGACCTGACTTATAAAACCTCTTTTTTGCTTCTTCGTGTTCTTTTCCACTTCTAACTGGAATGGTGACCTTGAAAACCATTGGCTAATGAAGCTAGAACTTTCATTAGCCTTGATCTCTTCAAGTCAGCATGGAGAAGACGCATCTGACAAACTGATTAGTCCCCAATTAGTATATATTTCTCCTGCCCTAGATACCCCTGAAAATACACCCAAAGGGTCTTTGTGTTTTCAGAATATTGTTTCTTATCATATGGGGAAATAGACTACTGCAAAGAAATTTATGCAAAAAAAAAACCATGCAGAGACCTCATTTTGACTGCCTATGCATTCTGAGTTCTTCATCCTTTTATTGGGTACTGCAGACTAAGCAAGTCCAGGTATCCATTTATCTTTGGTACTTGTTTTATTTGTTCTTTCAATATGCACATCATCAAGTGTATATTTTGGGCATGGCTCTTAGTTTCCAAGAGCTGAGTATTGGAATTCATGTCTTTTCCTCCTCTATTTAGATGTACTTTACACTCACTCTTAATGTTCTAGATTAGAGGCTTTCTTCAAGTGATTATATGTCCGCAAGCTGAAATGAAAAACCTGTTAGAAATTCAAATCAGATCCACTGAAAGTGATCACATTCCTAGAGAAAGAATCATCCTGGAGTCAACAGCATTTACCTAATTTTAGTGCCTTGCCTCTTTATGACATTTCTCGTAAGTTCATGTGAGAACCATACACCTACATGGCTTAGAAGCTCTTTTGCAATAATCTAATGATAACTTCAGCTAATTTACATGTAAATAATAGTAATAACCAACATATTTTAGTTGCTTACAACGTGCCAGTTAAATGCTAAGCACGTGGATGAAATGTGTTCTTTAATACTCATAACACCCCTATAGGTTGTATACTTTACTTTTCCCAACTTTATGGGAGATAAGCAAAAGATATTAATAGGATAATAATTTTTTCAATACTAACAGGCAGACTCTATACAGAGCTGTAATTTATACCTCATATAAACTTTTTACCATTCACCATTGACTATGCCAGCCTTTTACTAAATTGTTTAATTACATCAGGATATTTTTCACAATATGCTGCAGAGTAATGTAGAGAAGGATCCAATACAACAAAAATGGAAGAAAGGCATGAAATACATTTCACAGAGTGGGCAACATGTGTGGGCAATAAATATTTGAATATGTGCTCAGCCTTATTAATGCTTAGGGAAAGATATCTCATTGCCACAGTAATTTGTATTTTAACTTTTTGGCAAAAAAAAAAAAAAAAAAAACACCATCTAGCAATAGCATGTTTTTGAGAATCTATAGATCAATGTTCTCTTTTGTTTTGTTACTTAAATTAGAAACTATTGCTTTTTCAAAAAAAATAAACTTGATTCAGGATGTTACTTAATCTTGTCTAGAGATAGGTAAGGGGATAGGATGAGTGAAGAGCACATGATAAATATAAGTGAATGTTACATTCTATAGCCCTTATTAGGAAGAAAAGGCAGGATGTTGTCAGGTGTCTATTATTAAAATATATAAGCAATGTATTTTAAGCAGATAGATGAGGGTCTGTTACAGAAAAAAATTAATCTAACTGCAAAAAAAAAAAGCGAGGGACTAAGAAGTAAGAAATGGAGAGAACTCTATATTCTGTGGAAAGACCAATTTAAAGATTGTGGAATATTGCCAGGTGAGGTGTCATAGCCCCAGCAGCAGAGAGTGGTTGGCTAGTGGGTGGTAAAAGAATTTACCAACAACAGTACCGATTTGAAAGGATAGTTTTATTACATAGAAAGAATGCTGCAGCAGAATGCAGCCAATGCTTCAACAACAGAGGACCTTAAAGCGGGAGCTTAAAGGTAATTTGGACCATATTAGTCATGTAGATTAGGGTAAATGATTACATTTGTAGACAGTTTGCTGCCTTGATATTAGCAAGGGTTGCACAATAAGTTCCAACACACATGCATTCTGGAGATGTACAGACATTCTAGCTACTTATAAATTTTTGGGAAAGAGGCCTGGTACCAAATGCTACATTAGGTAAAAGGGACCTCTAATTACTTCTGAATTCCTCAGATATGGAGTTTTGCCTATGGATAGTCTGTTTGGTGGCTACCAGGTGATCTTTGCTCTCCACAAATATGATTTGAACAGATAGTGCATTTTAATATGTGAGGTATAGTGCTACGCCTTTGGTATGCAATGATACACAGTACTAAGATGAGAGGTGTTATTTTATATGGTGCTCTCCCTACCCTGTACTAATGCATACATGACCTGGCCCACACCCAACAACACTAGTCCTATTTATTCAGATGGAATCAAAGTAGTATAGATGAGCTTTGCATCTGTACTCTCTCTGAAGACTTGTAATACTGGAATTTAATGAATAATTCTCTGTATATTAATGGTTGAGGGTGCAAATTCTGGAATCAGATTACCTGGCTTTAAATCCCAAGTCTCCAATTTATTAGCTGCCTAGTGAAACAGGAAAAATGAATGTTACTACTTCATAGTATAGTGTGATGGTTAAATGTCATAATCCATAAAACATTTTGAACACAATCTGGAACATGGTAAGTGTTCAATATATATTAGTTATATTAATAATTTTCATTTTTCATATAAATATTTCAATACAGATGTTGACACATGCTTTACATTTTTACTGTAATCTAAACTATTACAAAAGTATATAATTTAAAAATGTGCTTCTATACAACCTTGGGTTTTATTTAGTGAGTAATTCAGTAAGATTTCCTCAATTGTGGCACATAAAACGGAAGTTTAAAATTTATTCTAATATTTCTAATTTTAAAAGTCAGGATGTTTGTCATTCAACACATATTACTACTTTAATGTATGATGCTGTTTTAATAACTGTCTCAATTAAAGTTATGAATATTATGTACTTTCTCAGAATTTATAAATGCTCATACATTTGTTTTGTTGCAGAAACAATGCATAACCAACAAATTTAAATTAATGTTAGACTTCATTTCACATACATCCTATTCTCTTTTTATAATTTTACAAATATAAGCTGAGAAATCATAACATTGTTTTTAGAAATATAATTTTTTTGTGGAGTCTAAATGAGATACATCATAAAATATAAATATAATACTTGGGCCGATATGTATAGTGATATTTTCAATTATTGAGGTAGTGCTTAAAAAGATACTCAGATATGCCAACTAACTATAAGTTTATGATTTCCGATCTTTCTTTATGCTGTGGATCAAAAACTCAGTAGCCATAGTTTGAAATTGTCCTATGTTGTTTAAATTGTCTTCAGACTTTATATGTATATGGCATGAGGATGGGCATAGTAACATACATTGCACTACTTAGAGGTATAAAAAAATAGAAACAGACAGAAACAAATACCATGAACCTGTATAGCGTTCTATACATGTTAGACTGAGGACACTCTGAACGTCTGGTACAGATTTATAGAAATCTTTAAAAGCACTATTTGAAAATATTTTAATTTTATGAATATCTATGAGTATATGTACATTTAATATGTCACATACTAACACATCCATTTGTATATTATGTTAGTTATTAAACTTGTGTTAGGAGATCTATTTTTTGTTCATTTTTAGGTACTCTTTTGGGCTGCTAAAAACTTGTTATTTTTATTTGTTTCCATACAGCAAAGTTAAACTTGGCACACTTAAGGATTTGCCATCATTCTTATACATATTCCATTAGCATGTATACCATCTCATGTGAATGTATTCTTTTTTTAGCAATCAAATCCAAAAATTTTAAATTAAAAATTGGCATTTTCGAGTATTTAAAGCATATTCAGCAAACGCCATCCTTGAAACCACTCTCCATTTTGAGCTACATAATTTTTGTGTAAGATTATAGATATTATAGACATTTGCTTCAGGAATATGGAATTATGAAATTGAATACTTTACTTGATTCGGCCACCAGTAAATATTGGGTAGTGAATAATTGTTTTTTTCATTATAATTTCAACTTTTAGATTCAGGGGCTAGTTGTGCAAGATTGTTACTTTGGACATTGCGTGAAGTTGGGGTTTGGGGTTTAAATGATCCTTCCACCCGGGTAGTGAGCATAGTAACCAATAGGTAGGTTTTCAACCATTGCCTCCCTCCTTCTCTCTGCCTACTGGTAGTCTCCAATGACTATTGTTCTCATAATTATGTCCACATGTATCCAATGTTTAGCTCTCATTTATGAGAGCATGAAGTATTTTGTTTTCCATTCCTACATTAATTTGTTTAAGGATAATGGTCTCAGCTGTATCCATGTTGCTTCAAAGGACATGATTTCATTCTGTGTTATGAATGCCTAGTATTCTATGGTATATATGTACCACATTTTCTTTATCCAATCTATCGTTGATGAGTACCTAGGTTGACTCCATGTCTTTGCTCTTGTGAATAGTGCCACGATGAACATATGAGTGCATGTGTCTTTTGGTAGAAAATGTATTTTCCTTTGGGTATTTATTCAGTAATGGGATTGTTGGGTCAAATAATGGTTCTAAGATCTTTGAGAAATCTCCCATCTCCTTTCCAATGTGGCTGAACAAATTTACATTCCCATCACCACTGTATAAGTGTTCCCTTTTCTCTGCAGCCTCACTAGCATCTGTTATTTTTTGACAATTTAATAATAGTCATTCTGACTGGTGTGAAATGGTCTCATTGTGATTTTGATTTGCATGTCTCTGATGACAAGCGATGATGAGCATACTTTCTATCTGTTCATGTTCTTTGCCCAATTTTAAATTGGGTTATTTGATTTTTGCTTTTGAGTTGTTTAAGTTCCTCATAGTTTCTGGGTATTATAGATCTTATAGATCTTTCTTGGATGTATAGTTTGCAAATATTTTCTCCTATGCTGTAGGTTCTGTGTTTATACTGTTGATAGGGTTTTTTTTTTTTTTTTTTTTTCAGAAGCTGTTTGGTTTAATTATGTCCCACTTGTCAATTTTTGTTTTTGTTAAAATTGCTTTTGAGGATTTAGTCACAAATTTTTTGCCAAGGCACAGAACGGTATTTCCCAGGTGTTCTTCCAGAATATTTATACTGACAGGTCTTACATTTAAGTATTTCCCAGATGATTTAGATTTTTTTTTTTTTTTTTTTTGACGGAATCTCACTCTGTCACCAGCTGGAATGCAGTGGCGTGATCTTGGCTCACTACAGCCTCCACCTCCCGGGTTCAAGCGATTCTCCTGCCTCAGGCTCTCAGGTAGCTGGGACTACAGGTGCGTACCACCACACCCAGCTGATTTTTGTATTTTTAGTAGAGACGAAGTTTCATCATATTGGGCAGGATGGTCTCAACCTCTTGAGTTCGTGATCCACCCGCCTCAGCCTCCCAAAGTGCTGGGATTATGGGTGTGAGCCGCCGTGCCCAGCCCCGCAGGTGATTTAGGATTTTTATAATATGAGGTCTTATATTTAAGTGTTTAATACATCTTGAGTTAATTATTGTACACAGTGAAATATAGGGGTCCAATTTCATTCTTCTGAATGTAACTAACTACTTATCTATCTCGGAACAATTTATTGAATAGACAGTCCTTTCCTCATTGCTAATTTTGGTCAAATTTGTGACAGATCAGACAGTTGTAAGCGTGCAGCTTTATTTCTGAGTTCTCTAATTTTTTCTGTTGGGCTATGTGTCTCTTTTTGTACCGTACCTTGCTGTTTTGATTATTGTAGTCTTAGAGTATAATTTAAAATTGGGTAATGTGATGCCTCAATCTCTGCTCTTTTTGCTTAGGATTGCTTTACCATTAAAACTCTTTTTTTCCATATGAGTTTTAGATTTATTTTTCTAATTTTGTGAAAAATGATATTGGTAGTTTTATAGAAAAAATGTTGAATCTGCAGATTGCTTTGGGCAGTATGGTCATTTTAACAATATTAATTCTTCCAATCCTCATGTGAATGTACTCAAGAAATTATGCAGAACTCATTTGTTAATTATCAATTAAAGTAAATGCATCAGTAATCCATGTTCTCTTGAGTCCATTTAACTCCAAAGGGAATTTTGAAGATAAAATTGTTCTAATCATATCAGTCTACACACGCAGTGTGCATACACACACAACTTGTCTATGTAAAGTATTTGAATGTTTTACTTGCAAAGTAATCCAAGTCAAAATGAATCTAAAGATAAATTACTCTGAGCCTTATTCAAGGCTTATTCAAAATAGAGACTTCACTATTTTGAATGTGGCCAGAAGATTTTTTTTCTTGTCAAAATTTTCCATTTTGGTTGATGTTTCTGTTATCAACTCTGTATGTACACATATGTGCATATATTTGTACATACACAGATACACATAACATGTCAAAGACACACAAATAATCTATGACGTTGAGAAAAAACATTATAATGCTAATTAATGAAAACATATACAAAACATTTTAGTAAAACAGCTTTATAAATCAGATATGTAGAAACAGGAATTGCATAAGAGCACATAAAAAAGTTAAACCTTATTAGTGATCAAATAAGTGTATAAGAAAGAAACAATGACTTTTCATTTAATTATTTGTCATGACAGCAAAGTTTAATTTAAAATAATTCTTTGTGTTATCTAGCAGATTCTAATATGAACATTCTCATGCTGTAACTTTTCTTTTGTGGAAAATTATCTATATAAAGGAATCTGAAACCTTTCATACAACATATTTCTCTAGGAGTTAAGATTCAAGAAATAATCAGAGATTACCTAAAGCATTTCTATCTAATCATGTTACCTACAGCATTATTGAGAAGATTTGAAATCTATCTAAATTTTTAATAATAGGAGACTGATAATAGACATCTATAATGAATAACTATGAAACAATTATATATCACACAGTAGCATATGCTTAAGACAATAGTTAAATGCTCATTTTAAAAATGTTTTAAAACTTAATTTATGAAAATGATAATGTATACAGTATATTTTACATATCATACTCCATGTGCACATGTATCACCTTTCTAAGGCTTTATAACAAATTACCATAAACTGTGTGGCTTAAACCAAGAAAAAAATGTTTTCTCATAGTTCAGTGGCCGGGAGTTCAAAATAAATATTTGGTCTTATGTGAGGGCTCTGAAGGATTCTCTATTCCTTGATTCTTCTAGTTCCTGGAGGTTGGGAGCATTCCTTGGCATCCTTAGTTCATAGATTAACTACTCCAATTCTTCTGTCTACATGTGGATATTTTCTCTGTGTGTGTGTCTGTATCTTTGTTTCCAAATTATAAGGACAGCAATCATTGCAATTAGTGCCCATAATAATCTAGTATAAGTTAATGGTAATTATATCTGCAAAGACCCTAATTTCAAATAAGGTTACATTCACAGATTTTGGATGACCATGGCTTTGAGGGAATACTATTCAATTTAGTATCATAACATTTATACATGCAAACATAGATTAAAGTACTGTGTGCATGAAAATATATTCTTAAGTGATAAACCTCAAAACGTTAAATTTGCTTATCTATGAGCAGTGTCATTACAAGAGATTTGTATATTTTTCTGCCATACTATTCTGTGGCAAATTTTTGTACATTCATTTCAAAAAACTATTTTAAAAGTATTTACATTCCTGCTACTGCCTCTGACAACGTATCTGATACCAGACGTATCTGACTGTGAACAATCAGAAAATTCAACAAAAATTTAAAAATCCTATTTTCAGATACTGGTTAACATGTAACACATGAAAATAATCCCTGCAATAAAGAAAACCAACTGAGTGAGTCCAACAACCACTTTAGCCTTCTGATTAATGCTATTTTCATAACTGTATCTCAAGGAAAGTCAAACCAAGCAGATTACGATGGTTCTTGATGAGAGTTTGAGGAAATGAAGGCAGTTAGAACTTGCAAAATAGACTACCAAAGAAGAAAGAAATACACAGAAAAAGTATTTTTGTTTTTTAAATTTCAACTAGGGGTTTAATACCTCTGGCAGAATGTCTTCAAATTCCAAATAGAGGTTCATGCATGGCCAGTTGGCATGATTTTTGAGGAGCCAGATAGAAAAACAACAACAACAACAACATTTTACTCACAAAGTAATCCAAAACTATGATGGTTTGCCAAAGCTACGATGGTATGATGCTATGTAGGTATGACCTACAAACCCGTGATGGTATGTAGAAACCACATATCATACCATTATAGTTAAATTAGCCTTAGAGTAAAAGGTAATTTTGACCCATATTTTTAAAAGCATAAAAACAAGCCTTGAAATAATCAAACTAATCCACCAGCCAAAACAAAAGCCAACATTCATTAAAGGAATCCAACAGCCAGGTGTCGTGGGTCACGCCTGTAATCCCAGCACTTTGCAAGGCCGAGGCAGGTGGATCATGAGGTCAGGAGTTCAAGATCAGCCTGATCAACGTGGTCTCTACTAAAACCCTGTCTCTACTAAAAATACGAAAAAAAAAAAAAAAATAGCCAGGCGTGGTGGTGGCACACCTGTAATCTCTTGAACCCAGGAGGCAAAGGCTGCAGTGAGCCAATATCGTGCCCCTGCACTCCAGCCTGGGTGACAGAGCGTGACTCCATCTAAAAAAAAAAAAAGAAATCCAAGAAAGTCTACTCATATTCAACATGATATCACAATAGGATATTGTGATATCCTATTGTTATATCACAACAAGCGGGTGAACCATATCAAGGAAAAATTTCAGATGGAATAAAGGAGATGACAAAATTAATAGACATCCTTAAAGGGTCATTGTAAACCTGTTGAAGTACTTTAAGAAAAACATAAACATAGTAAGTAAAATTAAAATTATCAAACAAAACAAATAGAACTGAAAATGAAAAAAATAACATTTTTCCATCAGAAGTAAATACTTTTCTGATAGTCTTTGTAGCATATTAAGCTCTTCATTAAAACATTAATAACCAGAGAAAACAGCAACACAAATTATACAATTGCAAGAACAGAGGTTGTAAAAACTAAAAATGAAGCAGAGACTCAAAATATTTTGGGATTAAACTATTTCCTTATTAGAGGTCTCATAAAGAGATGGGGGTACAATAGTATATATCTGATAAAATAACTGATTTTCTAAAAAAAAGATGCAAATTATAAACCCGTGAATCCAGAACGGTTTTATACAATATACAAAATAGCAAACTTCCAACAGGATAAACACAAAAAATGTAACAACAATGGGTAGGATAATAAATTCAGGGAAAGCATTGATAAAGAGACAACCTTAAATGTACCCATAGTAAAAAGATATAATGTATATAATTTAAAAAAATAAGAAAAACAGCCAACTTCTTCAGAGAAAAGATGAAGGTCAGAAGACCATGAAAAAACACATTTAAAGAGCTGAAAATAGATAATATCTGTAGCTTCATAAAATGAAGTTAAAAATGGATTTTTAGACAAAATAAAGTGAAAATAATTTATTGCTAAGTATTTTAACAGGTATTTTATAAAATAAGTTATATGAGTGGTTAATAAGTACATGTAAAAGACGTTCGAAATTATTATTTAACCAGTATTCAACATTATAAGCTATCTGTAAAAAATGTAAATAAAACAAAAATAAATACCACTGCACACACACTAGTGTTAAATTTAAATGACTAATAACTAAATGTTGCTAAAAGTGTGGAGTGAACTGAACTGGTGGAATACAGAATGCCATAACTACTTTAGAAAACAGTTGACAACATTTTGTAAAGTATAACACACAATTAGCATGTGACCAAGACATTATACTCCTACGTGTTTACCCAAGAGAAGTAAAACCATACATCTACAAAAAAGACTTTTATATAAATATTCTCAGAAACTTTATTGATAATAGCCAACCCCTGGGGGAAAATTTTTCTACCAAAGTTGAATAAATAAACAAATGGAATATTTATACAATGAGCTAATAATCAGCAAATAAATTGAATATACTATTGATACAAAAATATCTCAAAATCTTTTTGGTGTGCAAATGAATATGCATGCAAAGAGTATGCCTTGTATTATTTTGTAGATATGAAGGCCTACGACTGGCAAAACATGATGTACAATGACAAGGAGCAGAGTAGTAACTTCCTGGTAATGTGGGGTAAGGAGGTGTTGGAAGTAACTCAAGTAAAATTTAGAAGAGACAGAAATTGTCTAAACATTGAATAGAGTGATGATAACATGGGAGTCAAAAGTCAGTATACTGGACGCATTTAAAATGTCTATATTTGTATTTTTGTAAATTATACCTCAGTATAGTTAATTTTTAAAAAGTATTTATTCCTCTTAATACTATCCTAAGAATTTATCCATGAAGCAATATAAGATATGAAGATTCAAGTTTTGCAGAAAGATATTTGCTTCATTATCAATTATAATTTTACTCGTTATGTAAAATATCCCACAATATATAGTGAAATGGTTGACTGAGTGAATCAGGATAAAATAGTATGAAAATAAAATTAAAACTATATATGCTACTGATCATTAGTGACATTAGATATCTTTTAAATAACTGGCATTTCAAGAAAGTATGAAATATGTTTTCAGAATTGTAATAAATTAAAATTCATGGAAGATACTATGAAAGAAATAAAATCTCTAGTGCTCAAAATGTTTCTTTATAACAAAATTTATAACTTGTTATTCTATTTTACAGAGGTCTTTGTCCTTACCACATCTAGCTTCTCAAGAAAAGAAATTTTAAAAGTACCGTAAATTACTTGTCTCATTGTTAAAGATTATTAGCAATGCTGTTATTCTCTGAGCACTAACAAGTTTGTCAACATCAGTGAAATAAGTTTTATTTAGGTTTTCACAATATTTCCTTTTCTCAGGTTTACAGAGTCACTTTTGACAAGATAGAAACCTTGGCCATTGAATCATGATAGGAGTATTATGATGGTCTTCCTTGTTTCTAAGTAATTTCAGTATCATTGACCAGCTGCATTTTAAAGTGTCATAATATGTGTTCAATGCATAAGCTCTAGATCAAACCTACAAGCATGAGTTCTAATTGGATTTGTGACTTTGAACAAGTTATTGAAATTTTCTCTCATTTAGTAAAATGTGAAGTATAATAAAAATATAAAGTTATTTAATGCACTTAAAGCATCCTGAACAATACCTGGCAGAAAATTTGCCTAATAAGTGTGCTTACTATTTTTCCACTTAAGCTTTTGTACTAATATTTTAAAGTGGTTTGTAGTTTTAAAGTCTTTTCATAAGCATTATGCATATGTTTGTATCATTACTACTACTGTCATTATTATTATTTCAATTTTGTAGTTAAAGTCATTGACACTCAAAAAATTATGTTATGAAGTCAATAAAGGGCAGAATTGTGACTTGAACCTGTCTTCTGACTACAAATTCTATAACTTGTTCATCATGCTACATGCCCCGATCTATGAAATTAATTGGCTCTTTTTTATTCTACTAAAAAGAAGCAGGATATTCAGAGATATTATAAGACCTATAACAAACTATAAAAAATAATTGTAGGTTGTGCTAAGGCCAAAATTAAAAAAGGTTCTCTATAAACAGCCTAGGAATAAGTGTTTCTTCAATTGCAGATACAGTATTTTATTGATTCCAATGATTTTATTTCCCAGTCCTATGGAAGTTTATGGTAAAAAAAAAAAATCACATTTACATTAAGTACAAAATTCTATGGCTGACAGTTATGAATCTTTCTTTGTAACATGCAAAATGTTGGAAAATATTTACTTTACAGTATAAAATAATGGGCTTTTTGTTCTAAACTAAAAACATGTTACTGCTAAGCCATAGGTTTGGACAAGCATTTTTATGTGTTTTCATAGGGCATGACTGCAGCATATTTCTTCAGAAAATTATGGCTATATTTTCAAAACACTGCCATGGTGAAGAATTTTCGTATAAAAAACAAGAAGATCCAATCACTCCTCTAAGATTAGCTAATAAATATTTTAAAAGTAAATTTTACATCAAGGGGTTTAAATACATGTCAAATTCTATGATGTAAGCCACACAAAATAAGGCCAATATACTCCATTTTCTTACAGCAACTACCTGACCTAAAGTTCTTTTGTGGTGGTTCTTTATTCTATACTATCTATCTTCATAGTGTCGCAGTTAGGAATGGGGGGATAGAATGAACATAATCACACTCACTAAGCAGTTTCATTCTTTGTGAATGGTGTCAATTCACCAATAAATATTTGTGTTTTTTTTTCATGTGCAAAGTATTCTCCTAAGATATAGTATTCATGGAACAATTCATAAATGGTGAAATCCACCATTTAAATGGAAACCTAAGATGCAAACATTTGATGAATTAAATTGAAATATTTATGATAGCAATACAAAACAATAGGTGACATGCGCTACTTAGGTGGAATAAATTATGAGTTAATAATAGTCTATTGAAGAGGAAGTGGAAAAGCAAGCAGCTCAGGGAAGTTTACTTGATGTTTCTATGTGTGACATGTATTATATATGAGACTATATATAAGTATAAAAAATGTGTATATATATATATATTTATGTGTGTATATATACACACATATTTTATTTATAGTCTCAATATAATATATAATGTGTATATATAGATATATATAATCCATATATATACACACATAGATATATAGAGAGTATATATGCATATATATGTATATGTGTGTATATACACATTCTATGTGTGTGTGTATACATAATATATATATAGAGAGAGAGAGAAAGAGTGCTAAACAGTGAGGGGAAGAGAGGCTATTCTGTCTGTCAGTACTTTGTCTGCTGCCAGTTTTTGTGGCATTTGTATGTGCTAGTTCAGTTCACTTCAATTAAGCATTTCTTGACTACCATATGTATACTAAGCACTTGTTAATGATAGATGTGTGTTGATGTGAAGAGGACAAGTAGGAATGATGAATACAATGTTACTCACTAAAATTGTTAGGTAGATAGATAGATGGATGACTGGGTAGTAAGGTAGATGGATGGATGAATAAATTGACAGATGATTGATGGACGGAAGGAAGGAAGGAAGGAAGGAAGGAAAAGAAGGAGGAAGGGCGGGATGGAGGGAGGGAGAGGAGGACGAAAGAAAATTTGAAAACCTTCAGCTGTGTGTATGTGTATGTGTTTTCTAGTGAAGTGCCTGGCTGGAATTGGTCATTAAAATTACATAAGACCCATTTTAGCATGCAGGTTTTCATGATGAATGTAACTTGTTTTGTCATCAAAAATTATAGTCCAAATTAAATGGCTCACCATGGCTATCTGGTGTGGATTTCATGTGAAAAATGTTTAAACTCAGGGAAATTCAAATCAAAACCACAATGAAATACTATACCAAACCAGTCAGAATGGTTATTATTAAAATGTAAAAATTTGAGGCTGTTGAGTAAAGGGAACACTTATACACTGTTGATGGGAATGTAAATTAGTTCAGCCACTGTGGAAAGCAGTCTGGAGATTTCTTAAAGAACTTTAAATAGAGTTACCATTCAATCCATTAATCCCATTACTGAGTATATATCCCCCCAGAATGAATCATTCTACCAAAAAGACACATGCACTCTTGTGTTCATTGTTGTGCTATTTACAATACCAAAGTTAAGGAATCAACCCTGGTACTTATCAATAGTAGACTGGATAAAGAAAATGTGGTACATATACAGCATGGAATACTATGCAGCCATTAAAAAAACCCAAATCATGTCCTTTGCAGCAACATGGATGAAGCTGGAGGTCATAATACTAAAAAAATTTAATGCTGGAACAGAAAGCCAAAACACTGCGTGTTCTCATTTATATGTGGGAGCTAAGCATTGAGCACACATGGACATAAATATGGGAACATAAATAGATACTGTGGACTATTAGAAGGTGGAGGGAGGCAGGAACGGTTTTTAAAAACTACCCATTGGGTACTGTACTCACTAACGGGGTGACGGGATACATACTCTAAACATCAGCATTGCACAATGTTCCCATATAATAAAGGTGCACATGCACCCCTGCATCAAAAATAAAAGTTGAAACTTAAGAAAAAGAATGATTATAATATATTGCTGTTATCTTTGATTTTACATTTTGAGCAAACAAATTATCTTTTCTTTTCTCTCCAACCTTTTGAATAAATTACCTAAAGCAATTCTTATCTATTCCATTAGGAAATTATTAGGAAATCAGTTGAATTAATGTCTATAAATAAACATTAATTATTCTGCATGTTTTATTCAGTCTTCTTAATTTACATCAAGATCCTATTATGTATGTAATATATAAACTATGAGTTATTATTTTTGATTTCCTCTTTCTTAACAATGTGTGTGATATTTCTTCAAGGTGCTGCTTGACAATGTGAGGGAAGAGTATTTTAACCAAATACCTGTGGAGAGGGTGGTGATGACTCCTGTTTTCAAGATAATGCCAATGAGCTTATCATCCATCTTAATTTCTCGTGACATGTTTATCTACTTAATTCACTGTGGCATGAAGGAGAGATGAAGATTACAGGCATTAGGTGAGCTTGAAAGCATGCAATATCATTTTTACCTTATTAAATCTGTGAATTTAAAACAAGAGGAAGGACAGAAAATAAAGAAAGAAAACTCTGTCATGAAAATAGCCCTTTCAAAAATTTCTGTTTAAATCAATTACAGAAAACTAAGATTTTAAGAAGAGGCTTATGCAGCAACTACCATAGGTCAGAAACAGTCTGCTACATGAATATTATCTTGCCCTTTTAAAATAAAATTTTTATAATCTTGTTAGTATTATCACAATTAAGTTTTGATTATAATACTAAAAAGATTATAAAAATTTTGTTTTAAAAGGGCAAAATAACATAACAATATTATACATTTTAAATAGATTTTATAATATTATATAATAATATAGTATTATAATCACAACTTTCTTAATTCTTTGCCAACCAGCAAGTTTGTGGGGAATTAAAGTACAATAGCCACTAAAATATAAACAAGGAACAGAACTACAAGAATATTTTGAATTAATCTATTACTTTAAATTCAGCACTAAATAATATGTTTTATTCACTTAGAGAAAGGAATGCATGTCATTTATAGATGTCACATCTAAAAGCACTCAAGATTATCTTAGAAGCTGACTAGTCTCAAGAATAATAAAAGCACCTATATTCACCAAAATAGAATACGGTAGAAAAACTATAGATCTATTTTAATAAACTGGAAGTTCATACATATTTTATCTAAAACGAACTTCCTAATAATTTTTGGTTTCATGATATTCTGAGTTATTTTAGTGCAATAGAATATTTTTAAACTGTTTATCTGTTCCAGACATTCATATAATTTTACTCTGTTACAATTTATGTGTGACAGGTTACTGGATACCCCTACCTCCACTCCATCATACAGACCTCCCTCTTCTATATCAGTACCACTGAAAGAGCAGCATTGCCTCTAGAAAGAGACTCAGCTCTCCAAAGCAATGTATTATCCAGTGTTCACTCTAGACACATAGGAAATAGGAACTTTAGGTTAGTTATGGTTGATTGGTACACCTAACGAAAGCAAAGTATTTTAACTCTTGTTTGCCTTTCAATCACTGGTTTTCACATCTTTATTTATTTTTATATATTCAAATTAATGTTCTGAAAAATACAATAGAATCATTTACCTTATTTATAAAATCTAAAGTTATAAAAATGGAATTTTTGAGCAGGGGGCCTGTAAGGATGGAAGAGTTTGGTAGAATATCTCACACACTCAATATCGTGTAAAAGCTTTAGCCTTGTAATCTGATAGACCAGGACTATAATTCTAGCTCCACTATTTACTAATTGTGTGAATCTGCAGCAATTACTTAATTTCACTTATACTCAACTGTGTGACTTGTTGTAAAAGGGCAGAATAACGTAACAATGTTATACATTTTAAATAGATATTATCTATTTCAAAGGGTTCTGGTGCAAATAAATGAGATATTTGTTCATCTTAATGCTCAGCATAAATGCATGTTGAATAAATAGTAGCTATCAATATCAATTATATCCCTGTTATCTTCCAAAGATTATGTTTCTAAGGACAATTTAATGACTTTTTGAACTTCAGTTTGTTTTCTTCTTTTCACTGAGTTGTATACAGTCACAAACACGTAGATTCTTTTATTGTGAATGTTTTAGAATTTGGAAGATATACAGAAAAGGAATGCCATTTCCTATCTCAATATGCTATACAATGTCTTTTTCCACATGCTTACCTATATGCCAATCATGTATGGTTATACAAAGGTCATGCAAATAGAAAATAATAATATAATATTTTTAATGAACAGCTCAAATTTTCATGAGATACTTACTTATATAATTCTATAACTATTCAAATTATTTAAAAATACTTCTACCTCTTTTCAATATTCCTATTAAGTGGGATAATAATTTGGTGATGTTATCACCATGTTTGTCAGCCAATGGAGAGGAATTGCTTATCTACTTCTGGATTCTATTTTGGACTCAAATAATCTAACTTAGCCTTGTCATAGCATTTCATTATTAGACATGGACAAATCAGTTGTCTCTCCCAGTTGTCTAACTTATGTAACTGATTTTGTACCTGAACTAAAGTCATGTAAATTCCTAGCATCAAAGTAGTATACTAGGAAAGTTAGCTTTTTCAGTTTTAGGGGACAGGTTTTTAATATATGGATTTCTATCATAACATTTGTAAATTAAATTGGCCTCACAGTCGACAACTAACAAAGTCCTAAAACCATTTTATCATTGAAGTTAAACTCTGAAAAATCAGACTCTGAATTTTTAGCTCTTTCTGAAGAAGTATGTTTGGTTTCCTAGCTTGTTTTAAAGAACAGTTTAGTAAATACGTCTTAACTGATCACTATTCCTGAATTTGTATTTAGACACAATTTTCTTTCAGAATAAAGTAAATTAAATATACAAAGATTGAAAGATTCATTTTAACCCTGTAATTCATAGATTAGTATTATATGTTGGTCTTTGTATTTCAAAACAATCTCTTCAAATGGAACAGTATTTTTTTTTCAATGTGTAATATAAACAACATTAAGCAATTTATTTCACATATGAGTAAACACTCTGTATTAGTTGGCTAGATTTGTCATAACCAAGTACCAAATATTTAGCGGCTGAAGCAACAGAAATTTATTTCTCACAGTTCTGGAGGCTGAAAATCTAAAATTAAGGTGGCAATATGTTTGGTTTGTTCTGAGGCCTCTCTCCTTGGCAGGCAGGCTTCTCACTGTGTCCTCACACGATCTTTCCTTTGTCAGTGCACATACCTGATGGTTCCTTGTGGGTCAAATGTCTTCATCTTATGAAACCACCGGCTTGATTGGATCAGGGTCCACGTGTAAGGCCTTCTTTTAAGTTAATCACATTTTGAAAGGCCCTTCTACAATACAGTCTGTCTTAGTCCACTTGTGCTGCTACTACAAATGCCTGAGATGGGAGTTTATGAAGAACAGAACTGTGTTTTTTCACAGATCTGAAGACTGGCAGGTCCAAGATCAAGGTTCCAGTAGATTTGGTTGTCTGGTGAAGACTGTTCTCTGCTTCCAAGACAGTATCTTGATTCCACATCTCTGATGTGGAAGAATGCTGTGTCCTCTCATTACAGAATGTGGAAAGGCAAAAGCAATTAACTCCTTCTGTCAAGCCTTTTTATAAAGGCATTCACAAGGGAGGAGTCCTTCTGGCCTAATCACCTCTTAAAAATTCCACCTCTTAATGCTATCACATTGGCAACACCTGAATTTGAGAAGGGACCTACTCAAACCGTAGCACATTCACATTCTGAAGTACTGGGATTTAGGGCTTCAAAATGTGAATTTTGGGAGAACATAGTTCACCCCATAATACACACCATATAAAATATAATTCCAAAGACGTTATAGCTTGTGTTTAATTTCACATTGCAAATTTAGACAAAAATGAAAATAGATACATTGTTAAAAACAAATGGCAGAGTGTTTTGGCAGAGAAGACAAACTTGATGGGTGAAGGATGAATTGACATTGTTTTTAATAGCTCAATTTCATTATTCTAGGCATGCGATACATTTTTAATAATCTCATAAACAATTGAATTAATGTAATTTCTTTCTCTTGTTGCATGTTCATGTTATGAATAGCAATTCTTTAAAAAAATAGGAGATATTTACAAGACACTGAACTGCAGGGGAAATGATTTGCTCCTCATATTGGTAGTATTGTGTCTTACTCCCCCATTGGTAATATCCAAATAATTCACCCTGATTAATGTTAGTATAACGAGAAGTTAGTAAAAGAGAAGTAATAGTGATTTGCCAGTTATTACAAACTATTATTATCATTTAGGAGTATTATTACAATCCAGTGCTATTACATTTCTCATAAATTGAATAAATTAAAATATAATTTAGAACAAATATGACTAAACTAAATAGTATGCATTTTCTATGTGATTTTTCTGTGTTTTTTCCATTTATATTAAATTTAATATTAATGATAGCTTTCAACTTGATACCACAGGCAAGTGATGACCTGTTTGTATTCTTTGAAGAGTTATTTACTAGGTACTAGCCATCTTTTAAATAACACCTTGCAGATATGTTTATATCTGAAAACTCATCAAGCTACTTACTTTTCATATCAGCTTATAAACTACTCTTTCTTTTGAAGCTCTGGTACATGGCTTATTAAAAAGCCTTAGCAGCATATATGTTTAATAATTCATATTCTCCGTAAATTTATTTAGTAATACACTTCATAAAGTATATTACATACTCTAGTTAGTAAATTTGTCTTCTGCTCAGTATGAAATTACAAGTCTGAAACTGTTTTATGTGTACACTGCTTGAACAAACATGTAAAAGTATTGTAGATAGTAAGAAATGTGGCAAAACCTTGTCTCTACAAAAATAAAAAAAATTAGTCGAGTTTGGTGGCACGCACCTGCAGTCCCAGCTACTGCGGAGGCTGAGGTGGGATAATCACTTGAGCTTGGGAGGTGGAGGTTGCAGTGAGCTGAGATCGCATCAATGCACTCCAGCCTAGGCAACAGGGTGAGACCACATCTCTAATAAAATAAAATAGTAAAATGAAATAAATAAGAAAGAAATAATAAGAAATGTTTCTCACTATTAGAGAAAGAATTTATAAGTAACGAAGGAGGGGATACTAAAATAATACCTGTGATATTGAATTAGAATCCATAGTATCAGCATGAAATCTTATGTGTCTTTGTCTGGATATTAATTTATCTATCTATCTAACTATCTATCTATCTGGCACATATGTAATTTAATAGGCATGAACACAAAGACATTATCTATATATTTCTAAGCTTAATCTTCTGAAAGGACCGAGGACCAATGATACTCCTGTAACAGTAAGCAAAACTAGTGCCTAGATCCTGGTTTCTAAATAAAGTTTTCAATAGAAAGAAATGGGGCTCATTAGACAAATAGTTGATTATAGAAGTTTTGTAGTGAAAATGCAAGGTAAAATAGAACTATCTTGTGGTGCCAAAAACATAAAAGTGTTTTTAAAAATGGGATTATGTCACAAGGACAAAGAAGACGACCTGAAGAAACTTCTGAAGGCCAAAGCTGAAACAATTTTAGTAACAAAATAAATAACTGTGGTATTGAATTACAACCCATAGAATAAAATAAATATTGATCAGCTCATAATTACATAAAAATAATAATTGAATAATAAATATAGGAGAGAAGAAGCTGTTCTCTATTATACAAATATTCAATAAACATTGAAGAAATGAGGCAAAAATAAAATTACTAATAAGCAAATGCATATAAGTAATTATTTCAGGCAAACTCTACTCACGAGTGTTAAAATCAGTGGGAGAGATCAGAAAATAGGATATCTGTATAATCTCAATGCATCCCCGAGAGGTATGTTTTAATTATGAAAGAAATAATAGCAACTTTATATTGGAGAAATCTGGCAGAAAACACCTTCAAAATTTTATCAAGTTTAGCTTTGCCTGTAATAGGCATACGAAGGTCATGTATCACCTAAAATGCACCAAGAAGGACATACATCACTTTTGTTTTATTCTTGTTAAAAGTACCAAAATTTAATCTAATTGGAATATGCCAGACAAATTCAAAATACTTCCTCCCTAGTCCTCTTCAAAAATTTAAAGATTATGAAAGACCAGAAAGACTGGGAAAGTATTGCAAATATCACAGATTTCATCAGGAAACACTACAACCAAATATAATGTGGATTACTGGATTAGATTCTTAAACAGACAAAGGACATTAGGAGAAACACGGATGATATCTTCATAAGGATTGTTATTTAGTTTATGGCATTGATCCAAACCCATTTCCTCGTTTTGATCATTATACAATAGTTATGTATAATAGATTGTTAATATTAAAGGAAGAGGTGAAATGTATAGGTGAATTTCCTGCATTGATTTACTTTCTCAAAATAAAAGTTATTTTAAAAAAATAAAATAAAACAAGAATGGTCACTGTCAATGTGAATGTGAACATATGCTTAGTGTCTCAGGCTTTAACAGTCTCTGGTTTTCAGGAGCTAGATGTTGAATATAAAAAATAAATAATTTCATGGTAGTCCAAAACTTTTTGCTGTTGTTATCCATTAGGTGTTGGTACAAATGCTTGAAACTTTGAAGAACTACTTTACAAATCAATTTAAGTGTTCAACAGTGGTATTAAATTTTTGTAAATTAATCCTCTGAATATTGGTTGCATTTTGCTCAAAAATATTTGGAAATATTTAATCCCAGTGTTCAGCAATTGTTGTGCAAGGACAATTCAGCCTCCGATATTTTTAGGGAAATGCAATTACTGACAAACAATTTTTTTAACAGGCAGATATTGTAATATATCTCTGCAAAAGGAAAGGAGCTAAACAAATAAAATAATGAGTTCCAAAGTTATATAGGGTTTAATTTGAGATTAAAAAATTGAAATTTGAAATATGTCAACATCTAGTGAAAATATATTGATGGAGTTCATGTTTCTAAATGGATACATTTACATTCTATGGTGGAATTGAATAAAATCGAGAGGGCCTGTTATTTGCTGCACCTAAAGTGAGCAAAATATAAACAGTCATAGAGAAAATGGTTTTATGAGATTTGTCTTACAAAAGTGCCTATTGAAGAAAGATATTTTGAATGGGAGCCAGAAAGTACTTTGAGTTATATATGAAAATAGACAATTGGATGGAGATATTTATGCATTTAAATATAAAAATATTAGAAATATGTCTATTTTTGATTTCACAGAATATGCTCTGAGTTTACCAAGTACCTCAGCATCTGAAAAGAGTATTTATCAGTTAATACTATTTGTGTCAACAGAGAAGAATCAATGAATGGTATCTATAATATCAAATTTAGTAACCATAAAATTTAACTTTGAATAATATTGCAGGTAATTATATGGGGTCTATTGAAAAATGTACCCTTCAGAGAAATAATGTGGTATTGATGACATGGCATTAGAGGTAGATACAACTAAGAATTATAGTGAATATGCAACAAAATGATTATACTTCTTATATTATTTTGAATGTTTGCTCAGTAAATAAAAATATTTTGTGTTAATGCACATATTTCTTACTTTTTATTATTTAATATAAATTTTTATTTGTTAAAATAGTACTTGAATAAATTATCAATTTGTCAGTCATTACAAGTCTTCCAAAAAGTATAATATATAAAAATTTTTTGCTTCCTTCTTACTCACAAAAATATCTGTTGCATAATACATGCTGTTTAATAAAAAACATTTTTTTTAGTTCCATAAGTTATTGGGGAACAGGTGGTGTTTGGTTACATGAGTAAGTTATTTAGTGGTGATTTGTGAAATTTTGGTGCACCCATCACTGTAGCAGTATACACTGCACCCTATTTGTGGTTTTTTATCCCTACCCTCTTCCCACCCTTTCCCCCTGAATCCCCAAAGTCCACTGTGTCATTCTTATGCCTTTGCGTCATCATAGCTTAGCTCCCACTTATGAGTGAGAACAAACTCATGTTTGTTTTTCCATTCCTGAGTTACTTCACTTAGAGTAATAGTCTCCAGTCTCACCCAGGTTACTGCAAATGACATTAATTCATTCCTTTTTATGGTTGAGTAGTATTCCATCATACACACACACACACACACACACACACACGATGAGTGTGTGTGTGTATATATATGATGACTGTGTATATATGAGTGTATATATATATGATGAGTGTATATATGTATGAGTGTAAATATATATATGATGAGTGTGTGTGTGTATATATTTATATATATATATGAGACAAGTATATATATATATATATATCAGAGTTTCTTTATCCACTCGTTGATTGATGGGCATTTGTGTTGGTTCCACGTTTTTGCAATTGCAAATTGTGCTGCTCTAAACATGTGTGTGCAAGTATCTTTTTGGTATAATGACTTCTTTTCTTCTGCGTAGATACCCAGTAGTAGGATTGTTGGATCAAATGGTAATTCTACTTTTATTTCTTTAAGAAATCTCCACACTGTTTTCCATCCTGGTTGTACTAGTTTACATTCCCACCAGCAGAGTAGAAGTGTTCCCTGTTCACCATATCCACACAAACATATACTATTTTTTTTATTATTATGGTCATTCTTGCAGGAGTAAGGTGGTATCGCATTGTGGCTTTGATTTGCATTTCCCTGATCATTAGTGGTGTTAAGCATTTTTTCATATGTTTGTTTGCCATTTGTATATCTTCTTATGAGAATTGTCTATTCATGTCCTTAGCCCACATTTTGATGGGAATTTTTTTTGTTACTGATTTGTTTGAGTTCTTTGTAGATTCTGGATATTAGTCCTTTGTCATATGTATTGATTGTGAAGATTTTTTCCCACTTTGAGGGTTGTCTGTTTACTCTGCTAACTGTTCCTTGTGCCGTGCAAATCTCTTTAGTTTAATTAAGTCCCAGTAATTTATCCTTGTTTGTATTGCATTTTCTTTTGGGTTCTTGGTCATGAAATCCTTGCATAAGCCAATGTCTAGAAGGGTTTTTCCAATGTTATCTTCTAGAATTTTTGTGGTTTCATGTCTTAAATTTATATCCTTAATCTATTTTGAGTTGAATTTTGTATAAGGTGAGAGATGAGGATCCAGTTTCATTCTCCTACATGTGGCTAGCCAATTATCCCAGCACAATTTGTTGAAAAGGGTATCCTTTCCACACTTTATGTTTGTGTTTTCTTTGTGAAAGATCAGTTGGGTGTAAGTATTTGGGTTTATTTCTGGGTTCTCTATACTGTTCCATTGATCTATGTGCCTAGTTTTATACAAGTACCATGCTGTGTTGTTGACTATGGCCTTATAGAATAGTTTGAAATCAGGTAATGTGATGCCTCCAGATTTGTTCTTTATGCTTAGTCTTGCTAGCATGCTGGGCCCATGGAAAACATTTAATACATATGTGTTAATTTCTTTACTACACATATACAATTCAAATGAGAAAGCAGACAAATAGCATTACAAAGAGATGATGTAAAAAAGGAAAGGTATGAACCCTGCTATCCTGGGATTTTAAGCAAGTGTAAGATGGAAAAGAAGGCTCTCTGAACACACGATGAGTTGCAAAAGTTGAGAATTTTTTATTCTTATGAAGAAAAGAGAAAGACTGTTTTGAAAGAAAAAAAAAAATCAGTTGTCAAGTCCCCAGAGACTTTAATATTCACAAGGCTGATGTTGCTAGGTACTGTGGTTGAGGGGGAGTGCAGCATGGAGATAAAGTTGGAAAAGTAGCCTGTGAACATAGAGGTCTGTTGTTTTAGTCCAGTTCCCTGGGAAACAGACCCCGACACAGACAATTTCATGTAGGAAATTTTCTGGGGAATGTTCTTGCTAACATCTGCAGGAGAGTGAAGAAAGCACAATTGAGCATAGAGAGAAGTTGAACTGCCATGCAATTCCAATAGAGGCTTTATCTGATCCCTTGAGGAGCTCTGGAAAACTCACAGGTGCCCCAAATTGTGGCAAGAGATCAGAGACCTTGCACCACCACCTTGAACAGTCATTGGTTTTGGGAAAGATTGTCTTGGGCAAGTTGATTTCTTAAGTTGCTAGAGACTCAGAGTGATCTTGGCAGCTGGCAGAACAAGTATTTTGCCCTATACTAAAAAACTGAATAGTTTACCTCACCATCCACTTCATTTTTATATTATATATATTTCATATATATATAATATATATAATATATATATATTTCATATATATATATTATATATATTTCATATATATATAATATATATATAGATATGATTACCACTGAAGTATTTCAAGCAGGATAATAACATGATAAGATTATTATATGGACAAGCTATTATATGGACAAGCTATTATATGGACAAGAAGTTGAAGGTAAGGCAATATGTTAGGGTTTTCTAGAGAAACAGAACCAGTAAGATCTACAGATATAAGATAGGAGTTTGTCATGGTAATTGGCTCATTAAATTATGCAGGCTGAAAAGTCCCACGATAATATGCTGTCTGCAAGCTGGAGAACCAGGGAGGCTTGTGGTGTAGCTCAAGTCTGAGTCTGCAGGCCTGAGAACCCAGGGAGCCTCTGGTGTGACTCTCAGTCTGAGAATGAAGGCCAACAATTCTGAACATCTGAGGTCTGAGGTTAGCAGAAGATGAATGTCACAGATCAGGAAGAGAGACAACTTGCCCTTCCTCTGCCTTTCTGTTCTATCTGGAGGGTTAAGTGTTTGGATGATCCCTGCCCACATTTGGGAGGGAAGATTTTTTGTATTCAGTCTACTGATTGCATTACTAATCTCTTCTAGAACCACTCTCACAGATAGGCCCAGAAATAATGCTTTACCAGCTACCTGGGTATCTCAACCTGCTCAAGTTGACACCAAAAATTTAAAATCAGAGGCGAGGAGGAAAGTGGGAGGAGAAATTGGGATGGTATTGTCATAATCCAGAAAGGGCCTGGTGGTGAACAGCGGCCATGTTTGGAAAGAGAGAGAGGCAGGCATGAAGGAGGCTTGCCCCTGCCATCCCAGGCCCAGTCAAGAAGGCACCAGAGGCTCACATATCATGCTTCTAAATACATGAAGTGTATCAAACAACAAGCTGCTAAGAAAAATGCATTCTATCTTTCTACATTGACAAATACACCTTTATATGATAAAATAAAAAAGCTATGTGTACAGCTATGTTTTTAGGTAACTAAAAGTCAGAAAAATACTAGACGCCTTAACTATTACTGCACATCACTGGAAGTTCTATTGTTGAGTGAAGAGTAAAGAATAATTTGTAATCTACAAATTTATTAATGTATTTGTATACAATGTATTTGTATTTCTATTATGTCAGCAAAATTACCAATTATGTTGTTATAACAAAACCTCACATAATTTGTGTTCTACCAAAAATAATGACAATTTGTGAACAATATTTTAATAGAAGCATAAAAGTGAGTATATTTTATCAAACAACATTAACTGCATAAAGTTTAAACATCAAAATTATTTTAACATATTGTTTTAAAATTGTTTTTCTAAATGTTTAAAATTATTTAATTTAAAAAATTATAATAAATGTTTCTTAATAACATATAATAATTATATTATATATGATTATATTATATATTTAATGATATGATATATAATTATGAGAAATAAATCCTTAAATATTATTTAAATAAAACTGAAATTAATCAATTTTTTGAAAATTAAATTAAATTGATTTATAACAATAAATCAATTTACAATTCTGGAGTTTAATCTATATCTAGTGGTCAATGTAAGATGTTGGAATCAAACAATGCCTGTCATTCATTGATCTATCTGCAATCTATCTGTATTAGTCAGGGTTTCCAGAAGGACAGAACCAATAGGGTATATGTACATATAAACTGGAGTTTATTGGGACAAGTGGCTCACATGATTACCAAAGAAAGTCCAAGGATAAGCTGTGTGCAAGCTGGAGAAAGAGAGAAGCCAGTAGCATGGCTCAGTCCAAGTCTGAAAAATCTCAAAACCAGGGAAACTGACAGTGCAGCTCTCAGTCTGAGGTGAGGGTTGGATAGCCCCTGGAAAGTGGCTGGTCCCAATATCCAAAGTCCCAAAGGAGTCCAAAGGCTGAAGATCCTACAGTCTAATGTATAAAGGCAGGAGGAGAGGAAGCCAAGCATCTGGCATGGCACAGGAAGAGAGAGTAAGCTGACTCAGCAAGCAAACTACTTATCCCTCCTCTTCTGCCTTCTTTGTTGTAGCTGTGCTTTTAGGCAATTGGGTGGTACTCACCTTCATGGAGAGTGAGCCTTCCTCTCCTAGTCCACAGAATCAAATGTCAATTTCCTCTGGCAACAACCTTACAGACACACTCAGAAGAAATGCTCATCAATCATTTAGGTATCCCTCAATGCAGTCAACTTGATACCTAGTATTAACCATCACACTATCTTTCTAACGATTACGAGTAATTTGAATTGCTCAATATTATGAATGCAATAGTAGTTGCAGGACCACAAGTTGAAACAGAAAAACAAGAGAAATATGGACACTGGTACCATTAGGAGGTAATACTTCATAAAGCAAGAACTTATTGCATTTATGCTACTTAAAAGGGCAGATATGACTAGTTAATTATTTTGTCTTTTTTCTTACCTAAAGATGTCAAACTCTCAACGCTATCTAGCTCACTGAGAGCAGTATTGGTGACTTAAATTGGCAGCTATACAACCCATAACACTTCAAGGCATTCAGTCACCTTTTATATCTACTTTTATATATAAAATTGGAGTGGGCCAGGAGAACCATTTATCTGTGACTGGACTAGTATTATTCTTAAGGGCAGCATTCAGGTTTAGGGGGTTACATTGTTCCCATGGTAAATGCCACATCCTAAGTGTCAGAGGTGGCTGCATGTGTGTGTATACATTTTAATCTTTTTAATATTTGAGGCCTTCAAAAGAACAGAGCGTAGGACAAAGGTTTTTGTTTTGTTTTGTTTTGTTTTTTCCTTATTATAAGGGCAGAACTAGAATGAAGGAGAACAATCTGGGATATTTGTATATTTGAGATATGTGCAATAACTACTTTTATTATCATTGATTACATTTTTATTTACATTTAAAAATCCATTTTATTTATTTTAGCATCTGTTTCTGTGCCTATTTTTATGGCTGACAGAGACTTCAGGGTGGAGAATGAAGAAAATATGGTGAAGGTCATGTGGTCTACAAAAGCTTTTTCATTCAACAAAATATCTGCATATTTATACTTCCAAAGACAAGTACGACCTTCATCTGATACATCACAGTATATGCATTTGGTTTTCTATAACAAGAGATCTTTCCTTTTGGAATGTCAATCTTGCAGGAGGAAAGAGCTCTCATTAAAATAATAATAATAATTCTGTTATGATATTTCAATTAGAGGTGTCAAGAAAGCAGTTTCTATTAAATTATGGAGAAATGAGAGCATGACTTTTGTTTTTCTGTTTGTTAATTTGTTTTTGAAAAATTGATAATTGTGATATTTTGGTACGAAATTTTTAAAAAAGTTCTAAAGAAAGTTGGACAATTGTATAGAGTCCTTACGAAGTCTATCATGTTAAATAATTTGTATTTTATTTTGGTAAGAATGGGAAGGCATTTAAAACCACTAAACAGGATATTGATAAAAGTCTTTTTATTATAAAATGGTCAATTTAGCAGCAGCATTGAGAAAAGTTTGGAGGGATATGATAGTAGAAACAGCAAAACCAGTTTGGACATTGATGCAATAATCTATGTAAACTAAGTTGGTGTGAACTAAAATCGGAAGTAGGAATGGAGTGGGAAATACATACACTAGTATTAACGGTATGAACTATGGGTACTATGCGTGTGGCAGGAGAAAGCAGGTATGGTTCCTGGAATGAGGGGTCAAGTTGGTAGCAGAGAAATTGACTAATGTTAGGAATATAGAACGAGAAGCAGAATGAAGTTAGGGAATAGGTGAGACAAAAGCAGGTTTGATCACACTGCATTTGAGATTCCAGGTAGCATGCAAGTAAAATTTATTCAAGAATGAGTTGGATGTGTGGCAGTTGTGCTCAAGGAAACCATTTGACCTGAGAATAGAAATCTAGATTTCATCACTATTAACATGTGGGTTTAATATAGGGGGTAAATGAGATATAAAGAAATGTGCCTTAAGAAAAGAATAATCAATATCAATAAATAAGAAAAAGGCCAAATGAAGGATTCTGAAAAAATTGGGGGCAGAAAATGTATGACCAAGTGTATTGAATATGTTTAGGAACCATATAAAATATAAGTAAAAACTAAACTTTAAAAATGTATTTAAGGGACATTTGGTTTGTTTTTTAGGTTCATCATCCTTAGAAATGATCTGTGGCTTTCTGGGTTTAAAACCCTGTATTTGCAGCAGTTACAAGATGGCCAAATAGGAACAGCTCCAGTCTACATCTTCCAGTGTGAGTGACGCAGAAGATGGGCGATTTCAGCATTTACAACTGAGGTACTGGGTTCATCTCACTGGGGCTTGTCAGAAGGTGGGTGCAGTCCATGGAATGTGAGCTGAAGCAGGGAGGGGCATTGCCTCACCCAGGAAGTGCAAGGAGTCGGGGAATTCCCTTTCCTAGCCAAGGGAAGCAGTGACAGATGGTACCTGGAAAATCGGGTACTCCCACCCTAATACTGTGCTTTTCCAATGGTCTTAGCAAAGAGCACACCAGGAGATTTTATCCCGTGCCTGGCTCAGAAAGTCCCACGCCCACGGAGCCTCGCTCAGTGCTAGCACAGCAGTCTAAGATGGAACTGCAAGGCAACAGCGAGGCTGGGGGAAGGGGATCCGCCATTGCTGAGGCTTGAGTAGGTAAACAAAGCCCCCAAGAAGTGCGAACAGGGTGGAGTCCACTGCAGCTGAAGGAGGCCTGCCTGCCTCTGTAGAATCCACCTCTGGGGGCAGGGCATAGCTGAACAAAAGGCAGCAGAAACTTCTGCAGACTTAAATGTCCCTGACAGCTTTGAAGAGAGTAATGGTTCTCCCAGAATGGAGTTTGAGATCTGAGAATGGACAGACTGCCTCCTCAAGTGGGTCCCTGAACCCCGAGTAGCCTAACTGGGAGACACCTCCCAGTAGGAGCTGACTGACACCTCATACAGCCAGGTGCCCCTCTGAGACGAAGCTTCCAGAGGAACGATCAGGCAGCAACATTTGCCGTTCTGCAATAATTGCTGTTCTGCAGCCTCCGCTCGTGATACCCAGGCAAACAGGGTCTGGAGTGGACCTCTAGCAAACTCCAAAAGACCTGCGGCTGAGGGTCCTGACTGTTAGAAGGAAAACTAACAAACAGAAAGGACATTCACACCAAAACCCCATCTGTATGTCACCATCATCAAAGACCAAAGGTAGATAAAACCACAAAGATGGGGAGAAACTAGAGAAAAAAAGCTGCAAATTCTAAAAATCAGAGTGCCTCTTCTACTCCAAAGGAATGCAGCTCCTCGCCAGCAATGGAACAAAGCTGGACAGAGAATGACTTTGACAAGTTGAGAGAAGAAGGCTTCAGATGATCAATAATAACAAACTTCTCCTGGCTAAAGGAGGATGTTCGAACCCATTGCAGAGAAGCTAAAAACCTTGAAGAAAGATTAGACGAATGGCTAACTAGAATAAACAGCATGGAACAGATGTTAAATGGCCTGATGGAGCTGAAAACCATGGCACAAGAACTACGTGATGCATGCAGAAGCTTCAGTAGCAGATTCAATCAAGTGAAAGAAAGGGTATCAGTGATTGAAGATCAAATGAATGAAATGAAGCGAGAAGAGAAGTTTAGAGAAAAAAGAGTAAAAAGAAGTGAACAAAGCCTCTGAGAAATGTGGGACTATGTGAAAAGACCAAATCTGAGTCTGATTTGCGTACCTGAAAGTGACGAGGAGAATGGAACTAAGTTGGAAAACACTCTTCAGGATATTATCCAGGAGAACTTCCCCAACCTAGCAAGGCAGGTCAACATTCAAATTCAGGAAATACAGAGAACACCACAAAGATACTCCTTAAGGAGAGCAACTCCAAGACATATAATTGTCTGATTCACCAAAATTGAAATGAAGGAAAAAATATTAAGGGCAGCCAGAGAGAAAGGTAGGGTTACCCACATAGGGAAGCCCATCAGACTAACAGCTGATCTTTTGGCAGAAACTCTACAGGCCAGAAGAGAGTGGGGGCCCATATTCAACATTCTTAAATAAAAGAATTTTCTTTTTCTTTTTTTTTTTAATTTTTCTACTGGAACTAACAATTTTCTTTTAAATTTTATTATTATTATACTTTAAGTTTTAGGGTACATGTGCACAATGTGCAGGTTTGTTACATATGTATACATGTGCCATGTTGGTGTGCTGCACCCATTAACTCGTCATTTAGCATTAGGTATATCTCCTAATGCTATCCCTCCCACCTCCCTCCACCCCACAACAGTCCCTGGTGTGTGATGTTCCCCTTCCTGTGTCCCTGTGTTCTCATTGTTCAATTCTCACCTATGAGGGAGAACATGCAGTGTTTGTTTTTTGAATTTTCAACCCAGAATTTCATATCCAGCCAAACTAAGCTTCATAAGTGAAGGAGAAATAAAATCCATTACAGACAAGCAAATGCTGAGAGATTTTGTCACCAGTAGGCCTACCTTACAAGAGCTCCTGAAGGAAGCACTAAACATGGAAAGGAACAACCAGTACCAGCCACTGCAAAAACATGAAAAATTGTAAAGACCATCGATGCTAGGAAGAAACTGCATCAACTAATGATCAAAATAACCAGCTAACATCATAATGACAGGATCAACTTCACACATAACAATATTGACCTTAAATGTAAATGGGCTAAATGTTCCCATTAAAAGCAAAAGACTGGCAAACTGGATAAAGAGTGAAGACTCATTAGTGTGCTGTATTCAGGAGACCCATCTCAAGTGCAGAGACACACATAGGCTCAAAATAAAGGGATGCAGGAAGATCTACCAAGCTATTGGAAAACAAACAAACAAACAAAAAGCAGGGGTTACAATCCTAGAAACAATAGACTTTAAACCAACAAAGATCAAAAGAGAGAAAGAAGGCCATTACATAATGGTAAAGGGATCAATTCGACAAGAAGAGCTAACTATCCTAAATACATATGCACCCAACAGAGGAGCACCCAGATTCATAAAGCAAGTTCTTAGAGACCTACAAAGAGACTTAGACTCCCACACAATAATAATGGGAGACTTTAACACCCCAATGTGAACATTAGACAGATCAATGAGACAGAAAGTTAACAAGGATATCCAGGAATTGAATTCAGCTCTGCACCAAGCAGACCTAATAGACATCTACAGGACTCTCCACCCAAAATCAACAGAATATACATTCTTCTCTGCACCACATTGCACTTATTCCAAAATTGACCACATAGTTGGAAGTAAAACACTCCTCAGCAAATGTAAAAGAACAGGAATTATAACAAACTATCTCTCAGACCACAGTGCAACCAAACTAGAACTCAGGATTTAAGAAACTCACTCAAAACTGCTCAACTACATGGAAACTGTACAACCTGCTCCTAAACAACTACTGGGTACATAATGAAATGAAGGCAGAAATAAAGATGCTCTTTGAAACCAATAAGAACAAAGACACAACATACCCGAATCTCTGGGACACATTTAAAGCAGTGTGTAGAAGGAAATTTATAGCACCAAATGCTCACAGGAGAAAGCAGGAAAGATCTAAAATTGACACCCTAACATCACAATTAAAGGAACT
Organism: Homo sapiens; assembly: GCF_000001405.40. Lineage (NCBI taxonomy): Eukaryota > Metazoa > Chordata > Mammalia > Primates > Hominidae > Homo > Homo sapiens. The sequence goes on along the minus strand of NC_000004.12, from coordinate 59,721,493 downwards.
AGAGAAGCAAGAGCAAACACATTCAAAAGCTAGCAGAAGGCAAGAAATAACTAAGATCATCCTCTCCAGCACCTGTTGTTTCCTGACTTTTTAATGATTGCCATTCTAACTGGTGTGAGATGATATCTCATAGTGGTTTTGATTTGCATTTCTCTGATGGCCAGTGATGATGAGCATTTCTTCATGTGTTTTTTGGCTGCATAAATGTCTTCTTTTGAGAAGTGTCTGTTCATGTCCTTCGCCCACTTTTTGATGGGGTTGTTTGTTTTTTTCTTGTAAATTTGTTTGAGTTCATTGTAGATTCTGGATATTAGCCCTTTGTCAGATGAGTAGGTTGCGAAAATTTTCTCCCATGTTGTAGGTTGCCTGTTCACTCTGATGGTAGTTTCTTTTGCTGTGCAGAAGCTCTTTAGTTTAATTAGATCCCATTTGTCAATTTTGGAGAAATAGGAACACTTTTACACTGTTGGTGGGACTGTAAACTAGTTCAACCATTGTGGAAGTCAGTGTGGCGATTCCTCAGGGATCTAGAACTAGAAATACCATTTGACCCAGCCATCCCATTACTGGGTATATACCCAAAGGACTATAAATCATGCTGCTATAAAGACACATGCACACGTATGTTTATTGCGGCATTATTCACAATAGCAAAGACTTGGAACCAACCCAAATGTCCAACAATGATAGACTGGATTAAGAAAATGTGGCACATATACACCATGGAATACTATGCAGCCATAAAAAATGATGAGTTCATGTCCTTTGTAGGGACATGGATGAAATTGGAAACCATCATTCTCAGTAAACTATCGCAAGAACAAAAAACCAAACACCGCATATTCTCACTCATAGGTGGGAATTGAACAATGAGATCACATGGACACAGGAAGGGGAATATCACACTCTGGGGACTGTGGTGGGGTCGGGGGAGGGGGGAGGGATAGCATTGGGAGATATACCTAAGGCTAGATGACACGTTAGTGGGTGCAGCGCACCAGCATGGCACATGTATACATATGTAACTAACCTGCAGAATGTGCACATGTACCCTAAAACTTAGAGTATAATAAAAAAAAAAAATTAAAAAAAAAAAAAAAAAGAAATAACTAAGATCAGAGCAGAACTGAGGGAGACAAGAGACACAGAAACCCCTCAAAAAATCAATGAACCCAGAAGCTGTTTTTTTGAAAAGATCAACAAAATTGATAGGCAACTAGCAATACTAATGAAGAAGAAAAGAGAGAAAAATCAAATAGACGCAATAAAAAATGATAGCCTACCAACCAAAGAAAGTCCAGGACCAGATGGATTCACAGCTGAATTCTACCAGAGGTACAAGGAGGAGCTGGTACCATTCCTTCTGAAACTATTCCAATCAAAAGAAAAAGAGGGAATCCTCCCTAACTCAATTTATGAGGCAGCATCATCCTGATACCAAAGCCTAGCAGAGTCACAACAAAAAAAGTGAATTGTAGACCAATATCCCAGAGGAACATCGATGCAAAAATCCCAAATAAAATACTGGTAAACCGAATCCAGCAGCACATCAAAAGCTTATACAGCACAATCAAGTTGGCTTCATCCCTGGGATGCAAGGCTGGTTCAATATACGCAAATCAATAAATGCAATCCATCATATAAACAGAACGAAAGACAAAAACCATATGGTTATCTCAATAGATGCAGAAAAGGCCTTCGACAAAATTCAACAGCCCTTCATGATAAAAACTCTCAATAAACTAGGTACTGATGGGACGTGTCTCCAAATAATAAGAGCTATTTATGACAAACCCACAGCCAATATCATATTGAATGGGCAAAAACTGGAAGCATTCCCTTTGAAAACTGGCACAAGACAGGGATGCTCTCTCTCATCACTCCTATTCAACATAGTGTTGGAAGTTCTGGCCAGGGCAATCAGGCAGGAGAAAGAAATAAAGGGTATTCAATTAGGAAAAGAGGAAGTCAAATTGTCCCTGTTTGCAGATGACATGATTGTATATTTAGAAAACCCCATCGTCTCAGCCCAAAATCTCCTTAAGCTGATAAGCAACTTCAGCAAAGTCTCAGGATACAAAATCAACGTGCAAAAATCACAAGCATTCTTATACACCAGTAACAGACAAACAGAGAACCAAATCATGAGTGAACTCCCATTCACAATTGCTTCAAAGAGAATAAAATACCTAGGAATCCAACTTACAAGGGATGTGAAGGACCTCTTCAAGGAGAACTACAACCCACTGCTCGATGAAATAAGAGAGGACAAAAACAAATGGAAGAACATTCCATGCTCATTGATAGGGAGAATCAATATCATGAAAATGGCCTTACTGCCCGAGGTAATGTATAGATTCAATGCCATCCCCATCAAGCTACCAATGACGTTCTTCACAGAATTGGAAAAAAAAACTACTTTAAAGTTCATATGGCACCAAAATGAGCCCGCATTGCCAAGACAATCATAAGCCAAAAGAACAAGCTGAAGGCATCACACTACCTGACTTCAAACTATCCTACATGGCTACAGTAACCAAAACAGCATGGTACTGGTACCAAAGCAGAGATATAGACCAATAGAACAGAACAGAGCCCTCAGAAATAATACCACACATCTACAACCATCTGATCTTTGACAAACCTGAGAAAAAGAAGAAATAGGGAAAGGATTCCCTATTTAATAAATGGTGCTGGGAAAACTGGCTAGCCATATGTAGAAAGCTGAAACTGGATCCCTTCCTTACACCTTATACAAAAATTAATTCAAGATGGATTAAAGACTTAAATGTTAGACCTAAAAACATAAAAACCCTAGAAGAAAACCTAGGCAATACCATTCAGACCATAGACATGGGCAAGGACTTCATGTCTAAAACACCAAAAGCAATGACAACAAAAGCCAAAACTGATAAATGAGATCTAATTAAACTAAAGAGCTTCTGCATGGCAAAAGAAACTACCATCAGAGTGAAGAGGCAACCTACAGAATGGGAGAAAATTTTTACAGTCTACCCATCTGACAAAGGGCTAATATCCAGAATCTACAAAGAACTTAAATAAATTTCCAAGAAAAAATCAAACAACTCCATCAAAAAGTGGGTGAAGGATATGATCAAACACTTCTTAAAAGAAGACATTTATGCAGCCAACAGACACATGAAAAAATGCTCATCATCACTGGCCATCAGAGAAATGCAAATCAAAACCACAATGAGATACCATCTCACACCAGTTAGAATGGTGATCATTAAAAAGTCAGGAAACAACAGGTGCTGGAGAGGATGTGGAGAAATAGGAACACTTTTACACTGTTGGTGGGACTGTAAACTAGTTCAACCATTGTGGAAGACAGTGTGGCAATTCCTCAAGGATCTAGAACAAGAAATGCCATTTGACCCAGCCATCCCATTACTGTGTATATACCCAAAGGATTATAAATCATGCTGCTATGAAGACACATGCACACTTATGTTTATTGTGGCACTGTTCACACTATTCACAATAGCAAAGACTTGGAACTAACTCAAATGTCCATCAATGATAGACTGGATTAAGAAAATGTGGCACATATACGCCATGGAAGACTATGCAGACATAAAAAAGGATGAGTTCATGTCGTTTGTAGAGACATGGATGAAGCTGGAAACCATCATTCTGAGCCAACTATTGCAAGGACAGAAAACCAAACACCGCATGTTCTCACTCATAGGTAGGAATTGAACAATGAGAACACTTGGACACAGGGTGGGGAACATCACACACCGGGGCCTGTCGTGGGGTGTTAGGAGCGGGGAGGGATAGCATTACAAGATATACCTAATGTAAAGACGAGTTAATGGGTGCAGCACACCAACATGGCACATGTATGCATATGTAAGAAACCTGCACGTTGTGCACAAGTACACTAGAACTTAAAGTATTAAAAAAAAAGGCTGTATTCAATCAACAAACTACTTCCACAGAAGGTTAATTAAGACTGTGTGTGTGTATGTCTTTGTATCCGAGTTTGTGTGTAGATTTCATATAATAGATTATATGTGTCATATACATAGTATGTAATTGGGTTATATCATCAGGGGAAGAGATATCTGAAGTGTTACGTACTGGCTTTTACATGCTTTGGCTTCAAGCAAGACAAGTCATTCCTGTCCGTATCCTATTGGCTAGAAGTAAAACCTTGCCCCACATAACTTCATGAAGCCAGGGAGATGTGTAAGAAACAGACTGTGTGGTGCAGTTATCCCCTGTGCTGTAGGAGATAAAGTGTTCCACACAAGGAATATCTATCTACATCCCTTACAATAGCCTAATCAACGTGTCAATATTTTTATGTGTCACCACACATGAGGTTAACATTAAACAATTAATCAAATATGTAAGTAGAGGCTCAATAAATATTTGTTGAACTGAAAAATCCATGTTTAAATTTCAACATGTATTGGTTTTGTATCAATTTTAATTTGCAATGTTGTTTAAACAGTGTACTCAAATTGCCTCCAAATGGATCCTCCTTGCAAAGTATTATTCCCTAAACCTTGAATTAATTAAAATGTAAGCTTAAGTTTTTCAACCTCAAATAGTTATTTAATAAATGATTAAATTATTTTCTAGAAGGAAGGTAACAATAGATACATATTGTTTCTTCATGAAAAGCATCCTCTTTTGGAATATTGCCCATGTAGATTTATTCCTCTTTCATTTTACTGACATCTAAACACCTTTTGTGAGTCCAAGTAGAAGAGATATTCTATTCATACTATATTTATGAAATGTTATTGTCAATATATCTTTTATATTTTCTTTCTATACATCTGGTTCTGCTCCTTTCTCTATATCTTTAATTCAAGTGACTTTAACTTGTGGATTGCTTCAAAACAGGTCAAGTAATATAGATGTAAGGTGCACAAAAAAGCTAAATATACTTCATCAAAGTATAAAGGTTTTAAAATTCCAATGCTTCATTTAAATTTATAGAGAGGGATCATAGTAATTATTTTGATTATAATTACAATTGTGTTAATTACAATAATCTGTACAAATTTCTCTAGACCCCAAAATCAAACTAATAAATATCTTGTGCTTAATAAGACAGCCACATTTAACTTTAACTGTTTCAAACACATTTTATTATATCTTTTTAAAGTATAATTTTTGTTTGTGAAAAAAATAAAATTCCAGTTTTCATAAGCATTATAGCATGATTATTGTACATGGTCAATTAAACAAAGTAACTTACAATAGGTCTTGGGGTGTTATTATTTTTCCAAGTGTTTAGGAGTACAGAATATAAATAAAATGAACAAAACCTTCTTATTTTCAGGTCTTTTCACATAGAGATGTAGAGATTAGGTTACAACATGTATGAAACCAGGCCATTCCACAAACTGCGGTACAAGCTAATAGGCAATAAGAGAGTAAGAAAAAATTATTTGAAACTAACAGGAACCTTTGGCACTACTGTGTAATATTTATCTTAAAGATGAGGCAACACCATCGAGTGATTTTAATAGTGGGAGAGGAAAGCATGAAGGAAGATGGCAAAGATAAGCAGAAAGGAAATGGCTGCTTATGAAATTCTTTCATTGTATTAGACTTAATCTTTATTTTACTGAGTTCTTTAACATTTGAGTTTGCTTTTATTCAATATTTATTTCATAAAACCTAAGGCTGAATTAAAACAAATAACTTGTCAAAAAGTTTTAGAGTGGTCAAAGACAAGATACAAATGATAAACAAATTATTTTCACAGTTTCCTTTGAGGGAGAATTATCTTGTTTACAGAAAATATGTTTGTGGTCAATTGAGGTAGAATACATGGTTTTAGGGAGTAGAGGGAGGCAGAAGCTCAAACCGCACACACAAAACAACACTTTTTATTAATTAAGGTGGGTTGAGGGCTCATGACTGGAGTGCTGATAAAAGGAAAGTTAAAAAACAAAAATGACTACTACAAAAAAAAAATGAAAGATTCAAGCAAACAAAGATTCGAAATGGAGAGGTTTTGTGAAATTGGGTTTTCCATTTGCTAAAAATCCAAAGTCTCAGAGGAGATGGAAATTCTGAGAAGCAAGAATTTCTAGATGCAAAGTGATCCAGCCTTGTGTTTCTCAAATCCTCAGTGAAGACTGATGTAAATTTGGTTGGGAGTCTTGTTGTCATAGTTGTTGTAGTGGTTTTCTGAAATTCGAACATGGGTCTGTATTTCAAATGTGGAAGATGCAATACGGAACAGGAAAACCTATAGAGAGGAAAGCCTTAAGTACAAGTCCTCTCCATCGCACAGAATTTGGTCTTCTTGTCAATTTACCTAGATCTTAAAAGTCAGCAAAAGTCATCTAAAGGTCATCTTGAAAAGCATCCTCTTGTGGAATATTGCCCACGTAAATCTATTCCTCTTTCATTTTACTGACATCTGAATACCTTTTGTGAAGGTATTCACTTCTACTTTTGTCCAAGTAGAAGAGATATTCTATTCATACTATACTTATGAAATGTTATTGCCAATGTATCTTTTATATTTTCTTTCTATACATCTGGTTCTGCTCCTTTCTCTGTATCTTTAAATTCAAGTGACTTTAACTTGTGGATTGCTTCGAAATAAGATCATATTACTATGAGAGGTAACTCATATTACTAAGAGAAGTAACTAATACCTCTCTTTTATTTGATTTGTTTTCTTAGCTGAGCATAAAAGAAATAATGTATAAAAAAGCATGAATTAAGTAAATTTTCTGTGAATTACTGCTGAAAATCTCCTGGAAATTCAGAGTGAATTAATGAAAATCTAAATATACACTTAAAGAAAGAAAATTGTACAGTTCCATGTGTTTAAGATATATACTTTAAATTAAAGTGTTTCTAAGTAGGAGTTATGTCAACTTGTTTCAATAAGTAGATAAAATAAATTTGTAATTAGGAGCATCTGTTTGGTTATAAACATATGCTATAACCCATAAACCGAGATTTTTCTCTTAAGCAAGCCAAACACATTTCCTATAGTACTACTTACAATTTGAGTCTCTTTAGAAAAAAAAAAAAATTTCTAAATATATTTTGGGGGCATGCCTTACATAGTGGTGAAGACCTCTGGATATACATTCAAGAGGATATGGTTCAATTCGTGGCTCAGCCACCTCCTATCCACGTGGACTTTGGCAAATTTCTTAATTTATCTTAGCCTGTGTTTTCTTCATCTTCCAAACAGTGCATTTTCATCACTCCATCTCTGCCTGATGAAAGACCCCAAAACTTAGAGGAGAAAACTATAGCCATTTTAGTACGCTTGCAGTTCTGTGAGAGAGGAATTTGGGCCTGACACAAGGATACTGTGGCCTCTGGTTTGCCATGTCTGAGGACTGTGTTCTGGTTTTCAGTTGGGTTTTGATGGCTTCTTCATGACCATGCTTACCAATTTAGTGTTCCTTGGCCTCTCATTCTTCATGTGTTTTATCCTTCATTCTAAATGGAGCTTTTCACAACTTGGTGATATCTGGAAAGTCACAGAACTTACATGTGATTGGTTTTGAAGGGCCCAGAAGTAAAAGCTTTTAGGGGCTACGACAATAAGTGGTCACTCCCACTGTGTTCTTAGATTAAAGAAGTTTCAAGGCCTGACCAGATTCAAGGGGATGTAGAATAAACTGGACACAACTTGATGAGGAGTGGCAGAGTCACAATGCAAAACAGCATGTCTGATAGGAGATATGGTTCTGGCTATTTTTAAGAAATACAACATGCCACACAGGATAATGATACCTTTCTTATGAAAGTTTTGTGAAGTTTAAAAAATGTATCAAGATCTAGCACATATCCAGTAAGTGTCATCAGTCATATAAAATTGAACAAGTATAAAATTTCCCCAAACTCAGTTCAGATTATCATAAATTCTCATGTAGTAAAATTGAATTTAGGACTGTTTGAAAAATAGTGTGATTCAACTACAGTGTTAAACCAAAATGAAAAAAAAAAAGAAAATGATAGGATTCCTGTATATAAAATATATAAACTCACAGTAGGATTTTATTTTTCTTACAAATGCCATGCATTGGCATTATCTACTCTTCTTTCTTGTTGTTCCAGTATGTGCAATAAACCAGAGTAATTGGGAGGTAGGCTTACCTACCTGGGAAGTTATTGAAGGATCAGGAGATAGAATTTGTTTGTGAAAGCAAGATTTCTACAGGAGAAACCTCAGAATAATGACAACCAAGGAATAAGGAAATTTAAGGTCTTTTGATCACAGCCAGTTGTAGTTTATGTAGAGAAAATTTTCACATGCCAGTGTCCAGAAATTGAAGTTAATAGTCATGGAGTGAGTTCTTTGGAATTGACTTGAATTAGGTCTAGATGCCTTGGCCGTGGTGGTATGGTGATGATGAAACCAACTCTTATGAATAACATTGGGTCTTCAAGCTTACATTTAGTTAATTGTAGATACATTTCTTTCTCCTTTTTTTAAGCCAAAAATCTAGTCTTATGTAGAATTTAGCATAATATTCCTGAGTTGAAATACATATTTGGCAAAATGATAGCTTTGGGTTTTAGCCTATCCTATTTATTAACATCAGACAAACTGTTCCTTTCCATTTTTATTTTTTTGTGACCTCTTATTGATAGTTTGTCAAAATGACACCAAACTGAAAGAACAAACAGTATCTTGAATAATGTGAACTCTTCCATCTCCTCAAAGATTGAAATGGTTGCAGTGTTCATCTCTTAAATGCTTTCTGGTAAATCTGGGTAAAGGAAGGATATTTCAGGAGTGTGAGTCACACTTGTATTTATATCGGCACCTACATTTTTACTTGCATTGGCTTGCCACAGACTTGAGGAAGTAAAGCATTATTTGTTTCCAGTTTGGTGCTAATGTATATGACTAATGCACTAATAAATATTGCAAGCAAATCAATTGTACTTCCTAATAGCAAGGTGAACAGCAATAGCATTTTATGCAAGATCATAGGAGATTGAGCACTAAACCTGAAAAAAGATGATTCTAACCCTGACATATCATTATTTCTTGGGATTTGTGCATCTCCCTTAATGTACGGTTAATGTAATTTGAAGTTATGAATCTTTTTTATAGTCTTACTCTATATTCTTAAAGTAACAAATCTCAAGTTGTAATTATAGCACAGAAAGCATTCACAGAATTCTGACCAGGAAACCAAACACTCAAACATTTTCATCCTTCCTGCAGAAAATATATAAATTCTACTTATTTTTCACTGGAATATATGTTTTATGTGAATAATGTCTGACATGTATTTGTTGTTAGTAAAATTCTTAGAATCTATCCCAATCAGCTCATTGTTTCTTCCAGGGAAACATGGAGTTGAAATAAGAAGAAAGAATAAACAATGGAAATACTGGTTTTAGCTATAAATGCAGTATAATTGATCATTTCAGGACTCTCTGTGCCCATGGAGTTGTAGTCCCAGCATCAATTTAAGTGGCTGAGCACCTTACATGACCAATCCTGTAAGGCTGCCAAACAAGAATGGACTATTTTCAAAGGTTTTGAAACATACACCAAGGAGCATTTTCCATTCATTTTAAGTCTGAATGTATGAAAAACTTTTCTTACTCAGAAAAATCCACAGCTTGCTTACTTTCATAAAATATACCAATATTTTCCCCTGTGGTGTGCAGATTTATTGATGTTTAGGGCAACGTTTCTGTGTATATGCGTATATGACTAATCACACCATAGGAGTTTCTTTAGACCCCTCATCATTATTCCTGAAATCCTCTACCCAAGTTGGAAAGGTACACTCTTGTATTCAAGCAAAGTCTGAAGCAAACAACACACAGCAGAAAAAAATGGGGAGTGCTTCAGTAAAGGGGAGTTGGATAAACTTTTAAGGTTTGGGTTATTATCAATAATTTCGAGAAGAGATATAAAAAGGAGGGGGAAGTTCTGGGTTGGACATTGTAAAAAAGTGGGGAAAAGTAGGAAAAAGTGTATAAAGTTGATTTGATATGAATAATTTTTATCCAAGAGGAGGGAGGATTAAATCAGGCCTAGAGGTGACACGGGTAAAAATAATTCATGCTCAGAAGTAAGGGTTTAGTCATGTTTCCAGCAACATTATAGCCTTGACCGTGTCCTGTTGTAAGTATTGTTTATGCTCTAGTGATTGATTTTCATTACGGCTGATTTGCACCTTCTCAGTATGTTGGAAAAAGTTAGAAACATTTTGAGCCCACATTTTACCTTTTTATAGAAGTATGTATTTGTCAGAATTTCATAATTCTTGAAAAACTCAAAATTAGGATGCATGAAGATATTTGTTAGAAGAGTTAGACGAAAACTAATTGGAAAGTGATGTCTAATATACAATAAATTCTGTTTATATTATGTGTACTATACATATAGACATACTAGATATATGGTATATTTTACATACATATATCAGGCTCGTCTAACAGATCATATATAATAAATGCAGAAAAAATTACATATAAATTTATAAATATATGAATTTTATATATATATGTAAATTTCTGATTCAAGCTATGAGCAAGGTCTTTACAAATACAATAAAATTTATCATTATAATGCTGCAGAGATTCCCAGGAAAAATAATTTGCTTCACAATTCACAGGGATTTGCTCCGGAATTATTGACAGTTACAAAATACTGCTAATCCTTACCCTAGAAAAAAGGAAATTCAGTGCTGGTGTTCAGGTATCACATGATATAAAATAACCCAGAGGACAATTTGAAACTTCCTATAGACAGGAGAACAAAGAAAAGATAAACAAGCCTCCCACTTCATCTGCTTTGATCAATCCTTGCAGAAACAGAGGTCTGCATTAACACCTGAGGCCTTTCTTATGGACTAAAATATCACCTTCCTCTTCAAGTCTTGTCCTTTTTCTGCTCTATTATTTTTTAAACTTCTTTCACAATGTTCAGATACAATGCTAATTCTACAATCTGACAGAGAGATCTAAAGCTGAGGCTATGATAGTCAGCATATCAAATACATTGAGAGAGAGAGAGAGAGAGAAACACAATAGCAAAACATCTTCATGATGAATAGCTTTTGGTTCACCATTAGAACCTCAGTGCCTAGCACCATATCTGATATAGTGCAGTATTTCAAATACTTGTGATGTGAACTAATCAATCCATGACATATAATCTGTGTTTATATACATGTCGTAATAGTGTACTACTATATGTCACAATAATAACTGACCACCAAATCTCACTGATTTATAAGAACAAAGGTTCATTTCTCATGTATTCTGAGTAACTATCATGGGTTAGTTATGAATCGTTTTTGTGTTGATCGCATTTAGAAATCAAAATAATAGAAAAACTCCTGTCTCGAAAAATTGCTGATAAGGCAGAGGAAGATTAATGGTATTTACTGCTTTTTACTGCATTTCATTGGCCAAATCAAGTCACATGACCCAAACTGACAATCAGGTGAAAAAGAATAAAGGTAGAGCATTTTTGTGAACAACTAAGTAATGTTCCACATATGGCCTAATTAATACTAAAAGTATTTGAAAAAGCAAATAAGAAAGAGACTAATAGCATCTTGGTTCAAAAAAGGTGATGATTGAGTGTTATTTTTTAAATTTATCTCAACGCTTTCAATTGCCCTGTTATGAGAGAAGCTAAAGGCACCAACAGATTAAAAGAGAATCCTTTGAAAACTGTGTATAATCATTTACATGGTGAGTAAATTTGGGATCTAGACCTGCTTTCAAATTTATGAAAATATATCGTGTGCTCCTTTCTCATACTGTCTGTAAAGATATACTAACAGGAATGACAGAGCTCCTAAACTTCAAGCTTAAAAAGAATAGGAGGAAATGAAACACAGTTAATTTGAGAGATTGAAAACACAGATATTTCTGAGATAATGTACTCAGCGTGCATATATTTCTAAAAAGCTACTTTCTATTACCAAGGTAAGTACCTTTCAGTCTTTAAAGTTTCAGCTTATCTGGGCATCAGTAAAATTACCGTGAATCTGACACATTCAATAAAACTCTTCCAGTCTTGTCATAACTACAACTGGTAGAGAACATAATTTTAACCAACTTGGAAGTTTTTATTTTTGCTGCTGCTAACAGTTATTTTACTATAAAGCAATTTCATTGGTGACAATAGTGTCAATGAAGGTTGTTTTAGGTGAGTTTAATTAACAAGGTTTTAAACAATTTTTATCATATTCCAATTCAAACAGAATGCATTTATGTTGCTTCTCTTACTATTAACAATAAAAATGTGTTAAATAGCTGCCTTTCTCCAAATAATATTCATCTTTTAAGGCCTTAACAAGCCTCACCTTTTGCATAATATCCTCTTCATCCATTACAGATTTCATTGATCTCTTTGTTTCTGTGCAACACTTTAGTGTGTGAACAACTGATTTTGTTATTTAATAATGTGTACCATCTGGGTTTGTTCCCAGGGTAACTTACCTTCCACAGAAATTTTGTTTACTCTCCTCACCTTTAGTTGCACTAAATGATTAGAGCTAGCAGTTGCAGTAAAAACGGCCACCACATGGCTTGCTACAAGAAATGTACTATGCCAGGCTTCTGATATTCATTAATAAGTAATAAACCCAACTGAGATACTGTTCCAAGTACAGTTCTATTTTCTTGGACTATGGCAGTGAACAATATAAGCAGAACTCTTGTAGTTAGATTTAATATTAATACTTAATATGTAAAACAGCTTGGCCAGATTGATATTATCTCCCTTTTGTAGATGAATGCAATAAGTAGCTAAGCAGGGCAGGGTTGACTGACTTTCTCAGGCCAACCTACCAGCGAATAGAAGAGGGCATTAGTTTTCTAGGGCTGCCATAATATTTACTTTCTCACTGTGTTGATGTTGGTTGACCATGGTCTCACTTTTCAACTTTTTCACTTTTATCACAGTTCACTGCCTGTTGTCTTTGGAGTTTCTGACTTTTCTTGAGAAGGCTGTTTGTTCCTTCAGCTTGGGCAGGATGGCTTTCCTAACATCATCCTCCCATTTCCATCTTGAGTCCTGACAAAGCCCTCAGACATAACAGTCTCTTCATCACTGAGGATGGGTCATTTGGAAATGTATTTTTAAGGTACAATGGAAGCCAAATAAAAAATACTTATGAATGATACAGCCTTCTTGCTTCTTAAGACAAAAGAATGTTTTAATGTTAAAATGATCAAGATTTTTTAACAAAGTAAACCTTCTTGGTAATACCTGCATACAAACAGATTTAAAGTCAGCAGCCACAAAATCTTAAAGTAAAATAATTACACAGTTATTTATGATTTATGTTGTGATACTTTATTTCAGCTACATTTGATTTCATCATTATTGCTTTCATAGTCATCATCATCCCCATAAAATTTTGAACACCCATCATGGCCCAAATGGCAGAAAGATTGTTCCTGCTTATACTAGAGTTCTCCAGAGAAAAAACCAATAAAATGTATATACATATATACATACACACACACATACATACACACGTGTGTGTGTATGTATGTATGTTTAAAGGGAAGAGAGAAGCAACAGAAAGAAAAAAAGAGGGAGAAACAGATTTATTTCAGGGAATTGGCTCATGAAGTTGGCAAGTTGGCAAGTCCAAAATTTGCAGCATAGGTTGCAGGCTAGAGACCCAGGAAGCAGTGATGTTGCAGCTCAACTCTGAAGGTAGTCTGGAAGCAGCATTCCCTTTTCCACTGGGGACCTCAGTTTCTTTTATCTTAATGCCTTTAATTGACTCCATTAGGCCCAGTCATACTATGCAGGGTAACCTGTTTTATCCAAAGTCTACTGATTTAAATATTAATCTCATCTAAAAATTACCTTCACATAGATATTTAGACTGGTGTTTGACTGAACAGTTGGGTACCATGGTCTAGCCAAGTTAGTATATACAATTAACCATCACACAGATCATGGTCTCAGACTCAGGTCTGTCGCTCTGGTAAGTCTCCAGTTTTTGTTTTAGCTTGCTACCAAGCAAAATGTTCTGCATGTAGAGAAAGAGAAATACTATTGATTGGATGCATAAAATCACACAAATTCTTTTTTCCTTCTCATTTTACATTGTATACTTTATTATTCTGAGCTTAATTAGAACCTCAATATGATATAACCATTTTGGTTTGCCTCTTGATATTTAATGAGAGCTAATTGCTACTAAGACTACCCAAGTCAAAGTGATTAAAATCAGTTCCAAAGTTATGTTCTGATTGCAATAAACAGATCAAATGTTCATTAATATTGAAGTTAGAGTACTGAATCTACTGTTCTTTCCTCATTTACTTCTATTAGCATTTTAAAAATTTCAAATAAGTCTTAATTAATTTAAACCACATTCAGAGAAACTGGTTTTATGAGACTAAAAAAGAAGAATCTTTTAAGGCACACATTCAGGAAGAAAATAGTGTCTTGAGAGGAGAAGACAGTGGCAGGAAAATAACATTCATCCTGAGACTTTTATTTATTCACTCTGAAACATTTTTACATAAAAATTCTCCCTGGTCACACATACCTCCCTAAGCATCTACTTAAATTTTGCTATCCCTGAAAGTTCCTTTGTTTGATGTTCAACACTCAACATATGCCTGTAAACAAGAATTTCATCTGAAGGACAACACTTAAATGTTTAATCGTTAATTTAAATGTATCCAGATAAATTCTTCCTTTTTAATACACTTTAGAATAATCTGTGTAGAAAAGAACAACAAAAAATATGTTTCAAGAAGAGTTATATCAAATAAATAAGTTAAAAAATTATTTGTTGAATTGAGCTTTTAGACATCATATTTACTTTACAATGTAGAACCTACTGTATTTGAATTTATGAGATGTGGGTCGTTTTAGGATAAAACAAACTTACGCTCTTTAATGTTTCCCTATTGTTTTCTTTTATTCATATCTAAAAATATAATTTAATCATATCCGATGCCTCTAACATAGAGTCAGGTTAATAATGCATTTATAATTCTTTTAATTCTCATATTCATATACATGCAAATGTTTATACATAATTTCTATTTGAATGTTCCTTTGTTTCCAGTTTAAATAATATCATTGATTAAAGATAAATATATTTCTTTAGTTCAATACCTACCTTCAAATTTGAGTCCATTGTATGTCTTACTTTGGAAAGTTATCTTAAATATATATCTTAGCTCATAAACATTTTGAATATAAAAAAATGAAAGAAACACTGTATTACATGCTATATGGCTAAAGTTATTTTAAGAATGATTTAGTTATGAAATGTATAGAAAAATGTGTTTTCTTTTTCTTTAAAGACTCACATAAAACTTCCAGAAATGTAAAATCACACTTAAAAAATTGTAAATCCGTTAGTAGTCCACTGTCACCTGGGCTACTGGGAAAGCACACATCTTTGTGCTGTGTGTTTTATCCTCAAGAGACCATTCTCTGCACTTGTCAGAAGGATCTTTTCGAAGTAGAAATATGATCACTTATCTTCCCCGCTTAATCACCTCAACAGAAATCTACTGCTCTGACTATAAAAACAAAATCCTTAAAGGAGGTCTCAAGGCTCCTAATACTGCTCTCTGTGTGGCTCTCCAGCTGGCTTCAAACCCGTCCTTCTGTGCTTTACCCTCATTCATCTCCCTCCTACTCTCCCAACACAGTGCCACGCACACTCCCACAGTAGGGCATTGGAATCTGTTGTTTCCTATACCAGGAACATTCCATCTACCACCCACCTCACTTCACTTAGATCACCCCGACTTCTCCAGCACTTTCATCATTAGTTCTTTAGGGAACCCTCCCTATGACTCCTTGTTTGGACAAAACTCTGCTATCGCGCATTGCATAGCACTCTACCTCCTTCACGTCACTTACAATTATTTATTTGAATATTATATCTTCCCTACTGATCTGTAGGCTTCATGAGAAGAGAGATTATGTGTAATTTTCAACACCGGTGTGTATTGGCAGTCTGCCATAAACCCAATCTATAATAAGTGCCTAACAAATCTTTGCTGGAAAAAAATTAATAAATGAATATAGGTAAAATCTGGGTTCATATAGTTTTATGTTGTGTGGAGGAATATGCAGAAAATAATAAATTTCTACAATAAGGTTAGATAAGTTGATAAATGTAGGTTAATTAAGAAAAGCATTCGGAATTCTTCAGCTAGAGAGGCATAGCATCTATATGAAATACTGATGTTCTATCTGCCATAACTGAAAAACAGGTGATATTTTCACTGCCAAGATAGGAAACAGAATAAGATGGTGATCACGATGTGTTTTTAAAATGCTCCTTGTCCTGGAGACAGTTAATTTTCCTTATTATCCGTTCATCTTTTCTTTCTTTTAGTAACTTAGACCATATTCTTCTATCTGAGAGTTAGATAGGCTCATGACTTTCCAGCTAGTGTTTCATTTCTGAACCTCCCCTGTAGCTTGCTGTGACCATCTAGTTAGTTTTCACGTCTAGTTAGTTCATGAGTATTTGAACAGAAATGTAGTGTGTAACTTCTGTGTCTTGCCTTTAAAAGATTTGGGTGTTGTTTCCCCCTTTTTTTTTTTTTAATGGGCTGTCTTTGAATACGGCCCTACTAAGTCTGTTCTGACTGTAAGAGTGAGGGAAACAACCTAGGTAATGCTGACGCAAAAAGAAGGAACCTGGGTCCCGAAAAATCTCAAAAAAAGAGCTGACTCACAGCCTTGAATAATTCCCTCTGAATTTTGTTATGCGGGGTGCGGGGAGAGCAAACCAAAACCAAAACCAAAATAAATAAATAAATAAATAAGCCCACTTCTGTCTTTTTTTAGGCACTGCATTTTAGCATCTCTTTATCACAGCAGTTAAGCTTATTTTCTAACTACTAAAACACCCATTGGATTCTATTTATGTGAACTCATAAGACTTTTAAGCTGCGCAGAAATCACACACACGGTTTATAAATTGATACTCAATCTTTGAAGAAAACAAATGGACCTATAAATGTGAGGAACGTTCTGGTAATCTGTTCTCTGGATTTATGCTATTTTATGTATCAGTTTTTTTTAACAGCTAGAACACAGAAATGGTTTAACAGATATTGTTATAGCTAGCAAGGTTAAAAACACATACCCTGAGCTAAAATCATGTATGAAGATGAGATTTTTCCTGAAAGAAGGGCAAGAGAAATTAGTAGTCATGGGACATAGACTCTGTGACTGTTTGTGTCTGTTTCATGTTTTCCAAACATTGCCAGAACCACAATTATTTGTTTTAATAGACTTTATTCTTTTTAGAACAGTTTTAGGTTTATAGCAAAATTGAGTAGAAGGTAACCATAATCATTTTTGTTATAAGCCACCATATTATTCCTTCAGGGGTCAGCAGTGATATCAAGGTAATTAATATTAATAATATTGTTAATTAATGTTATAATAATAATGCTGCACCTATGTGAGATGATGGGATTTTCCAAAGAAATTGCTGGTTAACATTTAATCCAGCAAAATGACACCTCCTTAAAGAACACCTTCCCACTAGTCTTTCCTTTTGATTGAGGCCAGCTGAATATTTCTTGCTTCATTCTTCTCTTAATCCATTTACATAGTTCTCCACTGTACCATTATATGGGTACAGTGGGGTATAGTTCCCCACTGTACCATTCATAGTGTAGATCAGAAAATCTTATTTTATCTGGATCATGCATACCTCCCTAATCTCATACTTTCCACATTTCTTTGAACATTATTATCTAAAAATATTGACTTTATTTTATAAATTTAAATAAAAAACAATGGGAATGGGAGAAGGGGGAGGTCAAACTCTTTCCCACTTGAGAGGTTTATATTTGCTACTTCCTCCATGAAATGTTCTGCAAATCTTCACATCTGACTCCTTCTCCATATGACTCCTTCAAATGTATGCTAAAATACTACTTTCACAGAGAGACGGTTTCTTCTACTCAAACACATCTTCAATGGTACTAAACAAATTTTATGATTATAGTTTCATTCATGTTCAGTTGTTTCATTGTCTATCTTCCCATTGACCTGTAAGCATTTTGAAGCAGGCACCATGCCTCCATTATTCACAATTGAATATTTAGAACCTGATGTAATATCTTAGTACCCAGTAAAATGTAGGTACCCAATAAATTTCTAACAATCCAAATAAATGACATAAACCAGAAAATAATCAGAAACATGAAAACACTCAAACAAAATAAAAAGTAAAGGTTGGTAAGGTGTTGTAATGATTAATAGAAAAAGGACATGAAAACAACTGGAAATGTAGGTAAAAGACTCTTTATTTGACATAGAAAATTTATTATATCTAGGTATGCAGGGCCAAACATTGCATACTGTAAATCTTACTAGTGAAGGGATGCTCCAGATTACCTATAAGAACAAAATGAAATTAACCTTTTCTAACATTGATTGATGGTAGCACATCTACAACCTTGAAGATATGAGAAAAATTCATATGCAACAAGAATAGAAGCTAGAAATGTAGAAGATTAGCTATGGCTAGTATAAGAAAGCATATCAAATAAAACATCTCATACATAAAGGAGACAGCAAGAGAGAGAGGAGGGGGATAGAGACAGAGAGAGAGAGAGTTTTCCAATTTCCCTTCAATGTGCACAGTACTTTTGATAGACCAGACAATAAAACTTTCTTCAACCAATCGGTAAATATGATGAAATCAAAGCTTTGAAATGTGCTTGTGTGGTGGAATTTTCCCTTTGTCTTCTGTTGTTGCTGTATGAAGCACATGCTGAAGTTTGACAACTGTTTCAGAAGAAGGCATATTCCATTTCTCCATTTGTACCGTCTGGTTATATTCAACTCCTTACAACCTAATAAGGGCTAACTCACTGCAGAGGCCTTTCTTTTGAGCTGAGCTCTTACCTTGCAGCATTATGAACAGCCTTCATCACTGTTTTCCATCTACTTAGTCTTTGAACTGCATCAGTTTCCCTATTTCCAGCACTGTAACATTTAAAGACACACACTCAGAATTCTTCTGAGGACCTGGCATCTCAATTTCCTTTTGCCTGGAGTTCAGATTAAACTACTTATTATCATTTAATATATCTTCTATGCTGTGAACACACATGCTTTTATTTTATACACACACGTATGCATTGCCTTTCAATAATACTTCTTTGCTTCTTAAAATTAGTTAGGAGCTATTCAAAGTACTTTACAGATATTAATTCATTTAGTTTTCAGACCAGTTCTCTGGGATAGATATTGTTTTGGTTCTTGTTTTGTGGTTAAGATAACTGAGGCACAGGAAGAGTTGGAATCTTTCCAAAATCACACAGTCAGCACGTGGCAGACCCCAGATTTGTTTTAGGCACGCTGTCTCTGTATCCTAGCTCTTAACCATGCTCCATCATGGTGCCATTTGATCTGTGATTAATACCTGAGTCCCATCTTTGGGTTCAATTGGAAGGAATTGGGTATGGCCAGAAATAAGTGATATTATACCACTTTTATAGATAAAATTAAAGCTCCCAGTTCTTATATAGGCCAATAACCTACATCTATGATGAACTAATTTACCAACAAAATATTGCAGGATTAAAATAATGAACATTATGTTGTTTTTTTCTTCTACAACATAATTGCATACTTTCTTGATACTTTATCTAGAAATCATAATAACATATGACAGATATTATAATTAATTGACTTCCTTATGTATTCCCGTTGACAAAGAAATGACAGATGGCAAGGGTTAAATCAGTTCTAAAACATCATTAAGGTTTAGTCTGCAAAATCTGTTCATTTTATTTATTTATGTATTTATGTATTTATTTATTTATTTTTATACAGAGTCTTGTTCTTTCAGCCAGGCTGGAGTGCAGTAGCAAGATCTTGGCTCACTGAAACCTCTGCCTCCTGGGTTCAAGGGAGTCTCATGCCTCAGCCTCCCTGTAGCTGGGATTACAAGCTTGTACCAACACGCTCATCTAATTTTTGTATTTTTGTGGAGACGGGGTTTCGCCACGTTGGCCAGACTGATCTTGAACTCCTGGCTTCAAGTGATCAACCCGCCTTAGCCTTCCAAAGTGTTGGGATTACAGGCTTGAGCCACCGTGCCAAGCTGATTATCTAAATTTGTTTTAATTTGAACAGTGTGTACATTTATCCCTAGTTTGAATGATTATGCCTTCCCTTTCTTTATTTCCTTTCTTAAAAACAGACTGTTATACAAAACAGTCAACACAAAAACAGCTCAACAACCATATATCAGTTCTCATTTTACTGAGTGAATTTGCTTCCTGAAATCTAAATGCTTAAACTAGAGACCTGTTCCTAGTTATGATTTTCAACTAACTGAAAATGCATGCCTGCTGATAGTATATTTCATTTAGTAACAGAAACAAGCAAATGTAATTTCTCCTAGAGAAGTGGTTTAATGGTATTTATAGAGACATTCAAATATATTTCTAAAAATGTGTTGATCGATTCTTCTACATAAACACATAGAGAAATCATTCAATATTATGAAATAATATTTTTGTAAGCCTTCTGTGTTCTGTAATTCTCTTTTCTCATCTTTCTGCCACTGTGGGGATATTTGCATGAAAATAGCTTCTCTGTTGCTAAGAGTTCATCTGTTCCTGCTGCTTATTTCTCACCTGAAGTCACAATTCTCTGAATGTACATCATAATCATCTCTACATAAGCCAATTTCATAGTCACAAACAAAGGATTATGCCTTCAACTGAGAAACAAGCAGCAGGAGCAGGTTCAATCTAAAAACTATATACCCCATTTTATGGAAATGTCCCAATTAATAAAAATGCAATTGAAGAGAAATATTTTAAGTTACATATCAGTAAAATTATCTCTCGACAGAAGTTTCTCAGTTTTTCATGATGTTTCAATGTACTTTGTACTCAAGCTAGTTAAACCTGCTTTACTCACTGTTAATTATACCAGATGTCTTTTTATCCTTCTGTTTATGTTTAGCAGTCTGTCCCAATTCTATCATTTTTAATTATTTAAAGCCTTTTGTGCTAAGGCTCATATCAAAGTAGTAACTCCACATTGGCATCCATTGATAGCTATTGAATAAAGTATGAAGACAACAGATGGGCTTGGTATGCTTTGTGGACTCACATGGAGACTCGAATGGACCTTAAATATCTCAGTCTATTAAAAATTATGTTCCATATTTAATTGTACTTCCACTTACCTTCTTTGACCAGGTTTGCCATGGTGCCATAAATTATAACACTTCAGAGATTATTTCATAACCTTGAATTTATTTCAGTCCAATTTTTTGGACAGTTGCAGTAGTAAGAAACAAACAAACAAGTTAATTTATTTCCTACTCTATCATTTCCATGAAGTCAAAACTTAGTATAATATAGCAGTTTAATTTTTTCCATTAATTATGTCAAGTAGCATGTAATCAATGCCTAATATTTGTTTGACACTGTAGCGAGTGATAGAGACACCATAAAGAATGAGGTGATTTCTTTCTAATAAAAGATAAATGAGTACATGGCTCAAGAAAGTGTAGTAGTTTTGAAACATTTATGCAGTTGGTGAGAAGGTCTGGAAAGGAGGAAGTACCTCATTTTACCTGGGAGTGACCACAAAAGCTCCCTAAAGGAGTAGAGCAGGATCTGCATCTTGAAAGAGGAGTAGACTTCAAACAAGAGGAGTTTTAGAAAGAATAAGGGAGGAAATAAGTAGGAGAGAAAACAGTAGGTAAGAAAGCAAATGTGAATTAAACAAAGCACTCAGGTGAAGCAGCATGAATATTATGAGAAAAACAGATAATTATAGATAAATGCAATAGTTCTCTAACTGTAGTGTGCGTAAGAGTCACCTGGAAGGCTTCTTAAAACATAGATGCCAAGACCTCACACCCTCTGTTCTGATTCAGTAGGGCTAACCTACAAACTGAAAATTTGCCTCCCTCAAGTCCCCAAGAAGTGTTGATGCTGCCAGTCCATGAACCACTGTTTGGGGCACACAAACAAAATAGCTAGAGCTTAGTGAGACATCAACATATAACAGAGGAAGCACAAAGAATAGCATACTAAGAAGTCTGTGCCTATTTAAATAACTAATAGGAAAAATAAGCAGAAGCAAGAAACAAGTTAAGTGTTTAGCAAAGAAGTAACATGATGTCTCTTTATTTCCTTTTTTGTTTTTAAAATATTACTCTGTCAACTGTGTATATGAAATCAGAGACAGAAACTAGAAGTTCAGCGGAAAGAGTATTGAAGCAAAGCATTCCAGAGTTAGAAAGCACAATCAGGCAAAGGCAAAATCCTAGAGGAAGGGGTTTAGGGTCTGGACAGAAGAGAAGTTAAGTGCATGAAAAGAATGATAATTGAAGGTGAATACTAGAAAGAGTGAGGAAAATGAAACAAATGGACAATATTTCTGGGTTTCTGGTCTGTAGTTCTGAGTGGAGAAAGCAAGTTTGTGAGTTTATTTCTCTAGAATTTGGGGTATATTGTTTATACATGTATGTTTATAAAGAATGTTATTTTTGCTTTTCCAGTGATTCAATTATGTGTGATAAGGTCTACTTATTTTTAGTCCATAAAGACTTGCTTCAATATGAATAAATGAATAAATGGCTCTAAATGTCTCTAAAAAGAGAATAGCTAAATAGTCTGTGACATAGTTTTTAAAAAAATACCAAGTAGTAATTTACTTGGCTCTTTTTAAAAAGACAATTTTTTGAAAAATGCACATTGTCTTATTTATGTAAAACACACACAGATAAAACTTACTAAACCTTTCTGTAAGGAAATATATATAAGAGCTACTCTTTAAAACAAGAGCAAGAAGAGTATATGTATTTGAAGAGATAATTGGATTTGGCCCTGGAGATCAAGGCTTTAAATTTTATTTATTATTTGCATTTCTACAACAAGAATATATTATGTGAAACTAAACATTTAGCTTTTAGTTTAAAAAATTATAATTACTCCTTTTGTTATAACAAAAGGCAAATTATAATAGATATTATAAAAACATAAATATAAAATATCTAGACATCTACTTTACGATAAATGTACAAGATCATTATCAAGAAGAAAAAGAACAATGACAACAAAGACTTGACTAAATGGATCCATATGATGACTCAATATGGAAAGATGCAAAAGTATACAGTTGATCCATTCACAACATGGGATTGAACTTCGTAAGTCCACTTACATGCACATGTTTTTCAGTAGCAGGTACACCAAATGTGTCTGCATCCACTGTCTCATCTTTTACTTCCTCTTCCTCTTTGGCTTCTGCCACCCCTGAGACAGTAAGACCAACCCCTCCTCTTCCTCATTCTCCTTAGCCCAATTACCATGAAGACAACAAGAATAGAAGCCCTTGCGATGATCCATTTCCACTTAATAAATAGTAAATATATTTTCTCTTTTTTATGATTTTCTTAATAGCATTCTTTTCTCTACCTTACTTTATTGTAAGAATATAGTATATAATATGTATAATATATAAAATATGTGTTAATCAACTGTCTATATTATCAATAAGGCTTCCAGTCAACAGTAGGCTATTAGTAGTTAAGTTTTCAGAGAGTAAACGGTAATGGGCAGATTTTTTACTGTACAGGGGTTAGCACTCCAACTCTCATGTTGCTAAGAATCAACTTTGTATATAACATCTCTTCAAACACTAATCTATCCAATTGAGATTCCATTAAAATCTCAACTGGTTCTTATTCTAATACATGTGGAGTATTAAATGTCAAGTGTATCACATATCAAAATACTTTAACTGTATATTAATTATGACACTGTGGCGTCAGCACCTCAATGTAGAATTGAGTTTTTGAATCAGACTGGGAATCATAACAGATACCTAAGAAAGTATGTCATAGTGATCCAGTATCACTTGCAATGAAAGTAGTTGCTGTAAAATTTTCACCTGTTATCATGAGTAAGTTTCATCCACCCCCACTGAAATAAATGTTTTAAAAAACTTTAGTTTCCTCTTCTGTAAAATGAATAAACTACATTTTAGGGATATTGTATGAATACATTAGAAGATTATTATAAAAGCTTCATTATAGTCTCTGGAACATATAAAATAATTTTCCTTAAATTATTTTATTAAATTATTAATTTTATCAATAATCATGTATTATTTAAATAATTATAATAATATAATTAACGATTAAAGTAGAATTATTAGCAACATATGTTATGTCATACATTATAATAATCAATGATTATATTAATATAACTCATATGTATATTGATTAATATGTATTCATTATCAAACTTACTGAATTTAGATTAGACGTGATTCTCTATCAACGCATACACAATTACCCTGTTCTTTTGGATGATTATTTGCTGTTTCATGTATTTTAACAAATGCCTAGTGATTAATATCAAGTATGTTTCCAGTTTTTAGGCAATGTAAATGATGTTGCAATGTAAACTTTTCACAAGCTGCTTGTGCACATATGTAATTGATTCTTTAAGGCAGCTGATAAAAAAATGAAGTATTATGATGAATTGTGCTCCACACTAAATTATTAAAAATTGTTTTTCAAAATCCATTCAAAGTTATTTTACTATCAGAAGTTTAGGGGTGTATTCAATTTTCCCACATTTCCCTACAACTTAAACAGCATTGTGTATCAGCAACATTTTCATATTTTAAACCATATTGGTGAAAATCACTTCTTATTGTTTTCATTTTCAATCCTTTACTTATACACAAATTGACCATGTGTTCATATGCTTACAGACAACATTTTTTTTAAAATTATATCTTCATATAGTGTGTGTATTGTTGTACTTGGTATTTTTTTTCCTGTTTGAATGAGTTGCCCTATTTCTAAAATTAAGAAAATTGGCAATTTGTTGTATCCTTTCAAGCAGTATTTTTTCTAGTTTGCTATTTGTCTTTGATTTTTTTACAGTAGTATTTTCCTATTTACCATTCAGAAATTTTGTACTGAAGAAAAACTCCCTAGTTAGTACTTATACCCCAAACCTTTAATTGTAGTGCAACAGGTAAGGTGAGAGATTTAGGCAATACCAGAGATCAGTTTTATAAAGAATCTAAAATGTACTTATATATTTATTCTATAGCATTGGAGATATTAAAAAAACCATCTGAGTTATACTCCTGAACTAGTTTTGGGAACAGGCTTTGCCAATTCTGTAGAGAGCAAAACTTTTATGCTAATCTAATTTTCTCACTCGTTTTTTAGATCCAAGTAAAGTGTAAGACTGACAAATTTGTCTAGGAGACAATATTTTAGTACAATGTGTCACCTGGTTTATTTTGAGCATATTTGTGGAAATACCATAGGAACTTTTATGGCATAAATTCTTCTTTCTTTAAAGTACAGAATTCCCTATGCTGTCAATATTTTAATGAACTCGAACATGTTTAAAGTTTAAATTTAGGAGAAATAATCAGAGTGACTTATATAATAAAAAATAGGAGATAAATTTAACAAAATACATGTCATGGTAGAAGCCAAAAATATCTGCTAAACTTTTTTTGTTAACAAAAACATATTAAACACTGCTTGCAAGTGCTTTAGGAAGAAGGAAGACACACAGTTATTTAGGACCTGTTATAGTTCAAAAACTTACACCTTATCACACTTACTTCTCATAACTAAGAAAACTAATGACCCAAAGCCAGCCATTATTTATCTTCTCTTAACAAATATTTATTAAGCAAATACTACATGAACTTTGTTTCAATAACTAAGAAATGCGGTGACAAAACTAGAAAAAAAGCCTAAAACCTCCTGCCTTCTTGAAAACTACATGGGGTAAGAAAATGAAGGTTATAAATAATAAATTATATAGTTGGTTAGAAAGTTTAAGCCATCTCTAAGAGAAAAAGTACAGCCACTATTACATATAAAGGCTGAAAGTTAATGTTAGGTTAGCGCCTATTCTAATGGCTAAGTCCTATTCTAATCTATCACGTGATTGAGATGTTAAAATTGGGTTTCTATATATGAAGGAAGACAACAAAACTTTGAGGTCTGCCTTAAATTTCCAGAACACTCATGAAAGAGATAGAGCACTGAATAGAATTCTCCTACGGAGGAAACCAGAGGCCTTTGTAGTTTCAGGCTATGAAACACGGATAGGAGAAATTAAAGACAGTCTTGTAAGTAGAGTGTTTAAATAATTATTTTCCATTCAACACAGAATGTGACAGTAAAAGAGGGTTATTGGGGGAGGGATAGCATTGGGAGATATACCTAATGCTAGATGATGAGTTAGTGGGTGCAGCGCACCAGCATGGCACATGTACACATATGTAACTAACCTGCACAATGTGCACATGTACCCTAAAACTTAAAGTATAATAATTAAAAAATAATAATAATTATTATACTTAGATAATAGGATAGGACTCTCGAGACTGTTCCAAAAAACTATCACTAACAGTCATTCTATTGATCATTGTGAGCATGATTTTGCTGACCTTTTATGTAGAGCCAGAATATACACAATTGAGCACACTGCTTTCGCTATTGCATCTTCAAGGAATTCACATTTTTTGCCCCATTTTATCATCTATCTGAAAACTTCAACTGAGGATCATTGTGATGGAGTAAGACTTCTTGGCAAGTGTCAGCAGAATTTACTGTGTAATCTGGAGCTATGGGAAAAATAAACAAGTGAACAATCTTAGAAGCTTGTACATTACTTTGCACCAGACATTTCTGGTAGAGGTCACAGTAGTATCAGGTGGACTGTAGTTCACAATGCTTGAGTGGAAAATATCATCCTAAAATCTATAATATTAATAACACCAGGATAGTGTCATTACATGGATGACTTCTTTTAAATTTCATGGAATTTTGACTGCCATAAGGTCTCCCTGTATCAGAAGTGACATGTAATCTTGAAATCTTGATTTGTGGGGATGCCACCAGGCATTGCAAGCATGATACTCTGACCAACATCATCCCTTACCATCTGCTCTCTCGTGTCATTCCAGGTCTGCCACTGCACATAGACACAAGGGTTACAGAAAACTGAGACTTTTTTTTAGATTAAAAAATTTAGTAGTCAGCAATGTAATTCAGGAAATTATTTTATAAATATGTCATTACAATGTATAGATTCAAATACAAATACATAATTTGGGTCATATACCACAACTCGTCTCTAAATTGAATTTAAAAGAAATGAATAGACTGTATGTGATCTTTTTGCTATCAGTCAACATTGTGTTAGTTTTTAGTCATTCTATTATCTAATTTTCTGTTATTTACTTCCGCTATTTAACATTCTGTTATTAATTTTTCCCAACTACTATTTGATGTTATACTAATCTAGGTCCCACATGCAACATGCAAAACAATCAATCAACTGTCTGGCATTTCTTTGGTGATATATTGTGTTCTTGCTTTTGACCTGAAAAAATACGTCCATCTAAAATTAATTGATTTTTATTGCTTTCTGATTTTTGATTTGTGCTACAGCTTATTGTATGAATAAACATAGCTGAATAGACACTGAAATATATTTTCAAAGAGCAAATATTAAATGCTTTTACATGAGGTTTTATATTTTAATATATAAAATCACTTTGGGGTATATAAATTGCTAATTGAGCTCCTTAATTGATTCAAAATAATCTGTTAGGCAACTGTAAATATAACAATGTATGAAATCAGATAATTTTATTTTGTATGGATGTTGACATTAAACATTATATAGCTTTGGGATCAAATATCATTTGAAATACTGCTTAACATCTAACCAACAAAATAAACAAAACCCTGAATGAATCCAACTTTAGTTATGATCCAATAATACATTTACATAAGCAAGTACTAAAATGATTATATGAATAATATATCAAAAATATTTTGGTCAGAAACATCTGAAAAAATAGAATTTGTATTATTATCTGAATATTGGTACCTGTAAAATCTTATAGCCAAAAAATAGTATACAAAGCCAAACATAATATAATCAATGCAACATTTTTGTGTTGGCAGTCCTAGTGGACTAATATTTTTGTGTCTTGGTAAGCCAGTATGGAATTTTTGTTTTAATTATACTTTCTTCTGAAAAAAAAAATACATTACTGTACTCTAATTTATGCCAAGCCCAAGAAAAATGTGATGGAATGAGGTATATATTTATGAAATTATATTATATGTAGAAAAGTAGCCATCAAGGGCAAAAAAGATCTCTTCTCGTACAGTTTTTTAAACCTTTTTAAATAGTATGCACATAGCCAATATGCACATAATCAATATTTCCTTTTCTCTAAATCTCTCAGGATATAAACTGATTATTGCAAACAGATGAAAGTCCCATCCAATGAGGTTCAAAAAAGAAAATTTAGTGGTGGTTGAAAGGCCACAATAGCAATTAAACATTTTTCATTAATGTAATTATATAAACAAAACTTCAATCATATGGCGCCATTAAAATGATGACTGTGGTCACAGTAGCAACATAGAAAACATTATATAAAACATAGCAGACCACCAAATAATATAGGCAGTATACGTTGCAAAATAACTTCTAATATAAATTTAAATTTAAAGATAGCCTTCTAAGTTTAAGACAACCTACCTGCAAATTGAACAATCAAACCATGCCCTTTTAAAAAGAAGATAGATTTGTTAGTTGTGTATAGTAGACAAAGAAAAATGTTTACAACTACCCACTCACTTCTCCTACTCTTGGTTGCAGTGCGGGCTACTCATATAGCCTTTATATTCTACCTGTGGATGTAAAGTGGATCACAGCTCTGTGTATATTAGTGATTCTGCATGGAGTACAGAGATGTTGGATCACACTCAAAGCTCTGTCCACATGTTTGCAAGATAAAAAGCAGAGAATCATAGAAAAGATGTGCCCTGATGGACCTCAGTCCTTAGATGATGCTCTCTTTCCCCTACCATCTATAAGAGTATAGGCTACTGTTCACTTGTTGTTCCACTCAACATGAGCTCAGGAGCTTCGTTTTCATTGGGTTATCTCCTCTGATTACCCATTCAGAAGACTTGGTGACTAATTGCAGTGACTCAGCTGTTCTATTTTACTTAGGAAAATAAAATTCAGCAAATATTAGAATTCAAAAGGTGTCTGCAATCTGATCTCATAAAAATTTACCATCTCTGATAATTTACTGAAAACATATTTCTAGTCAAAAGATGTTTAGGATGAATACTGCTCTTTTTTCTTTAGCATAAGGTAATCATTTTTAAAAGTTTATACTTATTTTCCCACGTTGAGGCTAACAATTTCTTTCCTTTTCTCCTATTCAAAGGGAAAAGTATTTTTTAAACCAAATTTTAAGAAATCTTTCATTCACAATGTAAAAAAAGTTTTAATTACCCCCCAAAATTAATTTATGGAAACACAAAAGTATCATAGCAATGGTTAGCCTGGAATGGAATTATAGTACAATTAAAATTTAGAGTTGGAAACCTCTGAATTTGGTTCTTCACTTTACCACTTACTAGCTATGTGAGGATCTAATCTTTTTTGAACCTCTATGTCTTCTCTCATAAAATTTGAAAAATACTATTTACCTTGAAGGGTTACTGTGAAAATTACAACTAACATTTATAAAGCACCTTCTGGATACACAGTAAATGATCAACAAATGATACCTATTTTATTTATTTTTAACTTTTCCAAAATGTGATATGATTATATATTTAAGAATAAGTCTAAGAGGACTTAAGTTTTTGACATTAATAATCCAAAAGAAATATTTGCCCACTGTATATTTCATTATATATCCATTTAATTTCAAAAGCAATAGAAGCTCAATTGTTAAAAACAAGTCCCATTTTTGTTAACACTAACAGCATCTGGAGCCAACACACCAGGATGTTGTATCTGATAAGATTTCCCTGAAGTATTTCTATTCTTTTTTTATGTATCATATATATATATATATATATATACACACACATATATATATATATACACACACATATATATATATACACACACATATATATATATATACACATATATATATTATACTTTAAGAAGACATTTATGCAGCCAACAGACACATGAAAAAATGCTCATCATCACTGGCCATCAGAGAAATGCAAATCAAAACCACAATGAGATATCATCTCACACCAGTTAGAATATTTAACAAGGTTTCATTCTTCTGCTAAAACATCAGTGTTTCCTTAATAGTCATGTTCTATGACAGTAAACGTGTCTCTTATATGTTTGAGCTCAGGTGTACAATTGAGAAGAATTAGACCATGTCAACAAACAAAATTCAGACATGCGCATGTATTGATAACAGTCTGTGGATCACCTGATAGCAAATAGACTGTCAAACAGTAAAGAAGAATTTTTGAGAAAAAAAGTCAACATAGTAGAATAATACATTTTGATGGGTAAACTTGATTCAGCCCTAAACCCTGAGTGTTGCTGGAGAAAGTTGCAATTTTGAACCCTCTGCCTTTCAGTGGCTCAGCTGCTCATCCTGGAAAGAGAGGAAAAAAAAAAAAAAAAACCTCTTTCAAAAACCTCTTTCAAAAACGTCTCTACCTCTTTGAATGTGTCAACACACCATCTTTTCTCAATCTGAGGTTCTTAGAAACTAGATATTGAGACAAAGATAGCATTTAACACTTATTTAGGGTGAGCAATCCCAGAAAATCCAGAATGAGGGAAGCAGGAAAGTAAAGCAGAGAAGGGGAAGGAAAATTGAAGTTGTTGTCTTATTGAGCTGACCTGAAGAGTCAGAAAAAACATAACTGGTTCCTCAATGCCACCAAATATCTTCTGAATGTGTGAAATAATTTTCTGCATCTCAAAACAGTCTATGTGAGCATACCAACTTACATGCTATCTTCCGTTTTTTCCTTTCATTGGTCAAGTGTCACCCAAAAGCACATTTACTCAACCATACTCTCAGGGTGTGGCTTACATTGGGAAAAGTATCTGACCTGGATGCTTAAGTTGGTGTGGTTCCTTCCATCATCTGTGTAATGGAACTCGGTCCTAAGCCACATTTTGACCTCTGAGGGAGCCTAAATATTAAAGAGATGGCCACTTAGGATTTTCTGTAAAACAAATTGGCAGAGTAAAACACTATACAATATCACTGCTGCTGTAGCTGGTCCAAAGGCAATAATTAATATTAATCATAAATATCCTTTACTGCACATTCTATATTTTATTGGAGTGAACAAGACCTTCATCATGAGATATATGAGCACTTACTTAACTTGCACATGCTGTTGAAGTTGCCCATGAGTTATCACTGGACAGAAAAATACTAGAGGATACTGTAATGAACTCCTGTATTAAAAACATATCTCCCTTTCTCCATCATGTATTTGCAATCCCAACTTGTCACAGTAATCTGGGTTGATTACCTCAGCCGATAGAGAAATTATTTCTTCTGCCACCTGGCAGAAGAGTCCAAACTAGATTTTAAATACAGCAGAGCATAATTTGGCATAAATGGAAAGCAAAAACTCTACAAGTAGATGATGAGAGCGATATGGAGAAGGGTCCATCCTTATTCATCCCTTAATTCCTAGACTTGTAGTTTCTCAATATGAGGAAAACACCATCCTGTACTGTGTATTTTGATATTACCTTAACCATTCAACATGGTTTGTCCAAGCTGCAGATCTAGTTGAGCTAAGTCTTCAGTAGGTCCTTCCAATGTTCTGTTAGTCATCTGCATCTCTGTGAAGAGGTACATGATATATTTGATATGATCCTACAGGTTTCAGCCCATTAATTCATTCCTGGGCTATAAATGTGTCTTTTAATTCAAGGTAATGTTGTGTGGGGTACCATTTTGATAGATGAAATGTGGATGCCATTGACTAAAGGCATTGGTAAAGTCTTTGTGAACAGACAAGATATCCCAACTATTCAAGTTATGTAATATTTATTTTAAGAATAATTCAATGCTCCTTGTAAGTGAGAAATTATGATGTTGCAACAAACTACCACCCAATGGATAGCTGGTCTTTCTGAAAGGTAGTGTAGTCTCAAAAGCTCAACATCAGTCTCTACTGGCAGATTGATAATGTCAGAAGCTAGTCCAGACACGGTGATGGTCTGTATTGTTGGTGACAATTATTGCTCCATCCCTATCCGCTCTACTTGTGAGTCTGTGTTTACTCTAGGGTAAGCTGAAGACCAAAGCTGGCAACACCCACATGTTGACAAATCCTGTCTATCCAGCTTTTGAGAGCCTTTTCTGTGTTGGAATATCTCCAATTGGCATTATAAGTGAAACACGAAGATCTACATGTCCAGTTACGTGCGTTCAGTCACGTAATTCTTGTCCAAATCCCAGGTCTCAGGCCTACAAGTCAAATTATTCTTCATTTCTCAGGCATTACAGCATAGCCATATCTCAGTTTTCTTCTTCCTTTATAGCATAACCATATCTCAGCTTTCTTTTTCCTCCATGTTATATGGAAAATTAAATGTTCTCCTAGCAGCTCTGTTCATGGTATTTCCCTCATATCTGTACTCAAGGACAACTTGTGTAAGGACAGTAATGCAGCAGCTATTAATTCCAGCTCACTCCCAGGTTTCATACCACGTCCCTGTAACGGTTCATATCCTTTCTTCTTCTATCAGTTAATTTTTGGGATTTTCCCATGAAGCTATATATGTGGCATTGTTGCTAAAGAGGTTGGAAATATGAAAGTATGGGACAATTACTCGTGATTATGAGGCAACTATTTACATATGTCTTCTGCAGCAGATCAGGCTAGTGTTTGACTGTACCACTACCAACACGCAAGAGACTGTTGCTATGTCTGCTTATCCTTAAGCCTTTTGAAATTAGATGACATATGGCTACCCACAGTTGTCTAGTCAATTAGTGTGTTATCAGGGGATCACCCTCTACATAGATACCAATAACTTTTTAGAGAAGAGAAAGTAGTTCTTCTGAGATAGATATCACCTCCTTTCAAGACCCAGGGGTCTATGCTGCAACGTTCCTGACTTCAGATGTCATCATTATTTATCATAGATACCTCTAGCAGGATTGAATCTATTTGGTCTTAAGACGCAGGTGATTTTTTATTTTATTTTATTTTTTTTGAGACGGAGTCTCACTCTGTCACCCAGGCTGGAGTGCAGTGGCTCTATCTCGGCTCACTACAAGCTCCGCCTCCCGGGTTCACGCCATTCTCCTGCCTCAGCCTCTCGAGTAGCTGGGACTACAGGCGCCAGCCACTATGCCCGGCTAATTTTTTGTATTTTTCAGTAGAGACGGGGTTTCACTGTGTTAGCCAGGATGGTCTCCATCTCCTGACCTCGTGATCCGCCCACCTCGGCCTCCCAGAGTGCTAGGATTACAGGCGTGAGCCACGGCGCCCGGCCTGGAGTCTGAATATTCTTAAGAGTAGTCTCTTAACAATGGTCCTCACTTGACATTGACAATATTTGAAGTCACGCAATAAACGAGGTCGAAGAGTACAGTAACATTTCAACTCTGTACCTTTTAGTGGCAGGAGATGCAAGGTGCAACTACTTGTCTTGGACCTTAAGGAGGATAGCACAACATTTCACAGACCACTATCTTTCCAAGAAATTCACAGGACCTTGTTTTTTGGTGTGTGAGATTTGTTTTTCTCTTATCCTCTGCCAGGTCTGTGTCTTTCTATGATGTCTAGGAAATTTGCCACTTTCTGCTCAGGTCCACTTAACATTATTCATTAATATAGTAGGCCAGCACAATGTTCTGCTGAATAAGTTTGCGACTACATAGTCACAGATAGCAGGAGAGTTAACATAGATTTTTTATGCTATTTTTCTTGCCCTGTAATTGCATATTGCTTTTGATTATTTCTAATAATGAGGACTGAATAAAAGCCTTCCATACATAAACAGCTTCATACCAAGTACCAATGTTTGTAAAGATCAGCTCTAATAACATAGATAATATGTTATAGTAAAATGACTACAATTCGGGCTACCACCTGAATAAGTTTAGACATTATTTATTAATTTTTCTATGTCTTTTTTTTTTCTTTTTCTTTTTTCCTTGAAGAAGCCAGATGAGAAAATTGAGTGAGGATATTGTGGTGATCACAACCATGCATGTTCAAGTATTTGTTACTGTGAGTAGTCTCTGTATGCCTCTGGGGTTTCAGTATCACTTCATTTTTTTCTGTGGAGAAGGAAAATATTATAGATATCATTGCTCCCATATCAAGAAAATGCCAAAGGCTCTTGGCCTCCCAATACTTTGCCATTCACTTTAATATCATCCCAAGTAAATATAGGTAAAAACTTCAGTAAATGGGATGCCATGCATGTCAGGGATTTTTTATCTTCACAATTAACACAAGCTTCACACCAAAATTGAGCCAGATGCTATGTAGAAAACATATTTTCATTCATAGCTGAATGTTAATGTCCCATAAGTAAAAAGTGTATGCTGATTTACTTTGTCTTAACAGAGAATCTTTTTCCACAAATAGAGGAGATAGAAATGGAAAGGGTAAGCATGTTTAAAACTTTCATAATTTTAAAAACACATTTGAAGCCAGAAGTTTTCACACTGTTTTCTACAGAATCTCTTGAGATGCAGACTACTCCTCTGAGCCTATAGATGAAAGCGCTGGCAGGAAGAATAAACAAGACTCCAAGGTGTCCAAACACATTTTGAAATTGAGGAGTTTCAGTATACCTGCTTTAAACATACAGCATTCTTGTCATATTTTTCTAAAAGAAAGTTTGGGTTTTTTTGTTAATGTGTTTTAAGCCACTGATCTGATCCAACATTTTAGTGTTCACTTTGGGCAATGATAAGTTTACTGAAATCTAACTTTCAAAGTTTATACATCAGACAACTATAATATATCCAATATATTCATGTATTAAATAGTTTCTTTAAAAATACATAGTGTTTTTCACTACTTTTAAAGTCAGTATCTTGGGGAAAAAAAACTGGTTTATTTAAGCCAATAGTCCTGAACTCTGGGGAAGTTACTAATCTTTCTTCTGTTTCAGGCAATATCGTATTAGTGAAGTGAAAGTTCTGGTTATGAGATTGCTATATTTTAGTAGATCTCATAGCTCATTTTCTCCTCTTGTCATTTGAAAAAGTGTGGAACAAAGTTTCACAGTGTATAAAATCCTTATTCTATTTTCTAATAAAATTAATAATGTATTTTATTTTTTCTGGAAAATATTTTTGAAGTTAAAATTATAAATTACAAATATGCAAATATATGTTTCGTTATCTTATAGCCACTTACCTTGAAAAAGACAGATGTAAATTTATGAAGAAGGCTATGGAAATAATGATTATGTTTATATGCTTGTCCATATATGGCACACATTTTCACAAGTCAGATAAATATTCTCCTGTCAAAAATGTGAATAAGGGTCTCTACGAACTAAGCAAAATGTGAATAATATTGAATACAAATCCATAAGACTGACAGATCAGCTTAGAATTACGTGTCACTGAATTAGCAGTGGGACAAAAGAGAAAGTACATAATTTATACAGACAGTGAAGCAAGTAACCAACTCCAAAGCTAGAATAAAACTAGCTAGTAGAATTGAAAGCTTTGCAGGAACAAAATTGCAATGGGCAGAAGAACAAATGGAATCTGACATTGTGACTTTCCATGGCCTAGATCTCTGTGACTGGAGATATCAAAAGATATATACAAAGTGTTAGTGAAAAAAATAAAATAAATAAGGTTGCTAAACTTGGAATTGCTGGAAAGCAAATAGTACTGAAGCAAAATCACTTAATATGGCTGAGTGCCACAGTGATTTGCCATTGTCTTTCAAAATATGCTCTTGGTGGAAATATTGAAAGGAAAAGTAACAGAGATGAGATTCAAACATCACTTGAAGTTTTAGTTTTAACTTTGTGACGAATAGCCTCCCTATATAACCTTGGGTAAGTAACATGACTTATTTGATTTTAGAGATTTTTTTATGAAACAAAGGTGTTGGGAAAAATAATGGAGGTCTCTCCTGTTTTTTTATATATCACCTTTTAAAAAAATTAATATTTTAAGTAATTTAAGAAACAGGCTGCTAGGCATGATTCCAGGATCAACAATTTATTAAGAGTGTTTTTTAAATTTTTCTCTGCCTCAGCATCCTTATTCATCAATTGTGTTTAATAAAAGTATCTATCTCTTACGATCATTATTAGAAAAATATGAAATAATGCATGACAAGTATTTACTATACAGGCTACTGGAAAAAGCATTCAATATATATTAGTACAGATTGATTTACCATGAAGCTAATACAACCTAAGCTTCAGGATCTTTATTTGCTAAGTTCTTCCCAACATCCTATATTTGATTTTGAATTAAAATGTTGAACTATTTAAAAACAAAAAACACCCAATACATCGAATAAGCTTGAAAGCCTCACAAAACTAAAAAAAAGAAAAAAGTAGCATTTATCTTTGCTTTTATTACATATTTTTAAATTAATAACTAGAATTGTTTAATATTTAAGAACATGTATTTGTTCAATTAGGTATATAAAATAATGTTTTTAGGAAGCTTGATATAACTGGCAAGTAATAAAATTTGTCATCTATAATAGAAATGATACAAAATAATATGTTTATAGAACTATTATTTAATTATAAAATTGACACTAATTACAAGGGTGTCATTATGTATTTTAAATAAAATTGACTGGGTGTGGTAGCTCACATCTGTAATCCCAGCACTTTGGGAGGCAAAGGCAGGACTGCTGGAGGCCAGGAGTTAGAGACCAGCCTGGGGAACATAGCGAGACTTGTCTCTACAAAAAAAAAAAAAAAATTAAATATTATCCAGGAATGGTGGTCTGCGCCTGCAGTCCTAGCTATTCAGAAGGCTAAGGAGGGAGAATCGCTTGAGCCTAGGAGTTCCAGGCTACAATGAGCTATGATGATGTCACCACACTCAAGCCTAGGTGACAGAGCAAGACTTGTTTCCAAAAAAAAATTTAATTTTAATTTTAAAAATTAATAAGTCAACTAAGTCAGCTAATCAGCATGACTGTGTAAGTTCATTTTCTCTTTTCAGGCACTAGATTGTGGTTGCCACTGGGAAAATACAATACTAAGGAGGATGGAATATTCATCTGTACTGCTCAGTGAAAGGGTCAAATTGTTCTAATTAGCTATATTTTTTTTTTTTTGAGGAGAAAGAAAAACATGTATACATCCTTGAGTTTAAGGCTAACAATTCCTTCTCTTACTCTCAAATTGGTGTGATGAAAATTAAAAGTAAGCTTCTTATGCTCTTACATTCCTCATCTTCTTCTACCTGAAACCTTTTTAGAACAGATTTCTGAAAAGTTATTTCTACAGATAAATTAAAAATGGTATTGCACAGATAACGAAACCCAGTGGAAAATACAGAGTGAAGGCAAATCCAGGAGATATCCAAGTAAGGCAGAACTGCTAGGACACGGACACTGACAGGAATAGTTGTGGGTCCATACTTGCTATTGTTATAGGTACCCATGAAAAGAATTTCTTCTCCCTGAGCCTCGGATTTTTTAAAAAAAATCTGTACAAAGCTGATATTTCCTACTCTGACTATCTTACATAACATACAGTCAATATCATGTGAGATGAGGACAAGTACTGTTTCACTTTCACCTGTTTTACAAATAAAAGTTTAGTTAATTCCCATAGAAGAGTTTAAAACCTACATCTTGCTGGCCCTTTATCACAGGAGGGTTAGTTTCTCAAAATATCACTAGAAACCACTTTCTTGTTTCAAATTATCCCTATAACATGATCTGAAGACTGGACATCCTAGATCATTTTATAAAGGCCAAATGTGTTAATATAAAGATAGAGTATAAAACAGTGGTTATGGTGGTAGAGGTGACAGAAAATGGAAATATATAGGTGAAAGTACAGAAAGTAGCAAATATGTAGGCTGAACAAGTCAGAAGGCTAATGTACAACATGAGGACTATAGTTAATAATAACGTATTGGATTCCCAATTATTGCTAAATGAGTAGGCTATCGCTGTTCATGCCAGCGGAGTGGTGGTTGGGGGGAATAATGGGTAATTACGTAAGATAACAGATATGTTAACTTGTTCTACTATAGCAACCATTTGACTATATATATGGTATTGTATGACATTGTATACTTCAAATATACATAATAAAATGTATCAAAAATAATAAAATAAGATGAATTGATTGTACATTCATTGTCTAAGATATTTGATAGTGGCTCTGCCATTTATTAGCTGTGCCATCTGTTATTTGAAATGCTTGTTTTTTTCATTATTTTATCTATTAAACCAGGTTAATAATGGAGATAGATGTGTAGAATAGATTTCTAAATTTTAGAAAGTGCTTGTAATATGGTAAATGCTGCATAAGATTTTATGCTATTATTATGCAGTACTATAATGCCAAATGTTATACTTAATGCCCAGAGAACATTATACTAAGAATCGACATTTTACAAAAGAAAACATAAGCATCCAGAATTACACTATCCAAACAAAATGTTTTCACTTTTTAATATCTTCTTTTTTTTTTTACATCCTTGAGTGTTTTCATGGTATTGCAATCTAATATTTTGTAGTTGCTTTATAATTTAGCATTATATTATAAATATGTATCATATTTTCTTCTAACATTCATACCTCTGTTTAATAGTTAAAACATTTCACCAAGTGTACGGCAATTAAATTATTTAATCATTGTATCATTGTTTGAGATATAGTTTACAGATGTAATGAAGTTACCATAGTGTCAGAGGAAAAACACTCAGTTAATGTTAATCATCTACTAATTTTGTTATTGTTATCAAACATCATGCTTATTAAAAAATAAATATATTATTTTATATTTCTTCGTATTATCTTAATATACATTTTTAAGACCACGATTATCATATCAAAAATAACATTTTTAAGATGCTTGAAATATACCACCATATTGTTCTTTAAAACAGTATCATCCATTCAAGTGTCAAAGTAATATTATGTAATATATGTGTATACATTTTCTATAACTCCCAGCATTGTTTATCAATAGTTTTAAATTTTCATGATTTAATTACGTAAAAAGATGAAATATTTTTGTCATTTTATTATACATACCTTCAGAAAAGACTAAAATTACTTACAAAAATAAATTAATAGTCTATTTCTTAGAGAAGTTTTCAAATAGGACTTGAATAGAAAATGAATTAAGTTCTATATACCCCCTACCTTGCATACAATGTCACTAAGTAACATTGGTGTAATTCATTCATTATAATAGCTGAATCAATATTGGCGCATTATTATTAAGGAAATTTATGGAGTTTACATTAGGGTTTACTCTCTCTGCTGTATAGTTCTGTGGGTTTTGCCAAAAGCATAACGACATGTATCCATCAATGCAGTATAACACAGGATAGTTTCACCAGCCTCGCTATTGCCTGTGCTCTGCCTATTCCTTAATCCCCTCTCCTGCCCAGGCCCTGCTAACTACTGATCTTTAACTGTCAGTAGAATTTTACCTTTTCCAGAATGTCATGTAATTGGAATCATATAGTATGTAGGTTTAACAGATTGGCTTCTTTCATTGTAAGTTTCTTTTTTAATTAAAAAATATGTCAAATCTTTTTATTGTCTCTGCCAATTGATATTATTTATTTATTTTGAGATCTTGGAAATTTTTCTTATTATTTTATTAGTGTCACTTGTATAAATGGATTTTTAATTTTTTCTTTTTTTCACTAATTATGAAGACACACATTTTTAACAGCATAACATTTTTAAAAGCTTTTTAGCACCTCTTATAGCTTCAAATTACTCATTAGTTACTTAGACTTATAATGAAAATGCCATGTATGGTGCAATTTTTCTTTTAAATATATTTATTACTTTAGAATATCATAGCATAAAATGTATACAGTATAAAAACATCGACAATAAAATTAAAAATCATCTAGAGAACGGCATTAGAAATAATTCTGAATATATTCTTTCTTAATATTAAGAATTTTTTACATAATTAGGATAGTGGAATGTGTGTGTGTGGGTGTGTGTTTGTGTGCCTGTGTACATGTTTTAAATAAAAATGCTTTATGGATCTCTTGATTAGCTTGGGTTTTGGTTGTTTTTCCTCATACCTTTTACATGTAGTTTTCTTAATAACATTGAGTAAATAGTTTAAAATTTAAGTATATACCATAAAATTCACCCACTTTAAGTATACAATGAAATGACTTTTAGTAAATTTGCAGTCTTAAAGTCATCAGTAACATTGAGTTTTAGAATATTGCATAAACCAAAGTGCATGTTTACAATTAATTGTGCACTACTGCCTCTGCTCCAAGTGACTACTAATCTATTTCCTGTCTCTATAGATTTGTCTTTTATGTACATTTCATATAAATCAAATTATACAATATGTGTTCTTTTATGTCTGGCTTATGTCACTTGATGCCATGCCCCAGTTCCTTCTCCTTCAGCTCTTTATGCTGGGATACTATTAAATATAGTAGTCTACATTTATTTTTTTCAGAACTTTCTAGCTTCTACAGTGACTAAATGGCAAATAAATACAGGTACGATACAGACTTTTATCATACCAGTGCATCATTTCAGTCTGTAATCATGTCACTAAACTCCACCATCTTTTCCCCCTCCCAGGATATATTCATCTGGATTTACTCTATTGGCCAGATTGTGTGTGGTGGAGGAGTTGGGGGTATACCTTCAGAGATTTCTGCTTGGGCTTTTCCACTGTGATAATTTTTATCCACAGGCCAAGACTGAATGTGGGTTACACTATCTGCCAAGTGTATCAATTCCACTTATACACTCAAAACTTGAAGAAATACCACTGGGTGCATCCATGGAGGTCACATGCCTAAAGGCCATGCTTTTTATATTATACCACGGTGCCTGCCTGCTGTGCATCTAGTAATGTTGGTAATGTAATAAACAAATAGAGCAACTTTATTAAATGAGGTCACTGGTGATCTCAAATCTTAGGCTTTCAAAACTTATTAGCTTTATTGTGAGCAGAAATTTAGCTAGTATGCTATTCTAACAGGGGCCAATTAGATGCTTTGGGTCTTCAGATATTATTATCAATTCATACTATCTGTCTCACTGCTTGCAATGCCTGGGTATTCTATGGTTCCCACTGCAAATTCACCTGCTTAAATGACCATAAGTCATTTTGGGGGAGATTAGAGAAATTATAAATATACTTGTAGTCATGTTGCAAGACCTTTCCTCCTGGGTACGCAGCCTCTTCTTCAGTCAAAGGGTTCTTGACATAAAAAAGGTCTGGCCTTGGTTCTGAGCAAGAAATGAGGACTTTTCATTGGGATAAGTGTTTTATCTTTCTGCTCTCCTTTGCTCTACTTTTTCTGGTTATAAATGTTAAGAACTACCCTTGCTGGCTGCCCATGTCTTTTGCCCCCTACTGATACCATGCTGTCTTTACCATTTCCACAACTCACTGTGTCAGCTCCCTTGAATGCCCTTCCATCATGCTGATAGTTAAGGTAAATACAGAGTCCTGAATTTTGATAATTTAGCACTGTCACTTCTGCCATCTGACTTCTATTACTTTAGAGCTATATTATCTCCATTGATATTATCAAAACAGGCTTTCTGACTGCTTTCCTTACCTAAGAATTAACTCATAGAGGAAAGTTGTTATTGAACTTGTTGGTGATGTTGGTATTCCACAAAAGTGTATTCTGGTAGCCTTGATGAATAGTGGGTCCTCTGGGCTACAAGTGAAATAGAAATGTTATCCTCTGTGACTCTTCCAACCTCACATTCTATATCCAACCCAGCATTTCTACTCATGTCAGCTGTTTATTTATTACCCTACAACCTGCAGGGAAAACACATTCATTTATACGTCATTTAGTGTTGGCCATCACTTTCTCTGTACCTCTAAGATCCACTCCAGCAGTGAGCTTCCCAAACTTGTGGAGTCCTTCCCTGGGTACAAAATATGGAATCCCAAGAAAATGTCTCCAAATCAATGGCTCTTCTTGTTTACAATGTCTTATATTCTGGTCCAGGTAAGCAAACTCAATCTAAATCAATATTAGGAATACTCTCTTGCCTCCTGTGAACTTTTTAAATCTAATCATTACAACTGCTTTATCATATAATCCTTTTCTTCCCTTATCAGGATCAGCAAGTTCCAAATAACTCTCCCTTGAATTTAACCCTAGTGAAACTGGAGGCCAAGAGAGAAGATAGAGACAACTCATGAGTAGATGCCTTATTGTCTTGTTGAAGCAGCATCTTCCAGCCTAGGAGAAATTCTGACTCCTATTAGGGATGGGTTGGCCACGTTCACAAGCTAGGAGAAATTAAAAGGCTTTGTGCAGCCAACATCATGTGAGGCACTCATCTAGTCTCATCCCATATTTCTGGGTCCCAGGTTTTAACAATAAGGCTCTGACCTTAGCATAATAACCTATTTCACTTGGAAATGTAACTGTTACCTGAGAGCTATAATTATCAGATGCCCAGTCTGCTTTTCAGCTGTGCAGACTTATCCATTCCCAGAAATTAATGTCTCTTTGTAAGTTACCAAAAAAATTCCCTTTCATACGTAGCCTCTAAACTGCTTGTTACCTCAGTTTTTCACTATTTCTCTGCAATGTGTCGATACAACTCAGTTGTAACTGGCTAACTCTGATATTACTATGGGCATTGATCTTCTCATATCTTTCAAATCTGAAATCGTTGCACTTACCACTAGGACATTTTGCAGGTCTCCAACAGTGAAATCTTTAATAACTGGAACAGCACCAGCTGGGGTTTTCTAACTTCTTGCCTGTTTTTTCAGACTACTACTGCAAACATTTGTTTGTGATGTTCCTCTGAGAAACATACACTAAGACAGAATTTGATGCACAGTGAATTATTGAAGAACATGAGAGTTAAGAATAAAGGTGAGGGAGATAAACAAGGTGAGGAGATCTTTAGCCACAAGTCTGCTGAAAAGAATAAGGAGAAAACAGCAAGTTTGAATAAGAAGTCTCAGAATGCAGCGCAACTTCAAGAAAGATTTGGCAAGGCCAACAGGAAGTCCTACAGCCAAAGTCACTCAGTAGATTAAGTCCCACATCTCAAGGAAATGGTCTTCATTAGAACCTCAAGAGTGCTCATTCATCAGCTGCAGCACTGCCTAGGCATAAATGTGGTGGAATCCAGAGTGGCAGCAGATGGATCCATATCAGACAATTATTAGGGCATCTCAGTGGTGCATTTCTGAGACTGCCACAGAGGCTTTCAATGCACAATAATAATTTAGTGCAAAAATTAAGTATTCTCAAGTGCTGCCATTTACCATGTCTTTAGAAAACAAGATTAGCATATTGACCAAGGAGTATGTAGTAATTAAAGCAAAACAAATGAATGAGTAACTATGAACATACTCAACTCAGGTCAGATATCAAATAATCTAGTGTTGTGTGCTCCTGCTTATTTCTCTAGTTTTATTTCATTCCATTCTGCCCCTCCTTTCCTTTTAATTATTCACACTGACCTTCTTTCTCTTCTTATAATACTCCATACAGCATTCTGCAACATGATCCATCTTCTCTGGTAGCTCCATTTAGAGCAGTAAGCAGAGTTGTTTCTTGGGAGTCTATTTGTCAGTGGTCATCATTGTCTTATAAGGTATTAGGTTACTCTATTATCTGAACCTTTCCACACATAATACATTTAGCCTATTTTAAATAAAAAAGACTGAGTCTTGGCTGGGTGCGGTGGCTCACGCCTGTAATCCCAGCACTTTGGGAGGTCGAGATGGGTGGATCACCTGAGGTCAGGAGTTCAAGACCAGCCTGGCCAACATGGTGACACCCCATCTCTACTAAAAATACAAAAATTAGCCGGGCATTGTGGTGGGTGCCTGTAATCCCAGCCACTCAAGAGGCTAAGGCAAGAGAATCGCCTGAACCCAGCAGGAGGAGATTGCAGT
The DNA here is from genome assembly GCF_000001405.40 of Homo sapiens. NCBI lineage: Eukaryota > Metazoa > Chordata > Mammalia > Primates > Hominidae > Homo > Homo sapiens. The sequence goes on along the minus strand of NC_000004.12, from coordinate 59,677,573 downwards.
GAGCCAAGACCGTGCCATTGCACTCCAGCCTGGGCAACAAGAGCGAAACTCCCTCCCTCAAAAAAAAAAAAAAAAAAAAAAAAAAGGACTGAGTCTCATATTTCAGTTATTGGGAGGCAATAATAATAATTTAAAAAATGGTTTCACAGGAGAAAATACAGTTTTGATCTCTGCTTCTCTTACTTCCTGTGAAACCTAATCATTAATTTCCCAAACTAAACTTTTGCTAAAGACCAAAGTTTACTGAGTTGTGAGGATAAAATAACATGCTTTATTTTAATAAAATGTGTAAGTTATTCAGAGAGTTCAAGAAACTCCTGGTATCTAATTATTCAGGAAAGGATAGGCATTCACTATGTGCATATTTATTTATTTATTTAGAGACAGAGTCTCAGTCTGTTGCCAAGGCCGGAGTGCAGTGTTGTGATTTTGGCTCACTGCAACCTCTGCCTCCCAGGTTCAAGTGATTCTCCTGTTTCAGCCTCCTGAGTAGCTGGGATTACAGACATGCCCCCCAACACCTGGCTAATTTTTGTATTTTTAGTAGAAACGAGGTTTTGCCATGTTGGTCAGGCTGGTCTCGAAATTCTGGCCTCTTGTGATCTGCCTACCTGGGCCTCCCAAAGTGCTGTGATTACAGAAGGGCGCCACGATGCCTGGCCCTGCATGTGCATATTTAAATGATCTAAATGTTTGATTCAAATGAATTCATGTGGAAATAGTCTATATGACTAACAGTTACTATTCCAAAATTTATTTTAAAATTATTCTCTGTGTACCAATCCATCACATTTTAAAAGGAGTTATTTCTGTATAAACTATATTGTTGCACAACATTCTGAAGAAACTCGAATGCATTTCCTCTATGTCCTCTGAAATTCTGAAGATAAAACTATGGTATTTCAAATATCACCTAAATGTGGGGTATCTCTCAGAGTATCATCTTCTCTGGCTGCAGCTCTTGCCAGAAACATTTGGCATTCCTGTTTGGTGAATGCCCTGTGAAGAAGAAGATTAAATCATCAGTATCACAATGTAATGTCTGATAATCTTATCTCCCCCTTAATGATGACATACTAGATTTTCTGAAAAGAAATCCATCACTCTACCAGACATAGATTATACATTTTGGATTTCCTCTGTGAAAAATGCAGCTCTCATGTTCTATTCCAAAGTTCATTGGTTCAGTTATCTGTTCAAGTGCATGTTCTGCTAAGAGGCTCAGAATTTTTAACTCTTTAAGGAACATTAGCTCGTCCCCTTGAGATACAGGTGGCCCTCCTCTTTGTCTGAGGACCACATAGTAAATTGGTTTCTGATATCATTTTGTAAGAACCTAACTTTTCTCATCAAATCATATTAAATTAATCTTCTATACATCTCATCTACTTTACACCTCCTAAAAGAAAAGCATATTAGTAGAAAACTGAGTTGTCAATTACGAATAATAAAAATCGGTGCTTTGTATGTGACTTTTTTTTCCTTTGGTCATGTAAAGTACAGGAACATTTTAAGGCAAAGGTGAAACATTTTAGTACCTAGAATGAGATGGGCAGCTTTCTGCTTTTACTTACGTGCATCTTGACTTCATCAGGAATAATAAGCATCTACATAAAAAGCAGAATCTTGCCCATTGGTTTTAAAGCCTAGAATAAGCAGAGTTAATCCACTTTTCCTCCTATCAACACACACACACACACACACACACACACACACACGCACACACACACACCATTTTAAAAAATGTTTGCATTCCTCAACCATGTCCAGATGAGGGACCAGTTTATGTACTGCTGGCTCCCATTTGACTCTGACAGTCACTGACCTCATCTAGGTTTTAGGTTAAGTGCAGTGGATAGCTTTATTTGCTGGTATCATGGATGATTGCTCTAGGAATAAATAAAACAAGGAAATAAAGCCAGAATTCTGTAAGGACTGCCTACAATTCACAGCTTGTAGTCAACTGACTGATAGAAACCTCTTTTCTCACATTTACCAACATTTTCTAGTGAGCAAATGACAAAGTAGAGATTTCCTCTTTCATCTGCATGAAATCAATATTTATATCATTAATATTTGATGCAGCCAAACCTTTTGATAAAGACGATGCCGCCAGACAATTCTGAACTAACTAAAATAATTGAACTTCAGAAAGCTGTGTGATCCTATCTTTCTAATTCGAATTTTTGAGACTCAGAATAACTCCTTAAGCTTAAGTTTTTCTTCAGACCAAAGTAATAGCAATTTTAAAATTCTGACTCCTAAAACAATGTGTTAGGTGTTCTAATGGAACTCCTAAACATCATCTGGCTCTTGGAAAAATTATTATTATCCTCTATGGTAATAAAGTAGTTCCTGAAAACATAATGACTCTGTAAAAATATCAATTCAAATATGTCAGCAAGGAAACAGTTTAGACTTTGAGCTTTTGTGGGATTTCTGTATAGAAATAAAAAGTCATCATTCAATTTTGCTCCATATAACAACATTTAAAACACAGCTGTGAAATATGAAGTGCTAACCTTAGGAAACTTTTTTTTTTTCTCTTTCTATCTTGGTGTGTCTGAGATCCAAATTAGATCCACTTCATTGATTAAAAATATTGCTTCTAATGATTTGCCAAAAATTGTGCTCAGAAATTTAAATTAGGTTAAGTGTTTTGTAGCAGACTGCCATAATAATTTTCCAAAGCAATAAAATCAGTTATCAGAATTAATGATACATAAAATTCATTTTATGCTTTTACTTACATTACCTTGCTTCTCTTGATTATCTATTTTCAAACGAACTCCTATAACTCTATAACTCCAATGACCCTGGCTGTGGCAGAGAGGACAACGGGTTTCAATATATTTCTTTAAAACATCTTCCTGTTTGTGTTCAAAAGTTGTGTGGAACATATATAGAAAATGCAATAGATTACATAGTCTGCTAACTCTGCAAATATGAAATCCCCCTAAAGTGGCAGTTGCACACTAAGTGGCCTTCCCTGGGGTTAGCAGTGATGGAGTAGCTGGCATTACCCGCTGAGTGAATGGAGCAGCTGCCACTTGAAAAATCAAGGGATGGGTCCCTGTTGCTTAATGACCCTTTTCATAACTCTCCTAAGGACACAGCTCTTCCCTTTCTTCTCTTATTAAACTATGATGCCAAATGAAAGATATGTTGCTTAAACAATGTAGTCTATCATTCATTCTGTCATTGAGCCTATGAGTTCTTCACTGTTAAAGTAGGTATGAAGCACCTACTATGTACAGGTGATGCCACAAATTAAAGCTACTGAAACAGAGATAGCAGGTCTCTGTGTTCAAGGAGACTGTCTTATGAGGAGACAGACACATAATCCGCAAGACAGGAATGAAGTTCTACAATTGCACAAAAGGGAGAGTTAATTATTCTACATTAAGATGTTAAGAAAGCCTCCACATAGGATATTCTTCCGAGCTTCATGAAAAGATAGTTTTTAGATACTTGGTGGCTTTGTCATTCATTCTTTGTCATGAATGTATATTAGAAAAAATTACAGTTATTAATTGCTCAAAAATAAAGCATTCACTTTTCTTAGTAAAGATGTTATTTATTTCAAGTGACTTGCAGCCCCCAAATGCATATACATGCCCCATAATGTGATATATATATATATATTGCTTGAGTTAAAGGAGCAAATAGTGAACATCTTAGAATGTTCCAGGGATCACTGGATACTCTAAAGGAAAAGAAGCTGAAGGACAATCAAAGCTGAACATCTGCACTACCATCCTAGTTCATCTTTCCTCCGCCGCTATCCTGACCATTCAAGTGTGTCTCCTTTTTAACTTACCATTCCTTTTGTTATCTTATTTTAACCTCATCTCTTTCTGTTTCAAGCTCCACAAAATTCTATAGAACAGTACTTCTTAAATTTTATTATACCATTAATACAGACATCTAAAGATCTTTTAAAATGCCTATTCAGAGTGGGGCTTGAGATTCTCCATTTCAAGCAAAAACAATTTCCAGATAATGCTTATTCTCTTGCTGATAGTTTAAGTGGCAAATAATGTATATCAAGTTTCAATTATATATAAAGAAATCATCCTTATTTATTTTTACTTTTATTTAAAATTAATTGGAATTGTGAATGTTATTGTGCATATCTTTTAGTCTTCTGGTGGGAAATGTTTTAAAGGTATAATGGGTATGGTACAAAAGTGATGTCCTCTATATAAAAAATTCATAGCAAATTGGAGGGAAAATACATTGAGATAAGATGAGTATAATGTATACAGTTGAACATTTGGAAATTGGAAGATACTGAATTTCTTGTTCAAGTGATCCTATTGATACTATGGTGTATAATAAAATAATAACCATTGGTCTTAATCCTTCTCTAAAGTTCACTTCTACCTTCTGCCACGATTAATCCTTAGCACCTAGCACACTGCCATATAAAATAGAAGCACTTCTTAATTATTTTATCCTTGAATAAAGAAAATAAATACATAATTATCCAACAATATTGTTTTTCTCCTAGTAGGTCATTGAGTCCTTAGCTAAAAGCAAGACTCTAAAGTAATACATATGTGCTAGGGTTGATATTACAGACCTGGATGGGGAAGAGGTCGGGAATATAATAGAAGATGTGTTGTGCTTCTAGGTTGACGTTTCTGCATACAGATAGATTAAGAGTTACACCTGATGATCGTGAAAATACAGGGGCTCCTTGGGAGCAGAGATATAGATGAGTAGAACATATGCAATTAGCAAACTTAAACATTAGAATAGAGGGCATCTGAGAAGACATTTGAATACTTTATAATTTTGCCTAGATGTACAAATAAGCATTGCATACCTTTTACATTAGTAATCAGAGAATGGTATAATTCACTTACTCAAAAAATAAATCTTATGGTAACATAAATATGTATATTGTATTGTTAATTGCCTGATTCTACAATGATCATCTTAGATTACATAAACAATGCTGCAATTGATTTTTTTGGCAGAATAATACACCTTTTAAAATTCTACAAGGCAAAGGTCATTTCTGTTTCACCTATTTATTCCTGACACCATAATTGAAGCATAAGAGGTCTAAGTCTATGTTGTTGACAAATCAATGAATGAATGAACTATTGCTATAAACATTGCACATAAGACACTGTGACATAATGGAGCCCCGGAACATACCTAAAAAGTAGTTGTTGTTTGTAGAATACACATTCTAAATGTAAAGTGTTTGTTTCCATTCAGGTTTGGCTGGACAGGTGTTAGAGATATTTCTAAACAAGACACATCAGTATTTTACTCATCAAATGTCTTCATTGGAAACATATTAAAATTACACCTTGGAACAAATACAAATTCACCCGTTTTACTAATTTTTCTCCTAAAATAATGTGCAATTATGTATCTTAAATATTACATTCATATGTTTTGCTGGACTGTGGAAATACTACTCAGACTACATGTTAACTAATATAAAAATAGTAATTTTTGCTGTATTCAAATGTTGTGAAAATAAAGTACAAAAAACACATTTAAAGAACTAGCAATCTATCCAAAGTAATGATTATGTTTGATAAAAATCTTATCGATTACATTTTTTAAGGGTGTCAGTTCTGGACTATATAACACAAATTAGCTGTGCATTTCTTTACCTAGAAAATTTGATTCCAATATTTTAGTCAAGTGAAATAATCTGATAATTTAAGAAAGGTATATTTTCTAGGATATTATTTGCTGTGCTTTTAATGCCCCACTTCAAATTTATTTACTAAAGAAGAATTAGTTAAAAAAAGAGAAGCATGTCCATTCAATGTGATGCTTTGCATTTATAAAGAGGAAATTAATTGACTTCTATATTCTGCCATAGAAGAATGATGAAGGCATATTGTTAAACATTTCAGAATCTTTTATTATCATTTAATTTCTGTTAAAAATAAGTAATTAATAATTCTTTATAACTTGTCATTTGAGAAAGGAAAGTTTCATCTCTTATTTTATACACAAAAAAACCCCATTTTCCTTTTAGAATATATTTTCTAACAGCACCATTCAAACTTTTGGTGTATTTAGAAACTCTCTTAGAGCAACCATGTAAAAATGACTTTTGGTAAGCAATATTATTTTCCTAAATCTGGTTTGGTTACTCAAGAAGAATTAGTAAGTGTGGGGTATAAATTCACAAACAGAAGTGCATAGATGTTTCTTCCTGGTATCATAGGCTAAATTAAGTATTAATTTTAATCCATAAAAATGAATTGTTTCCTACAGGTAATGTGATTCATGTTCAAAACTTCCTAATTTGTGGTGTGCCCTTCCACATGGAAGGAATTCCACAAACATGACATTACTATCTTCCTCTCAGTGCTCTCCCTCACACCACGCATTCTTTGCAAAAGACAAGTAGTTTGTTTGGCTACTAAATTAAAGAGCAGAACATAGTATGCATGTATGGTTTGCTATTTCTTCTCTTTTTGCATAGAAGCCAGTCTGCTCCCACAAAAATGTACTCTAACTTTCTATGTAAAAAATTTTATAAAAACAGGCATATTAAAAGTACTCAAACATTACTTATGAATGGGGAGAGAAGATATCAAATGTATGGGTTTACTATGAGGAAATCAAATAAACTACAGATACCGGATATTAGCTTTATTAGAAAAAAATGTATATTTTGATCTCACATATTCTACATGCTTTTTGTCATATTTCTCTGCTCAAAGTGTAGCTCGGAGAGGTGGGTGTTATTTATCGCTTTTCTAAGTCCCTAACAATTAATTGTCAAATGGGATTCTGGATACTGAAAATGTTCAAAATTCCCCCAAAAAATTTATGTTGACTTGTTGTTGTTGTTTTTGTCTGATTATAAATCTAGATGAGAATACTGATAGAATCAACATAATAAAATATAAAAATATAAAATAAATATAATAAATCAGTTATTTCAACACTTAAAAGCAATTATAGCTAAAATCTTCTCGTAGTATATTGGGCTCTTAATGATTATTGTAAACATATCTGATAATACTGAAAACATAATTTGCATACTGTTTTATTCATTTATCAGCTATAGTATAAACTTTTTTGTGCATAAAATGTCGAATAATCTTGGCTTTCATCATTCCATTATCGTCTATTGTTGAGATGCACCTTGTTCTTTTAAACTGCTCTTGTACTAGCACTTAATTTGTTTCTAATTTCTCACCACTGTACATAGTGTTGTGTTGTATATCCTTGGGCCAAAATCATTATTTGCATTTCACTTATATAAGACTTTATACAAGAAAATTGAAGAATACAAGTTTACCTAACAGATTCAACTTCCCAAATTGCAATAGTAATAATTTAAATTATTGCAGGAGTGAACACTTTTAAATGATTTTACAAAGTTGTTTTGTTTTTTAATTTAAAAGCAAAAGTAATAAATGCTCTTTATAGAAAAATGAAACATTTAAAACAATTTTGACTTTCAGAAAATGTATATTAACTTATAAAAATTTTGCATAATTTGTTTTAATATAAACCTGGGATCCCTGCCTTTCTTTCATATAGGTATACTTCATTGCATTACATGGATAACTGAAGTTTCCTAATTGATAATTGTTCAAGTTTAGTTATTACATTACATTAATGTATACATGTTTCACATTGAACCCCTTAGAACATTTATCTTACCTAATAACTCAAAACTGTGTCTGAATTTGTACTAGCTTAAAAAAGTGAGTCCAAAATAAAAATTGCAAAACAAAATTGATATGGCTTCATAATCACCTCTTCTATGGAGCGTATTGGCTTTCCACTCCCTAATTCAAAGTATCTCAGATAATTCAGGAAATCTCTAGGGCACTGTCCAATGTCCCTGGAGTTAGACCCCAAGCTACTTCAGAGTTCAAAGTATTTTCCTCTTTTGATCTGGCTTGTTGGGTAATAATCCTTGGCATCGCACTCACCCAAAACATTAGCTATTTTCCTGATGTCTAAAAGATACCCACTTATCACTGCTGTTTTGCATCTAATAAGTACTTCCAGATTGAATATTTCAAAAAACAATCTCTTTATTCTTTCTTCCTCTATAAAAGTATTTCTCCCAAAATACGCTTTTCCTCTGGGAGAGAACCACCATTCTCCCAGTTGTTAACATCAAAATCTAGAAGTTATTCTTCATTTCTCTATTTTTCTCATTCTCAACATCCTGTCTACACCATACTTTATTTTTCTCCAAAATATATTCCACACTTTTCCTTTTCCACTCTGCTCCCACTTTACTACTCTTTCCTTGGTCTAAGCCACAATTATGTCTCACTTAAACTCCTATAATAGCCCCTATCTGGCCTTCCTGTTTCTAATTCTATTCCAGAAATCCCTTTTTCCCATTGTAATCCAAGGCATCTTTCCAAAATGTAATGATGTGAAGTGACTGCTTTCCGAAATCCTACAATAGCTTTCCATTACAGAGTTTACAGCGTAAGATGTAGATCTTACTGTAGCCTGCAAAGCTTTACATCTGTAAGTCCCTCTCTGCATTTCTCTTCTCATTTCAAAATGCTCATGAACCAAGCCTTCCCACTCTACCTTTCAAATCCTTGAATTGCTGGCTCCTTGTCATTTAGGTCTCATTTCAAATGACAATTGAAGTGAAAAAACATATCGTTAACATATTTGCAAAATAATTTCCTTTCCTCCTGATGGTGCTTTACAAACTATATTAATTTGAGAGTTGACTTGAATGTAATAGCAAATAAAATATTTTTAGAATTATGTGAGTGGTAAAGTTTCTGAGAAGTTGCTTCTCTGTAAATAACTTCCAGTTGCATTAAAAATTAAAAGTAAATTGTCCATCTTAGACATTTCCAGGGAATTTCTTTCTTCGAAAGTGTAGGTATATTTTCCATAAGTTCAGAAATTTACAGTTGAGAGAAATGTAAAACAAATTCTTTTCTTTTGTGAAAAAGTCTATTTTTTATTTTTTAATATAAATGCTTATGGAATATTTTCATAATTTTGAAGGTTCCAAAATGTTATAGGGCATGCATACAATTTCATAGATTTTTGACAAATGCTCAACACTTTCAAATAGCTCACTCTCAGGATTCATAACACTAGAAAGCCTTCTTACTATAAGCATTTATTTTGTTGACTTTGTTTTATCTCTTTCTCAGAAATGGTTGAAAGAATCATTATGTTGAGTTCCTTCCTGTTCTGGTCCTTCATATCTATCAATCTCTCTCTCTCATCAGTTTAGTCTATCATTTTTTTTCCCCTCTACATTACAGTCACTTCATTAGGATTTATAGTGTCAGCTTTGCTATTATATTTTTGAATTTATAATTATTTCTTATTTAATCCACCTCAATTTTCCATATATGTTTTCTCTCATATACGTACACATGATGTTGGTATACATGCATGAAAGTATATGTATTTACTAGTCTAATTTCTCTTTACATCTCTTTTATGAGGGTAAAAGGTAATCGATTTTACTTACGTAGTTGTCTCCAAAAATATCACTTGGGCTATAAAATATTATTCCCAAAACTTTATTACATTGACTCCTAAGATACCACTAGTTTCTAATGGATGTTTCATGAAAATATTTGTATGGTCAAATAAATTTTAATATACCTCTTATTATATCCACTCTGAAGGGATTCCATATATACTTTCAAAGACATCAGAGTAAAGAAATACATTTTGTCTAACCTATCATTTATAAAAATTATATACACCAACATTATATTTTCATAGTTGATTCCCGTTAGAAACTCAGCCATAGATAGGATAGATACAATGGCTTGAGGCTTGCTGAAAATTGACTACAATTTGTTCATAGTATGTAGAAGAAATGAAGCAAAAATCATTGTTTTCCAGATTGTACTGACACTAGAGATCTGGATACGATTCAGATTTTACAAATCAGATGAAGAAACTTTTAGCCACACGAAGTGAGAAAGATTTCCAATAGAAAATTTTACTTTTTAATGAAGCTACTTGGCAAGAGAGGGAAGGAGCAGGCATGTTTACAGATAAGGATACTTGCAGGGTACCATGACCCTGGAAATAACAGCGTTGGTCACTTCTTATGTACCCCAATCTAGTGAGAGAAGCAAAGGCAGCATGTACTTTAGTCACCAGGTCTGTGGATTGGTTTGGGGAATAATTCCTGAAACTTTAGGTTTGGGTGTGTCAATTTACTTCTCTAAAAGACGACTTGAGCTCTCTTTCTTAACAAACATAATTCTACTAAAAGTAGATAGAAATAATTCTGTTATTTATAACTTATTACATTTCACATTTAATAATATTTATCAATACTATATGCAGGCAACAGAATAGAACTTTAAGGAAGTAAAATCAGGAGTGATTATCTGACATGGTCAAGTTTCCAGGCAACAAAAAACTATTATCCTTAGAGGATGGAAGATGGGTGGAGTAAATAATGATGCAGCACACACACCTATATTCTGAAAGCATAATGCTGTTGGGTCAAGGTACCACTGCTAGAAACCACTAGGGCAGGAATGGCTTAAGCCCCCATCAGATCTCTTTTATGAAAGTTAATGTATTGATTGGTGAAGAGAGACACTTTGATATTGTAACTGAGACACATTAGCCGAAATGAATAATCTGTATATCCAAAACTCCTACACTCCCTGAGCTTCTCCTGCCAGCATAGGCTGTACACTCCCTGAGCTTCTCCTGCCAGCATAGGCTGGCTCTTTGTAAGTTCAATGAGTAGTTTATGCCCTGAGAAATCTTCAATGACATCATCTTCCTTATTTACATTGTCATTCTCCTCATTGCCCCTTTTTTCTAATCCCTTCCCTAATTACCTTTAGATTTATAACTAGATCAGACCTTAACTTTCATGGGAGATCACGTACAATTTTTAAATCAAAAGGAAAAGCTTTATGCACCAAAAGAATTACAAGAGTTCACTGATTTATGTCCATGTAAATCTTGGATCTTGGAATGGTGTGCAAATAGATTTAGAGAGTTCTACATTAAGGAAGAAGAATGGTACATTTAAGTCAAGCTGGCTTTTCAATATGGGTGTATTAATAATTCTGTGCCAACACTTAGGCTGTCTGACCAACACCTGGACTCCATGTTGGCCAATGCTAAATGCAGTTGAATTGCTGGAGATTGTTTGGTATAACATTAGAGAAAATAATTCTGAAAGTTATACATAATCTTTTGGCTTATATATCTGATAAGAAATTAGTAAGTAAGAGATCAAATCCTCCTGTGAAAATGCTAATAACCTGGCAAACTCACTAATGGTATTTACTAGCTAGAGAATGCTTATCTCTGAAATAGTTTTAGCAGGATACACCTGATGTATTTAAGATTTTTTTTACAGTTAACACACCTGGAATTTATGAAATTATGGAATTTTGAGGGTATGATTCCTTGGAAGTGTCACTTAAACTATGTAATTACTGGAGTATAACAAAAAGACTTTTCATTACCAAAGTAGTTTTATTTTCAGCAATACACACATCGTTTAGAAACTTCCTATGTTAAATCTGGGCCGAGAAAATTCAGGACCTGGAAAGGGGTTTTGACAGTACAGAATATCTCCAGGTTTTACCTAGTATTCACCATTACCTGCATCTTTGAAAATATTAGCACAGCTTGAGAGTGGATAAGACCATTGATTACAATTTGGCTACCTGACACTTTCTGTTTTCTCAATACCACTGGACAGGACTTGTATACATGGGCGACACCTACCTGAAGGGGAGGCTGTAAAACACTAAACATAGAGAATTTGCTTATAAAGGAAGAACAGAAGCCTAGATATTGAGGCAGTCAGCAGTCTTTAAAACATTCTCAGCATATGTTCTACTATATCTTAAAGTAGCTCAGTTAGATGTTAGACTAAGGTTATGTATTTGATTATATTAAAGAAAACTGCGTGAAGAGACTCTCTAAAGTGATGGTATAAATCTCTGTGCAAGGATATATAGTAAACATGTTTATAATATCAATATTAATTTATTCATTTATCAAAAATTATCCATTAAGGAATTTTATGGGTATTTTTCAACAAGTCTATCAAGTCAAGGCCAAGAACACTTTATATAACTGTCAAACATTTTTTATCATGTTTTATTGGAAGTAAAACCTCCATATTAAACCTAGACCACACCAATCTTAAGTTCTGAAACTTTTGGAGAACTTGAGATGGTCTGCCAGGGTTTATAAGAATGTAGTCTCAAAAAGCTGCTAGGGAATGAATTTATCCAACAGTATAATAAAGAAACTAGAGTTTTAGAAACATATCTTCAGGAACAAAAAGTGGAAAGTGTCCTAGAATGTAAGATAATAATGAACAGTAGTCTATAGTCAATTGAAAGTAGAGGCCCAACCTTAAGGCATTAAAAATATATTAAAAAACAATAAATACTTCCCATGGGCTTCTAGTTTGCAATATTTATTCTGGACATACAGGTTTTAGTTAAAAGAAAATGGTCACTGTGTTTGCTCCAGGAGAAAGGTAGAGCGCTATGGAAAAAGAGCCAGAAGAAAAATGAGCTGTTTGACTAAGGTCTCTGTGGGACAGTGAGAGCACACAGCATCAGCATCCTCAGAGCCAGCAGCTGCATCAGGGATGGAGGCAGTGCCAAGAGCAAGCAGGTCCTCAGAGACTACATCAGGGCTCACAACACTGGGACTTGGCAGCTTTCCTGGCAAAGATACTTCTAGGTATATTTAGGCTCCAGTGTGTTGGACATAAATTGGGTGGCACCTGTGGCCAAACTACTTCATTAGTTGTCCAGGGTACCAGCAGTTGTGACTAAGGATGACAATATAAAACATGTATGGTGCTTTCTATGTGTCGCACACTTTCCACAAATTTACATATATTAATTTAATGAATCTTATGGCTTTCACGCCCTTGCTCATAAGCACACACAATAAGTTTAGAGCCAGAACTCAAGCTCAAAATCTATTCTCCTAAATATTATGCTATGCTGAGAGACAGAGTGTATAATCCAAGAAACATGTCAGAGATCTCCTGGTAATCCCAGAATTATTTGAAAGCTTTCAGGATTAACAGGAGTGTGGGTAACGGGGAAAGGAGGTGGCATGACCAGAGAAATAGTTTGAGGTATTTGATGTCACCTTATTTCACTATCAGTAGTCCTTGAGAAATATGGATTATAGGGTATTAGATAAGGTAGACTCTTTTAAGTAATTCAAAGACAAAATGTATGCCTGTGAACATAATCTTAGACATATTTAAATTACGAAACTGAAATATTTGCCTTTGCAATATTTCCATGGGAAAGATGAACAAGAGGCCAGATTAACATAGATTTACATTTAAACAATCATAGCAGACTCTCAAGGTAAGGTAAATTTTCTGGAAACCAAACAAATATTTACTTATGTCAATAGCACCCCATCCATGGCCACAGGTAAGGGTTTTTTTTTTTTTTTTTTTTTTTAACAGTGTAACAGATTACAATCAATTTATTTATATATTAATTGCACAGTGATCAGGTAATAAATGACAGAATTACAGTTTCAAGATTGTGATCATTTTATTTCAGTAATAATGTTTCATTTATAAAACATTAAAATTTATAGACTGTATGCTATATATATGTTGAAATTCTTATTGCTCAAATACAGATAGATTAAACTAAGTTCCCATGTTCATTATAAGTTTTCAAAGTCTAAACTCCAAGATAATAGTATTTAAACTTTTTTAGAAAAATTACAGACCTCTCTTCCAAAACAATTTTTAACCACAATTTCAAAATATATGTTAAAATAAATTGTATATATAAGTGGTTACCCTTATGTAAGTTTTATAAATGTAAGGATACTCAAAGTATAAATTCTTAAGACAGACATGAAATAGATTGTTGAAAATTGTAAGAAGTTCAGAGCATTACTACCTCAGAAATCAACAAGATAGAGTGCAATTTATTTTAAAAAATAATGAATGCTAATCCCTATGTCTGATAAACTAATTTTTTTCCATCTGTCACCCACCAGTTGTCAGATATAATTAAAAGAATCATGGTTTTGTTTCATGATTAAGAATTTTTACTAGGTTATGTTAAATGTCATACCCATGTTTTTTCATTGTTTATTGTGTCTGCATTATTGATACTACTTTAATAGACTGTTTTCTTACAGAAATGTTTTAAAGTCATTAGCCATTCTGGGAGATTTATTTAGCTTAATCTAGCTAATATAATCCATAAATCATTTTAACCTGGCATGTGTACACTGTAATTTGTCAAAATACATTGAAAGGAAAGAAACTATTGAGAGTGTAACTTTCACATAGTGCCTCATGGAACTTCACTGTTTCCTTAAGGACATATCCTGCTCTGTACGTGACACATGACCTTCCGAAATAAATGGCCTTAGGGAAGGTGCCAGTGCCAGTCTAAATATTAAATATTAATAATGCATAACTATATTTGTGTGTGAGTGTATGTGTGTGTGTATATATATATAATTGTAAATATGCATATGTAAATAAATATACATACACACATATAGTTTGTATAAATTTAAGGGATACAAGTGCAATTTTGTCACACAGATATATTGCCTAGCGGTAAAGTCTGGGCTTTTAGTGTAATCATCATTTGAATAATGTACATTATTATACCCATTAAGTAGTTTTTCATCATCCATCCTTCTCCCACCTGTGAAAACATGTGGTGTTTGCCTTCTGTTTCTTAGTTGTTTTACTTAAGATAATGGTCTCCAGTTCCATCTATGTTGTTGCAAAAAACATGATTTAATTATTTTTTATGGCTGAATAGTATTTCATTGTGTATATATACCACATTTATTTTATGCAACCATGAATGGATGATGGACAATTAGGTTGATTCCATATTTTTGTCATTGTGAACAGTGCTGCCATAAACATATGAGTGCATGTATCTGTTTTTATATAGTAATATCCTTTGAGTAGATACCCAGTAGTGGGATGACTTTTACATTGTCAAATTCAAAATGTATATTGAATGCATATATTTCACCACTGATAGTTGTTATTTAGGGTATTGATATATAATTATTTTAATTATTCATCATTTACCATAGAAAGAGAAAATTTAACAAAACACCTATGTACACATGTATAATTTTTTTCATTTTTTTTTAAATTTTTTATTTCCATAGGTTATTTTGGAAGAGGTGGTGTTTGGTTACATGAGTGAGTTATTTAATGGTGATTTGTGAGATTTTGTCACACCCATCTCCCAAGCAATACACAGTGAACCCAATTTGTTATCTTTTATCCCTCACCCTCTTACCCCGTCTTCTTCTGAGTCCCCAAAGTCCATTGTGTCATTCTTATTCCTTTGCATCTTCATAGTGTAGCACCCAACTACATGTGAGAATATATGATGTTTGTTTTCCATTCCTGAGTTACTTCACTTAGAATAATAATCTTCAGTCACATCCAGGTTGCTGCAAATGCCGTTAGTTTATTCCTTTTTATGGCAGAGTAGTATTTCATCATATATATCTATATGTATCTGTACATAGATATATATAGATATAGATATCAGAGTTTCTTTTTTTATTTCTTCTTAAAAAAAATAACAGGATACATGCAGGACGTGCAGGTTTGTTACATAGGTATACCTGTGGCATGGTGGTTTGGTGCACCTATTAACCTGTCCTCTAAGTTTCCACCCTCACCCTCCAACCCCTAACAGGCCCTGGTGTGTGATGTTCTCCTCCCTGTGCCCATGTGTTCTCATTGTTCAGCTCCCACTTATGAGTGAGAACATGCAGTATTTGGTTTCCTGTTCCTGTGTTAGTTTGCTGAGGATGATGGTTTCCAGCTTCATCCATGTCCCTGCAAAGAGCATGATCTCATTCCTTTTTATGGCTGCATAGTATTCCATGTTGTACATGTACCACATTTTCTTTATCCAGTCTATCATTGGTGGGCATTGGGTAGGTTCTACGTTTTGCTATTGTAAATAGTCCTGCAATAAACATACATGTGCATGTCTTTACAGTAGAATGATTTCAATTCCTTTGGGTGTATATACCTAGTAATTAGATTGCTGAGTCAAATGGTATTTCTGGTTCTAGATCCTTGAGGAATTACCATACTGTCTTCCACAATGGCTTAACTAATTTACATTCCCACCAACAGTGTAAAAGTGTTCCTATATCTCCACAGCCTCACCAACATCTATTGTTTCCTGACGTTTTAATAATTACCATTCTGGCTGGTATCAGATGGTATCTCATTGTGGTTTTGATTTGCATTTCTCTGATGATCAGTGATGAGCTTTTTTTCATATGTTTATTGGCTGCATAAATGTTTTCTTTTGAAAAGCATCTGTTCATATTGTTTGCCCACCTTTAGATGGTTTGTTTTTTCTTGTAAATTTATTTCTTTGTAAATTCTGGATATTAGACCTTTGTCAGATGGGTAGATTGCAAAAATTTTCTCCCATTCTGTAGGTTGTCTGTTCACTCTGGTGATAGTATCTTTTGCTGTGCAGAAGCTCTTTAGTTCAATTAAGTCTCATTTTTTAATTTTAGCTGGTATTGAAATTGCTTTCGGCATTTTTGTCCTGATGTCTTTGCCCACGCCTATGTCCTGAATGGCATAGGTTTTCTTCTAGGGTTTTTATGGTTTGGGGTTTTACATTTAAATCTTTAACCCATCTTGAGTTAATTTTTGTGTAAGGTGTATGGAAGGGGTCCAGTTTCAGTTTTCTGCATATGGCTAGCCAGTTTTCCCAGCATCATTTACTAAATAGAAGATTCTTTCCCCATTGTTTGCTTTTGTCAGGTTTGTTGAAGTTCAGGTGGTTGTAGATTTGTGGTGTTATTTCTGAGGTCTCTGTTCTGTTCCATTGGTCTATATGTCTGTTTTGGTTACTGTAGCCTTGCAGTATAGTTTGAAGTCAGGTAGCGTGATGCCTCCAGCTTTGTTCTTTTTGCTTAGGATTGTCTAGGCTATGTGGGGTCTTCATTGATTCTATATTAAATTTTAAATACTTTTATCTAATTCTGTGAAAAATGTCAATGGTAGTTTGATGGGAATAGCATTGAATCTATAAATGACCTTGGGCATTATGGCCATTTTCACGATACTGATTCTTCCTATCCATGAAGATGGAATGTTTTTCCATTTGTGTACTCTCTTATTTCCTTGAGCAGTGGTTGGTAGTTCCCCTTGAAGAGGTCCTTCACATCCATGGTTTGCTGTATTCTTAGCTATTTTATTCTCTTTGTAGCAATTGTGAATGGGAGTTCATTCATGATTTGACTCTCCTTGTCTATTGTTGGTATAAGAAAATGCTTGTGACTTTGCACATTGATTTTGTATCCTGAGACTTTGCTGAAGTTGTTTATCAGTTTAAGGAATTATTGGGCTTAGGTGATGGGATTTACTAAATATAAAATCATGTCATCTGCAAACAGAGACAATTTGACGTCCTCTCTTCCTATTTGAATACTTTTATTTCTTTCTCTTACCTGATTGCCCTGGCCAGAACTTCCAATACTATGTTGAATAGTATTGGTGAGAAAGGGCATTCTTGTCTGTGGTGCCAGTTGTCAAAGGGGATGTTTCAAGCTTTTGCCCATTCAATATGATATTGGCTGTGGGTTTGTCATAAATAGCCCATATTATTTTGAGATATGTTCCATAATACCTAGTTTATTGAGAGTTTTTAACATGGATAAAAACAGGATGTTGAATTTTTTCTAAGGCTCTTTCTGCATCTATTGAGATAATCATGTGGTTTTTGTCTTTGGTTCTGTTTATGTGATGGATTACGGTTATTGATTTGTATGTTGAACCAACCTTGCATCCCAGAGATGAAGCCATTTTGATCGTGGTGGGTACATTTTTTGATGTGCTGCTGGATATGTTTTTATATTTAGGATTTTTGCATTGATGTCCATCAGGGATATTAGCTTGAAGTTTTCTTTTTTTGTTGTGTCTTTTCCTGGTTTTGGTATCAGGATGATGTTGGCTTCATAAAATGAGTTAAAAAGGAGTCCCTCCTTTTCAATTGCTTGGAATAGTTTCAGAGGGACTGGTACCAGCTCCTCTATGTATTTCTGGTAGAATTCAGCTGTTAATGCACCTGATCCTGGTCTTTTTTTGATTGGTAGGCTATTAATTACTGCCTCAATATCAGAACTTCTTATTGGTCTATTCAGGGATTCAACTTCTTTCAGGTTTACTCTTGGGATGGTGTTCGTGTACAGGAATTTATCCATTTCTTCTAGATTTTCTAGTTTTGTTTTTTTTTGCATACAGGTGTTTATAGTGTTCTCTGAAGGTAATTTGTATTTCTATAAGGTCAGTGGTTATATCCCCTTTGCATTTTTTATTGTTTCTATTTGATCTTCTCTCTTTCCTTCTTTATTAGTCTAGCTAGCAGTGTATCTATTTTGTTAAATTTTTCAGAAAAAACAGCTGTTAGATTTATTAATTTTTTTGGAGGGCTTTTTGTGTCTCTATCTCCTTGAATTCTTCTCTGATCTTAGTTATTTCTTGTCTTCTGCTAGCTTTTGGATTAGTTTGTTCTTGCCTCTCTAGCTCTTTCAATTGTGATGTTAGAGTCAATTTGAGATCTTTCAAACTTTCTGACGAGCTTATTTAGGGCTATAAATTTCCCTTTTAACACTGCTTTAGCTGTGTCCCGGAGATTCTGGTACATTGTGTCTTTGTTCTCATTGGTTTCAAAGGACTTATTGATTTCTGCCTTAATTTCATTAATTACAAAGGAGTCATTCAGGAGCAAGTTGTTCAATTTCCATGTAATTGTGTGGTTTTGAATGAGTTTCTTAATCCTGAGTTCTAATTTGATTGCACTGTGGTCTGAGAGACAGTTTGTTAAGATTTCAGTTCTTCTACATGGCTGAGGAGTGTTTTACTTCCAATTAAGCAGTCAGTTTTAGAATAAGTGCTATGTGGCACTAAGAATAATGTATATTCTGTTGATTTGGGGTAGAGAGTTCTGTAGATGTCTATTATGTATGCTTGATCGAAAGCTGAGTTCAAGTCCTGAATATACTTTTTAATTTGTTGTCTCATTGATCTGTCTAATACTGACAGTGGGGTGTTAAAGTCTCCCACTATTTTTGTGTGGAGGTCTAAGTCTCTTTGTAGGTCTCTAAGAACTTGTTTTATAAACCTAGGTTCTCCTGTGTTGGGTGCATATATATTTAAAATAGTTAGCTCTTCTCATTGAATTGTTCCCTTTACCATTATGTGCTGCTCTTCTTTGTCTTTTTTGGTTTAAATCTGTTTTGTCAGAGACTAGGATTGCAAACCCTGCTTTTTTTTCTTTCCATTTGTATAGTTACTTTTCCTCCATCTTTTTATTTTGGGCCTATGTGTGTCTTTTCACATGAGATGGGTGTCCTGAACACAGCACAGCAATGGTTCTTGACTCTTTATCTAATTTGCCAGTCTGTGTCTTTTAATTCATGCATTTAGCCCTTTTACATTTACGGTTAGTATTATTATTGTGAATTTGATCCTGTCATCATGCTGTTATTTGGTTATTTTGCACACTGTTTGATGCAGTTTCTTCATACTGTCATTGGTCTTTATATTTTGGTGTGTTTTTGCAGTGGCTGGTACCGGTTTTTCCTTTCCATATTTAGTGCTTCCTTCAAGAGCTCTTGGAAGGCAGGCCTGGTGGTGACAAAATCCCCCAGCATTTGCTTGTCTGGAAAGGATTTTATTTATCCTTTGCTTATGAAGCTTAGGTTGGCTAGATACAAAATTTGGGGCTGAATTTTTTTTTTTTTTTTTTTTTTTTTTTTTTTTTTTTTTTTTTAGAATGTTGAATACTCTTCTGGCTTGTAGAGTTTCTCCTGAGAGGTCCACTCTTAGTCTGATGGGCTTGCCTTTGCAGGTGACTGGCTTTTCTTTCTGGTTGCTCTTAACAGTTTTTCCTTGATTTCGACCTTGGATAATCTGATGATTATATATCTTGTGGTTGATCTTCTCATGGAGTGTCGTAATGGTGGTGTCTCTATTTCCTGAATTTGCATGTTGACCTGTATCACTAGGTTGGGGAAGTTCTCCCGTATAATATCCTGAAGTGTGTTTTCCAGCTTGTTTCCATTCTCTTTGTCTCCTTCTGGTACACCAATTAATCATAGGTTTGGCCTTTTTATGAAGTCCCATATTTCTTGGTGGCTTTGTTTATTCTTATTCATCTTATTTCTCTGGTCTTGTCTGCATGCCTTATTTTAACAAGGTGGTCTTCAAATTCTGATAACCTTTCTTCTGCTTGGTTGATTTGGCTACTGATATTTGTGTATGTTTCATGAAGTTCTCATACTGTGTTTTTCAGCTCCAACAGGTCGTTTATGTTCCTCTCTAAACTGGTTATTCTAGTTAGCAATTCCTCTAACCTTTTATCACTGTTCTTAGCTTCTTGGCATTTGGGTTAGAATATGCTCCTTTAGCTCAGCATAGTTTTTATTACCCATCTTCTGAAGCCTACTTCTGTCCATTCATCCATCTGATCCTCTGTCCAGTCCTATGGCCTTGATGGAGAGACATTGTGCTCATTTGGAGGAGAAGTGGTACTCTGGCCTTTCGGGTTTTCAACATTTTTTTCATTGATTCTTTCTCATCTTTGTGAGTTTGTCTAGTTTTGGTCTTTGAGGTTGCTGACCCTAAGATGGGGTTTTTTGGGGGGCTTTGTTGGTGGTGGTGGTGGTGGTGCTGTTATTGCTGCCTTCTGCTTGTTTGTTTTTCTTTCAATGATCAGGTCCTTCTTCTATAGGGCTGCTGCAGTTTGCTGGAGGTTCACTTCAGGCCCTATTCATCTGATTCGCTTCTCCACCTGGAGATGTCACCCAAGGAGGCTGGAGTCCCACTGATGGGACTTCTGACCTCAAGGGACACCAATCTGATGCCAGTAGGATTGTTCCTGCATTGGGTGTCTGACAATTCCTTGTTGGAGGGTCTCACCCAGTTGCGTGGCACAGGGAACAGGACCCGTTTAAAGAAGAGTTTGGTCTCTTGGTGGAGGGGGTGTGCCTCCCCAGGGAGAAAACCACTCATCTAGGCTGCCCAGATTCCTCAGAACTACCAGTAGGAAAGGCTAAGTCTGCTGGTCCGCAGTCACTGCGGCCACCCCTCCCCCTATGGCCTCAGGCCCAGGGAGATCTGGGTTCTGTCCCTGAGCCTCTGGCTGGAGTTATTGGAATTCCTGCAGGGGAGCCCTGCCCAGTGAGGAAGGATAGGTCAGGGTCAGGCCTGAAGAGGCCCTATGGCAGCAGACTGCCACTTCCTGTGTGTTGGGCAGTGGGTGACAAGTCTTGGGACCAAGCCAACCAGCCTCCCTCGCTCCAACAGTGGAAAACCACAGCCTGGAGCTATAGAGATGGGTGTCGCCCTTCCGCTGCCCAGGGAGCTTAGTGTGTTAAGCAGTTTAAGCCCCAGTGCTGGCTGCTGCCTCTTCCCAAAGGAGCTCATGTGGCTTAGACAGCAGGCAGGCACAGCTGAGATGCTGGTCGCCTCTTCCCCAGGGAGTTCTGTAGGCTTAAGTAGATTCCAGCTGAGAGGCTGTTAAGAGTCTGTGAGTTCCTGGGTTGGGATGCTGGGCCCTGGTAGCATGGGTTTGTGAGTGGGAGCTTCTGATCCATGGGTTGCACAGTTCCATGGAAAAAGCATAGTTTCCCCAGCTGGTTAGCAGGGTCACTCACCACCTCCCTTGGCTGGGGGGAGAGTGGATCTCGGGTGAGCTGCAGCACCACACTGTTCTTCCTTCTCTCTGTGGGTCATGTCAGCCTTCTAGTCATTTCTGATGAGAGAATCTGGATACCTTGGTTGCTGGTGAAGGATTCACACGCTTATTATGTTTTTTTTTTGATGGGAACCTCCAAACAATGCTGTTTCTAGTTGGCCATCTCGGCCCCACCCCCACATATATTTTAAATACATCTTGTAAAACAGTTTTGAAACACTGTATTTTCTGTAACTTACGGGGTCCAATCACCCAGAATAGTCTTTCAGGTCCTCTACCAAAATGGAAACAAATAATTAACAAATACATAATCTGTGTTAAAAATTATCTGAAGTCAAACATTATCAAAAGGGCATACAAAGATTTCTGAAAGCAGTTGTATTTTCTAACTATAGTTTTGATATTGTGCGGAAATAATACCTAGCAATATAAAAACAGCAAGCTATAATGGTGGTTAAACCGACTAAGTTTTCAAAATAGAAATGTGCTCTACCCAAGACGTTGACTTCTGTGATTGTGGTGTATTTAGTAATACTCACTGCTAAATATATTCTATATTTTGACAATAAGACATCTCCTTCTATTATTAATATTTATCTCTGTGATTATAAAATCCCTTTGCCCAGCCACTCTCTGATTAGGTGTGTGTTGTGCTCAAAACCTAGTGAATGATTTCACCTGTATCTTAAATCAGGAATAATCACATCTCACCCAAGGGGAGACTCTTAATGTCCATTATTCAAACTCTTGTTTTATATCAATTAAGATACAGCTTAATTAATTTATATATAACTAATAATTCTTAATAATAAACTTTGATTCACAATTAGAATGTGTAACAATTTAAAAACCAGAATATGAAAAATCAGATTCTGTTTCTCCCCATTGCTAAAGATTGGCTCATCCTAAGTCAGAGACAGTCAAGAAAGAATTGCTGATAACTGACAAATAAGATTTTTATGTGCAGGCTTGAATTTACATAAAAATACCATATGTTTTCTCAAAATGTGTTATTCTAAGTTTCCTGCTATATTTGATGTCATTCTTTTAATTTAACAATTAGAAATGACTGATGTCATTCTCTAAGGTCTTACTGTTTAAGTAGGTCAATAATGCAAAATTTCAAAGATGCTCTCCTGTAACAACTTCAACCATTGAAAACCCGTAGCTTCCTTTAAAGAAAATATTAACCTTGAATTATAAATGAAATATATTTATATGACAAAGAGATAGTGCGCTGACTTAACCATTTTTGACATTCTTTAGAGTGTGGAAAAGAATTTGGCATGATAATAAGCAGCCTGATCTGGGATACATGTAGGGCACAAGGTAAATGATAATTTGTTAAATAATTTAATCTATAAAAGGTAATTAGTAATTTAGAAATGTGGTATCTCTGTGTTGGCTCTTGATCTCCTCAAAAAGTGCAGTTGATTTATTTTCCCCTGAGTATGAGGTTTTCCATTGATGAACTGGCCATTCAATATGCTTTTTTCTCCCTTTTCCCACATCTGGGTTATATTTCTTGAATTTACCTGTGTCTGCTTAAGTAACATACTGCATGCTATTTAATGATAAAGCTTTTTACTTATTTGAAGGTAGCGTACTTCCAATTCTAAGAGCATTGTTGTACAATAGTTGTTTTTATTTCAATTTTATGAATGGAGTAAATAAGTTAGAGGTATTTTACGATTTCATTGACTGATAAACTTGAGACTATTGACTGGACCACATTTTCCACTGGAAATTAAATATAAATTCAAATAGCAATTACACCATGTAATTTTCTGGGTCTGCTAGTTCATAATAGCTATTATATGACAGCTACAGAAGTCACATTAGTAATACATCTACACACACTCATCAGCCAAAGACTTCATTTTCAACCACAGTGTGCACAATAGTGGAGATTATCCCTATGTCTTATGCCGAGTGAGTTTCTTCTTTGGCAAGGGACTAAATCCTTTAGGAAGGGAATATGTTTTGGAAGGCAGGAGTGAGTGGAAGGGTAGTGGAAAGGAGAGGATGTAGAGGAGGTGAGTGGAAGCAATGTGAGTGGAAGAAGAGTGAAAAGGTGCTTTATATTAATGCTTAAAATAAAAATGGAGTTCCTTCAGACCGAGGATGCTACCCTTCACCATAGATATTATCAGAGTTCACTCCTACTGGAGAGAAATAAGAAGCTTTTAGAAAGCTGCAAGCCTTAATAAAGTGGTTCAATTGCTATTTTATCTAGTTCACTAGTGATGCCTTTCCTAAAAGTTTATCTATAGATGCAGGGGCTTGCTTCACACTGCCTTCAGGGCTCATAGCATCTTTTTTTTTTTTTTGCAGAGAAATAAACTCCTGCTATAGGAAAGCAAAGGGAGGAAATTCCTCTGTGGGCAATAAAAGATTGTACGTATATTTAGGTTACAATCATAGATAGTGTTACTTGGAAAAATGACCAGGGCCCCTACATAGCCAAAATAAAATGGGCAACATCTTCCAAATTCTGTACCAAAGGGCTTCAATTCCAAATTTTTCTGAAAGGCAGATAGAAGGGGACTTAACTAACATGAGAAGATGTCTCTGTCCAGATGTGTTTCCTAACAGGTGGAGATTTATTGTTAGTCACAGTCATCAAACTCGAGTCAGTTAAGATCCACCTAATTGGAATAACCAAATACTTGACTTAAAAGGTTAAAAAAACTAGAAAGGTACATTCCCATGTAACAAATAGTCTACATATGAAAAGTCTCAGAGCAGATAAAGCAGTTGAACAAAACAGTCCTCTGTGTTCAGCTCTCTGGTGTATTTTTGGTTTACTTCTTGGGGTTGTATGAAGGATGCAGTAGCCATTGAGGATGATTTCCTCATTTTAATGCCCTGAATAGAAAGTAGGTAAGGGCTGCTTATCTTTAGGTATCTATTTTTCTCAGGGTGGAAAAAACTTTGTATTCTACTTCTGGTTATAATTCAAATACCAGAAGGGGTTAATAATCTTACCCTTCAGCCAATCACTGACAAGTGGAGAAAAAATGATTTAGTTCCTGAGACAGGTAACATTGCCTCTTATAAATGAAAAAAGAATAAAAGAAGAAGTGACAATTTGTTGATGGACAAACAAAATATATTATCAATATTATCTAGCCTGTCAATATATTTAGCTGTTTTCTCTTTGAGTCTTTTCCATTATACATTGAGAGTAACTGTACTAGTCTGTATTCATGCTGCTGATAAAGACATGCACAAGACTGAGAAGAAAAAGAGGTTTAATTGGACTTACCATTCCACATGGCTGGAGATGCCTCCGAATCATGGCAGGAGGCAAAAGGCATTTCTTACATGGTGGCAGCAAGAGAAAATGAGAAGGAAGCAAAAGCAGAAACCTGTGATAAACCCATCAGATCTTGAGAGACTTATTCACTATCACGAGAATAGCATGAGAAAGACTGGCCCCCATGATTCAATTACCTCCCACCATGTCCCTCCCACAACACTTGGAAATTCAAGATGAAATTTGGGTAAGGACAGAGCAAAACCATATCATTCCACCCCTGGCCCCTCCCAAATCTCATATTCTTACATTTCAAAGCCTATCATGCCTTCCCAACAGTGCCCCAAAGTCTTAACTCATTTCAGCATTAACTCAAAAGTCCATAGACCAAAGTCTTATCCCAGACAAGGCAAGTCCCTTCCACCTATGAGCCTGTAAAATAAAAAGCAAGGTAGTTACTTCCTAGATGCAATGGGAGTACAAGAATTGGAGAAATACAGCCATTCCAAATGGGAGACATTGGCCAAAATAAAGAGGCTACAGGTCCCATGCAAGTTTAAAATCCAGCAAGGGAGTCAAATTTTAAAGCTCCAAAATGATCTCCTTTGAGGTCTCACTTCCAGGTCATGCTGATGCAAGAGGTGGGTTCCCATGGTCTTGGGCAGCTCTGCCCCTGTGGCTTTGCAGGGTACAGCCTCCCTCCTAGCTGCTTTCACAGGCTGGCATTGAGTGTTTGAGGTTCTTCCAGGTGCAAACTGCAAGCTGTCAGTGGATCTAGAATTCTGGGGTCTGGATGACAGTGGCTGTCTTCTCACAGCTGCACTAGGCAGTGTCCCAGTAGGGACTCTGTGTGGGGATTCCAACCCCACATTCCCTTTCTGCAACTGCTCTAGCAGAGGTTCTCCATGAGGTCCCCACCCCTGTAGAAAACTTTTGCCTGAGCGTCAAGGTGTTTCCATACATCTTCTGAAATCTAGTCAGAGGTTCCCAAACCTCAATTCTTGACTTCTGTGCACCTGCAGGCTCAACACCACATGGCAGCTACCAAAGCTTGGGACTTCCACCCTCTGAAGCCACAGCCCAAGCTGTACATTGGTCCCTTTCAGCCATGGCTAGAGTAGTTGAGACACAGGGCACCAAATCCCTAGGTTGCACACAGTACAGAGATCCTTTTTTCCTCCTGGGCCTCCAGGGAAGGGCTGCTATGATGGTCTCTGACATGGCCTGGAGACATTTTCCCCATAGTCTTGGGAAGTAACATTAGGCTCCTTGCTACTTATGCAAATTTCTGTAGCTGATCTGAATGTCTTCCCAGAAAATGGGTTTTTCTTTTCTGTCACATTGTCAGGTTGCATATTTTCCAAATTATTATGCTGTGCTTCCCTTGTAAAACTGAATGCCATTAGCAGTAACAAAGTCACTTCTTGAATGTTTTGCTGCTTAGAAATTTCTTCCACCAGATACCGTAAATCATCTCTCTCAAGTTCAAAGTTCCTCAAATCTCTAGGGCATGGGCAAAATGCCACCAGTCTCTTCGCTAAAACATAACAAGAGTTAACTTTGCCCCAGTTCCCAATAAGTTCCTCTTCTCCATCTGAGACAACCTCAGCCCAGACCTTATTGTCCATATCTCTATCAACCTTTTGGTCAAAGCCATTCAATAAGTCTCGGGGGCATTCTAAACTTTCCACATTTTCTTGTCTTCTTCTGAGCCAGAGGACTCAGAACTGTTCCAACATCTGCCTGTTACACATTCCAAAGTCGCTTCCACATTTTTGCGTATTTTTTCAGCAACGCCACACTCTACTGGTACCAATTTACTGTATTAGTAAGTTTTCATGATGCTGATAAAGACATATCCGAGACTGGGAAGAAAAAGAGGTTTAATTGGACTTATAGTTCCACTTGGCTGGGGAGGCCTCAGAATTATGGCGGGAGGTGAAAGGCGCTTCTTACATGGTGACAGCAAGAGAAAATGAGTAGGAAGCTAAAGTGGAAGTGAGGAAAATTACCTCCTATCGGGTTCCTCCCACAACACATTGGAATTCAAGATGAGATTTGGGTGGGGACACAGCAAAACCATATCAGTAACCAAAATTATGTCATGAGCTTTCATGCATTGTTTCATTAAACATCAATTCCATTTATATGCTGGATATGCTACAAATAGAAACATTGTTATAAAACATGCCTTAGCAGATTCACGTTATCCAGTCTGAAAAGCAAGATTTAAACAACCACAGAAGCAAAATAAATTCTAATAGGAGGGGTCTGATTACTGAAACTAAGTAAGTATTTTCCATGTAAAGGGAAGGTGCAGAATAGATGTTGTTCAGGTATAGCTCAGGTGTGTACAGAGGGAAGGAGAGCAAAAATTCTGTAGGACACAACTAACAAACAGCTAATTTTGCTTGAAGAAACTGCAAGCAGGTTCATATATCAAGGATAAGGAATGATAAACATGAAGTGGTAGATTGACATTTAAAAATTGAAATTATAGAGTTATGGCTTAATAAATGGCTATGGGCTAAATGCTTGTATTTCTCCAAAATTGATATGTTGAAGCCCTAACTTCCAATGTAATCATATTTGGAGTTGGAGCTTTTTGGAGGAAATTATGTTTAGATGAGGTCAGGAGAATGAGCTCTTCATGGTGGGATGAGTGCCTTTAGAAAAGAAGAGGCCAGAGCATTTGTTCGCTTTGTCTCTCTCTCTCTCTCTAAATAACTCTCTCACTCTCTTTCTCTCTCTCCACTGTGTGAAGTATACAGCAAGAAGATAGTATCTGCAAACCAGGAAGGAGGCCCTCATCAGGAACCAAAACAATTGACCCCTTGATCTTGGACTTTTCAGCCTCCAGAACCGTGAGAAATGAATGTTTGCTGTTTAAGTCACCCAGTCTATGGTATTTTTGTTATAGCAGCTGAACTGACTAAGATAATGCCTTTCTGTAAGAAGGTAGAGAAAAACTAAGAAGAATATAGTATCTTTCTCACTGCCTCTAAAACCATATTCTCTCCAATGTGAGTAGTTAGCCTCAGGAGAGGAACAGATGGCAGAAAGGAAATAAACAGGATATAACTGATTCTTGCAGGACCGCACTTGGGTAAATCACACCTTTGACCCTCTCTTGGAGAACAGGAGAAAGGAGCTTCAGGAAAGATTCTCTCTCTTTCTTGTTTCCTGTCATAGCATTATTAATCAACTTTGGAATCCCATAAATTAACTTCAGCCAGTCTTAGGGAGATAGACTTTATCTTGTAACTTAGGCCATGTAAAAGTCACCAGATCAAAATCATGTTCATAATTGGTCTATAAAAGTATAAATCCGGGTCTTCTCTCTCTGAAAGCTCTTGTCACTTGTCAAGGTAATAGGTGACCTGATTAATTAAGATGAGGTCTGAGGACAAAGGCTTCTGCCTTCCATCATTGCTGTAAGCCTTGATTTAATGGTTGTCAATTTTTTAAAAAATCAGTTTTCTATATATATAAAATTATGTAAATTACAGATATATCTAGTAACAATATTAGTGACATCTGGTAAAGTTAAATGGAAGTGACTTTTAAATATTAGATATGTTTTGAAATATTAAAAAATCAGATTGCTGGTGTAAACTGTATTGTTCTCTCCATTTCTATTATGTCAAAAGAAGTTTCTTGATCTAAATACAAATTGAAAATGAATAAGTAACACAGAAAATATATTTTCCCCAAGTGAAAAATATTTTTTCCTTTTAAGATATGAAAATAATATAATTTTTCATCCCATTTTAAGACTACTAATTGATGAGTCAGGAAGAGTCAAACATGTTTAGTAAAATCTAATTGTTAAACCTTTTTGAATGTCTTCAAGATTTGTTTCAATAACCAAGTTTTGAAATCACCTTATCTCATTCATGATGTAATCTCAGAATGCAGGAACAAACAGATGTGACATAATTTGCAGGGCTAGCTGACTTTTGTAGACATACAATAGAAATTCTCTTGAACTTATGTTTTCTTACTATGTTTTGTGAAACAACAAGAAATCAAATAAAACAGGAGCATGCTGTTGGTGAAGGCACTTCAACTTCGATCTCTTTACTCACCACGATAAATTGCTTTTTTGTTTGTTCATTTGTTTTTGCTAGTGTAGTGATTTTTTAGAGAAACATATGGTATCCACTTCCTCTCTTCAGATTTTCAGTGTATTTCTTATGTAGGTGTGAATAAGGTCTTCCTGAAGAGTGTTTCTGAGTACTGCATAAAGAAAATATGAAATTTTCATATTTATAGCACTTCCTGCTTTTTGCTTTTTTAAACCAGATTTGGTTAATAAGATATTATATGTAGTTCTCTTTCCACAAAGCTAAAAAAAAAGTCTTTGAAGATAGAACACAGAACTTTGCTACAGCTGAAAATAAAAATTCATTTAACTCATAATTAGAAGGCTGGTTATGTAGGAATAAAAATATATGATTAAGAGATGTATAAGCAAATGTTAATTTAACACAAACTAGAATTGAAAGCTAAATTCCTAAGTAATTGGCTATACAGTCTGTTCTTTTTTCTAATAGAATTAGTTATTCCCCTTTCTGTGATTCTACAGAACTGTACTAGCATTTTTCCAGTTCATAATTGTCTGTTTGACTGCCAGTCTTCCCATTAGACAGACTGTCCTCTAATCTGGAGTTGTATCTTGTTCTTTGCAGCAGTCCCAATGCCTGGATAGTGAATGACTGAATGAATAAAAATATTAATACATGAATACATAAAATAGCAACAGTAAGAACAATATGAAACCTAATTTATTGAAGATTAAAATTTTTAAAAGTACATAAGGAGTAAAATATATGTTGTGATTTTTTCCCTTCAATGCAGAGTTGTATGAAAGAAAGGAATTAATATTTGTTGAGTCATCAAATGCTTTATTGGTTAAGCTTCTTGGATAGAAATTAAACAGGTCTAATTAGCAAACTTAAAAAAGAGAGCAAGCAAGAGAGATAGCTTATTGACTGTAAGTATCCAATTACTCAAATGTTATTCATTCTTGTTTAAATGTTAACTATAGCAGCCAATATAGCTTGTGCATTCAATAAACCTGGAATTTAGTTTTCTGCCATAACAGCTTTAGACTTTTTGTGTGTGTATGATTTCTACTATTTCATGAAACAGGGCCTTAAGACAGCCCACACTCCCTTACCTATTTCTTGTCAGATAATCTGACACATGAATTTGCTATTTTTACCTCTTTCATGTGTCCAAAATGGAACTAGGCTGGCAAAACCTGATTTTTGGTAGTCAGTACCTCTATCCTAAATTATCATAAGAGGGAATGTTCATCCACTGCCTCATTACACAGCTCTCAGCCCTTGAGTTCCAACCATGGAAAGGTGAGCTTAATGCCTCCCACCTCACCCTGAGGCTACAGACAGATCCAAAAACTTTCTGAGTGCTGACTGCTGGCAACTCCGGCACAACTGGCTAAAATGACTCATGTAAGGGCGAGGAACAGAGATTAACTCCACCTAATTTTGGATTGATGGCATTTATGTTACAGGTATATAGGTTCTGGCACTGGAAGTAGAAAAATCTTGAGGAATCAAATCAGCTTATCAGCTCCTAAAGCTATTTTGTGTTCATGGTTACTGTCTTCCCCTGTTAACCCACAACACCCAAAAGTCTTCTTTGTCATCCCTCCTTTTATCCTCAAAAGATGGATAGTCCAACTGGCTAAGGCAGTTCTTATCAATGTTATTATTCTTATGGGTCACAAAGAAGTTGCTGTCTAACTTACCAAGGAGCCAGCCTCAACTCAGGTAGCCATGGCCACCACCTCAGGTCCAATCTTTGGTTATTCTTTTGTGAAGAAGAACATAACACAGCTTCACTGAGAAGAGGGGTTATGGATTGAAAAGTTTAAAGTAAAAAATGTGGACAGGATCTGCACAGTAACTGATATGCCTTTATGCATGCCCATAGAATACCGAAGACTGGCAGGGCGTGGTGGCTGATGCCCTTAATCCCAGAGATTTGGGAGGCCTAGGCGAACAGATCACCTGAGCACAGGAGTTGGAGACCACCCTGGACAACATTGGGAAGCCCATCCTTACACAAAAATACAAAACTTAGCCAGGCACGGTGGCGTGTGCCTGTAATCCCAGCTACTTGAGAGGCTGAGGCAGGAGAATCACTTGAACCTGGGAGACAGAGGTTGCAGTGAGCCAAGATCGCACCATTTCGCTCAAGCCTGGGTGACAGAGTGTGACCCTATCTCAAAAATAAAATAAAATAAAATGGATGGTGAGGACTGTGATGACATCATGTATTACTTCATCACCCCACATTTTCTCCCTGCTATGCATTCATGATCTCACTTTACAGATGAGGAAAGTAAGTCTCAGAAAGAATAGGCAATTAGAGCATGACATCGGGTCTAGCACTGAATGAGAGTGTTGGGGCTTCTGCTTGGAGACAGGACAGTTTTGGATCAGGAGTATATGGAGTTCTGATAACAACTTGGAATCTCCAGTGGGAACCCAGGCCACCTTGTCCTGGAGTAGCATTTTTTAGGCACAGGAGAAGACAGGCATTCTCTTCTAGGCGTGGTTTTAATGACCATGCAGAAAAATCTTAGGTGGCAGCTGATATAAATAATAATTTTTAAAAGCCAAGATTTCAGGTACTTGTAGCTTATTTCAGAGTATTATTTTCCCAACCAGTTGGGTATACTTATTTATAACTAAAGCAGCAAGACAGGAATGAATTAGATATTAATAAACATCTGAGTGAGAAAAGAAATCTAGGACAGATGGATGGATGACTAGATAGATAGGTAGATAGATAGATATTCTTAATTTGTGATAGTATCTTCCTCATTGGGCAAGTGAAGGACTGGATTTTGTACTATAGAATAGAATGTGTGTGGGAGGTAGATAGGGAGATAGGAATTATTTGTAGTCCAAACTGTAATGCAGAAACTCTGACTACCTATAAATCCCTTATTTCTTCTCAGGTCTACTATAATTTGTGTATGATATGAGATCATGTCATATCTTTTTGTTATGTAATAAGGCTAAAAATTATTTACAGAATTTAATGAAGTGAATTAGACTACAGGATTTAACTCCTTTACTCTTACTTGGTAATTGCAGAAAAAATAACAATTGAAAAAAGCATGCTTTTTTGAGTCAGACAGTCTTAGTTAAAATTGAAGAGTTGATCACTTATTGCCTAACTGACCTTAAAAGTTACGTATTGTCTTTGTTATATGCTGCAAGTTTATGCCTCCATAAAATTCATATGTTGAAACCCTAACCCACATTATAATGGTATTAAGAGGTGGGGTCCTTGAAGGCGATTACATTATAAGGGTAGAATCCCATAATGATATTTGTTTCCTTATAAGAATAAAAAGAGAGCTAGCTAGCTTGCTTGTGTTCCTTTTGCTTTCTCTCTCTCCTCCCCTATATGGGGATACAAAGAGAAAACAGCTTCCAGTAAACTAGAAAGAAGGCCTTCCCTAGAACCTGCTCATGCTGGAACCCTGATATTTGACTTATAGTCTCCAGAAATATGAGAAATAATTTGCTATTTAAGCCATTAAGTCTATGGTAATTCATTATAGCGGTCCAAGCTGACTAAGACATGCGTGGAGTTTCAGTTCCTTTATCTACTAAATAGGCATAAATATTCATGCATTGCAAGGATGTTGTAAAATTTAAATATGAATAAATTATGTAATGCATTCTAATCATTTAGCAGTTGTATAATAATTGGTAACTACCATAATTTTTAAATATTATTCTTTTATCCTAGCGAAAGAGGGAGAAAAACATAAAGCACAATTAATCCTATGCTAGTCTAGTTTTTCATACAGTTGTTAGATATTTACTTGCCAAATGGATCAACTAATAATCTGAGATTCCCTGTGTTTAAAATAGGGCATGTTTCACAATTTTCAACTAAAGCAAAAATATATGTAGTAGTATTTTAGGCTATAGTTAAAACAATTTTATTGTCCTTCATTCCACCAAAATAAAAACAAAATGTTAAAATCCTAAATAAATTAAAGTAGAAGAAAATGAACAAGTTATTTCACCTTAAAAATAAAAGAAATGATTTGTATGTCCTTTATACTGATAAGGTAAATATATCTTAAAATATATGACATGTAGTCAATATTGAATGTTTTCACACATGTGTAGACTATGGGTAGTATTATATAGAACTTATAAAGCCATTACCCTACAAATGATATCTGAGTATTTAATGTTATTTTAACAAATCTCCATACTATTGCTTTCGTACATTAAAACTAAAGCAAAATAAAATGCAATAAATAATCACAAGGAAAATTATGGACACAGAAACTTATAATGAAAATAATGAACTAAGTCTTCCTTGTGAATCCAAAAAAGAGACTCTTTATCACTTTCATTCTTTGCTTTCCTTTTTTTTATGTATGTATTTATTGAGTACCTGTCTTTTTTTTTTTAGAATCCTGGATTAGAAAGTGTTAGTGAAGCACTTGCTTTTTTCTCCTGAGAATTTCTATGACCCAGTAGCATAGGCCATGTGGGAGCAAGACAACAACCCCAAATAAGTGCCTGAAAAAGATACCAATGACTCCAACAGTAGTGATAATAAGGCTACTCATTTGCTTTACAGCTTGGCCACTACATCAGGATAAGTCTAACTGTGTTTAGTTTTTCTCCCTGGGTTTCTGATTTAGGGAGCCAAAGTCTACTTCTCTAGTCACGTATTTTGGTAAGAAATGGCTGGATCTTTAAAGGTTAGAGTCTCCACAATATATTGATTTTTTTCTAAATATTAACTCATTTCTGCCTTGTTACTTAAACTTCTGTCTGAAAAATAAGAAACAGGGAAATTTTTTTTGAAAAAGAACTAACATTTTCAATCCTGAGAAATAGTACAAATTGTCAAGATTATACAGTTTTTCAACAATAATGATTGAGCTACAAACAGTTTACAAGTCACTTTGAAACACATATTGTAAAATTATTAAGCCCACCCAAACTAACTGTATATATATGATATTTATCAGATTAATATTTAAATTTAAGTAGGTGACTTTAGTTTCTGGCAATACAGCACTGTATATACTGAAAACACCTAGTAGGACATGAAATTTGGCAAAAAGTAATATCTGTATATATTTATAAATATATACACATATATTTCTATATGTACACATAGGTACATATGGTATATCCAAGAATCTAAATATGAGTATATCATATATATTTTAATGCATAGATGAATTTTAGAAAACTGAGAGTATTATTATTATCCAAAACCAAGAAAGAATGAATCCTAAGAAATAAAAGCTCCCATTCTACTAGGTTCCCAGCAATTTGGTAATTTATATTTAGGAAAATATAGACATACTTTGAAAAAAAGTACTTTATTACACTAAATATATTAATAGCTTGAAAATATTAAAACTGGAAAAGCTATTGCTTACCAATACACATAAATTGCTATTGGATGACTAAACCATGATTATTAGGTAGTATCAAATTATTATATCACACATGAAATAATTTAATGGGAATTTTAATTCCATTGTAAAAATTAAGTGATAGTGAAGTTCTGCTTCTTCAGATATCAAGAAGAAAATGGTTCAAAATTTAAGATCTGTATTAGTCAGGGATCTCCAGAGAAACAGAACCAATATGATATGTGTGTGTTTCTGCATGAGTGTGTGTTTTTTTGTGTGCGTATGCAGTCATTTGCCACATAACAATGTTTCAGTCAATGAAGGACTGCATGTTTGATGATATGTCATATGTGATACATACTGTATTTTTACTGTATCTCTTCCACATTTAAATATGTTTAGGTATGTAAATACCCTCGGATTCCAATTGCCTACAATGTTTTAGTACAGTAATAATCTGCACAGGTTTGTAGCCTAGGAGCAATAGGCTATACCGCATGGTGCAAGTGTGTAGTAAGCTACACTATCTAGGTTTGTATAACTACAGTCTATGACATTTGCACAATGGTGAAATCGCCTAAGAACACCTTTTTCAGAATGTTTCACCATCTGCTAAGTGATGCCTAATCATCTGTGTGTATACACACACACACACACACACACACACACACACACACAAGGGGGGAGATTTATTTCAAGAAATTGGCTCAGGGCCTTGACTGTGGAAGCCAGAAAGGCCAAAATCTACAGGGTGCACAAGCAGGCTGGAAACTCAGGGAAGAGTTGAGGTTGATGCCTGCGTTTGAATTCTTTCCTATGTCTCTTGGAACCTCAGTCTGTTCTGTCTTAATCAAACTTCAACTGATTGGATGAGGCCAACCCACATTATGTGGAGTAATCTGCTTACTCAAAGTCTACTAATGAAATTATTAATCTCATCTAAAATGTGCCTTCATGGCAACATCCAGTCTGGTATTTGACTAAATATTTGTGTACTGGGGCCTGGACAATTTGACACATATACTTAACCATCATAAGGACACCAAGTGAAATAGGACTGCCACAAGGATTATTGAATGTATTTCCAAAATCACAATATATTTTTTTCTTCAACCAGAAAAATAGTTTTGATGAGAAAATGAGAAGTATAGGTCTTCCACTATTGTCTGGAGCATGGGTTGGAAAACTAGAAGCTGAAGGCCGAATCCCATTAGCCACCTGTTTTGTAAATAAAGTTTTATTGGAACATAGTCACACTCATTCACTTAAGCATTGTCTTCTGGTGCTTTCATGCTACAAAGGCAAAATCAAATAGTTGCCACAGAAACTGTATGCCCCAAAGCCTAAAGTATTTACTATATTTACAGAAAATGTTTGCTAATCCCTGGTCTAGAGTTCAAATCTCCATATATTACATGAACTTCCCAGAATTCGAAAGTATAGAACTGGTAAGGTCCAGTAGGAGAGGTTAAGCCATATTATTTGAAGATAATTTTGTCATGCTTCTACTCTATCAAGCTATGAAAAAATACTTCAGTTTGTGCTAGAGTGTACCCTCAGTAATTCTGAGGTAATTATAGTTTTTGGTTGAATGAAATGGGCACGAGAATGTTTTATTACCTTTAGAGACTACAAATGAGGTCTTCAAGGGACGATTTTTGTACTTGAGACATAACTGTTCATTGCAAGAGCTTTACTGCATGTTAAAAAAGTCCGAGTTACTGCTCTCAAGACTTGTAAAATATATCCTTGGAACAAACTACTAAATTATGCAAACTTTGTGGGTTTTAAAGTGTGACCAGATAGGCTGTTAGGAAATTAACTCTCAACTAGTTTTCCAGTTGGAGGCAACTTATGCTTTTTAATCACAAACTTACCACATCCCACTATATTTTGCATAGAGAATAATACTTTCCATAATTTTGGCTTCAAAGGCTAAAGTGGTCATGAAAATTCAGTGTTTGTAGCCACTCAAACTAATTGTTCCATTGAAAATATAATGAAGAAGCCATAAAGGAATTCACAGATTTTTCAAAGTGCTGGAGCAATAAATGATCCCTCGTGTTTCCTCTTTGAAACATTATTTTCTGTGCTTCACAGCTCTTACTAACAGAATGAGAAATATTCAGGATGTATTTATGCATTAAAGGAATATGGACATTCCTGGCCAAGGCACAGATGGTGAGAATTAAATTTCATTCCTGGGGACAAAATTCAATATATGAATACAAAGAAGCTGATAAGTGATTTAAAAAGAAGTTAACTGTAGAGTGTAAAATCTTTCTAAGAAACATGTGAAGCTATTACAGTACTACCAGGTGATTCTTCAAATGTATTTTCATAGATCACTTTAAAGACAGATAATGTTTATTTTTAGCGTATAAAATTGTTAAGCTGGTGCTCGTGCTATTTGGAAAGTAATACACAAAGCACTTATGCCAATTTGGAAGAGAAAGAAATGAATTACTTATATTACAATAAAAGTTTATATTATGTTTGGTGTCTTAGCTAAACTGTTGTTGTTGAAATCAAATATTAGCTCCTTCTGTTAGATCAGCCCCACTCAATTAGTAGCATTTAGTCTGTGTACAAATCATCATCATTTTAATGGCCATATTTAGGCTAGGCATAATTTTTAAAATTTTTGTTTGTTTCCTAATTCTTCCAGAATTAATTTGCTGATTTTTATATTAAATAATGCAAAATATAAAGTCTATTTTTAAAATGACTTTTGGCCGGGCGCGGTGGCTCACGCCTGTGATCCTAGCACTTTGGGAGGCCAAGGAGGGCAGATCACAAGGTCAGGAGATCGAGACCATCCTGTCTAACACGGTGAAACCCTGTCTCTACTAAAAATACAAAAAAATTGGCCAGGCATGGTGGCAGGCGCCTGTAGTCCCAGCAACTCCGAAGGCTGAGGCAGGAAAATGGCATGAACCTGGGAGACGGAGCTTGCAGTGAGCCGAGATCGCGCCACTGTACTCCAGCCTGGGCGACAGAGCGAGACTCAGTCTCAAAAAAATAAATTAATTAATTAAATAAATAAAATAAAATAAAATGACTTTTATAACTATATGTTACATACCAACTATATATTTAAGGCATTGGTTTTACAAAGGAAGAATGATATATGTGGCAGTCAGAATAGTAGGATGACCTCGAATAACAAAAGCTATTGAATAATCTCTTCCATTGAATATAATCAGGAACTCTGAGTATGATGAGATATCATTCCAATAATGAAGTTTTGTTGTATGGCATAGTTGTCTAAGAAAAGATCATTTTTGGTGGACCTGCACTAATCAAGTAAAACATTAAAAGGCTGTGATCTCTCTGACAAAGAGATTTTAAGTTAGA
The DNA here is from genome assembly GCF_000001405.40 of Homo sapiens. NCBI lineage: Eukaryota > Metazoa > Chordata > Mammalia > Primates > Hominidae > Homo > Homo sapiens. The sequence goes on along the minus strand of NC_000004.12, from coordinate 59,639,793 downwards.
GGATTTAAAGTGTTAGAGAGACTTATTTATTTATTTTAACTTTTATTTGAGGTTCAGGGATACATGTGCCCATTTGTTATGTAGGTAAATTGCATGTCTTGAGGATTTGGTGTATGGATTATTTCACCACTTGGATAAGCACAGTACTCAATAGGTAGTTTTTTTGGTCTTCACTTTCCTCTCTCCCTCCACAATCAAGTAGTCCCTGGTGACTCTTGCTCCATTCTTCAAGTCCTTATGTACTTAATGTTTAGCTCCCACTATAAGTGAGAATATGTGGTATTTAGTTTTCTGTTCCTGCATTATTTACTTAAGATAATGGCCTCCAACTCTATCCATGTTGCTACAAAAAAACATGATCTTGTTCTTTTTTATGGCTGTGTAGTATTCCATGGTGTATATGTACCGCATTTTTTATTCCATTTTGTCATTGATGAACATTTATCTTGATTCCATATTTTTGCTATTATAAAATAGTGCTGCCATGAACATACACATGTCTGGGTCTTTAGAGTAAAATGACTTATATTCCTTTGGGCGTATACCCAATAATGAGATCACTGGCTTGGATGGTAATTCTGCTTTGTGTTCTTTTATTGGCAAATTGCTTTCCACTATGGCTAAACTAATCTACATTCCCATTGGCAGTATATAAGCATTCCCTTTTCTCCACAACCTAACCAGTATCTGTTTTTGTTTTTTTTTTTTTGACTTTTTAATAATAGCCATTCTAACTGGTGTGAGATGGCATCTCATTGTGTTTTGATTTTCATTTTTTTCAAATACCACTTGGCCACATGTATGTCTTCTTTTGATTGTCTGTTCCTGTATTTTTCCTTTTTTTAATGGGAAATAATTTTTTTTTTTTGCTTATTGATTTATTTACGTTCTTTATAGATTGTGGATATTTGACTTTCGTCAGATGCATGGGTTGGGAATATTTTCTCTAATCCTATAGGCTCTCTGTTTGCTCTGCTGATAGGTTGTTTTGCTGTGCAGAGCTTTTTAGTTTAATTAGTTCTAATTTGTCCGTTTTTGTTTTTGTTGCAATTCCTTTTGGCATCTTCATCATGAAATCTTTGCCAGGTCCTGTGTCCAGATGAGTATTTCCTAGGATGTCCTGCAGAGTTTGTATAGTTTTAGATTTCACATTTAGGTCTTTAATTCATATTGAGTTGATTTTTATATATTCTGCTAAGAAAGGGGTCCAGTTTCAATCTTCTGCATATTGCTAGCTAGTTATTCCAGTACCATTTATTGAATAGAGAGTCCTTTCCCATTCTTGACTTTGTTGACTTTGTCAAAGGTCACATGGTTATAGGTTTGTGGTGTGGTATTATTTTAGGGCTCTCTGTTCTGTTCTGTTGGTCTACATGTCTGTTTTTGTGCCAGTACCTTGCTGTTTTGGTTACTGTAGCTTTGTGCAGTTTGAAGTTAGGTAATATGATACCTCCAGTTTTGCTCTTTTTGCTTAGGATTTTGGCTATTCAAGATTTTTTTTTAGGGGGTTCCACATAAAACATTTAAAATAGCTTTTTTTTTTCTAATTCCATGAAAATTGCCATTGATAGTTTTATAGAAATAGCATTGAATCTATAAATTGTTTTGGGCAGTATGACCATTTTAAGAATATTGATTTTTCCTATCCATGAGCAAGGAATGCTTTTCCATTTGTTTGTGTTATCTCTGATTTCTTCAAACAGTGTTTTGTAATTCTCATTGTAAAGATCTTTAAACTCCCCGGTTAGCTACATTCCTAGGTATTTTATTCTTTTGTGGCCATTTTGAATGGGAATGTGTTCTTTATTTTGACCTAAACTTGAATGTTGCTAGTGTATAGGAATGCTACTGATTTTTGTACATTGATTTTGTATCCTCAAACTTTGCTGAAGATGCTTATGAGAACAAGGAGCCTTTCAGCAAAGACCATGGGGTTTTCTAAGTATACAATTATATCGTCTGCAAACAGATAGTTTGACTTCCTCTCTTCCTATTTGGATGCCTCTTGTTGATTTCAATTGCCTGATTGTTCTGGCCAGTACTTTCAATATGATATTGAATAGGAGGGGTGAGGGAGAGCATCCATCCTTTTCCTATTTCAGTTTTCAAGAAAAATGTTTCCAGCTTTTGCTCATTCAGTGTAATGTTGGCTGTGGATTTATCATAGTTGGCTCTTATTATTTTGAAGCATGTTCCTTCAATGCTTACTTTGTTGAGGGTTTTTAAAATGAAATGATGTCAAATTTTATCAAAAGCCTTTTCTTCATCTCTTGAGATAATCATGTAGTTTTTAGTTCTCTTTATGTGATGAATCACATTTATTGATTTGGATATGTTGATCTGACGTTGCATCCCAGGATAAAGCCTACTTGGTTATGGTAGATTGGCTTTTTGATGTGGTGTGAGATTCTGTTTGCCAATATTTTGTTGAGGATTTCTACATCTATGTTCATCAAGGATTCTTGCCTGAAATTCATTTGTTCTGGTTGTTGTATCTCTGCTAGGCTTTAGTATCAGTATGATTATTAACCTCATAGAATGAGTTGCAATGGAGTTCCTCCTTCTCTATTTTTCTGGAATAATTTCAGTAGGAATGATACCAGTTCTTCTTTTTACATCTGGTAGAATTCCACTGTGAATGTGTCTGGTCTCGAGATTTTTCTAGTTGGTAGGCACTTTATTACTCATTCAATTTCAGAACTCATTTTGGTATTCAATTTCTTTCTGGTTGAATCTTGGGAGGTTGTATGTTTCCAGGAATTTTATCTATTTTTTCCAGCGCGTATCATAGAAGAGGTGTTTGTAGTGGTCTCCAAGGATTTTTTTGAATTTTTGTGGGGTCAGAGTTAATGTCTCCTCTGTCATTTCTAATTGTGTTTATTTGGATCTTCTCTTTTTTCTTAATTAGTGTAGATAACAATCTATGTATTTTATTATTACTCTCAAAGAACCAACTCATGGATTCATTGATCTTTTTTATGGTTTTTCACATCTCAATTTCCTTTAATTCAGCTCTGATTTTGGTTATCTGTTGTCTTCTTCTAGTTTTGGGGTTCATTTTTTCTGATCTCTTTAGTTCTTCTAGTTCTAGTTATGAGGTTACGTTGTTAATTTGAGATTTTTCTAACATTTTGATGTGGGTATTTAGTGCTATAATCTTTCCTTTTAACACTTTAACTGTATTCCAGATATTTTGATATGGGTTATCTTTGTTCTCATTAGTTTTGTAGAATTTCTTGATTTCTGTATGAATCTTATTATTTACCTAAAAGTCATTCAGGAGCAATTTGTTTAATTCCCATGTAATTGTAGTGTTCTAAGAAATTTTCTTAGTATTGATTTATATTTATATTGTGCTTTGGTCTTATAGTTTGATTTGTACAATTTCATTTATTTAACTTGCTGAGGTTTGTTTTATGTCTAATAATGTGGTCATTTTAGGGTATTTTAGAGTATGTGCCATGTGACAATGAGAAGAATGTGTAGTCTGTTGTTTTGGAGTGCAGAGTTCTGTAGATGTCTGTTAGTTCCATTTGGTCAAGTGTCAAGTTCAGGTCCTAAGTATCAGCTAGTTTTGTGCCTCAATGATCTGTCTAATGCAGTCAGAGGAGTGCTAAATTCTCCCACCATTATTGTGTGGCTATCTAACTCTATTTCTAGGTCTCTAAAAACTTTGCTTTATAAATCTGGGTGCTTCTGTGTTAAATGTGATATATATTTAGGATAGCCGGAACTTCTTGTTGAATTGAGCCCTTTATCATTATGTCATGCTCTTCTTTGTCTTTTTTGATCTGTTTTTCGTTTGTTTGTTTAAATTCTGTTTTGTCTGCATTAGAGTAGCAGCCCCTTCCTTTTTCTCTTTTCCATTTGCTTGCTAGATTTTTCTCCATTCCCTTACTTTGAGCCTATGGGAATCATTGCATGTGGAATGGGTTTCTTGAAGACAGCATACGATTAGGTCTTGCTTATTTATTCAGTTTGCCACTTTGTGCCTTTTAATTGGGGCACTTAGCCCATTTATATTCAGGGTTAGTATTCATATATGTGGATTTGATCCTTCGTTATGCTGTTAGCTGGTAATTCTGCAGACTCGTTTGTATGCTTGCTTTATAGCATCACTAGTCTATGTACTTCAGTGTGTTTTTGTAGTGAATGATAATGGTCTTTCCTTTCCATATACAACTCCCTTCAGTAACTTTTGTAAGGCAGGTCTGATGGTAGTGAATTACCTTAGCATTTGTTTGTCTGAAGAGGATCTTATTTCTCCTTCATTTATGGAGCTTAGTTTGGTTGGAAATGAAATTCTTAGTTGGAAATTCTTTTCTTTAAGAGTACTGAATACTTTGAAGATTGATGGGCCATGTGATAGGGGACCACCAGTCACCTTTAGGAACTGAGACTAGCTCATGTTTGACTTGCAGCAAGTAAGCAGGAATCTCGGTACTAAATCACACACACAAAAATGAAATCTGCCTCTATCTTGTGAGTTAGAAATAGTTTCCTCAAGCTCCAGAGAAGATGCCTTGATATTGAAGCTTACTATTTACTTTGTGAGACATTGAAAAGAATGCAGCCATGCCATCTTCAGACTTTTGTCCTATATAATGGAGAGGTAAAAAATGTGCATGTGTTTGTTTCTTTTTTAACTGCTACATTTATGGTACTTTCCTATACAGCAATAAAAAACTAAAACAATAGTTCTCTTACATTGCAAAAGTACCTTAATTAGGACCCATTATATACCAGGAATTATGAATATGGATAATTGAATATTATAGCCTCCCTGATCAAGAGGAGCTTAGAACCTGGTGAAGATCTATTCAGTTCTTGCCTTGTAGAAGCCATTCTAAAAGGATTAGCTCATGTAAACCTTATTGCTCTCCTATTATATAGTTACTGTTAACCCTTTTATGAATGCACCAGTCTCAGGGAGTCGGAAATAGCTAGGAAGTAGCAGAGCTACATTGCAAACATAATTCCAAGGTCTTTTCCCTCATGTTTATTATTAATATATCATCTAGTGATAAGAGAGTAATAGACATGATAAAATAGTAAATAAAATGTACTAAAATCTTAAAATATGTTCAATGAAATAGTGATGATTATAAGCACTAATGAGCTGGAGGAATGATATAGTTTGGCTGCATTCCCACCCAAATCTCATCTTGAATTGTAACTCCCACAATTCCCACATGTCTTGGGAGGAACTTGGTGGGAGGTAATTGAATTATGGGAGCAGGTCTTTCCTGTGCTGTACTCCTGACAGTGAATAAGTCTCATGAGACCCGGTGGTTTTAGAAACAGGAGATTCCCCCCACAAGCTCTCTTCTCTTGGCTGCTGCCATGTGAGATTTGCCTTTCACCTTCTGCCTCCAATTGTGAGGCTTTCCCAGTCAAGTGAAGCTGTAAGTCCATGAAACCTATTTTTCTTCTCACCCTAGGGTATGTCTTTATCAGTAGTGTGAAAATGAGCTAATACAGTACATTGGTACAATAGAGTGTGGCGCTGCTGAAAAGATATCCAAAAATGTGGAAGTGACTTTGGAACTGGGTAACAGGCAGAGGATGAAACAGTTTGGAGGGCTCAGAAGAAGTCGGGAAAATGCGGGTTACATTTGGAGCTTCTAGAGACTTGTTGAATGGCTTTGACTAAGATGCTGATAATGATATAGACAATGAAATCCAGGCTGAGGTGGTCTCAGATGGACCTAAGGAACTTGTTGGGAATTGGAGCAAAGGTGACTCTTGCTATGTTTTAGCAAAGAGACTGGTGGCATTTCACCCCTGCCCTAGATATTTGTGGAAATTTGAACTTGAGAGAGATGATTTAGGGTATTTGGTGGAAGAAATTTCTAAGCAGCAAAGCAGTTAAGAGGTGATTTGGGTGCTGTTAAAGGCATTCAGTTTTATAAGGAAATTAAAGAATAAAGTTTGGAAAATTTACAGCCTGACAATATGATAGAAAATAAAATCTTATTTTCTGAGGATAAATTCATGTTGGCTGCAGAAATTTGCATAAGTAATGAGGAGCTGAATGTTAATCCCCAAGTCAATAGGGAAAATGTCTCCAGGGCATGTCAGAGACCTTTGCGGCAGCCCCTTCCACCACAGACATAGAGGTTTAGGAGGAAAAGAAGGCTTTGTGAGCCAAGCCCAGGGTCCCAGTGCTGGGTGTAACCTTGGGAATTGGTTCCCTGCATCCCAGACATTCCAGCCATGGCTGATAGGGACCAAAGTGAGCTCAGGCTGTGGCTTCAGAGGGTGCAACCCCAAGTTTTGGCAGCTTCCACATGGTGGTGAGCCTGTGAGTACACAGGAGTCAAGAATTGGGGTGTGTGAACATCCACCTAAATTTCAGAAGATGTATGGAAACGCCTGGATGCCCAGGCATAAGTTTGCTGCAAGGGCAAGGCCCTCATTGAGAACCTCTGCTAGAGCAGTGCAGAAGGAAAATATGGGGTCAAAGCCTCCACACAGAGTCCCTCCTGGGGCACTCCCTAGTGGAGCTGTTGAGAAGAGGGCCACCATCCTCTAGACTCCAGAATAGCATATCCACCGACAACTTTCATTCTGCATCTGGAGAAGCTGCAGCCACTCAATGCCAGCCTGTGAAAGCAGCTGGGAGGGGGGTCTATACCCTGCAAAACCATAGGAGCAGAGCTGCTCAAGACCATGGGAACTTCCCTCTTACATCAGCATGACCTGGATGTGAAACATGGAGTCAAAGAAGATCATTTTGGAGGTTTAAGATTTTACTGCCCTACTGGATTTCAGACTTGCATGGGGTCTCTAGCCTCTCTGTTTTGGACAATTTCTCCCAGTTGGAGCAACTGTATTTACCCAGTTCCTGTACTCTGTACCCATTGTATCAAGGAAATAACTAACTTGCTTTTTATTTTACTGGCTCATAGGCAGAAAGGACTTGCCTTGTTTCAGATGAGACATCAGACTGTGGACTTTTGAGTTAAGGCTGAAATGAGTTAAGACTTTGGGGTACTGTTGGGAAGGCGTGATTGGTTTTGAAACGTGAGGACATGAGATTTGGGAGGGTCTAGGCACAGATTGATATGGTTTGGCTGTGTCCCTACCCAAATCTCACCTTGAATTGTAACTCCCACCATTCCCATGTGTCATGGGAGCACCTTGGTGGGAGGTAATTGAATTATGGGAGCAGGTTTTTCCCACGCTCTTCTCATGATAGTGAATAAGTCTCATGAAATCTGACGGTTTTAAAAATGGGAATTTCCCCAAACAATCTCTCTTCTCTTGTCTGCTGCCATGTGAGATGTGCTTTTCACCTTCCACCATGATTGTAAGGCCTCCCCAGGCACGTGGAACCATAAATCCATTAAACCTCTTTTCCTTCCCAGTCTCAGGTATGTCTTTGTCAGCAGCATGAAAATGGACTAGTACAAGAAAAAAGAAACATTTAAAAGACAAATACTGTAGCATATTTGTAAAAGTGTGACTTGATTAATTTGCTACTCTTAGAGTTTGAATTAGATATTATTTCCTAAAAAGCTATTTAGAAATAAATTAAAAACAGTAAGAATCCATGGGTCATATGTGACAATAATTCTGAAACAAAGAGAAAGTGATGTGACATTTTTAGAGAATAAAAGATGGTTAAATAACCAATAAAGTAACATTAGGTAGTTTCCTTAATCTAGAATAAAAATAAAGTAATTTAACATTCATAACATAGGTTTTTAACAAATCATTATTTATTTTTTTTCTATAGTTTATAAGATAAATTGTTGGTACTGGCTATTGATGAAAAATTGAAAATAAATTTTGAATCTATTCCATGATTTGTTCCAATTTGGGTAAAAGTTTAAAAAGAATTTCCTGAGCTTACTGAAATTGCTTTACAAGTTTTTCTTCTATTTTCATTAATATACTTTTTCAGATTGGTTTATCCTACAAGTAGTGAAAAAATAAAACATAGAAACAGGCTATAGAGTATCAGCTGCTGTACCATTGTCATCTAGATTAGATAAATTAGCAAATAAGACAGCTCATTACATAGAATTTTAATATTTATATGCATAGTGTTCATTCAAAATGTGCAAACACACTTTAACTGTGAATAATTTCATTTTACTCATGGCATTTTATTTATTTAGTACAGTAGAAGATCAAAAGTTATAAGAACCATTTTCATATTGATTGGCCTATAGGTTCTTTTTTGATGAACGATTTTTTATCATAAGTTTTTACCATTTTTATTGAAATGTACTTTCACAGTAAAAATGTAATTTAATAGTAAAATATGATGTTTGTAACTTGAGTATACCTGTTATTATTTCATTTTTTCTAATTCTTATTTGTTTGTTTATTTATTTATTTTAAAAAAGTATTGATTCATGAGAAAATAGTGGGGCTATTGTCCTATTCAGGAAAAAATAAATATCAGGAAAAAAAAAAAGAAAAACTGATTCAGTTGACAGCCAGTAGAGATGCACATTTCTTAAAATGTTCTGAAAATTTAGACATTAATGATTTGCTAAAGAGTTATTTTAACAAAGAAAACAGGTAGTCTCAAAGGAAGGATACTGAACAACTTACCAAGCAGGAATAGTGATGACAGCATCCCATAAAAATGGGAGATGGGAGATTAGAATTACATAGCTTCACACTCTATGCCAAGGATTAATACCTGATGTGAACCCTGGAAGTGAAAAAAAATCAGTTGTTAGAACTCAATTATCACAGTATGGATCTTCAGCATTTTGAAATCCCTGTAGCAAGTATGGCTCTAGGAACATCCTGTGGCTTTGAATGCCAAGGTGTGGAAGAATGAGGGCCAGTTCAGCCTATGCAATTCATAGGTGGTTTTCACATGTGGTTTCTTTGCCTGTGAAGCCAAAGGCAAAAACCAGGAGACACTCTCCAGGGTATCCCAAAAATCAAATTAGGATGGCAAATGCCCAAAAGGACTCCAAACCAAGGGAATATATGGCCAGTATAAGTCAAAGAAATGAGCTAGAATTACAAGTAACCAATGATGAAGTGAGAAATTATAATATTAATAAGAAAATAACAACAACATTGACAATAATAATGTATAACAGACATTGATTGCTGTCCTCGGCATTGTCCTAAGCACTTTATGTATATTAAATCATTTAAGAATCTTACACGATTATGAGATAGACCTGTGATCACAATATTTTTAATTACAGAAGAAGAGACTGAGCTACAGTGAGGATGAAAACTTGTCCTCATTCCAGGATAAAAAGAAAGAAAGAATGTGAAGTTGGTTTGGGGACATTTGCCATGGTTATGCTTGTGAAAGTATACTGGATTTGTTTAAAGAGCAAACAAGTAGTTACATCAGCTATTTGGATTCAGTTTGTAAAGATATTTGAGTAGTGTACTAAGTCATTTGAATTTCATTATATATCGCTGATCAAATATCTCCACAACTTCTTCTTTAATAAGAGATAGAGAATGATCCAATGATTAGAGTTTTAAAAAGTACACTAACTACAGTAAGGGTTCATGATTACTACATTGTTGAATACGATCAAGCAGTCTGGAAGACTGTCGAGTGTTGCTTTGGAGGAGATTTCTACCCAGGGTGAGTAGTCTTAATATCCTCCATGTAAATTCTAAGTTTCACTCTTATCCAAGGTACTTATTGTCTTTTGAAGAAAGAGACACTTCTCTAATAAAATATATGACTAATTACAACTTTAAAAAATTGTACGCCCTATTGTAATGTGGAATGTTTTGTGGGATTTTACTTAACATTTAGAATGCTAAAAACTTATTCTGATACACTTCTAACCCTCAATATATTTTCACTTTGATTGAAGGTAGGTTTGAGTTATTAAACTGAGCTCCAATTATGTGTGTTTATGTGTGTATGAAAGATAGAGAGAGAAACTACATTGTGCTTTTTCATTTTCTAATCCAGCCAGCCACCACTGATTGTTGAAAATCACCTTTTCATCTCTAGTTTTCAATGTGCCTTCGTATCTGTTTTCAAAAAGTTGTCATTCATTGAGATAGAAACCAGAGTAGAGGAAGCATAAATTTAATTTTGAGAGTGAGATGTGTGTTGGATTATAAGCATATTTAGGGGGAGTGAAGCAGCGGAGAGGAGTGTTGAATATTGAGTTTAACTTTGAGTTTGCTATGCTTGAAGAATAGCAGTCATTTTTTTCCACAAAGCTGTAAACAGTCCAAGAGATTGTTAGAAGGATTTTAGATGGTGTTACAGATTTGGAATGCTTCTGTGTACAGATGATAATTCAGGGAATGGGAATGATTTTTCTAGAGGAAGAATGCAAATAACTTGCAACCCTGGGAGGGAACACAAGCTCCAGGGCATGGTGGTGAAAAAGGATTAGTATAATAGTGTCCTTCTTCAGTTGCAGAAGCAGTGATGTGATTTAGATATACCTTGGAACCTTGGGAGTTAGTCTACAAAGATATTTGTTTCATGTCTGGTCATAGACTTAGGGGATTTGCAGTTAAGCAGGCCCAGATTAAATCCTGGTTTTATCTTGCAAATATCCCCAATTATAGATTGCTCACTCTTCATCAATCTACTGCCCTTTTCTGAGTAATTTTCAGCTCTCCTCTCATTGTCTCCTTTCCTCCGTGCCACCTTTCACACACCCAGTCTGCTTTCCACATAGGAGTTCATAAAATATTTTAAAAGAGTAACTTACTTTTTATTTTTAATCTACCTTCAACACTCTAGTAGCTTCCCATCACATTTTTAATAAAGTCAAAAGTCATTACAGTGTACAGATTCTACATTATGGGGAGGTTCCTCCCAAAACTCTTCTTTGTTACCTTAATAATCTAGCCTTCTGCTACTCACTTTTTTCTTTTCTACTGTATCAACCACACTGCCCTCCTTTGCTGTTTCTTTCTTTCTTTTTTTCTTATTATTATACTTTAAGTTCTACTGTACATGTGCACAACGTGCAGGTTTGTTACATATGTATACATTTGACATGTTGGTGTGCTGCACCCATTAACTCATCATTTACATTAGGTATATCTCCTATTGCTATCCCTCCCCACTCCCCTCTACCCCATGACAGGCCCTAGTGTGTGATGTTCCCCTTCCTGTGTCCAAGTGTTCTCATTGTTCAATTTCCACCTATGAGTGAGAACATGCGGTGTTTGGTTTTTTGTCCCTCCGATAGTTTGCTGAGAATGATGGTTTGCAGCTTCATCCATGTCCCTACAAAGGACATGAACTCATCATTTTTTATGGCTGCGTAGTATTCCATGGTGTATATGTGCCACATTTTCTTAATCCAATCTATCATTGATGGACATTTGGGTTGGTTCCAAGTCTTTGCTATTGTGAATAGTGTGAATAGTGCTGCAATAAACATATGTGCACATGTGTCTTTATAGCAGCATGATTTATAATCCTATGGGTATATAGCCAGTAATGGGATGGCTGGGTCAAATGATATTTCTAGTTCTAGATCCTTGAGGAATTGCCACACTGTCTTCCACAAGGGGGGGTTGAACCAGTTTACAGTCCCACCAACAGTGTAAAAGTGTTCCGATTTCTCCACATCCTCTCCAGCACCTGTTTTTTCCTGACTTTGTAACGATCGCCATTCTAACTGGTGTGAGATGGTATCTTATTGTGATTTTGATTTTCATTTCTCTGGTGGCTAGTGATGATGAGCATTGTTTCATGTGTCTGTTGGCTGCATAAATGTCTTCTTTTGACAAGTGTCTGTTCATGTCCTTTGCCCACTTTTTGATGGGGTTGTTTTTTTCTTGTGAATTTGTTTGAGTTCTTTGTACATTCTGGATATTAGCCCTTTGTCAGATGAGTAAATTGCAAAAATGTTCTCCCATTCTGTAGGTTGAATTCTCCCATTCTGTAGTGAATTCTCCCATTCACTCTGATGGTAGTTTCTTTTGATGTTTCTTACACTATACAAACAAATGCCTGCCTCAGGACCTTTACATTTTCTGCTTTCTGCCATGAATGTTGTTTTACAGATATCTGCATCTGTCTCTCCTCATTTTAATTAGGTCTTTCCTCAAATCTTCGGTAGCAAACAGAAGGCCCATTTATTTATCACTCTCTAAAACATTTCTCTGCTTAATTTTTCTTGATTGTATTATCTCTTGTTATATGGAGTACACATCTATTTGCTTATGTGTTATCTGTCTTCTTCCACTAGAATGCAAACTCCCTTAGAGCCTTGACTTTATTTAATTTGTTCACTAAGGTATCCCCCATGTATAGAACAGATCTGAACACTCAATAAACACTTACTGAATGAGTAACAATAGGAAATGCTAATATTATGTTTACTGTATGCCTGACACTGTTCTAGGAGCTGTACATGTATCAACTAATTTAATCCTCACAAAGAGAACTCTGCTGTATTTATGTCAATCCCAATTCAAATATAGTCTAGCTGCAGACTATAAACTCATAAATAGTGCAGTAGGATAGATAGATGGAAAAATAGATGAATGGCACTTCCAAAAATGGTGTGTGTGTATACATATATATGTGTGTGTGTGTGTGTGTGTGTGTATACACCATCTCTAAGCCTCAGTTCCTTTGCTTATAAAATGAGAATGCTTACAAAATTACCAACTTTATATTATAATAAGGTAAATATCAGCTATTAAAATTATGACCAATTGATGTATTATCAACATTATTAGCATAGGTTTACCACTGTGAGGCCTGGCTTTTCATCTTTAATAAGGGATATTGGGCCAAAGAAATAGTAAATTTACCCTATGACATCAACTGCATTGTTTTAAGTGCATAATCTCTTTAACCCCACAGGGTTGGGGTTAAAATCCAGGCTCCAACATGATGTAGGATCCAGTTCATTTACAGCTGGGCCTGGAAAACTCCAGCCTTACCCATGTGGTGCCTTCACATCCAACTTTGACTCTTGGCTAATAGAAAGGCAGTGGAATTTAAGGGTGTGCTGTTTCAACTCCAAAACTCCATCTATGACACACAGAACTGGTTTGTTTACTGATGGTTTTCACCTGGCCTTAGCAGCATGATGGCCTGGCTTGACCAACTGACCAAAGGGACATAAAATTAGATACCACTGTAACTTCTGCCTTGAGCTATCCTGAAGCCAAGATTCAGGACACAGGTCTCGTTGGTTTAATCATGATTCAAAGCATGCCCCTGTGTGCATCAGGACCCTAGGAAGACTGTGTCTGTATGTTTCTCATATCCCTAATACTTGCCTGCCTGCTTTCATATTCTGTATTGTAATCAGTACCTTTAAGTAAAAGCTTTTATGAGTTTGCTCTGTGGAGTTTGATGAGTTCTTTGAAATATCTAAATTTAGGAAACCTATGCATATGTGCAAATATGTAATATTTACCAGGTTTAATTATCTGTCTGGGCCTCAGTTTCTCTTCCATTAAATAGAAATACCAGCAGTATCTCACACACGACTTTGATAATATATTAATTGCTCTGAAGAGTATGTGGCAAACAATGAAAATTGAACTATTATTAGCTATTATTTTTATGCATTTTGATTATTTAAAAGCAAACCTTTATACAATGGCTTGAATATGTGCAAAGAATAAAGATTATTCAAGTCACACTTCCTGTCTAATCTTGACACTTCCAAAAGTATTCGAATGTCACCATCTGATTGGATATTTTTGGTAAAGCTTAAAAAGGAGGTGAAGCCTCACACATGTATGACAACAATTCTAGACTTACCTACAACAATATATTATATTACCTTGGGGTAATGAACCATGCAAAAAAATAAATCAATTATGAAAATGTCAGGCAAGAAATAAATTTTTTAGAAATAATCTTTTTAAAGTTTGTAATAAAAATTAGGAATTGTAAAATATGTTGTTGAACTGCCCTTTAAAATATCATTTATTTAAATCCGAACCCAGTTGCTTACCAGCCTTTTCCGAGCAGAGTGGTTTAACCTCCCTGTGGCTCAGTTTCCTCCTTTACAAATACATAGAAAAAATAATAGTGTTGATTTCATAAATGCTTGTGAGACTTCAATGAGCTAGTCTATGCAATACATTAAATATTAGTCTTTTTTTACTTAAAAATTAGTGATTTGATAATTCCAGAATAAGATAATTTAAAAACATGATTTTTAAAGTCATGCATTTACTTGTTTTTAATAGAGATTTAATGAAGAAACACTCATTATATGCTCAATGTTTAATTTTCTCAAGTGCTTATTATGGGTCGGATAGTCTGCTAGTTGGTGGGAATATAATGGTGAAAAATAGAGTCACAACTTCTCTTAAGACAGCTTATAGTAAATCAATAACCTAAGTTATGATAAGCATTGTGATAGGAGAAATGTCATACAGCAGTAGCATATGCAGAAAACACTTATAAACTCTCTGAGGGACTTTGAGAAATAGAACCAGAGAAAAATATTTTAACTGATACCTGAAGGATAAGTAGGAATTAATTCTGTAAACTACAGAGCTCACAGCATGCATAAATGGCCAGAAACTTAATACAAATATGTTTATTTCTTGGATTAGAAGAAGTTCAGAATATCTGAACTAATAATTTCATAGCTCAACCAGAAACCAGTTGGTAGTGTCTTAATATAATTAATAATTAAATTTTATATTATTAAAAGACATGTATGGGACCGGGCGTGGTGCCTCACGCCTCTAATCCCATCACTTTGGGAGGCCAAGGCGGGCGGATCACCAGGTCAGGAGATCGAGACCATCCTGGCTAACATGGTGAAACCCCGTCTCTACTAAAAATACAAAAAAATTAGCCGGGCGTGGTGACAGGTGACTGTAGTCCCAGCTACTCCGGAGGCTTAGGCAGGTGAATGGCGCGATCCCGGGAGGCGGAGCTTGCAGTGAGCCGAGATCGCGCCACTGCACTTCAGCCTGGGTGACAGAACAAGACTCTATCTCAAAAAAAAAAAAAAAAAAAAAGACATGTATATATTCTACATTTTATATTTTTTTTATGTTAGAAGAAATTCCATTAGAAATTACTGTAAAGTAGTTCTACTGGCAACAAATTTTCTTAGTTTTTTATATAGCAAAATGTTTATTTCAACTTTATGCATTAAGAATATTTTCACTGAATACAGATTTATGGGTTGGCCATCCTTTTCTTTTAAGCATTTGAAAAATGTTATTGTCTCTCAACTATATTTGTTTCTTGTCATTGAAGTTCTTGTTACCGTACGGATTATGTATTTTTCTGTCTGTTTGCTATCAATTTTTTTTGTTTTTAGTTTACAGAAATTTGATTGTCATGTGTCTGGTTATTGATTTATTTTGGTTTATCTTGCTTGAATTTTACTGAGCTATTTCTATGTGGATAGTTATGTCTTTTACAAATGTGGGGTGTTTTCAGTTGTTATTTCATCAATTTTTTTATCTGTTTACTTTTTCTTTTTCTCTTTTAGAACACTGATGACACAAATGTTCAATCTTTTTGTTGCTGTTGTTGTTGTTGACCCACGAGTCATTTGGAACATAGTTCCATTCATGTCTTTAAATCTATCTTTACTGTTTGTATTGAATAAGTTTTTTGACATATCTTCAAGTTCACTAATTTTTTTTCTGTCACTTCCATTATGCTCTTGATCTCTGCCAATGAGGTGTTTTTTAGGTTTTGGGGGTTTGTCTTGGTTTTGTATTTTTCACTTCTAAAACGTCATTGCAGTGCTTTTAAAATCTGTTTAGAAGATATATGTATGTTCTGTTTCTTTGCTGAGATCTTCTATTTTTTAATTTAATCTGAGTGTTACTAATTGCTCATTGGAGCATTTTAAAGAATGAGCTTTAAAATACTCATGAGATAATTTCAGCAATATGGCATCTTGCCACTGGTGTCTGTTGATTATCTGCTGTCATAAATTGAGATTTTCTTCATTATTGGTATGATGATTAGTGTTGGATTGCATCTTGGTAGTTATTATTTTATAAGAGTCTGGATCATATTAACTCTTCTCGTTTTTGTGGGCAGTCAAACTGTGTAGGTTCAGAATGCATCCTATTTAGATTTTGGGGGATACGATTCACATGTAAACTTAGCTTTCAAAGTCTTGAGATATTATTTCGATCTATCCCATTGGTGTGTTAACCAGAGGCCAATTTACAACTTGACATTGTTCCACACCATCAATCAAAGCATGTGTTTTGTTGACTTTGGACAGTTTCCCGCATGGGTCACTCAGGGGTATTCTCAGAATCCCTCACTTTTCTTCATAATCCTTTACCAACTTTCTAGTTAGCGGGGAGTGGATTGCTGCCTAATTGCTGTTTTGTTTGTTTGTTTTTGTTTGTGTTGTTGTTTGTTCTGCTTAGCTGGAATGTTCAACATGGCTTGTAACCCAGGCTCTGCACATAAAAAACAAAAAAGATAAAACCAAAACTAACAACAGTAACAACAAAACAATGAGTGCATGTAAAAAACGTAAAGTTTAGATAATGTCTATAGTTTATTTAGTAGTACTATACTAATGTCAATTTCCTGATTTTTACAGTGTACCATGTTTATATAAGAAGTTATTGAGGAAATCTAAGTTAAGGGTATAAGGGAATATTTGCGTTATTTTTGTAACTTTGTGTGAGTCTAAATATGGAAAATAATATGTTTAAAAATAAGTAAGGAAATAGAAAAGATGTGGATGTGTCTAACCACACACATATATATGTATAAAATATATACTGTATTATGTATAATATATACATAAAACACACAATTATATATGTATATATAATTGCTTTTGGTGTTTTTGAGACGGTGTCTCGCTCTGTCACCCAGGCTGGAGTGCAGTGGCCCAATCTCGGCTCACTGCAAGCTCTTCCTCCCGGGTTCATGCCATTCTCCTGCCTCAGCCTCCCAAGTAGCTGGGACTACAGGTGCCCGCCACCACACCCAGCTAGTTTTTTTTGTTTTGTTTTGTTTTTTGTATTTTTAGTAGAGACAGTGTTTCACCATGTTAGCCAGGATGGTCTCAATATCCTGACCTTGTGATCTGCCCGCCTTGGCTTCCCAAAGTGCTGGGATTACACGTGTGAGCCACTGCGCCTGGCCATATATGTATTTATAATGTTTGATTTATATTATATATACTTTATATATATATTCACCACCACACAGTACAATGAGTATTGTATATACTCATTGTAAAATGTGATGGTTAATTTTATGTGTCAGATAAATGATAGTTATACAATATTTTGTGCCTGTCTTTTCTTCACTTGCCATGTTGCTTATAAGATTCTTTCCCATTGATGAATAGATCATTTCTTTTTATTGTTCAGTAGTATTCCATTGTACGAATAGACACCATTTTTTCCCATTTATGACTTGCTGAATATTTGAATTGTTTCCTGGTTTTGATGACTATAAATAAAACTGATATAAGTATTTGCAAATATGTTTTGCATAGACATATGTTTTCATTTCTCTTGAGACAGCAGTATTAGGGCTACTGAGTCATAAGGTAAGATTGTCTTTTACTGTTATTATAAGCCAAATTATCTTGCAAAGTGGCTTTATCATTTTGAAATCTTACCAGCAACACATGAGATTTCAGTTCATCCTTTCACTCCTCTACACTTGAAATTTTCAGCTATGAGTATTCATGTAAGACACTTTAATAGATTCATAGCATCATCTCATTATGTTTTTTAAAAATTATCCTTAATGATTAATGATGATGACTTTCTTTTCATGTGCTTATTTATCATCTATGTATCTTCTTTGAAGATGTGTATATTCAATTTTTTGCCCATTTTAAAATCAGTTTTTTTATTATTTGGTGTTGATAATTTTATGTATGAAGAATATCTACTATTCATTATATATGGGCTGTGTAATTATTTATTCCTAGTTAGTGACTGGTCTTTTCATTCTCGTAACCATCTTTCAAGTAGCAGAAGTTTTAAATTTTGTGGAAGTCAAGTATGTAACATATTTTTCCATTAATAGCTCTTGCTTTATGTGTATCATCTGAAAAAATATTTGACTAACTCAAGATTATAGCGATTTTTCCCCATCATTCAGTCGTTTTTACATTTTATATTCTATAGCAGATTTATGTCCAATTTTCAATGGAGTTTTGTATATGGTGGAAAATGGTACTGCTTTTTGACCTGGGCAAGTGAGAGCCTTGCCTGGGGCCATACACCACAGAGCTTGCCCTCTCTCCTTCGTAGAGATTCCTTCAAAACATTCAAAGTACCACTCAGGTTCCTGAGACAACCCACAGGAGTCCCATGTCTGCATTTCTCCCCTTTCGGGTACCTCCAACATTTTTACATGTTAATTGATTCAACCATATGCTCTGAGGACCTCTGGAACTCATGAATATTGGATAAACCTAGGCCCTCAGGCATGCGTTGGTTCCAAGAGGATAGCTTAATGAATAGATCACTCTCCCTGGCTGACACAGTACTTCTTTTACAGGATCTTTGGAGAATGACCTGTCAGGATGTTACTGACGTAACTTGCTTTTGTCGACAGAGGAACTGCCTAAAACGAAAACAACAACAAAAAAGTTGTTTTTATTTGTTTTTTCTGAATACCCTGCATATCCTCAATGCTGTCTTATACAAGGTATAGGTCAAGATTGATGTTTTTATCTGTAGATATTTAATTGTGCCAGCACCATTGGTTTAAAAGCCACTTTTTCCACTGAATTACCTTTGCTGAAAATCGTTTGACTGTATAAAAGTAGGCCTATATCTGGTTTTTAAATTCTATTCCAATGACCTATAAATCTGTCTTTTCATCAATACCATGTTAACTTCATTGCTTTGTACTCAATCCTCAAAATGTACATATGAGTACTCCAATTGTTTTTAAATTTGTTTTTGCTATTCTAAGTTTCTTTGATTTTCTGTAAAAACTAAAGATTCAGGTTGTCAATGACTATTTTAAAAACTTGCTGGTATTTTTATTACAATTGCTTTTTACCTATGGATTAATTGAAAAAGAATTGATATTCTTAACAATATTGAGCAATCTGATTCATGAACAAGGAATACGTCATTTATTTTTAGGCCTACTTCTATTTCTCATGTAAATGTTTTATAGTTTCAGTGAAAAGAGAGTGCACATATATGATTAGTATTTCATATGTTGTTGCAATTTTACTATATTTGTTAGTTTTTATTTCTTCATTGCTGGTATAAAGTGATTGTATTTTGTCAATCTTGATAATCTTATTTATCAGATATAAGAGTTTTCATAGACTTTTTAGGATTTTTTACATAGACAATCATTTTTTTTTAATCTGTGAAGAAGAACAGTTGTCCCCTCCCTTTTTAATCCACATGACTTTTATTAAAATTTTCTTATCTGATTTTACTGGCTAGGGTTTTCAATACAATATTGAGTAAAGATTGTGTCAGCAGACATCCTTACATTGCTTTTAACATGACAGGGAACATGTTCAGTATTCTATCATAAAGTGTCATGTCAATTGTAACTTTTTCAAGTATGTTCTTTATCAGGTTGAGAAAGTTTGCTTCAACGTCTACTTTCCTTAGAGTGTGATTTTTTTAAGTAATAAATGAATGTAAAATTTTGTCAAATGTTTTTCTGCATCAACTGAAATAATCATACAGCTTCAGTTTGTGGTTATAGAGCTACATTGATTGACTTTCAAATGCTGAGCAATCTTAACTTTCCAGGATTAAGTTGATCATTTATTATGTGCTTTTTTTTCCACATCATGCTCTACATATCCTCAGTAAAGCCTTGTGTAAGGCATAGTTCAAGATTCATATTTTTAACTGGCTTTGCGGTACCAATATTTGGTTAACTATCTTCACATTTATGATAATGAAGAATATTGTTCTACAGTTTTACTGTAATTCCTTTGTTTGGTTTTAAATCAGGATAATTCTTGCCTTAAAAAATCAATTGAGATAGGTTCCTACTTGTTTTATTTTCTGAAATACATGATGTAAAATTGGTATTATTTCTCCCTTAAATATTAAGTAAAATTCATCAGTGATGTTATCTAGACCTTAATCTTTCTTTGTTGGAAAGTTTTTAAATACAAATTTAATTCTTTAGTAACTGAACTTTGCTATTGAATTTGCCATTTTTACTCATTAAGTGTTTACTGAATGTTTAAAAATCTGTTCTAGACACAAGGGATACATTGATAAATAAACTAGATAAAATCAAGGCTCTAAGGGAGTTTACATTCTATTGGGAGAAGACAGGCAGTTATCTATTTCTTCTTGAATTAATGTTGATAAATTCCATAACTTAAGGAATTCATGCATATCATCTACATTATCAAACATATTGATATAAATTTGTTTTTGATATGTCTTAGCATCCTTTAGAAATGCTTCAACTTTCATTTCTAACGCTGATAATTTACTTCTTTTAAAAAATGTTTACTTTGAAATAATATTAGATTTGCAGAAGAGTTGCAAAACACTATGGAGAGTCCCTGTATGACTTTCCCCCATATTTCTCTAAGGTTATGATCTTACATAACCATAACACTATTATCAAAACTAATAAATTAATATTGGTACAATGCTATTAACTGTTTGATCATATTTGGATTTCTCCAGCTTTTCTATTAGCATCCTTTTTTTTTTTTTTTTTTTTTTTTTTTTTTTACTGTTGAAGAATCTAATCCATATTCCCACATGGCGTTTAGTTGTCATGTGTCTTCGGTCTCCTGCAACTTGTGGCTATTTCTCTGCCTTTCTTGATTTTTCATGACCTTGACATGTTTGAAAAGTCCTGATTAGTTATTTTATAGAGTATCCCTAATTTAGGTTTACCTGCTGCTTATTATGATTAACTTGAGGTAATGCATTTTTGGCCAGAATACAACAAAAGTGATGTGCTCCTCTTAGTGTGTCACATCAGGGGTATATATTGTCCATATGTATTATATGTATTACTGGTCATGTGCAGCTATTCTTGTATACTTGTGCCACAAAGTGTCTTCTCCATTATCTTGTCCCTGATGGCTAATATTATGTCAACTTGACTGGGCCAATCCTATAGGGTGCCAAGACATTTGGTAAAACATTATCTGGAGTATATCTGTGAGGGTGTTTTTAGATGAGGTTAACATTTCAGTTGATAGACTGAATACAGCATATTGATGTCTCTAATTTGTGTGGATCTCATCCAATCAGTTGACAGCCAGAGTAGAACAAAAATGCTGACTCTTCCTTGAGTAAGAGTAAGAGGGAACTCTCTGCCTGACTGCCCTGAGCTGGGACATTGGTCTTTTCTTTCCTTTGGATCTGAACAAAAGCATCAGCTCTTCTTGGATCTAAAACCTGCCAGCTTTCAGATTGGAACTACACTGTCAGTTCTTATGAGGCTCCAGCTTGCCAACTACAGACCTTGGGGACTTCTCAGTCTCAGGCTCATCCAATCCCTTGTCATTTATAATAAGGAATTCCATGAGCCAATTCCTTATAATAAAGTAATAATAAGTTAACACACACTCACACCTCTATTGTTTCTGTTTCTCTGGAGAACCCTAACACATTGCCCTTCCCTCAGTGTTAAACTGCTCCTTTTGTTTGTTAGAGCTCCCCCACCAACCCCCAACTGAATGGTTCTGGAGTGAGTAACTCAGCCTCATAGACAAAGTTTTCCCTATGGTCCTTTCCTTCTTCTCCACGATAATCCAATTGTGTTTTGTATCTCTGTTGGATCTTGTGTAGGAGAGAGTTTGCTCCCCAACAAGAAGGAAATCCCTAATAGTATTGATATAGGGTCCTGAACTCAGGAATATTTCTTGCTACTTCCCCAAGTTTATGAGGTGTTTCCTTTTCATCCTTCTGCCACTCATAATCAAACATTACCTGCATACAGACTACAGTAGAGTTTACTGTTCCTTTCGTAGTAGCTAAGGATTTTTCTGAGTATGAATGACTACTCCAAGCAAAAAGTGGGATTCTGAATATTTCCAACAGCAGCAGTAAATCTTTTCCTATAGGAACCGAATAATAGAAGTTTGTTTGTTTGTTTTTGTTTTTTGTTTTTTGTTTTTTGTACTCTGATTCCGCCCCAGTGTTGCTTGTAAACAATTTATGGAGATCTGTGGGAAAAAAGGCCTGTAGATGCGTGTGGGTTCCACTTTTTATTTTGGGTCTCCAATGGTTTCTATACTAACCTTCTTCACCACACTCATTATTTTTACAATTCTTTGAAATCTTAGCTCATGTCTTTGTACCCATTTGAATGCCTGCCACATCTTCTTCTATTGTTCTGCAACACAAGACTCCCCTTGGAGAGGCCATTGCTCCTTCAATTTTGTAGTTCCTCCAGCGTTTTCTCATTTATAGAGTGAGATGGTTATGTTCTTTCTATTTTCTGCATTCAAAGAGAAAGGGAGCTTTTTTATTTAAAAAAATTAAATATGGTTAGAATTATGGAAGTACTACTTTTGATAGTCTTAAAGCTATACATAATTTTGATTTTTAATTTTTTCCCACATTTTTCACAATACAACTAAGATATCACAGATATGTCTTATCAAGAGCAGTTCTTGTGGGATGAACTTATTTAATTTTATTAGAAGGAGTTATATTTTCAATCATGATACTTTCTTCCCATGCGTGGAACTCCAGTAGCTATAAGATTCTTGTCATTTCTTTTTCCATTAGTCTATCCTCTCTAGGAGAAGGATAGTGACTTAGCTGATGAGAAATGTGGGAAGAATAAACTGGACATACATATCCCGGGCTGTCCTCTGGGCTGTTCTCTTTCTTTAGGGTCTACACAGCAGTAGAAATCACGAATTATCCTCTACTTCTCCAAGCTACAAATGCATGCTACAAATGTGACTCAGTCGAAGTAACTGGGTGGATTTAATTCCCTAATTGTTGAGCTCAGTTGAGAGACCTATTTGGATTCCACAGTAAACACATTCTCCATGTCCATTGCTGTAAATAATAATAGTAATATTTTATCCTACACCCTAAGTTACTCTTTTTAATTATTTTTAGAACCTTACCAGGGAAGGTACAACTATTTATGAAGTGTTCTATTGGAGATACCAATATCTTCTGCATGACTGAAGGCATTGTGAATTAGGAGGACACAGAAATACAAGAGGAGAGTCTTTTTGGTAGAGTCTAGCATGTGACTTTTGACTTTACAATTTAGGATTTTACTAGATTTGAAATCTTAATGGTTTCTAGAGGCAAATAGACAACAGGCTCTAAGCCTTGGGCTATGTAACATTTTGAATTTCATGATGACTTTTCTATGGAGAGCTTTCCCATAGTAGATTGCCCATGTTTATAAAATCAGGAATACAGGCAAAAATACTTGAACCTTGAGGAAGGTGACGGTTTCCTCAGAAATGTCAAAGACAAATGCACAAAAGTGAATAGTACTATAAGAACACAAACAAACACAAATGAAAGATATCTGAGTGACTTCTGTGGAGGCTAAAAGAGCCTCTGGAATATATCATAGTGTTGCTGGAGCCTTAGCAAGTGAACACAAAAGAAAGGGAGGAATAAATTATAAAAACAGCAGAGGTCAGGAGTGGCCTCTCCAATACTGCCCTACAGGTGGCCAACATGGCAGTCACAATCTCAAGACCACTTATGCAGGCTCAGGCAACATTCGTTTGCAGGCCATCGTTGCCTTGCAATGCAATTTCAGGATTTCCTAGGAATGTTTGGCTGAAACAAAGTTTTGATCCTAAGGAAACAGATATTTGTTGTCTTAAGCATTTCTGGGCTGAACAATTTCTAATGCAGCTGAAATCCAAGGCATTTGTGTTTGCTTGTGTTGTAGAACACAGGAGAATTTCTTGCTTTAAACCTTTAAAGCTAGGCTTATGTAGACATGACTAAAGACACTAAATCAAATTTCATTCTGCATTCAAGGCCATAGAGGATTCTGTGGACGTACATACAGACTTGTCCACAAGCTCAGGAATAAAAAGGACTCCAAGAAAACATTACCGAGTGTATTTCAAGGTGAGAGAAACATGATAAGTGGGTATGCAGATACTGCCTGGGTCCAGAGGGAACATTACTGAAAAATTTATAGAATTGAAAATAGAAGAAAAAAGTATTTTGAGGTGCATAAAAACCAAAGTTTTGTTCATACCAGTCTACCCCATGCCCAGTTTTTACTCTTAGTGGAACAGGCTTCAGAAACATTTATAGTAGCTTCATTTGAGAAATCTACTTGATTTCAGAAATCTGCTCCAGCTGAAACAAATGTGGGGAATTCACTTAGGAGGCAGTTTCCATAGACTGGTTGGCTTCTAAATGTGGTAAATATGTTCTGACAAAATTAAGTTCTTGTTGGACCTTTTCCTAATTGAATGTTAATGAATTCATCATGGATTCTAGACAACTGGCACAAACTACCTGGTATTCCAGACTACTGGTATTCCTGGTTTTTGGCTAAAAACAAAGAAATGCTTCTCTGCACAGTCCTTGCCTCAAACACCAAAAAAACTATGTCTTGGACTTTAGGAATACTCAGTATTGAGTCCTGGGACAACAGGTATGAGGATCAGAATGGATTTGTTTCACAAATTTGATTTGGTTGTGAGGCTAGTGCTCTGATGATCTTGCTTCTTTGTATTTTTGTCTTCTTAAAACATAAATAAGTCTATTGTATAAATGGATGATAATTTGCTTTCCATTGACCAGTTGGTGGATATTTGATGTATGCTGTGTACTGCTGAAGACAGGGAACAAACATGAATGCATCTTAAAAAGGGAAGAAGCATTTTACTCATTTTAGATCCTAGTGTAAACTATAGTAATAGCAGGCCCCTCAGTGGTTTACCAGGGTTCAAAGTTGACTCAAAAAAATGCTACAAGGGAGCTTTTTTTTCAATTTTCAACTTTCAATTTTAATGAGTACATAGTAGATATATATTTTATGGGGAGTATGAGATATTTTGATACAGGCATACAATATGTAACAATGACATCAGGGTACAGACCTTTTTAGATTGATGGAAATGTTATATATCATGATATTAGGAGAGTTACATGATTGTACACATTTCAAAAAATTAATTATGTTATATAGTTTAATTTGTTAAGCTAAAAACTTAATTAGGCACATTACAGACTTAATGTTGAACTGGTACAATTTCGGAGACTCTGAAGGAGCTCTGCCAGTTAACGAACAAAGCAGCACATGTTGCAGCTAAGGAAAGAGCATAATTACACGCCACCGTGCCCAGCTAAATGTTTGGTTTTTGGAATTTGTAGTGAAAAGGGTAAAATGGGCAAGGAAAATTTATTTCAAATTTTAAATAAAACATTTGTTTTAGATTTTAAGAGAAATAATAATTGTATTTCTTCCCTGGTAATTAACAAAAAGAACTTATCATAAAATTTGGTCAAAATATTAATGTATAATTAGCATATTTTAAACTATGTTCAAGATTTTACTTTTCTTTCTATTCTGTCTTTTCTTTCGTTTTGGGTGTGGGGTTTGCTTTCAAGGATATACTGACCTCTAAAATTAGTTGGAAGCTTTTCTTATACCTCATAGTCTCTGGGACAACTTAGATTAGATTGAGAGGATCTGTTCCTTTTAATGTAAAACCACTTGCCCACTAACGTCATCCAAGTGTTTAGAATAGGACCAGGAATAAATTTGTTGAATTATTGTATTCATCCGTCAAATTTCACTGAATGTGTTTTTCCTGATTTTGACATCATTATTTTTCGATTTAAATCATTTTAATATTATTTTCATATTATTTATTTTCATGTTCTCTTTTTAAAATTCTTGAGCTCAATGCTTAATTTATTTTATCTCTTCTTTAGTAACGAAAATGTTTAAGACTGTAAATTTTCCTCTGAGTACAACTTCCACCATATTCTATAGTTTCTGAAAATGTGCTCAGCTCATTATAATTATTTTCTAAATATACATGCTTATGGTTTTGCTTTACTGTCTGGCACCTGAGTTCCTTCTCATGTTTTTCTGTTATTTTTGTTTAATTGCTGATGATGTAGTCTGTACCGTTTCTAATATGTCTAAAGTATATAGAGGCTTAATTGGTCTTTGCTGCTGTCTTGATTTAGATTGTAATATGCCTACTAAGAACTTATATATTTTTCTGTCTGCTTGGACTTTCAGAGGAGAGTACATTTTTTTCTACCCTTTTCTTCTTATATTTCTAGCATTTTTTTGGTTTATATATTTTGCTGATTTTCTTTTACTTTGAACTTCATTTACTTTCTGACATTAAAGTTATGGAAACTTTTTTTTTTTTTTTTGCATTTTTCTCTCTATATTTCCCACTCTTTTATATTCAAGCATTTTAAATTACTATGTTGCAGGGTGTGTCTCTTTATAAACATACAGTTTAATTTTACAACCCTATATAGTTGAATTTAATGTCATAACCCTGATTGTGAAGTTATTGCATTTATATATTGATATGACATATCACATTGTTTTCACTTGTTGTCTTATTTGATTTAGTTTTTTAATGTTTCCTAGAAATTACCTCTGTTATCTCTCATGTGCTTTATGATCTGTCTCATTGTTTTACTTATGTTCCCTTCTGATAATCTGAACATTATAGAGTGCTTTTTGTCTTATTAGCAGAATTTGCTTTACCTATTTATGTTAATCCTCACCCTATGTTTCTTGATGTATCGACCTCAGAAACAAAGCAAAATGTACAGACTCTCATTAGAAATAATAATGAATTACATATACCTTCTCCTGCCTTTCTTCTTAACATTGTTAATCTTTTTGTAAATAAATTATTACACCTGTTATATTAGATAGTGAATTTTTACAATTTATATCATAACATCATATCCATAATTATCAAAATTACATTAACACATTTCTGTGTCTATAACTAGATTCAATGCTACCACTAGTACTTTGATACTGTTAAACTCAGATATTTGCAGTTTTATTTCTGTTTATTTTTAACTAGTATAGATTGTTCTACAAAGTGGACTTTATTTGGAGACTTTACAGGATTATATGCTCCACAGAGAATTTTGTTAGGGACTTTTTCCCATTTAAATGATTTTGATGTTCATCTGATTTATAGCATTTGTTTATCAGTGTATTAAAAAATATTTATCAATTACCTATTGGCTGTATTTTCTTTCAAATATATTGTCAGTTGCTAGGTATACAGCAATGAACAAGAAACCCAAACTGCAACTCTGATAGAACTCTCTGCAGTCAAATGCAATAAACAAGTAAATAAATACATAACACAGAAATAAATATATACTATGCTATGTGGAGGAGATGAATGCTACTTTTAGAAGTGGTTAGGACAGGCATCTGGGAACAAGCAATCTGAAATGACTAAGGAGAGTGACTAAGCAGAGGAAATAGCAATTGCAAAAGACTTTGAGCCTGAAAAAATTCTGGCTTTTACTAGGGAGGCCTGTATGAGCAGAGAAAATTAAGTGATGGCGAAGGTTGTGTAAGAGATTGGAGATACAGCTTTGGGCCAGCTCATTTAAGGGAAGTAGTCTGGATTTTAATCTGAGTATAATATAAGCCAATGCAGTGTTCTGAAAAATGGGGTTGAGTGATCCCTTTTAGCTTTTAAAAAATTCCCTAGCTGTTGTCTTATAAATAGATTTTGGAGTCATTCAGTATTACAGAGATGCCTGAGGTCAGTTTGCTTAATATTTTTCTTTCTTTAAAAGTAAATGTCTTCCCTCTGGATTTACTCATAATCCAACAAATATTTATTGATTTCTTTTCATATACTTTGTGAATGTACTTCCATGCATTTTTTTCCAAAGTAGCTTATTTCTTTAAGCTTGAATTTAAATAACCAATAAAATATTTTCTGCTTGGTGAATTCCTCTGTTAACTATTGCCACAAAAGTGCCACGTAAGAGTTCACCTAGAAACTCATTGATTTAAAGTGGTTATTGATTTGTGATCATGTGCTGGTAGGTTAATCAGGGGTCTGGTTGAAAAGGCTGGGCTTAGCTGGACAATATTTCAAGCTGCAGTTTGGGTCCACATCTGCCCCACATGTTTATTATGCTATCTGAACCATTGAATAAACCAGGTATTAGATGTAAATGAGAGGCATGGATTCTAGTGCACTGAAAATCTCATAGGGATGGAAGAAGCTTAAGAAAAGCAAAATGGAATATGGATGCCTCTTAAGGCTTGGACTTAGTGATTACACACTGCTGCCTTTTCCTCATACCTATTAATGGTTAAAACAAGTACACAGTTAGGCCCATCATCAGAAGGGAGGGAAGTAAATTCCACTTCCAGTGGGAAAACTACAAAATTACATGAACAAAGGCTGTGAACACAAGGAGAAATGGAGAATTGGGATCAATAATACTAATTACCATCACCAAATGTCTTTAATTTTGCCTGAAGTACAGGCAAATGTTTTATTAAAAGTTTGTGTTTTCTTTTAATTAAAATTGTATTCCATTATTAAATTTGAATATTTTTTGTTTTGTTTCCTTTGGTGTTCTTTTGGGGTAGATTAGAGGATCACTATTTGATATCATTTTTTTGTCTGTTCTCTTCAGTTATTATGTTCTTTGTGTGAGCTTGCTGGCTTCCTTTACTCTTTTCTTTCCCAGTATGGATGATTTCTTTCAACTTGTCCTCCATGCGAGGGATTTGACTTTCTACACTATTGATTCATGCTTTTCTGCTTCGTTTCCACTTCATGATATCCAGTTGTGTTTTTCCTCAATTTATTCCCTTAGTATGCCTGTCTCAATTTTCATCACACTGTCTTCTGTCTTAGCTTTATAGAGTTTCTGTTTGTTGTAACTTAGAGTATGGATGTTAATCTGTACTAATTTGTTTCTTCATTTATTTATTTTTTCATGACATCTATATTTTCTTTCTTTTTACTATATTTTATTTGCATGTGTCTCTTTCCTTGTTCCTTTTCCTTTTTTTTTTTTTTGAATGAGGTTAATTCTATCAAAGCCAATTCTCATATGAAATGTGGCTCTAATGCATAGTCCTCTCACCCGCCCCCCTTCAGGTCTCTATAGATAGTCTCTTCCTAGTCCTACATGAAATCAGAAACATATACTCATGTGTCCTAAAATTATATTTTTACTGAATTGCTCAATTGTGTATTCAGTTGCCCTCTTACATGTTAAGTTTGTGGCCTAATTATCATTATGAATTTGCCATAAAAATAGATTTTTTAAATTATGCTTCAAACCTACCTCTCTTTCTAGCTGCCCAAATCATTAAATGGTAGCTTTGTCAACTCAGCTGTCAAGCATCCTCTCTTAAGTGAGATTGGACACTAATGAATCTGGCAGGTATTGTTCTACGTGTTTGGCATGAGGCTGTGACCACTTCCTAGTACTTTAGCATAGATACAGATTTTTTTAACCTTTTTTGGCAAATTATATTGTTTTCAAGGACGGAGTATTATAATTATGCTGCCTACGTTCCAGAAGTTGAAAAGGTTTTTAATAGCTATGAAGACAGCTGTCACTCAGAGTAATTCCTTTTGGAAAAAAAACTATTTTCTCAAAATAGAAACAATTAGTTGATGGGACTTTTTATAATTTTTTTTCAGAAATAATATAATTAACTTATTACCAGTTTACGGAAAATAAACTGCCTGTCACAAACCTCGTGCCTGTAAAGGCTTCACACTGGCTTATCTTTGCTTCCTTTGGCAGTGCTACTATGAGGCTCTGAGCTTGTATCTGAAATGGTAAGGTCAAAATAGAATAGCAGACTTCTAATTATTTTTATAAGTTATTTGAATAATCAGAGAGTCTATGCAATGTTAAAAATCTATTTTGCATATGATGTCTAAATTAACACAAACTGGGGCTGAAAAAAAAAAAAGAAATTTATTATTTCACAGCTCTGGAAGCCAGAAGTCTGATATCAGTACCACTGAGTTATTAGCAAGGTGTCAGCAGAGTGTCCTCTGGAGGCTCGAGGGGAGAATCCACTCTTTACCTCTTCTAGCAATTGCAGGTACTCCTGGTCTTGTGACGACATCACTCCACACTTCAAGGCCAGTATCTTGGAATCCTTCCCTACTCCATTTTCACATCACTTCTTCTGTATGGGTGAGTGTGTATTTGTGTGAAAATTCTCTCACTCCCTCTAATAAGGACACATGCAATCCTGTTTGGGGCCCACCCTTATGATCCAGGATGATCTCCCAATATCCAGATCCTTAATTATAACTGCAAAAACTTTTATACTTATATGGTAACATTTATACATTCCAGGGACTAGGATCTGATATTCTGGGGAGAGGGAAGCATTTATCAATTTACCACACTCTTGTTGCATCCCTTGTCTACTGTCAGTTAAAATTATTCCTTCTTAAATTTATTCTCTCAGTGTCTTTGTTTTCTATCAAATGTTGGTGTCTTTTACCTTGCTGTCCTTTGGCTTTCTAGTCATTGAAGGGAAAGAAACTGTAGCAGCCCATCTTAAATCTTTCCTTATAAATACTCTTCTCACATCCAAACCACCCCAACCTTTTCAGGTTGTTATTTATGAATGTACTTTTTAACTTAAAATAACCTTAAAAAGAGTTTCAGTTAAAGTACTTTTTTTTGATAAAAATGCAAGCACATCTCCTCTTGTATTTTATATGGAAATACTGCATGCTATATATGATTAATAATTTCCATACTTAGTCATGCCATCTTTTTAAACATTTCATTCTTAAATATTTATTACTTTTATTATATTAATTTTCTGGGTAAATAACTTTGACCTTTCCCAATAAGACACTTTGTGTTTGTATATCTGGGAAGGGGTGTGTGTGTGTGTGTGTGTGTGTGTGTGTGTGTGTGTGTGTGATTACTTTTAAGCTACTCTGCTGGGTTTACAAATAAAAGAAATGTAGCTTGCACCTAGTGAGAATTCAAAAATGAAATGCTATACATTGTTTTCACAAAAGGATACACTTCTGACATGGAGGGTTTGTTGCTGATATTATTTTAGATGAGTCACCTGAAATTATTCAATATACAATATTCAAAAATTCTAACTTTTTAGTTTAAATATCAGCAAGTTGCTTGAATAAATCTTTAAAGCAGACATGAAAGAACAATAATAACTAGCACTTAGAGAAACCTTGTACTTTCTGTGCTTTGAAAACCTGTAATAGTCATGGAATTCTAACTATGTATCATCAAATTAATCACTAATGTTAAGACTGCAGTGGAGAACTGCAGAGAGAGTTAATGTACTTGCTAGGATTACATAATTCCTTCATATCAAGTCCAAAACTGTCTTCCGTTCTTAGGTCAGTGCATTTTTACCATCTTCACTTTTCCAATATAAATCTATATTTTCTTTTCATCAGTTATCACCAGCTTAGGCAATGAACTGAAGACAGAGTGAAGGCACTGACCCTAACACTGCAACTGCACAGTGCTACCTATAAGCATCCTGGTAAAATAAACTTAAACTTAATCTTTTTGGCCGTAATGACAACTGAATTTTATTTAAAATAATAAATTCCAAGCTATTAAATTTTGTGAAAAGCAGAAATGGCTCTGCTGGCAGCCAGGACATAATATTTTTAACTACATATCAATAATGCTTATAAAATATAAGTGCTTCAGCAAGACAGTTCTGTGAGCTGGACTGAACCAGGGGTACAAGCAAGGCCATTGCACAGTCTCACTGCCAACAGAGATGACAGCTGCTCCTCAGGCAATGACAGTTCTAGGCTGTCCCCAGTCTGCCCACATCGCAATTGTCAAAGCACTGGATCAGAGAATTCCTCCCACTTGACAGAGTGCAACCAGCAAGTAGCCCTCACTGCCTGAACCTTCTGAAAACGTCCAGCACAAGGGCAAATCCTGTTAGAAGCCCAGAGCTCCTTCAAACCACCAATTCTGTCCTATGTGATGCCCCATACTTGCTCTGAGGTGCACTCTTCCTTGCTGTGGCAAGCTCAATATACTTTATCATTACTGACATTATTATTGCTTATCGATGTGTTTCTTCTGGTATTTCATCAGTGAGATTTTAAAATGATCTGTCAAAATGGAATAATTGTTTTCTTAAAATATTGTTCATAACTATTTTTATTAGAGTTATCAACAGCAAAACTTTTCACATTGGTACTACTCATATACACTCTTTTTTGTTTTGTTTTGTTTCTTTTTTTTTTTTTTTTTTTGAGACAGAGTCTCACTCTGTCGCCCAGGCTGGAGTGCAGTGGCGCGATCTCGGCTTACTGCAAGCTCTGCCTCCCGGGTTCACATATATATTCTCATATGTCAGTCCTCTGGCATTTTCTTCTCTTCTGTCCATCCACAGGATACTATTACATTTCTACACCTCCTTTGAAGTTAGGCATGTCTCTATCATTTTTCATGGTGAGAAATGTGAGTGTCAATTCTGCCCAGAAATTTCAAAATTAATTTTACTTTGCCACCTTCTTTCTGCCCCGTATAGCTGATGGTGAACGCATATATTGAAATGGACCCTTTCTTACGTCATAATCCTGATAAACTATGAGAATTAGTACTTTTCCCCTCCAGACTCACATTAGATATGTAGCATAAATAAAAATAAGGTGTTAATGTGTTTAGCTGCTGAAAATTTTATTTGATTGATACCACAGCCTTACCTAGCTTGTCCTGACTGATATGAAACACAACCTATGTTGTGAATGATTTTTGTTGCAATGTTACAACATAATATTTCTAGACAATTCAGAATTTATAGTTGATAATGAAATTTCATTTTTGTGTCAGAGACCAGTACCCCTATTTATGTTGAGACTTCTTCAAAAGGATTCAGGAACTCATATATTATTAACTGTATTTTTAAAATTTAAATGAGTGCATGGTAGTTCTATAAGTTTGTTGGGGACCTGATAATTTGAAACAGACATGCAATGCAGAAAAATCATATCTGGGTGAACAAAATATCCATCATCTCAAATGTTTATCATTTCTTTGTGTTAGAAACATTTCAATTATACTCTTTTAGTTATTTTAAAATGTGCAATAAATTATGGTTGACTGTATTCACCCCGTTGTGCTATCAGATACAAGTTCTTATTTATTCTATCTGACTGTATTTTTATTCCCATTAGCTATTTACACTTTCTTTTCCTCAATACCCTTCCCAGCTGCTGGTAACCATCCTTATTCTCTCTATATCCATGAGTTCAATTGTTTCAATTTTTAGCTCCCACAAGTAAGTGAGAACAGGATAATTTTGTCTTTCTGTGTTTGACTTATTTCACTTTACATAATGTCCTTCAGTTCCATTCATGTTGTTGAAAATGAAAGTATCTCATTCATTTCTATGGCTGAGTAGTACTACATCATGTATATGTAACACACTTTCTTTCCATTTGTCTGTTGATGGAGACATAGGTTGCTTCCAAACATTGGCTATTGTGAATAGTGCTGCAATAGATATCTGCATAGGGATGGAGATATCTCTTTGATATAATGATTTTCTTTCTTTCGAGTATATGCTGAGCACTGGAATGCTCCATATTTCTTGTACTAATTTAGATTCTTACAACAGTCTATGAGGGTTCCCGTTTCTCCACATCCTTGCCAGCATTTTTTATTGCCTGTCCTTTGGGTAAAAGCCATTTTAACTTGGGTGAGATGATTTGTCATTGTAGTTTTGATTTGCATTTCTCTGATAATCACTGATGTTGAGCACCTTCTCATATAACTGTTTCTCATTTGTATGTCTTCTCTTGAAAAATGTCTATTTAGATCTTTTGCCCATTTTTATTGAATTATTAGTTTTTTTTCCTATAGAGTTGTTTGAGCTCCTTATATATTCTGTTTTTAATCCCTTGTGAGATGAGTAGTTTGCAAATATTGTCTCCTCTTCTGTGGGTTGTCTTTCACTTTGTTGATTATTTCCTTTGCTGTGCAGAAGCCTTTTAACTTAATATGATCTGATTTTTTCATTTTTTGCTTCGGATGCCTGTGCTTGTCGGGTATTACTCAATAAATCTTAGCCCAGTTCAATGTCTGGAAATTTTCCCCAATGTTTTCTTTTAGTTGCTTCATTGTCTCAGTTCCTAGATTTAAGTTTTTAAACCATTTTGATGGCAAGAGATAGAAGTCTAATTTCATTCTTCTGCATATGGATATCAAGTTTCCCAGCACCAATTATTGAAGAGGTTGTTCGTTACCCAACGCATATTCTTGGCACCTCTGATGACAATGAGTTCATAGTATATTTACGAATTTACTGCGAGATCTCTATTGTGTTTCATTGCTCTATGTATCTATTTTTATGTTAATATCATCCTATTTTTGTTATATTATAGCTCTGTAGCATAATTTGAAGCCAAGTAATGTGATCCTCAAGTTTTTTCTTATTTTTATTTTCCTCAGCATGGCCTTGGCTATTCTAGGCCTTTTGTGGTTCCATATAAATTTTAGGATTTTTTTTTTTCTATTTCTATGAAGAATGTCATGGGTAGTTTGATAAGGATTGCATTAAATCTATAGTTTGATTTGGATAGTATGGACATTTTAACAACATTGATTCTTCCAGTTCATGAACTTGGAATACATTTCCATTTCTTGGTATCCTCTTCAATTACTTTCATCAGTGTTTTATAGTTTTCATTGTAGAGATTTTTCATTTCTTTGGTTAAGTTTGTTCCTAGGTATTTTATATTTTTTGTAGCTATGGTAAATGAGATTCATTTCTTGATTACTTCTTCAAATTTTTTCCTGTTGGCATATAGAAATGCTACTCATTTTTCTGTGTAGATTTTATATTTTGCAAATTTACTAAATTTATTTATCATTTCTAATAGTTTCTGATGGAGTCTTTAGTTTTTTCCAAATATGAGATCATATCATCTGAAATCAAAGATAATTTGATTTCTTCCTTTCCAATTTGAATGTCCTTTCTTTCTTTCTCTAGTCTGATTGCTCTAGTTAGAACTTTCAGTACTACATTGAATAATGGTGTGAAACTAGACATTCTTGTCATGTTCCAGATCTTAAAGGAAAGGCTTTCAGTTTTTTCCCCATTCAGTATTTTACTAGCTGTGGGTCTATCCTGTATGACTTTACTTGTGTTGAGATATATTTCTTCTTGTATTAGTGTGTTTTCACACTGCTATAGAGAACTACCTGAGACTGGGTAATTTATAAAGAAAGGATTAATCGACTCAAAGTTCTGCATGGCTGGGGAAGCCTCAGGAAAATTACAATCATGTTGGAAGCTGAAGAGGAAGAACCTTCTTCATATTACAGCAGGAGGGAAGGAGAGAAAGAGACAGAGAGAGAGAGAGAGAGAGAGAGAGAGAGAGAGAGGAAGTGAGGAAATGCCACAGTTTAAAACCATCAGTTTTCATGAGACCTCACTCAATGTCATGAGAACAGCATGAGGGAAACTGTCTTCATGATCCAATCACTCTGCACCAGGTCCCTCACTTATCTTGTGGGGATTACAATTCAAGATGAGATTTTGGTGGAAACACAGTGCTCAACTATTTCATTCTGCCTTGGTCCCTCCCAAATCTCATGTCCTTTTCACATATCAAAACCAATCATGCCCTCCCAACAGCCCCCCATAGTCTTAACTCATTCCTGCATTGATTCAAAAGTCCAAGTCCAAGGTCTCATCTGAGACAAAGCAAGTCCCTTTTGCCTATGAGCCAGTAAAATAAACAAAACAAGTTAGTTACTTCCAAGATACAATGGGGATACAGGCATTGGTTAAATGTTTCCATTCCAAATGGGAGAAATTGACCAAAACAAAGGGCTGCAGGCCCCATCCAAGTCCAAAACCCAGCAGGGAGCTCATTAATTCTTAAAGCTCCAAAATGATCTCCTTTGACTCCATGTCTCACATCCAGGGCACGCTGATGCAATGGGTGAGCTCCCAAGGCCTTGGGAAGCTCCACCTCTGTGACTCTGCAGGGTACAGCTCCCATAGCCACTTTCCCAGGCTGGCATTGAGTGGCTTTGACTTTTCCAAGTGCACAGTTCAAGCTGTTGGTCGATCTACCATTCTGGGATCCGAAGAACAGTGGCTCCCTTCTCATAGCTCTAGGTAGTGCCCCAGTGAGGACTATGTGTGAGGGCTTCAACTCCACATTTCCCCTCAGGATTTCCCTAGTAGAGATTATCCATGAGAGCTCTGCCCCTGTAGCAGACTTCTACCTGGGCATCCAGGTGTTTCCATACACCCTCTGAAATCTAGATGGAGGCTTCCAAATCTCAACTCTTGTCTTCTGTGTACCTGCAGGTCCAACACCACATGAAAGTTGTCAGGCATGAGGCCTGAGTTGCACGTTGGCCCCTTCATGGCTGAAGCTGGAGTGGCTGGAATGCAGGGCACCATGTCTCAAGTCTGCACAGAGCAGCGGGTCTGGCCCATAAACCCATTTTTTCCCTCCTAGGCTTCTGGGCCTGTGATGGGAGGGGCTACTGTGAAGATCTCTGAAATGCCCTGGAGACATTTTCCTCATTGTCTTATCTATTAACATTCAGCTTCTTTTTACTTATGCACATTTCTGCAGCTGGCTTAAATTTCTCCCCAGAAAGTGGGTTTTTCTTAGAAATTTTTTCAAACTTTTATACACTGCTTCCTTTTTTTTTGGAATCTGAGTTTTGCTCTGTCAGCCAGGCTGGAATGCACTGGTGCGATCTCAGCTTACTGCAACCTCCACACCTCCACCTCCCAGGTTCAAGGGATTCTTCTGCCTCAGCCTCCTAAGTAGCTGGGATTACAGGCTCCTGCCATCTCACCTGACTAATTTTTGTATTTTTAAGTAGAGATGGGGTTTCTCCATGTTGACCAGGCTGGTCTTGAACTCCTTACCTCAGGTGATCTGCCCGTCTTGGCCTCCCAAAGTGCTGAGATTACAGGTGTGAGCCACCAGAACTGGCCTACTCTGCTTCCCTTTTAAACATAAGTTCCAATTTCATATCATCTCTTTGTGAGTAAATATGACTATAAAAGTCAGGTCACATCTTACATGCTTTGCTGCTTAGAAATTCCTTCTGCCAGATACCCTAAATCATTTCTTTCATGTTTAAAGTTATCTCTCATGTTCACATATCTCTAGGGCAGGAGCAAAATGCCACCAGTCTCTTTACTAAAGCATGGGAAGAGTCATTTTTATTCTAGTTCCCAATAAGTTGCTCATCTTCATCTGAGACCCCTTCAGTCTGGACTTCATTGTCCAAATTACTACTAGCAATTTGGTCAAAACAATTCAAGAAGTCTCTAGGAAGTTCCAAACTTTCCTTTATCTTTATGTCTTCTTCTTAGCCTTCCATACTGTTCCAACCTCTGGCTGTTACCTAGTTCCAAAGTTGTTTCCATATTTTGAGGCATATTATAGCAGTGCCCCAAACTCTTGGTACCAATTTTCTGAATTAGTCCATTTTCATAATGCTATAAAGAACTAGCTGAGACTGGGTAATTTATAAAGAAAAGATGTTTAATTGACTCACAGTTCTTCATGGATATGGAGGGCTCAGGAAACTTATAATCATGGTGGAAGTCAAAGAGGAAGCAGGGACCTTCTTCACTTGGCAGGAGGAGAGAGAGAGAGAGAGTGAGAGAGAGAGGAACTGCCATACTTTAAAACCATCAGCTTTCATGATAACTCACTCACTGTTATGAGAACAGCATGGGGGAGTCACCCCCATGATCCAATCACCTCCCACCAGGTCCCTCCTTTGACACGTGGGGATTACAATATGAGATGAGATTTGGGTTGGGACACAGAGCCAAACCATATAACTTCTATACCCAGTTTTTGGAGGGTTTTTATCATGAAGGAATGTTGAATTTTATCAAATGCTTTTTCAGCATCAATTGAAATGATCATATGGATTTGGTTCCTCATTCTGTTGATATAATATATCACAATGATTGATTTGCACATGTTAAGCCATCCTTGCATCTCTGGGTTAAAACCCTCATGGTCGTCATGAATAAGCTCTTTAATGTGCTGTTGAATTTGGTTTTGCTAGTGTTTTGTTGAGGTTTTTTGCAACAATGTTTATCAGGGATATTGGCCTATAGTTTTATTTTTTTTAATTGTCTGTCTAATTTTGGTATCAGGGTTATACTGGTCTCATAGAATGAGTTTGGAAATATTCCCTTCTTTTCTGTATTTTGGAGTAGATAGAGAAGGATTGGTATTAGTTCTTCATTACATGTTTGGTATAATTCAGCAGTGAAGCCATCAAGTGTCATGCTTTTCTTTGCTGGAAGACTTTTTATTAAGGCTTCCATCTCATTACTTGTCATTGGTCTATTCAAGTTTTAGATTTCTTTATGATTCAATGTTGGTAGGTTTTATGTATCTAGGGGTTTATCCACTTCTTTTAGGTTTTCTAATGTATTGGAATAAAGTTGTTCATAGTAGTCTCTAATGATTCTTTGATCTTTGTGTTATCAGTTGTAATATCCTCTTTTTAATATGTGATTTTATTTATTTGGGTCTTCTCCCTTTTTTTTCTTTGTCTGAATGAAGGTTTGATAATTTTGTTTATCTTTTAAAAAATTCAACTTTTCATTTTGTTAATCATCTGTATTGTTTTTGTCATTTTAATTTTATTTATTTGTGTTCTGGTATTTATTTCTTTTTTCTACCAATTTTTGATTTGGTTTGCTCTTGATATTCTGTATCATTAAGATGCATCATTAAGTTGTTTATTTGAAATTTTTCTACTTTTCTCAAACTCCTGATCTCAAGTGATTCGCCCACTTCAGCCTCCCAAAGTGCTGGGATTTACAGGTGGAGCCATGGTGGTTGGCCAAAGTTTTTCTACTTTTCTGATGTGGGGGATTATTGCTATAAACTTTTCTCTTAGCACTGCTTTCACGGCAGCCCATAGATTTTGATATGTTGTGCTTCCATTTTCATTTGCTTCAAGAAATTTTAAAATTTACTTCTTAATTTCTTCAGTGACCCATTGCTCATTCAGAAACATGTTTAATTTCTATGTGTTTCAATTGTTTCCGTAATTCCTTTTGTTATTGACTTCTAGTTTGATTCCACTGTGGTCAGAGAAGATACTTGATATAATTTCAAGTTTTTTGGATTTCTTAAGTTTGTGTGGCCTAACATGGCCTATCTTTGAGAATGATCCGTGTGCTAAGGAGAAGAATGTGTATTTTGCAGCAATTTGATAAAATGTTCTGTCAATATCTATTAGATCCATTTTGTCTATAGGCGCAAATTAAATCTGACGTTTCTTTGTTGATTTTCTGTATGGATGACCTGTCTCATGCTGAAAGTAGGGTACTGAAGTCTCCAGGTATTATAATATTGAGGTCTGTGTCTCTCTTTAATAGTATTTACTTTATATATCTGTGTGCTCCAGTATTGGGTGCATCCGAATTTATAATTGCTGTATCCTCCTGTTGAATAGACCCCTTTATCATCATATAATAACCTCCTTTGTCTCTTTTTATAGTTTTTGTTTTAAAATCTTATTTGTCTGAGGTAAGTATAACTACTCTTGCTCTTTTTTGGTTTTATTTATTTATTTATTTCCTTTTTGAGACAGAGTCCCGCTCTGTCACCCAGGCTAGAGAGCAGTAGCACAATTTTGGCCCACTGCAGCCTCCACCTCCCAGGTTCAAGTGTTTCTCCTGCCTCAGCCTGGTGAGTAGCTGGAATTAGAGGCACATGCCACCACACCCAGCTATTTATTTATTTATTTAAATGTTTAGTAGAGACAGAGTTTTGTCATGTTGTCCAGGCTGGTCTCAAACTCCTGACCTCAGGTGATCTGTCTGCCTTGTCCTCCCAAAGTGCCAGGATCACAGGCGTAAGCCACCATGCCCAGCCTTTTATTGGTTTCTATTTGCATGGAATATCTTTTATTTATCTCTTTATTTTCAGTATATGTGTGTCTTTGTAATGAAGTGTGCTTCTTGTAGGCAACAGAGTGTTAGGTCTTTTGTTTGTTTTTACTCATTCAGCTACTCTGTCTTTTGAGTGAAGAGTTTAGTCCATTTACATCGTATGTTATTATTGATAAGTAATGACTTACTACCACCATTTTGTTATTTGTGTTCTAATTGTTTTGTTGTATGTTCTTTCTTCCTTCCTTCCTGTCTTACGTTTTGTGAAGATGATTTTCTCTGGTGGTATATTTTAATTTCTTGCTTTTTATATTTTATGTATCTGTTGTAGGTTTTTTGATTTGAGGTTACCATGAGGCTGGCAAAATAACAAAACATTATGTTAAGCTGGTGACAGCTTAACCCTGACTGCACAAACCAATAGACAAGCAAAGAGAAAATTAATAAAAACTCTACACTTTACCTGTATCCCCTTGCTTTTTGAACTTTATGTTGTTTCTGTTTATATCGTATTGTATTGCCTGTATCATGAAAAAATTGTTGTAGTTTTCATTCTTCATAGCTTTATCTTTTAGTTTTTCTACTCAAGATCTGAGTAGTTTATACACCACAATTACAGTGCTATAATATTCTGTTTGTCTGTATACTTACTATTACCGGTGAGTTTTGCACCTTCAGATGTTTCCTCATTGCTGATTAGCTTCCTTTTCTTTCAGATTGAAAACTGTCTTTAGCATTTCTTGTAGAGTCTGGCTGGTATTGATGAATCTTCTCAGCTTTTGTTGGCCTGGGAAAGGTGTTTATTCCTTCTTCATGTCTGGTTTTTGGTGATGTCATGTTTTCCTCGATGGTGGTGATGCTTGTGGATGTTCATTGATTTCTGGGCATTGAAGAGTTAGGTATTTATTACAGTCTTCTCAGTTTGTTTGTTTGTTTTTTGTATCTGTCCTTCCTTCAAGTATTCAAATGGAATTGAGTGTTATAATTTAAGTCTTTGGTCATGCAGCCATATCTGCATTAGGAGGCGTCCCAAGCCATGTGATATTGTGACTCTTGCAGACTAGAAAAGGTACTGCCTTAGTTTCCTTGGGTAAGATCTGAGAGAATTATCTAGATTAACATGCAGAGACTTTTCTCTTCCCTTACTTTCTCCCAAACAGAGTTTCTCTCTCCTTGCTGTGCTGCCTGGAGCTGGGGAGGGGTGACATAAGTACCCCTGGAGCCACCACCACTGGGACCGTGTTGGGTCAGAACCAAATTTAGCACAGTACTGGGCTTTGCAGCAACCACTACCCGACTACCATCAATTTTCACTTGAGGCCCAAAGGCTCTTCACTCAGCAGGTGGCAAATCCAGCCAGGTTTTTGTCCTTCCCTTCAAGGTGGTGAGCTCCACTCAATCCCTGTGAAGGTCCAGAAATGCTGCTCAGGAGTCATTTTCTTGAATCAGGGAGCCCAGGAGCCTACCTGGTACTCTACCATACTGTGGCCAAGCTGCTACACAAGATGCAAGTCCATATCCCCTTCACTCTTCCCGTTCCTTTCCTCAAGCAGAGGGAGTCTGTCCCTTTGGCCTCCACAGCTGAGAATGTGCTGGGTCACACCAGAAGCTAGCACATCACTGGTTCTCACTCAAGACTCATAACAAGTACTGCCTGGCTACTGCTGACATTTTTCCAAGGCTCAAGGGCTCTTTAGTTAGCAGATGATGAATCCTTACAGAGCAAGGTTTTTTCCTTCAAGGCAGCAAGTTTCCTTATAGCTCAGGGTGTGTCTATGATGTTATCTGGGATCTAAGGCCTCAAATGGGGGCCTCAGGACTCTGTCTGATGCCCTAATCTAATACAGCTTAGCTGGTATCCAAGTTGTAAGACAAAGTCCTCTTTATGCTCTCATCTCCTCTCCTCAAGCAGAAGGAAGTGGTCTCTCCCAGAGCTGCGAGTTGAGCTGCCTGGGGTTAGGGAAAAGGTGATGCAAGAACTCTCTTGGCTGCCCCAACTAGTGCCTCACTAGGTCACATGCACCCTAAGTCCACCAGATCCAAGTCTAGCATAGCACCAGGACTTTCCAAAAAATTGCAATCTTTGTTGCTTTGACTGTCTTTCAGGTTTTTTAGGACTAAAGAGCACTTTAGCCCATGATGTTGGGGCTAGCCAGAGCTCATGATCTGACCACTGGAATGGGCAATTCCCCTCTGGCTAGGGCTAATCTAAATGCTTCCTCTATGAACGCCAGCTGAATGCTGCCCTTTGTCACTTTCTTTTGTTACAAACAACACTGAGCTCCAATGTAAAGCCCCACAGTCCCTGCACTATCCTTCCCCAA
This sequence comes from Homo sapiens, assembly GCF_000001405.40. Lineage (NCBI taxonomy): Eukaryota > Metazoa > Chordata > Mammalia > Primates > Hominidae > Homo > Homo sapiens. The sequence goes on along the minus strand of NC_000004.12, from coordinate 59,597,697 downwards.
GCACACAGATTCTGTCTGTGCCAACTGGCTGCAGCCAGGGGATGGGGAAGCGGTGGTGTTGGCAATTCAAGACTGTCTTTCATACCCTCTTCTATGTGTTTTTTCTTGATATGATGTTAAAAGCAGGTACTGTGGTCACTTACCTGAATTTTTATGAAAGCTTTCTTTTGAATAGTTATTTAATTTTGTGTTCCTGTGTGTGGAGGTGGGGGTGATCACTCTCTTGCCACACTTCCTTTAACTGTTTTCAAATGTATTTTGTTCAAATACTTCTACAACTATTTCAGAGTCATATTTTCTAAGGATCTGTTGAATTTCAAAAAAATATATAGTTGTTAATTAGAAAAGAATTATAATTAAGAAATAATGGGCTGAGTGCAGCAGCTCATGCTTGTGATTCCAGCACTTTGGGAGGCCAAGGTGGACAGATCACTTAAGGTCAGGAGTTTGAGACCAGCCTGGCCAACATGGTGAAACCCTGTCTCTACTAAAAATACAAAAATTAGCTGGACATGGTAGCACATGCCTGTAATCCCAGCTACTCAGGAGGATGAGGCGGGAGAATCACTTGAACCCAGGAGGCGGAGGTTGCAGTGAGCTGAGATCACGCTATTGCACTCCAGCCTGGGTGGCTAAACAACTCTGTCTCAAAGAAAAAAAAAAAAAAAAAGAAACAAAAAAAGAAAAAGAAAGAAAGAATATTGAATGTCTATTTCATACTTCTATTTAGTCCATATAATTATTTAGCTTGCATGACTATGTGTGTGTGTATTTATTTTGTGTTTTGTGTGTGTATAAATTATAGGCATTTATACCCGAATTTACTATATATATATATATATATATATATATATATATATATATATATATATAATATAATACTCAGTAGCACAGTAGGTTGGCTATAATTAACAACATTCTATTGTATATTTTAAAATAACTAAAGAGTGAAATTAGAATGCTCCTAACATAAATAAATGACAAATGCAGAATATACATTAGTAAAAATACAGAATACATTAGTAAAATTCAGTTGATGAAAATGCCTGCACTTGTATAGTTTACATTTCTAGTAAAGAAAGAAAAAAGATATAAACAAATAAGTAAATATTTAGCAAAATCAAGCAAAGAAGAGGAAAATAGGAGACTGGAGGTACTGCAGTCTTAATTACTATCATCAGGAATGCAACAGCAAAAGGTGATGTTTGAGTAGATATCTGAAAGAGGTGACTGAGAAAACCATTGTAATAACTTACAGTTTTATTCTGAGTGATATAAAACATTATCATAGGGTTTTAAAGGTTAGAAATGTCATAATCTGATTATGTTCCATCAGTATAATATTGGCTGCTCCACATATATTTTTATTTTAAAATTTTAATTATTATGGGAATATAATAGTTGTATATATTTATGGGGTACATGTCATGTTTTGATGCAGGCATGGCCAAATCAGGGTTAATAATCAAATCAGGATAATTGGGGTATCGATCACCTCAAGCATTTGTCATTTATTTATGTTAGGAACATTCTAATTTCAGTCTTTTAGTTATTTTAAAATATAAAATAGAATATTGTTAATTATAGCCAACATACTGTGCTACTGAGTATTATATCGTATTCATTCTAACTGGATCTTTGTACCCCTTAACCATCTTAACTTTATCCCCCACTACCTGCTACCCTTTAAAATTACTTGTTTTTATCTTTATCCATAGCCAAGATTTGTGAAGGGCTTGTTGGAGGCTTTAAGTATTTGAAAAATCTATCTTATTTTTAATTATCAATTATGCTTGGCTCACTAATCTCTACTACTTTAATACGGTAAGTAATCAGAAAACATTGAACTGATCCACACCATCTCCCTATTTTTTTAAAAAATTTCAGATCATAAAAATTTCAGTTCTTACTTCAATGAAGCGTAGAGAAAACTGGTTCATTTGAATAAAACTTGTGGGTTTTTTGTTTTCTTTGCAAAATCGTGACTCAATGATATTAAACAAGACAAAGGTAAGGATGTACACCACAAGCCCCTGATGTATGTGTATGTTAGATTTTACAGGGAAAACATGATTAATCAATCTGTGAGTTCATTAATCTATTGAGCAAGAATGCTGTAAGAAGTCATGAATAGGCCATTAACGTTTTAGATAGGGGAGCCTGGAAAGACCTTATTCAGAGAGTGACTTTTGAATAATCACGTGAGAGAAATGAGAGAACTGGCCATGCAGATGTAAGTAAAAAGAGAAATCCAACAGAGAAAGTAACAACTGCCTCAAGAAAGAGTCTATGGGCAGTGTTGAAGAAACCTTACTGAGGTGAATGAGTTAGAAGTGAAGAAGAAAGGGAAGTGAGAACCATATGTGGAGGTATGATCATAATTAGAAAGTTAGGCCAGATGCAGTGGCTCAGGTCTGGAATCCCATCAATTTGGGAGGCCAAGATGGGTGGGTCGCTTGAGCTCAGGAGTTAGAGATCAGCCTGGGCAACATGGTAAAACCCCATATCTGCCAAAAACACAAAAAAAATCAGCTGAGCATAGTGGTATGCCCCTGATCCCACTATGGGAGGGAGGCTGAGATGGGAGGATCACTTGAGCCCAGGGGGCAGAGGTTGCAGTGAGCTGAGATCATGCCACTGAACTCCAGCTTGGGTGACAGAGCCATACACTGTCTCAAAAAAAAAAAAAAAAAAAAAAAGAAAGGAAAAAAATAAAAAAGAAAAATTTAATAGGTTCAAGTTATCTAGGAATTTATAAGGTTTTGGCTTTTAATGTAAATGGAAACCCACTAGTGGTTTTAGGCAGAAGATTGGCATGGCCTGCCTTATGCCTGGACAGAATCACTGTGGCTTCTCTGTGAAGAATCGGCAGAAGGAAATCAAAGCAAAGTCACAGGGCAGTTGGGAAGCCGAGGCAGTAATCCAGGAGGAAGATAAAGATATCTTGGCTATCATATCACAGTATCTAAGATTAAACAAATAAATGACTGGCTTTGACAACTCAATCATAAATAGGGCTTTGATTGATGTCATTTCAAAATTATTTTTTCCATTCTGAACAACAGTTGACAGACTGCTTGAAACCAAAGCCAATATTTCAGAAATTGCTGGTGATCTAAAGCACAGATTTAACATGTAGATTTATATTGTTTGGCATACAACTGTTTTGTAGCAACATTTAAAAATTGGAATAATTCATATGAAATATGGTTTTCCAGATTATCTTGAAATGTCAGACTCTCTGGAACTACTAGACTCAGCATAAACAACAGGAGTTGGTGAGTGTGTTCCTAATTTACACAAGGCCATGGACTTCCCAATTTTCCACAATCTCTACCAGCCCTTATTGTAGCTCTAATAACCAAGACTAAAAGTAAGTTGCATTTCGTTATCATACTTGCCCTGTTGTTTGTTTTTCTTATAATGCAGACATACTCCATTATACGTCTCTCTCAAAAATGACAAGATAAAAGAGATGCAGAGTGTAGCCTTCCTCCATTTTTTGTTTTCCCAGTCTATGGGTTGTTTTAGTTTATTTTGTGCTGCTAAAACAGAATATTGAGACTGGGTAATTTACAACGAACAGAAATATATTAGATTATCATTCTGGAGGCTAGGAATTTCAATATTAAGATGCTGGCATCTGGTGAGAGCCTTCTTGTTGCATCAGCACATGGTGAAAGGTGAGAAGGAGAGAGGGAACCGACTCCTGAAAGTTCTTTTGTAAAGACTTTAGACTAGTTATGAGAGTAGAGCCTTCACGGCCTAATCACCTCTTAAATACCCCACTTCCAAGTGCTGTTACATTGACAATTAAATTTGAACACGAATTTTAGAGGGGACGAACATTCAAACCATAGCATGTGTGGTAACTGGGCTTATGAGTTCTTACAGATAATTTACAAAATTTAATTTTCTTGTATGTGAAAATAATTGACCCATATTTGAGTTATTTGATATTAGGAACCAAAAACAAAATAATTTTATTTCCAACAAAGGCCATCTTCTAACATGTCCTTTAAATTCTGAAACTGCTAATGAGGAAAATTATTACAGGTATGGAGGCATTTTCACTTTTTTAGGACTTCTATATTCCATAGCTCTGCCTTCAGTCAAAACTTCATTTGTATCCCTACTCTTAATTTAATCACTGAGCCTCTTTCTGAAATTCAAATTTTTGTTTCTCACTTAGAAGCAGGAAGGTCTACAAAGATCAGGATAATTCTCAAACAATATATGGTTTTGATTTTTTATTACAACTAACAAACTATAATTCTTATGACTGAAATAATCTATGGAGAATAAATACATGCATCTATACTTATTTTTATTTAATAAGTTTCCTATTCTATTGATGAATTAAAAATAAAATGTGAAGAGCTACTAATGTTTCCACTAATAGTGTATATTTCTTCATATTAGTTTTTAATTCATGAGGAAGAACAGGCCATAATGGTTATTGCTTACTTAGAAGGCAGATAAATGGCATTCAGATAATTGAAGGATAGGAGAGAAGTGTCATTAAATGCACTAAAGCAAAGTTATTGCAAATAAGATCCCTAGCTCTCAGGTGAGGTAGGAATGGGTTCAAATCCTAGAACTGGCCCTGAATATGTGTATGTTTTGGAAAAAAGGATTTGCACTCTCTGTGCCAAAATTCCATTTTTTTTCTTTTTTTTTTTATTATACTTTAAGTTTTAGGGTACATGTGCACAACGTGCAGGTTTGTTTCATATGTATACATGTGCCATGTTGGTGTGCTGCACCCATTAACTTGTCATTTAACATTAGGTATATCTCCTGTCTCTGAATGCTATCCCTCCCCCCTCCCCTCACCCCACAACAGGCCCCGATGTGTGATGTTCCCCTTCCTGTGTCCATGTGTTCTCATTATTCAATTCCCACCTATGAGTGAGAACATGAGGTGTTTGGTTTTTTGTCCTTTCGATAGTTTGCTCAGAATGATGGTTTCCAGCTTCATCCATGTCCCTACAAAGGACATGAACTCATCATTTTTTATGGCTGCATAGCATTCCATGGTTTATATATGCCACATTTTCTTAATCCAGTCTGTCATTGTTGGACATTTGGGTTGGTTCCAAGTCTTTGCTATTGTGAATAGTGCCACAGTAAACATATGTGTGCCTGTGTCTTTATAGCAGCATGATTAATAATCCTTTGGGTATATACCCAGTAATGGGATTGTTGGGTCAAATGGTATTTCTAGTTCTAGATCCCTGAGGAATAGCCACACTGTCTTCCACAATGGTTGAACTAGTTTACAGTCCCACCAACAGTGTAAAAGTGTTCCTATTTCTTCACATCCACTCCAGCACCAGTTGTTTCCTGACTTTTTAATGATCACCATTCTAACTGGTGTAAGATGGTTTCTCATTGCGGTTTTGATTTGCATTTCTCTGATGGCCAGTGATGATGAGCATTTTTTCATGTGTCTGTTGGCTGCATAAATGTCTTCTTTTGAGAAATGTCTGTTCATATCCTTTGCCCACTCATTGATGGGGTTGTTTGTTTTTTTCTTGTAAATTTGTTTGGGTTAAGTATAGATTCTGGATATTAGCCCTTTGTCAGATGAGTAGATTGCAAAAATTTTCTCCCATTCTGTAGGTTGCCTGATCACTGTGATGGTAGTTTCTTTTGCTGTGCAGAAGCTCTTTAGTTTAATTAGATCCCATTTGTCAATTTTGGCTTTTGTTGCCATTGCTTTTGGTGTTTTAGACATGAAGTCCTTGCCTATGCCTATGTCCTGATTGGTATTGCCTAGGTTTTCTTCTAGGGTTTTTATGGTTTTAGGTCTAACATTTAAATCTTTAATCCATCTTGAATTAATTTTTGTATAAGGTGTAAGGAAGGGATCCAGTTTCAGCTTTCTACACATGGCTAGCCAGTTTTCCCAGCACCATTTATTAAATAGGGAATTGTTTCCCCATTTCTTGTTTTTGTCAGGTTTGTCAAATATCAGATAGTTGTAGATGTGTGGTATTATTTCTGAGGGCTCTGTTCTGTTCCATTTGTCTATATCTCTGTTTTGGTACTAGTACCATGGAGAATGGAACCAAGTTGGAAAACACTATGCAGGATATTATCCAGGAGAACTTCCCCAATCTAGCAAGGCAGGCCAACATTCAGATTCAGGAAATGCAGAGAACACCACAAAGATACTCCTCAAGAAGAGCAACTCCAAGACACATAATAGTCAGATTCACCAAAGTTGAAATGAAGGAAAAAATGTTAAGGGCAGCCAGACAGAAAGGTAGGGTTACCCACAAAGGGAAGCCCATCAGACTAACAGCGGATCTCTCGGCAGAAACTCTAGAAGCCAGAAGCGAGTGGGGGCCAATATTCAACATCCTTAAAGAAAAGAATTTTCAACCCAGAATTTCATATCCAGCCAAACTAAGCTTCATAAGTGATGGAGAAATAAAATACTTTACAGACAAGCAAATGCTGAGAGATTTTGTCACCACCAGGCCTGCCCTAAAAGAGCTCCTGAAGGAAGCACTAAACATGGAAAGGAACAACCAGTACCAGCCACTGCAAAAGCATGCCAAATTGTAAAGACCATCGACGCTAGGAAGAAACTGCATCAACTAACGAGCAAAATAACCAGCTAACATCATAATGACAGGGTCAAATTCACACACAACAATATTAACCTTAAACATAAATGGGCTAAATACTCCAATTAAAAGACACATACTGGCAAATTGGATGAAGAGTCAAGACCCATCAGTGTGCTGTATTCAGGAAACCCATCTCACGTGCAGAGACACACATAGGCTCAAAATAAAGGGATGGAGGAAAATCTACCAAGCAAATGGAAAACAAAAAAAGGCGGGGGTTACAATCCTAGTCTCGGATAAAACAGACTTTAAACCAACAAAGATCAAAAGAGACAAAGAAGGCCAATACATAATGGCAAAGGGATCAATTTGACAAGAAGAGCTAACTATCCTAAATATGTATGCACTCAATACAAGAGCACCCAGATTCATAAAGCAAGTCCTTAGAGACCTACAAAGAGACTTAGATTCCCATACAATAATAATGGGGGACTTTAACACCCCACTGTCCACATTAGACAGATCAACGAGACAGAAAGTTCATAAGGATATACAGGAATTGAACTCAGCTCTCCACCAAGCGGACCTAATAGACATCTACAGAACTCTCCACCCCAAATCAACAGAATATACATTCTTCCCAGCACCGCACCATACCTATTCCAAAATTGACCACATAGTTGGAAGTAAAGCACTCCTCTGCAAATGTAAAAGAACAGAAATTATAACAAACTGTCTCTCAGACCACAGTGCAATCAAACTAGAACTCAGGATTAAGAAACTCACTCAAAACTGCTCAACTACATGGAAACTGAACAACCTGCTCCTGAATGACTACTGGGTAAATAGTGAAATGAAGGCAGAAATAAAGATGTTCTTTGAAACCCACGAGAACAAAGACCCAAATTCCACTTTTTAAATGAGAATAATAGTAATACCTATCTCAAAATCGTGAGAGTTAAATAAATTTTCTAATTAATATTTCATTGTGTTCTTGCATTAATATCTTATTTCATACAGCAAGAATAAGCAGGAAGAACACATAGCAGGGATAGATTCTCTTAAAATTTTATGTAATATATAAATAGCTATTATTTAATGAGTGTGTACTGTGTATCACAGCATATCCTCAGTTTTCACCTGTGCTAACATTTAGTTCTCAAAAGATTGCAAACAGATATTGATAACTTCCCTATTTTCCATATTATGAAAATGAAACAGATAAATTTAGAATACTACCTCTCTGCACATATAAAATATGTTACATACTCAAACTTTGGTGTTCTTGCTTGTAACCATCTTACTATGATGCTTCCTATCAGAGAGCTCTCCTACCTAATATATACTGTATTAAAAAGTGATTAAAGAATTAAAAGACGACCTGAAAATATGGACAAAAAGGAACACTTTATCAGAAAAAAATCCCTAATATTTTTTAAAGGAGCAAAAAATAATTTATTGAAATAAAAGGATTACCGGCACAATTAATCCTTGTTCTTACAACAAAGTTCTTTTTTTTTTTTTTTTTTTTTGGATGGGGATGGGTGTCAATAAGATTTTCTCAAAATTTATTGGGAATTTCTTTCCAATCTGACTTTTAATAATGAGGCTGGTATTCTGATGAAACTGAAACTAAGATTTTTCTTGTCTTCTATAAACCGCTTAGAGTTTTTTGAGGTTTTACTATCATGTTAGGTTGTACAAATAGTGAGATTTTGCAAATATAAATTTTCCCAATATAAGCCCTTTAGAGGTTAGCATGTTTTCTAGATTTTTTTCATTGTGAATTGTGCTATAATAATTTATGATGTCCTAAGGATTCCCTTAAGGTATGGTAAATGAAATATCCATTCCAATTCTGAGATCCTGAAATAAATATGGGCAATACAGGGCTGGGCTCTAGCTACTGAATGGACTTCAAGTCTGTCTAGACAGAAAAATCTCTAGTTAAGATTGAGCATAGTAAGACCTTGAGAGTAATGAATTTTGAACTTTAATTTTTTAGGACTTTTAATTAAAAAGCACAAGAGTTAAATTTCAGACTAATTAATTTTGTCAATAACCTAAGAATTTTTAATTTTTTGGAATTTTAAACTTTAAAATCTTAGATTTTAACTCTCCGCCAACATCACAGTAGAAAAAACAAAAAGCTTATTTTGGATGTAGGATCAATAAGCAATAAGATTTTGGTATGGAATTATTAGAATATCTTAATGCTGTCATTTAATTCCATTGCAAAACTCCTGAGAAACTCAATGTGGTTAGATATTATTTTTAATGGAAACCAGAATAGACTACAGTATGGTTGATTTACCATATTTACTGTTGTTAAACCTAGTGACTTAAGAGTTAAAAATCATGTTGACTATCAGAAATAAATATATATTCTTCAATCATGACAGTTTCTTCTATTTGAATAAACATCCAGTATTGTAAAACTTTTTTGGATTCTTTCTATTAGTAGTCTTTTGACTAAATACTTCTCTTTTTGCTTTTTACTAATAGATTTTGCCAGAGCAAAATTGGTTTATATATGGATATTTGGGCTTCAGTATTTTAATTTCTTGTCTCACAAGTACTATAAGGACATAATAAAAATCCCTTCTTAGCTAAGTAAGACAACATGCAAAACACAATCCAAAGGAAGTACTCATAATGTCTTGTTAAATTACTCATATAAATCCTGAATTGTATGGATTGGAATAAAATGAAGGTGATTTGGGAAATGTAGTACCCTTTCCTGTAAATTTGGTAACACTATGGTAAATAAATCCCAGTTGGGACCAGGAATGATTATTTTCCTACCTTTTCAAGACAGAGTCAGCTGCCCCATGATGGAGACTCCCTCTTACCGTGTAATACTTCTGTCCTTCCTTAGAGAATTACATTTTATAAAAGGTAAAACTAACAAAAAATTCAAAAAGATTTCTTGCTGTAGAAATAATTAATGATGTGTTATTGTATGTGTCCTTTTATTCCTCCAATCAACTCTGTTTGTGTAGTATTATTTAGTGAGTTCATAATATGGTTCACTGGATGCCAAAAAAGGGGAAGTGTTTTTTTTTTCTTTTTCTTTCTTTTTTTTAATTATACTTTAAGTTCTGGGGTACATGTGCAGAACATGCAGTTTTGTTACATAGGTATACAGGTGCCATGGTGGTTTGCTGCACTCATCAACCGGTCACCTACATTAGGTATTTCTCCTAATACTATACCTCCCCTAGTCCCCCAACCCCCCAAGAAGCCTGGTGTGTGATGTTCCCCTCCCTCTGTCCATGTGTTCTCATTGTTCAACTCCCACTCATGAGTGAGAACATGTGGTGTTTGGTTTTCTGTTCTTGTGTCATTTTGCTGAGAATGCTGGTTTCCAGCTTCATCCATGTCCCTGCAAAAGACATGATCTCATCCTTTTTTATGGCTGCATAGTATTCCATGGTGTATATGTCCCACATTTTCATTATCCAGTCTATCATTGACGGACATTTGGGTTGGTTCCAAGTCTGCTATTGTGAATAGTGCTGCAATAAACATACGTGTGTATGTGTCTTTATAATAGAATGATTTATAACATTTAGGTATATACCCAGTAATGGGATTGCTGGGTAGAATGGTATTTCTAGTTCTAGATCCTTGGGGGAATCGTCACACTGTCTTCCACAATGGTTGACTTAATTTACACTCCAACCAACAGTGTAGAAGCATTTCTATTTCTCCACATACTCTCCAGCATTTTTTGTTTCCTGACTTTTTAATGATCGCCATTCTAACTGGTGTGAGATGGTATCTCATTGTGGTTTTGATTTGCATTTCTCTAATGACCAGTGATGATGAGTTTTTTTCGTATGTCTGTTGGCTGCATAAATGTCTTCTTTTGAGAAGTGTCTGTTCATATCCTTCACACACTTTTTGATGGGGTTGTTTGTTTTTTTCCTGTAAATTTCTTTAAGTTCTCTGAAGATTCCAGATATTAGCCCTTTGTCACATGAATAGATTGCAAACATTTTCTCCCATTCTGTAAGTTGCCTGTTCATTCTGATAATAGTTTCTTTTGCTGTGCAGAAACTCTTTAGTTTAATGAGATCCCATTTTTCAATGTTGGCTTTTGTTGCCATTGCTTTTGGTGTTTTAGACATAAAGTCTTTGCCCATGCCTATATCCCGAATGGTATTGCCTAGGTTTTCTTCTAGGGTTTTTATGATTAGGTCTTATGTTTAAGCCTTTAATCCCTCTTGAGTTAATTTTTGTATAAGGTGTAAGGAAGGGATCCAGTTTCAGTTTTCTGCATATGGCTAGTCAGTTGTCCCAACACCATTTATTAAATAGGGAATCTTTTCCCCATTGCTTGTTTGTGTCAGGTTTGTCCAAGATCAGAAGATTGTAGATGAGTGGTATTATGTATAAGGCCTCTGTTCTGTTCCATTGGCCTATATATCTGTTTTAGTACCAGTACCATGCTGTTTTCGTTACTGTAGCCTTGTAATATAGTTTGAAGTCAGGTAGTGTGATGCCTCCAGCTTTGTTCTTTTTGCTTAAGTTTGTCTTGGCTATGTGGGCTCTTTTTTGATTCCACATGAAGTTTAAAGTAGTTTTTTCCAATTCTGTGAAGAAAGTCAATGGTAGCTGGATGAGGATAGCATTGTGTCTATAAATTACTTTGGGCACTATGGCCATTATTACAATATTGAGTCTTCCTATCCATGAGCATGAAATGTTTTTCCATTTGTGTCCTGTCTTATTTCCTTGAGAAGTGGTTTGTAGTACCCCTTGAAGATGTCCTTCACATCCTTTGTAAGTTGTATTCCTAGGTATTTTATTCTCTTTGTAGCAATTGTGAATGGGAGTTCACTCAGGATTTGGCTGTGTGTTTGTCTGTTATTGGTATGTAGGAATGCTTGTGTTTTTGCACATCATTTTGTATCCTGAGACTTTGCTGAAGTTGCTTATCAGCTTAAGGAGATTTTGGGCTGAGAGGATGGGGTTTTCTAAATAAACAATCATGTCATCTGCAAACATGGGCAATTTGACTTCTTCTCTTCCTATTTGAATACGCTTTATTTCTTTCTCTTGCCTGACTGCCCTGGCCAAAACTTCCAATACTATGTTGAATAGGAGTGGTGAGAGAGGGCATCCCTGTCTTGTGCCAGTTTTCAAATAGAGTGCTTCCAGTTTTTGCCCATTCAGTATGATAATGGCTGTAAGTTTGTCATAAATAGCTCTTATTATTTTGAAATACATTCAATTGATACCTAGTTTATTGGGAGTTTTTAGCATGAAGGGGTGTTGAATTTTGTCAAAGGCCTTTTCTGCATCCATTGAGATAATCATATGTTTTTTGTTATTGGCTCTCTTTATGTGATGGATTATGTTTATTGATTTGTATATGTTGAACTAGACTTGCATCCCAGGTATGAAGCTGAATTGATCATGGTGGATAAGCTTTTTGATGTGCTGCTGAGTTCAATATTTGCCAATATTTTGTTATGGATGTTTGAATTGATGTTCATCAGGGATATTCGCCTGAAATTTTCTTTTTTTTGTTGTGTCTCTGCCAGGTTTTGGTATCAGGATGATGCTGGCCTCATAAAATGAGTTAAGGAGGATTCCCTGTTTCCTATTATTTGTAATAGTTTCAGAAGAAATAGTACCATCTCCTCTTTGTATCTCTGGTAGAAATCGGCTGTGAATCCATCTGGTCCTGGACTTTTTTGGTTGGTAGCCTATTAATTACTGCCTCAATTTCAGAACTTGTTATTGTTCTATTCAAGGAATGGACTTCTTCCTGATTTGGACACATACACCCTTAGGAGGGTGTATGTGTACAGGAATTTATCCATTTCTTCTAGATTTTCTAGTTTATTTGCATAGAGGTGTTCATAGTATTCTCTGATGGTAGTTTGTATTTCTGTGGGATCATTGGTGAAATCCCCTATACCATTTTTATTGCATATATTTGATTCTTCTTTCTTTTCTTCATTATTAGTCTGGCTAGCCGTCTATCTATTTTGTTGATCTTTTCAAAAAATGAGCTTCTGGATTCACTGATTTTTTGGTGTTTTTCATGTCTCTACCTCCATCATCAGTTCTGCTCTCATCTTGGTTATTTCTTATCTTCTGTTAGCTGTTGAATTTGTTAGCTGTTGCTTCTCTAGTTCTTTTAATTTTGATGTTAGGGTGTTAATTTTATCTCTTTCCTGCTTTCTCTTGTGGGTATTTAGTGCTATAAATTTCCCTCTTCACACTGCTTTAAATGTGTCCCAGAGATTCTGGTACATTGTGTCTTCATTCTCATTGGTTTCGAAGAACATCTTTTTTTCTGCCTTCATTTCGTTATTTACCCAGTAGTCATTCAGGAGCAGGTTGTTCAGTTTCCATGTAGTTGTGCAGTTTTGAGTGAGTTTCTTTATCCTGAGTTCTGGAAAGATGGCTGAATAAGAATAGCTCAGGTCTGCAGCTCCCAGCTAGATCAACACAGAAGGCGGGTGTTTTCTGCATTTCCAACTGTAGTGCCCAATTCATCTCATTGGGATTGGTTTGACAGTGGGTTCAGCCCATGGAGGGCAAGCTGAAGCAGGGTGGGTTGTTGCCTCACCCGGGAAGCACAAGGGGTCAGGGAATGTTCTCCCCTACCCAAGGGAAGCCGTGAGGAACTGAGCCTGATGAACCCTGTGCTCTGGCTCAGATACTGTGCTTTTCCCATGGTCTTTGCAACCTGCAGACCAGGAGATCCCCTTCGGTGCATACCTCACCAGGGCCATGGGTTTCAAGCACAAAACTGGGCGGCCGTTTGGGCAGACACTGAACTACTTGCAGGAGTTGTTTTTTTTTTTTTTTTTTTTTTTTTTCATACCAGAGTGACACCTGGAATGCCAGCAAGACACTACCCTGGAAAGGCGTATTGAAGCCAGGGAGCCAAGTGGTCTGGCTCAGTGGGTCCCATCCCCAGAGAGTCCAGAAAACTAAGATCCACTGGCTTGAAATTTTAGCTGCCAGCACAGCAGCAGTCTGACATTGACCTGGGATGCTCTAGCTTTGTGGGAGGAGGGGCGTCCGCCATTGCTGAGACTTGAGTAGGCGGTTTTACCCTCACAGCGTAAACAAAGCCACTGGGAAGTTTTAACTGGGTGGAGCCCACTGCAGCTCAGCAAGTCTGCTGTGGCCAGACTGACAGATTTCTCCTCTCTGGGCAGTGCATCTCTGAAAAAAAGGCAGCCCCAGTCAGAGACTTAAAGATAAAACACTCATCTCCCTGGGACAGAGCTCCTTGGGGAAGGGGCAGCTGTGGATGCAGCTTCAGCAGACTTAAACATCCCTGCCTCATGGTTCTGAAGAGAGCAGCAGACCTCCCAGCACAGAGTTTGAGCTCTGCTAAGGGTCAGACTGCCTCCTCAAGTGGATCCCTGAGCCCCATGTATCCTGACTGGGAGACACCTCCCAGTAGGGGCTGATAGACACCTCATATAGGAGAGCTCTCATTGGCATCTGGCAGGTGCTCCTCTGGAATGAAACTTCCAGAGGAAAGAACAGGCAGCAATCTTTGTTGTTTTCCACCCTCCACTGGTGATACTCAGGCAAACAGGGTCTGGGGTGTACCTCCAGCAAACTCCAACAGACCTGCAGCAGAAGAGTCTGTTAGAAGGAATACTAACAAACAGAAAGGAATAGCATGTCCACTCAAAGATCCCATCTGAAGGTCACCAGCATCAAAGACTGAAGTAGATAAATCCACAAAGATGGGAAGAAAACAGCACAAATAGGCTGAAAATTCCAAAAACTAGAATGTCTCTTCTCCTCCAAGGACTACAACTCCTCGCCAGCAAGGGAACAAAGTTGGGCGGAGAATGAGTTTGATGAATTGACAGAAGTAGGCTTCAGAAGATGGGTAATAACAAACTCCTCCGAGCTAAAGGGGCATGTTCTAACCCAATACAAGGAAGCGAAGAACCTTGAAAAAAGGTTAGAAGAATTGCTAACTAGAATAACCAGCTTAGAGAAGACTATAAATGATCTAATTGAGCTGAAAAATACACATGGGAACTTCGTGAAGCATACACAAGTATCAACAGCCAAATGGATCAAGCAGAATAAAGGATATCAGAGATTGAAGATCAACTTAATGAAATAAAGCAATAAAACAAGATTAGAGAAAAAAGAATAAAAAGAAATGAACAAAGCCTCCAAGAAATATGGGACTATGTGAAAAGACCAAATGTACATTTGATTGGTGTACCTGAAAGTGATGGGAAAATGGGACCAAGTTGGAAAACACTCCTCAGGCTATTACCCAGAAAAATTTCCCCAACCTAGCAAGGCAGGCCAACGTTCAAATTCAGGAAATACAGAGAACACCACAAAGATACTCCTTGAGAGGAGTAACCCCAAGAAACATAATCATCAGATTCGTCAAGGTTGAAATGAAGGAAAAAATGTTAAGAGCAGCCAGAGAGAAAGGTTGGATTACCCACGCAGGAAAGCCCATCAGACTAACAGCAGATCTCTCAACAGAAACTCTACAAGCCAGAAGAGAGTGGGGGCCAATATTCAACATTCTTAAAGAAAAGAATTTTCAAACCAGAATTTCGTATCCAGCCAAACTAAGTTTCATAATTGAAGGAGAAATACAATCTTTTATACGCAAGCAAATGCTGAGAGATTTTGTCACCACCAGGCCTGCCTTACAAGAGCTCCTGAAGGAAGCACTAAACAACATGGAAAGGAACAACTGGCACCAGCCACTGCAAAAACATGCCAAATTGTAAAGACCATGACGCTATGAAGAAACTGAATCAACTAACAGTCAAAATAACCAGCTAGCATAATAATGACAGGATCAAATTCAAACATAGCAATATTAGCCTTAAAAGTAAACAGGTTAAATGTCCCAATTAAAAGACACAGATGGGCAAATTGGATAGAGTCAAGTCCCATCAGTGTGCTGTGTTCAGGAGACCCATCTCACATGCAAACATACACATAGGCTCAAAATAAAGGGATGAGGAACTGGTACCATTCCTTCTGAAACTATTCCAATCAATAGAAAAAGAGGGAATCCTCCCTAACTCATTATATGAGGCCAGCATCATCCTGATATCAAAGCCGGGCAGAGACACAACAAAAAAGAGAATTTTAGACCAATATCCTTGATGAACATTGATGCAAAAATCCTCAATAAAATACTGGCAAACAAAATCCAGCAGCACAACAAAAAGCTTATCCACCATGATCAAGTGGGCTTCATCCCTGGGATGCAAGCCTGGTTCAATATACGCAAATCAATAAATATAATCCAGCATATAAACAGAACCAAAGACAAAAACCACATGATTATCTCAATAGATGCAGAAAAGGCCTTTGACAAAATTCAACAACGCTTCATGCTAAAAACTCTCAATCACTTAGGTATTGATGGGACATATCTCAAAATAATAAGAGCTATCTATGACAAACCCACAGCCAATATCATACTGAATGGGCAAAAACTGGAAGCATTCCCTTCGAAAACTGGCACAAGACAGGGATGCCCTCTCTCACCACTCCTATTCAACATAGTGTTGGAAGTTCTGGCCAGGGCAATTAGGTAGGAGAAGGAAATAAATGGTATTCAATTAGGAAAAGAGGAAGTCAAATTGTCCCTGTTTGCAGATGACATGATTGTATATCTAGAAAACCCATTGTCTCAGCCCAAAATCTCCTAAAGCTGATAAGCAACTTCAGCAAAGTCTCAGGATACAAAAATCAATGTACAAAAATCACAAGCATTCTTATACACCAACAACAGACAAACAGAGAGCCAAATCATGAGTGAACTCCCATTCACAATTGCTTCAAAGAGAATAAAATACCTAGGAATCCAACTTACAAGGGATGTGAAGGACCTCTTCAAGGAGAACTACAAACCACTGCTCAATGAAATAAAAGAGGATACAAACAAATGGAAGAACATTCCATGCTCATGGGTAGGAAGAATCAATATCATGAAAATGGCCATACTTCCCAAGGTAATTTACAAATTCAATGCCATCCCCATCAAGCTACCAATGACTTTCTTCACAGAATTGGAAAAAACTACTTTAAAGTTCATATGGCACCAAAAAAAAGCCCGCATCACCAAGTCAATCCTAAGCCAAAAGAACAAAGCTGGAGGCATCACACTACCTGCCTTCAAACTACACTACAAGTCTACAGTAACCAAAACAGCATGGTACTGGTACCAAAACAGAGATATAGACCAATGGAACAGAACAGAGCACTCAGAAACAATGCCACATATCTACAACCATCTGATCTTTGACAAACCTGACAAAAACAAGAAATGGGGAAACGATTCCTTATTTAATAAATGGTGCTGGGAAAACTGGCTAGCCATATGTAGAAAGCTGAAACTGGATCCCTTCCTTACACCTTATACAAAAATCAATTCAAGATGGATTAAACACTTAAACATTAGACTTAAAACCATAAAAACCCTAGAAGAAAACCTAGGCATTACCATTCAGGACATAGGCATGGGCAAGAACTTCATCTCTAAAACACCAAAAACAATGGCAACCAAAGCCAAAATTGACAAATGGGATCTAAATAAACTAAAGAGCTTCTGCACAGCAAAAGAAAATACCATCAGAATGAACAGGCAACCTACAAAATGGGAGAAAATTTTCGCAACCTACTCATCTGACAAAGGGCTAATATCCAGAATCTACAATGAACTCAAACAAATTTACAAGAAAAAAACAAACAACCCCATCAAAAAGTGGTTGAAGGACATGAACACACACTTCTCAAAAGAAGACATTTATGCAGCCAAAAAACACATGAAAAAATGCTCACCATCACTGGCCATCAGAGAAATGCAAATCAAAACCACGATGAGATACCATCTCACACCAGTTAGAATGGCAATCATTAAAAAGTCAGGAAACAACAGGTGCTGGAGAGGATGTGGAGAAATAGGAACACTTTTACACTGTTGGTGGGACTGTAAACTAGTTCAACCATTGTGGAAGTCCGTGTGGCGATTCCGCAGGCATCTAGAACTAGAAATACCATTTGACCCAGCCATCCTATTACTGGGTATATACCCAAAGGACTATAAATCATGCTGCTATAAAGACACATGCAAACGTATGTTTATTGTGGCATTATTCACAATAGCAAAGACTTGGAACCAACCCAAATGTCCAACAATGATAGACTGGATTAAGAAAATGTGGCACATATACACCATGGAATACTATGCAGCCATAAAAAATGATGAGTTCATGTCGTTTGTAGGGACATGGATGAAATTGGAAATCATCATTCTCAGTAAACTATCGCAAGGACAAAAAACGAAACACCACATATTCTCACTCATAGGTGGGAATTGAACAATGAGAACACATGGACGCAGGAAGGGGAACATCACACTCTGGGGACTGTGGTGGGGTGGGGAGAGGGGGGAGGGATAGCATTGGGAGATATACCTAATGCCAGATGACGAGTTAGTGGGTGCAGCGCACCAGCATGGCACATGTATACATATGTAACTAACCTGCACATTGTGCACATGTACACTAAAACTTAAAGTATAATAATAATAAATAAATAAATAAATAAATAAATAAATAACAAAATAAAGGGATGAAAGAAGATTTACCAAGCAAATGGAAAGAAAAGAATCAGGAGTTGCAATCATAATCTCTGATATAACAGACTTTAAACCAACAAAGATCAAAAGAGACAAAAAGGGGCATTACATAATGGTAAAGGGATCAATGCAACAAGCAGAGCTATCTATCCTAAATATATATGCACCCAACACAGGAGCACCCAGATTCATAAAGCAAGTTTTTAGAGACCTACAAAGAGACTGAGACTCCCACACAATAATAGTGGGAGACTTTAACTCCCAACTGTCAATATTAGACAGATCAACAAGACAGAAAATTAACAGGGATATTCAGGACTTGAACTCAGCTCTGGACCGAGTAGATCTAATAGACATCTACTGAAATCTCCACCCCAAATCAACAGAATATACATTCTTCTCAGCACCTCATCATACTTATTCTAAAATTGATCACATAATTGGAAGTAAAACACTCCTCAGCAAATGCAAACAAATGGAAATCATAACAGTCTCTTAGACCACAGTGCAATCAAATTAAAGGGGAAGTTTTTAAAGCCCATATACTATACCTTTTTTTGGACTGGAAATTCTACTTCAAGACTGTGTTTTCTCCTTTAAAAAGTTTAAACCTGAGTTTCTCCAAACTACATTTTACATGAGGAGCAATCCATCTATTTAGACAATATTTATACTAATTATCTCATAACAATATCTCAGAAACAGGAGAAAAATGGTTATAATATTTGTGTGGCTCATATATACTAGTAAAGATCTCTGAAAGCCTAAAATAGTGGTGGACAAAGTCTTAGACATTCATTATGGACCTCAGGGTACCTTTCCCCCTGGCCAACACACATATTCAACACACATATTTCACCATGCGGCTAATCTTTTACTGGTGATATCTAGCCATTTCCAAACACAGTAGAACATATGATGTTAGGAAGCAATCTACTATTTAGTTCATAATATTAGCAGGATATTTCATTCAATTCATTACAATTCCTTACAATGACATGCATGCATCATCTATTTCTTTTTATTTTGCATGCATGCATACACATACATGAAAAACTGAGATGACAAAATCAAAACACAAAATTATAGTTTGTAGACAAAAATAAACTTACAGGTACTGTAGAAGAAAGTGTCCAATATGTATACCTTGAAGAATTGAGTACTGTGGAAAGTAAGAAAGTTTATTAATGCTAAAAACAATAAATTGATAATAACAGTATCTTGTAATATGAGGGATAAAATTTTATGTTCCTTATAGAAATATTTTATGTTCAGCATAAATTGACTCTTCAAAAGTTACTCTTCAAGGAATAGTGCAAAATGTGTGATAGAAAATTAAATTTTCTGAGGTTATCTTTACTAAAAATCATTAAAATATTTTCAGGAAAAATAAGGTTATTTTAGGAAATGACAAGATAATTCAAGAGAAAAAGACCTATGAATTACATCAACACAAAACCTTAGATAAGAATCCTTATTGTTTATTGTTACCTGGGATGCTGGTATTGCCTCTCAGGAGGCTTTTGGAGGTGTGGGTACCATCTTTGTTACTCTTAATTATTGGGGAATGCTACTGGCCTATGTTGCCTAAGAGATTGGGTTCCTAATCACCTTCGGGGCACAGAACCATCTTGCTGAATATCTCCTTTGGAAAAAAAAGTCTTCTAGATTTTATTTTTGATGTGCTAGTCTTTAATTTTGGGTCCAATTCCAGATTCTTATAGAACTCACCATGATATTTTATTTTCTAATTTTATCCTGTGCTAATGAGCTCCATGAACTTTTTCAAAAAAACTCAAGTATGAATAATTCATTTAGGGTAAGTTTTAGTGATACTCAAGCTTAGCATGACAGTAAACAATTATATGAACACTCCTCAATTTTACTTACAGTTAATCATCTTTTAACTATAACTAATTTTGCATCTACAGTACAGTATAGCTTTATAGGCATTGGGTTATTTCTAGAACTCTTCATACTCTATCAATAAACAAAATAATTTGGGGGAATGACTTACATGTGTTTCTTGATCATAAGGCATTTGTATTATATTTAAGAACATTTTGTAAAAACTTGCTCTTGAAATATTACATAAAACAGAGAAGGATCTAGTTACATTAGGGGGATTGGTGGTGGGTGTATCAGTCCATTCTCACACTGCTATGAAGAATTAACTGAGACCAGGTAATTTATAAAGAAAAGAGGTTTAAGTGACTCAAAATTCCGCATGTCCAGGGAGGCCCCAGTAAACTTACAATCATGGTGAAAGGCACCTCTTCACAGGGCAGAATGAGAGAGAATGAGAGACCAGCAAAGGAGGAGAACTCACTCACTATCAGGAGAATAGTATGAAAGTAACCGTAACTGCTTCCATGATTGAATTACCTCCCACTGGGTCCCTCCCATGACATGTGGGGATTGTGGGAACTACAATTCAAGATAGATTTGGGTGGGGACACATCCAAACCATATCAGTGGAGTAACTTAAAAAAAAAGTCTACTTAGAAACAAAACCCTCAAAAAGTTTCATTTGCCAAATCCATTTAAGGATTCAAATATATCCCTCTAATACTGCTTACCCCATGGGCACATATACGTGCTTGAAAAAGTTTGTTACTCTGTGCTAATAAGGTAGACTTTGAATGTGAACCTCACATCTGTGTAAGTTATGAAGGTGTCTCCACAGCAAGAATTTTTCTATGCTTGCATCTTGTTCATCTAATTAGGAAACCAGGTTGAGAACCTCTAGCTTATCATAGCCTTCAGTAAGTAACTAACATTGTATGTGTTGATATCATGTAGCATTATCTTACTATCTTCCTATATTTTACTCTTCATTTGAGGAACAATTTCATATATATTCATATCATAGCATTTTACTTAACCTAACTGGATGTTTTCATTTCTAAATGAATCAATTTCTATATATTTAGAAAGGTAGCTTATTTCTGTTGCATATACATATGAAAACACTTGCATTCTGCAAAACTGTCTATACAGTATTGCAGCTAGTCTGTAAATGTCAATATTAAAAAGCCTATGTCAATTTCCTTATTCCTAATATTTAATCAAATATCTGCAGTTTACTAACTATCAAATAAATTTTAGCTGGGCATAAATTTATTATTGAGTTAGAGTTTCTATCTTATATACTTCTGTATATAGAAAATATTAAATAAAAATTCTGAGGTAGAAACATCAATATGATTGAACACTCCTCTTAAAAATGGAGTAGTACAGTTACTTTGGAATGAAATCAGTAAAAATCTATTAATATTGGACAAATTATGTCATACTTATTTTTAAAACATATCTGAACTCACAAGACTTAAAGAAGTTAAGCAAATACAAAAGGGAAGTTAAAGCAGAGTGGTTAAAACTGAAGCCATAACTTTTCTTATTTCTTAACAACAATCCCAGGAACATAAAAGTGTAGAGATGAATGACTCCACAGAGAATAGAATTCTGGTACATGGACCCGTGGAAGAAGACATCCCTCAACATACATTGTTGTTATCTGACTCACTATCTATCTATTTAATTCCACTCTGTGTGATTTTAACA
The DNA here is from genome assembly GCF_000001405.40 of Homo sapiens. Lineage (NCBI taxonomy): Eukaryota > Metazoa > Chordata > Mammalia > Primates > Hominidae > Homo > Homo sapiens. Next base: position 59,575,929 of record NC_000004.12, on the reverse strand, counting down.
TCACTTTTAAAATGCTCTATTTGGAATTTTAAAAAATGATATGCATGATAGCATCAATCCAAATATTTTATTAACTATATTACATTTTCTTCTTATTAAAGGTAACAGAAAAGTTTTGTTGTAGTAATATTCATATTCCTCATACCATACTCCTTATAATTCATGTAGGTTAAGTACCAATAAATGTGAGTTTACAATAAAACAGAGTAATGAATGCAATAAGAAGTCTAGTTACTACGATTTAGCAAAAGCAATACATAATAAATGTATATCTCATGTACTAAAAATTAGAAATATTAAATACAAATTATAAAGTAACTATGTTCAAAGTTTTGAAAAGAGAGCATACAAAATTTTGTAGATGAACAAAAAAAGATGACAGAAACTCAAGATATTACCATAACTTTAGATTTAGAAATAAATTACTTACAACCTCTAGTAATTAAGATTAAAATTAAAATTAAAAAACAAATCTTGGAGGTTAGTTTAAAAAGCAGATTAGAAAGAAGTGGAGACAATGAATTGACCTGAAATTATGATGTAGCCTAAAGAAAGAGAAAAATTTTTAACTGAGATAAGAGGCAGATTCAGTAAATAAGAAGGTATACCACATATGTAATCTGAGTTCCTGAAAAAAGTAAAACAATGGTGAGGGAACATTGAGAAATATGGTGAAAATTTTCCAACCTTGATTAAAGACATATATCCTTTATTCCTTGAAGAACAGTATATTCTAAGCAAGATTAAGAAATTCATTTCTATAGTGTACCAAAGACAAAGACAAGGTCTAAAAACAGCCAAATAGACAAGACAGATCACTTCCAAAGAAATAAATATTAGACTGACAGTGCTTTTCCTAATAGCACAAAGATACAACAATAGCATCAAAGTGCTAAGAAATAATATTTGCCAATATAAAAAATCACATACCTAGAAAAATTATCAGTTTTGATGGGAAGCCAAACACATCTTCAGATTAACTAAACCATGTGACCACAGTGTACCTTATCTAAAAAATCTTCCTAACAAATGTGTTCCCACAAGAAGATTAAATTTCAAAATCTTCAATATTACTATTGTACCATCCTCTTCTCCTACATAACAAATAACAAAAAGAACATTGAATCTACAGAATACACATTATGTTCTGTTTACACAACCTTCAGAGTCTGAGCTATTATTATGGAGGCATTGTTTTTTCCACTTTGAATACTTTGCTGAACATTGGGTTTTATAATTTCCTTGGGTACCAGTGATAGTTTAGAAACAGTGTTAGAGCAACAGGTAATTGTTGAGAGGCAAGAAAATTTCTGATAGTTTAAAGCAATGGTCCTGTCTCCTCGTCCATATTTCCAATCATAATTGTTTGCTTAAAAAACTATTAATTTAGTATTTTCTTTCTTACCTGGGCTGTGTCTATCCTCATGGTTATTCAGCATAGAATATGCTAGCAGCACCTAAAGCCACAAAATAACATATTAATTCTACTGATTAAGTTCTATAATAAAGGTATAAAATGGAATAAAAGATAAAATATGATGACTTTAATTAATTTATGACATTTCAAATAGGTTTTACTCTGTGGGACTCCACTTTACAATGGGTCTTCCTTTCCCTGCCCAAACTCCAGAGGTAAGGATACCATCCAGTAGCCTAGAAGTCTCATAAAATTACATGTGCCCAGCATTGTACTTTTCCAGTGTTTAAGGGAAACTAAAGAATCCTCATTTTTAAATGAAATATTCTAATATTTCAATGTTGACAAGTTATTTCAAAGTGCAATACATGCTAAAGGTTAAACAACCTGCGTGACCAAAAAACAAACAAAAATAAGCATTCAAGCTATATTTCACAGACCTTCTCTTTATTGTGTTTGCTACAAGACTTTTCCGTAAATCTTTACATGCAAACCCCTACATTTGGTGAGTTGACTCAAATTGAACCTATTTTACCACCTCAGATGACTTTGAACTGACGTTCGTAGTAAAAAGCATATATTCCAATGAAGTGTGAGTTTCACAAAAGCAGTATAGTTTCCATCTTGTTCATCACTCCACAGTATGCCCAGTTACTACAAAATTACCTAACACAGTAAGTACTGAATATTTGTGAAAACATTATATCTATCTATCATCTATCTATCTATCTATCTATCTATCTATCTATCTATCTATCATCTATCATCTATCTGTCTATAAATGATGAAATGAAGTAGACCAGATTATATTTAAATCCCTTTTGCCCAGATTATAATTTCCATCCTTCAGTCACATTAATAGGAAATTTTCCACACAACCTCTGAGACATATACTCAGTATAAATACTTTGAATGTTGCCGGAGTGTTCTTGGTAAGTATCTTGTTTCTGTGTAGTCCCTTTAGGAAGCTATTCAAGCAACTGTTTCTGAGATCAGGGGATAGAGCTATTTCCTCCTTATCCATCTCCACAATCAAGAATAGAACTAGCAAAAGTTTTATAAAACAAGTTTTTTTTTTTTTGCTATAAAAATTCTAGAGCTTGTATTTTTGAGGCAAGTCCTGCAAAAAATTATTTCCTGAATTTCCATGGTATAATATTAATTCAATGTCAATCAGCTAATTTTTTTCTGAATTACATCATATTTTAAGATGAACATTATTATATAATTTTGCAATTTATGATAACAGCTTTTTATGATCTGAAATCTGCTTAACTCTAAAACTTTATTTTTACTCTAAATATGCTTTTTTTTTTTTTTAGTTTTGGTTCTGTTTTTGCTAGACAGATTGCCTAAACTGCTCTTCAATTTCCCCTTTTACCTGTTCCATAAATATTTCCATAACACTGAAGGACTGTGAGAGTCCTGTATACTTAGTAATATGTTTACCTGCTGAAATTGCCCATTAGCCATTTTACTATTCGAGGGCTATGGCCATGTCTTGTCCTGTGTTGTATTTATAGCTTTTACCCAACTGACTGGCCCATTATTGATATTCAATAAATATTTGATGAATGAATGAATAAATAACTTTCTCTGGACTCCTTACGATAGTGGCTTATATTACCATGGTTGTCAAATTTTAGTGCTTAGCACCAAAATATGTACTTTACTTCTTTTTTATCCAGTATTATTGTCATTAGTACTTTATTAACTAGAATTTTAGCATTTATGTAGAATAATAATAATGTGAATAACTTAAGGCTATTTGACTCTATCTATTAAATTCCATTCAGCATGATTTTAACATCACTTTTAATGCTCTATTTGAAATTTTAAAAAATGATATACATGATAGCATTAATCCAGTTTTTTATTAACAATAATATTACATTTCCCTGTCATTAAAGATAACGGAAAATGTATTACTCTTGTTGTAGTAATATTAATATTCTAGCTAGATGAGTCTATTTAAATCTAGCATGAAACTGGCACTCTGGCTGATTAATATCCACTGATCATTTCTGATGCTGACAATATATGTTAACACATTATATAATTTTTTCAAAATCTTTATTTTTCTTTGGATATATTTATTAAATAAGAGTAACATTTGAAGAATCAGTAACTAATAATTATCCCTATCCTACAATTTTCCTTAGGAGTATATCATGCACATAATTCAGCCATGGCATTTTCTGTGAGATATTTGATACTGTGGAGCCCTAAGCATGCATTTTAACAATGCGAGCAAATATTTCCCTTTTGGGAGAGGGGATGTTCTAGTCATATAATGTGCAGTAAGCCATTGTACTTCTAATCTTTGAGGTTTGCGGCTAATGAGGAGACAAAAACAAATAAAATAACTGGCAGCAATTTGCTCAATGTTAGATGCAATAAAGAAGTAATCTGAACCCTGAGCATTGGCTAGCATAGGAACGACTCCGACATGAGGACTTTCTGAGTTGCAAACCAGTCAGCCTTGGCCACTGAATAAATAAGCAATCAGACTCCAGCAGATGGAAATAGCCGTTGATTGGTGCTTTGCTTTTTCATTTCTCTTAGAAGCAGTTGGTTCCTCTTAGTGAACTGTGAGCTGAAAGTAATCCGCAAAGTAAAATAATATACAAGCTCGAGTTCTGCAGGCATAGTACTGCCATTATGAAAAACGGTGAAGGATGGGCAGCACAGTCCTGCTTTAAAACGCAAGGATGTAATTATGATTGATGTTTTACCTTCTTTGAGTCCATGGCACAACACAACAGACAAAAGATGAAGTTTTAGTGCTTTCAAGCTCTCATGGACCAGATAATCTTTTTGGAGATGATCAGGAAAATGTTACAGCTCCAGATAATAGTAAAGTATCATTTTCCCAGTTATACCAGTTTTCATTTGACAGTACAGTTTATGGAATTTTTAAAAATTCAGGAAATTGTGACTTCTAAAAGGGGATATGACTATTTTAATTGACTTTTGTTCAAAAATTTTCATGTCTGTAAAATTTCTTCTTTTCTTTCTCTTGTTATCATCATCTTTTCTGCCTCTCATATTAACTACTTACAATTTCTGGATTGTTTATTTTATGTTTATGAACTCATCCTATTTAATTTTATAATCAGTTGCATTGTTCATAACATGAATTTTTCTACTTAGCAGCTGTGCAAAGGCCAGGAGGTGATGTGGAACCACATATTTTAGTTTTGCCTGTTTCATTTACCAATGAGGTACTTGGATAGTGAAACTGAGCAAAGTTTTTATTTTCTTGTAAAGTGTTTGGTGAGGAGACCTTAATCCTAAACCTAATTTCAGTTCCCCTTTTTATTTTAGCTTTAAAATAATGCTGAAATGAGGGCCAAGTAGTATAACTTTTACAATATTGATTTACTTCAGAATAACCAAAGCCAGTATCGAAGGCTGTGCAGTCAGCTGTTCGCTGGAGGTTCTCCAAAGAAGAAAATAAACAAAATAGAGCTTGTAAAAACCACAAGAGACCCTTCCAAAGTGCTTCAAGACTGCTTTACAACAACTTCAATGAAGAGAACTGCATAGTATTTTATGATTAAATGGTGGAAACACAAGATAGGAACTATAATAATTTGCTGAACTTTGGATGAATTAATATGAATAGTTATTCTTATCCTAAAGAGGAATATTTACAACCATTTATTAAATATTCAACTTTATAAACAAAAACTTAGTTGTTCACATTAACTGATTTATTTAAAGAAAAATCTATTGCATGCTATCAAGTTACTCATTAATTTGCCAAAGTCTTAGAAAATAAGGCCAATAATACTATATAATGTCCATAAAGAGAACTCTCTCTCTTTATCTTTTTTTTTTTTTTAACACAACTTGTGATTGTATAAATAGTATTTCCCATTATGGAACTTAAGTTATATGTGATTTATTTGGATCAATGCTATGTCAGTCAGCTTTATTGACAGTGTTATACCACTTGATTAGGGGATTAAAAATTTAATCCTTGTGAATGAGAACATGATGTAAGTTTTCTTTAATATCCCCATTTAATTGTCTTCTGTTTCTTCTATTTATATAGTAGTTTTTGTCTATCAATTTTTTTAACTTTAGTAGGAACACAAAATCCACATTGATTCCACTTGTGTTGTGCTGAAAAATCTGCATTCCTCCTTTCTTAGTTACTCATTATCTAATAGTTAAGAAGTCCAAATGAGCCTAAACTCAGGTCAATATGTTTGACATGCATATGGAAAAATACAAGTTTCATGTTTTGCTTTACTAGACTCTGCTTTGAGTCATGACAATGACTATTGTGGGATTTGAAGTACCACTTTTTGTGGAGTCTCTTATCTCTTATCTTATTTGATAACTACAGGCTCAGTTTCAAAAACATCATTGCAACTTTAGTTTAAATCAAAGAGATATGACCTTGTATTGTGCCTTTACTTTCATGTATAAATGTTGTCAAAATAATAATGCATATGATGATCCTGTATGAAGGAGAATCAACATACTGCTATTCATTTTCTAAATTGTGAAATGAGAATATGTATGCATGGGTCCATAACTTTTATCATATAGTACTTATTATAGTATATAATTTTAGACAGCTTGATAAAAATGACAATTTTGGAAATTAAAATTTTTGATTACTTACCTAGAGGTAACTACTATAGTCATGTGTCACATAATGACAAGGATACATTCTGGGAAATATTTCACTGGGCAATTTTGTTACTGTATGAACATCTTAGGGTATACTTCTACAAAGCCAGATGGTATAGCCACGTACCTGGGCTATACAGTATGTTTTTTTTTTTTTTAATTATACTTTAAGTTCTGGGATACATGTGCAGAACGTGCAGGTTTGTTACATAGGTATATGCACGTGCCGTGGTGGTTTGCTGCACCCATCAACTCATCATCTACATTAATTATTTCTCCCTCCCCTAGCTCCCCAACCCTCTGACAGGCCCTGGTGTGTGATGTTCCCTGCCCTGTGTCCATGTATTCTCATTGCTCAACTCCCACTTATGAGTGAGAACATGTGGTGGTTGGTTTTATGTTCCTGTGTTAGTTTGCTGAGAATGATGGTTTCCAGCTTCACCCATGTCCCTACAAAGGACATGAACTCATCCTTTTGTAAGGCTGCATAGTATTTCATGGTGTGTATGGCTACAAATATATGGTATGTTTTCCTGGGCTACAAACCTCTACAACATGTTTCTGTACTGAATACTATAGGCAGTTGTAACAAAAAGATAAATATTTGTGTACTTAAACATTTCTAAGCATAAGAAAGGTACAGTAAAAACATGGCATTATAATCTTATGAGACCACTGTCATATAAGCAGTCCATCACTGACCAAAATGTTGTTATGTGGTGTATGAGTATATTTACCATTTGTATTAGTTTGCTGGGGTTGCCACAACAAAGTTCTAAAGAATGGGCAGCTTAAACAAAAGGAATGTATTTTCTCACATTTCAGGAAGCTTTAAAGTCCAAGAGCAAGATGTGAGCAGTGGTGGTTCCTTCTGAGGGATACGAGAAAGAACCTGTTCCATGCCTCTCTCCTGGCTTCTGATGATTTCTTACCCATCTTTGGTGTTTCTGGGTTTTTGCTCCATCACATTAATCTCACCTTCATCTTCACGTGGCATTCTTTCAATGTATCTGCCTCTAAATTTCTCCTGTAAATAAGAATGCTGTCATACTGCATTAAAGACCCTTTCTTTCTCAAATGGATTTTAGGGGAACACAGTTCAACACATAACAGCATCTCATTACATATCCTTTGTGTTTTCTGTGCTGGCATAGGAATAACAATTACCATAATTTACTAAGCTCAGATTCTTTGACTATCCAAACCAACACAATAATTTATTTCATTTTATTTTATACAGCACTAATGGAAATATATCAAATAGATCATCTAATATCACCATTATTTTATAAGTAAAAAAACTTAGGCACAGAGAAAATGATGTTATCAATGCCACATAGCCAAACACAAATCCAGGCTATCTGAACCTTGGATATTTGTAGAGGATTTGTGTTGCACGTTCTATTTCATAACCTGATTTCTAACTATTTCTCTAGTGTTTTCAGGTCATTTGTGATGTAAACATTCTGGAATTAGTATATTATGGACAACTGAAATGAGTTCAGATTTTTAAAAAAATCTCTTTATCCAGAGCTATCTAACAAAGCCACCAGATAATTGATGCCTTTTTTCCATGATCTGTATTTATAAGTTTGAATTTTCAGATACTGCATGCACAACTTACTAGTTGTGTTAGTTTGGGGAAGAAAATAAACCCTCGAGTAATAATGATGTAATTGCTCTGCTGTGATATAAAATATCAAATAAATGTTTACATTTCTATGTTAAAATACTATTAATAAATATTCTATCAAGCTTACTACCTTGTCAGTACTATTAATATATTTAGGAATACTGGATGAAGTTTCAAAGAAGGATGAGAATTGTTTAAATAATAAATATGATATAACAAATATTATAAGTAATAGAAATTATTATCTGATTTATCCTTTAGAACAAAATTTCAGACTGGTGTATGAAAGTAATGATAAGGGGACCAATTTGCAAGCTATTGCAGTAATCTTAATGAAAGATTATGTTGGCTTGGATTAGTTTTACAAGAAATAAGAATAATTAAATGTGGTCAAATTAGGGATACAGCTTGGAAGCAGAGCCTGTAGGATTAACTGGAAGGTTAGATGTTGATTGAGAAAACAATAGAAAATAAAGGTAATTTCTAATAATTTGTTTAAAAATAAAGTTTATTATGTGTGTTTAGGTATACAGTATAATGTTTCCGGATGAATATAGATAGTAAACAATGTTACTATACTGAAGCAAATGAACATATGCAGCATATGTCACACCCATATTTATTTTTTCATGGCAAGAACCACTAAAATCTACTCAGCATGAATACCAAATATGGTAAAATTTTATTACCTGTAGTCCTCATGTTGTACATTAGATTTTTTCATTTTTTCATCCTACATATCTGCTACTTTGTATCATCTGACCTACATTTCTCCATTTTCTCTCTCCCATCCTTCATCCTGGGTACTGTTTTGTTTCCTATCTCTAAATATTTTACTTTCTTTAATATTTTATATATAAGTCGAGTCAAAAGATAAATGTTGGTGAGCATGTGGAGAAAGAGGAAGTCCGCTGTTGGCAGGCATGTAGATTGGTATGGTCACTATGGAAAGCAGTATAGAGGTTTCCAGGAATTAAAAATAGGACTGCCATATGACTCAAAAATCCCTCTTCTAGGCATATAATAAAAATGAATAAATAAAAGAAAAAGAACAACCTGATAAAGATATCTGTACTCCCATGATTATTGCAGCATTATTCACAATAGCCAAGATATGAAAACAACCTAAGTGTGCATCAACAGACAAGAGATAAACTGTGGCACACATATACAATGGAATAACATTCAGCCCTAACAACAGATTTCTAAGAGTTTGCCCTGAGGAACAGGGTAAACTGAAGTGTTAATTACCCAGGTATAAATGAGAACATAACTAAAGTCTCTAATAGAGGAAATAGAGATACATTAAAAGTTTGCTGTAGAATTTCTCGAAATTGATGACAGAAGGGTGCGTTATCTAGAAGAGGGAGGAAGGTGATTTATAATTGGTGTCCTTAGTTGATGAAGGTCCCAGTAATTAAGATACTTCAAGAAACAAAACAAGAATATTTGCAGAGAATTCTGACACTCAACTCAGTTTTAGGCTTGCTGAGCTTGAAATACTTATGGGACAACCATTTGGATATTTCCAATATCAACTAAAAAAAATTGCAACCCCCAGAGTAAAGTTCTGAGCAAGAAATAAAGATTTTGAAGACATATTTACATTAATTACCTGAGGTTCTGAAATACAATATGTGAACTTTCTGGGCTTTATTGGAAACATTTTACAAAGTCTGTACCACTTATGAAAAAAGTAAATAAAATTATACCAGAATATCAGTAATATTCCAGGTCTCTCCTTATATTATGTATTTGTTTTACCTGTAATTTAGCTTTATTTATACCTTCTATGCTTTGAAATAATGAATTCCATTAATACGCATTTAGATTTTAAACCTTGACTTCAAATGCTATTCTCCTGTGGCAAATAAACAGATTAAAATTAAGACCCAGAAAATCCCTTTATTAATGTGTTGTTAAGATGCATACCTTCAATTTTTTTGTATTATATAACATTGCTTCCAGGCTGAAATCTGCAAACAACTATAGCACCATAACTGAACTTTGGCCAAAACACAGGAATTTATTTTAATGATCCCCATATTTTCAAATTCTTCACTTGAAGTATAGGGCACTCTCTAGAGAGCAGAATCAATAAACCTTGAAGAATGCATATGGAACATTATTTAAACTAGGAGCTGAAGGGAAGCTAGCAGATGCTACTGAGCACTGAGGGTGAACTGCAGAAATCTGCCAGGGACAACAGGCACATAAATGAAACATGTATCCACAGGATGGTAACCGTGGTATAATGAGAGGAGTGAGTGGAAAAAGAACAGGGAAGCCAGTTACCTGACAGAACAGTAAGGGCCCTGTGTCTGTGCATGTTCACAAAACCCACATTTTCATTCACTCATTTAACAAAATGACTGAGCTTCCCAGTGCTGCACTTAGTTCTAGGAGTACAGAGTTGAATAACATTTTGGAATGAATACTGATCATATCATTTATGTGTTCATAATGACACTCAGTGGTGTTATAGAAAGCCATAGAAAGAACATTTGATGTAAATCAATGGGTTAGGGAAGGCATCTGTCAGTTTAGCCCTTCAAGGATATATTGCAGTTACCCAGAAAATGAAAAAGAAAACTTTCAAAGCAGAGAGAAAAGCATGTGCAAGGGCATGAAGGCAGGAATCAAAAAGTATTCTTCACAAGAACAGAAAAGCAAACACCACATATTCTCACTCATAAGCAGAAGTTGAACAATGAGAACACATGGACACCGGGAGGGGAACATCACACACTGGGGCCTGTCATGGGGCGGGGGGCTGGGGGAAGAATAGCATTAGGAGAAATACCTGAAGTAGATGACAGGTTGATGGGGGCAGCAAACCACCATGTCACATGTATACCTGTGTGACAAAACTGCACATTCTGCACATGTATCCCAAAACTTACAGTATAATAAAAAAAAATTTAAAAAAGAAAAAACAGTATTCTTGGGATCTGGCTTCTCCTGTGTCTCTGCAACACAGGTAAGAGGAGAGTGGCAGGAAGAGATGATGCTGGAGAAGTTTCAAAAATAGGCTGAGATTGTGAATGATTTTGTGTGATACACCAAGGAGCTTGCATCTTAATATGAAGGTGATGAAGAAGCATTGAATTATTCTGAGCAGCAGGATGAAATAAAGTAATAAGCCTTTTGTCATCAGGGTGGAGGATGCCATGGAGTGAGTGAAAATCCATATTAGACTTTAAGAAGACACTAGTATTTAAGAAACAGAGGGAAAAGAGGAAGTGTAGGGAGAATTTGCAAATAAGAAACTAATTATTAAGCATTAACATCCATGGATATTTTTGAAATTCATTCACAGGTGGTCTATATTATAATTTTTCTAAGAAAACTACACAAAGATTATCTATAAAAATAAACAGAATAAAAGAATAACTAAGTATAAAAATTAGGCACAAATCTCTGGTTTTTTTTCCAATACATAGCTATAGCAAGGATATGAAATAAAATTTTAACTTTACAGAAAAGTAAAATATCAAAACTACTCCTCTGTTAATTGCTTGAAGGAGAATGACAGACTATAAATACGTTCTAATAACAAAACTGATACAGACGTTGCAAAACCTAACTTTACACATCAAGACAACTGAAAATTTTCAAATCACATGATAGTTTGCCTTTACTTCTCAGGAAATTTTTAAGAGATGTGGCATGTTTACTAGCTTTTAAATATTGTGTGATAATTGTGACTATTACAAAGCAGTTAATAGGAGCAATATAAAGCCAGAGATATGTTTTTCTTTTTAATGTCCAGTAGTATAATAATCACGATTACTTAGATTAAAATGAAAGATTTTATTTTCATCTATCCAATATTTATGTAATAATCTTTTTTGTTTGTTTGTTTTTTTTTTTTTTTTTTTTTTTAGCTCGAGTTTCGCTCTTGTCGCCCAGGCTGGAGTGCAGTGGCGCGATCTTGGCTGACTGCAACCTCCACCTCCCAGGTTCAAGCGATTCTCCTGCCTCAGTCTCCAGAGTAGCTGGGACTACAGGTGCGCACCACCACACCTGGCTAATGTTGGCATTTTTAGTAGAGACAGGGTTTCACCATGTTGACCAAGATGTTCTCCGTCTCCTGACCTTGGGATCCGCCCGTCTCGGCCTCCCAAAGTGCTGGGATTAGAGGCGTGAGCCACTGTGCCCGGCAATAAATACTTTTAAGAGTTTCGGTAATGTGAATTACTGAGCTAGAAGTTAGAGATAGGAATAAAAATAACCCAAAGAACAAAATATTTACTAAGCCGCTGTATTAATCTGTTTGCACGCTGCTGATAAAGACATATCCGACACTGGGGAATTTACAAAGGAAAATGATTTAATGGAGAACTCAGAGTTCTACGTGGATGGGGAAGCCTCACAATCATGACAGAAAGTGAGGCGGAGCAAGTCACATCTTACCTGGATGGCGGCAGGAAAAAAGAAAGAGTTTGTGCAGGGGAACTCCTCTTTTAAAAACCATCAGCTCTCATGAGACTTATTCTCTATCATGAGAACAGCCCTGAAAGACCTGCCCCCGTGATTGAATTACCTCCCACCAGGTGTCTCCCACAATAGGTGGGAATTCAAGGTGAGAGCTGGGTGAGGACACAGCCAAACCATATCAGCCACCACACAAACATGAACTTATGCTAAAATGTAGTTAATGTCATTATATAACACAAATACATGCAAAGACACAGAGTAATGAAAGCCTTGTTTAACCAGGTAGATAGGGCAGTAGTCAGCAAATGCTTTCTGGCTAAGATTGGTGTTGCTATACTGAACCGAAATAAGAACATGAATTAAGTGGGTAAAAACGATGTGAAGAAAATGTTTCACTGTAATATTTACTCAAATTTATGATATCCAAATTTGGGAAATATTAACTTTTTAAAAACAGCAATTACATATGTGTTTTGCTTTCATTACTCTAAGGGTAGTGTGAAGGATAGATTTTAAGGTGACAAAGATAAAGTCAAAAAAGCTAATCAAGTCCTGTAGGATTTCAGACTAGAGAGAATAATAAACTTTACTTCAAATAGCAAAGTTAAGGTACAAATTCCAGGAATAAGAAAACAAGTCAAATCTGAAAAATGTGAAAGTGGTTCAAAGCAGCAATGGTGGAAAGCAGTTACATGAATTTGAAAAATAGGGTTAAAGGAGTAAAGGTATTAAAGAACTAGAAACAAAGGGGTAGACACATAGATGACAATTATGAACATGTCTATGCCAATATATTTGAAAAAAACATGGTGAAGTGGACACATTCTTGGGAAAATAGTAAAATAAAAATAGTGCAATATATCTTAATAATCGCATAGCTATTTTAGAACTTGAATTCCTAATTTAATTTTTTCCACAAATAAACCTGTAGGTATAAATGGTTTCACTTCTGAATTATAACAAATACTTAAGTTATAAGTTTTGCCTATCTTACAAATATCTCCTATGGAATAAAAAAGGAGGAACGGTCCTCAATCCATGTAACGAGTCCCAAATAACCTTGACACCAAAACCTGATAAGGAAGTTATAAGAACAGAAATTTATACACTAATATCACTCATAAATATGAATGTAAATTTTCTAAGTAACATATTGGTGATTCAAATTATGGATCATGAATCCACAAAAGATTCATGACTTTTATCGATAATAAAAATAGTAAACACAATCATTATTTATTTAAAATATTAATAAATTTAGCTTGATAAAATTGAGAATTGCTTATTAATGTAGATAATTGAGAGTAAAATGCAATTTACTCAATTGTAAAAGGTATTTTAGCCCAGATAAGCTATAAATGTTTTATGTTTAGCATATATAAAGTGCTTTTTAAAAGCAATAAAATATTAACAACCTAATTGTTTTAAGGCTGAGAGATATAGTCACTTCACAGGTGAATATTTTTAAATAGCCTATAAGTATGAAAACATGCTTAACTCTAACGTGATCAAGAATTATCTTTGATCTTATTTACATAGACTGAATTATTTACAAATTGCAAATTAAACCAACTAAGATAGAATGGCCAATATTTAAAAAAAGAAAATAAAATCTAACAAAGTTATGACAAACATTTGAAGCATTAAAGATTTCCATATACTATATGAACAATATAAATTGTTAAAACTGCTTTTGAATACTATTCAGCATTATTTACTAATATTAAACATGCAAATATTCCATCAATAAGCAAGTCCACTTCTAGGTGTGTAACCAGCTGATACTCATGTCCACATTATCCAAGATTCCTATAGTGGAATATTCATGGGAACATTACAATAGACCAAAAGTTGAAAACAATCCAAATACCCACCAAGACTAGATTAGATTGCTGTAAATAAACACAATGGAATACTATGCAACCATAAAAACAAAGGAATTATGAGTGACAACTGTATATACATCTTTGCTAAACATGAGAAGCCACAGAGAAAATTTAATATTTGCTAGTTAATTATATTTATATAAGCTCCAAAACACAGATTAAATTAAGCTATGGTATTTAGTATGCATATTGTGGGGTGCAAGGAAGTTATTCCCATAACATTTAGGATAACGTTTATCTCCAGAGAGGAGATGAAAGGTTGTAGAATTTGGAATGAAGTGTCATTGAGGAAGCTAACAATATTCCCTTTGTCTGGAGTCTGGTTATGTGAATTCAGTTTTGATAAATCATCAAGTTGTAACTTTTTGTTTTGTGTATTTTTTCTGCACTATATTTCGAGATGAAAAATATGAAAAGCTATTCTTGACAGATAAATACATTTTTGCTGGCTTAGTCCTATCTTTTTCAAATAGCCTAATCCTTTTCCAAATGACACTGTGTTTAGTTCTATAGAACTCAGCTATTGTGCAAGAATTTTAGAGTCAGTTATGACGAAGAGATAACAATTGGTAGGTAAGTGGAATTCGAGATATTTAGTAGGTAAAAATTTTAGCAAGTCATCTAAAAATTTACCTAGGATATTTTGGGAGATTAAGAGAGACACCATACTGGAGATATTGCTATTTTCATTTATGAATGGTTGAATGGCAGAACAAAAATAATTCAATTTCAAATATTACTAGGGAGCTCTTTTAGGGGTGTAGGAAGATTTTATGTATTAAAATCTCCTTATATTAATCAAGTTTATCAATTCTTAAGAAAAATACATAGCAGCTTGGATTGCTGGCAAGATGGTCAACTAGGAAAAGCTCTGGTCTGCAGCTTCCAGCGAGATTGACACAGAAGGTGGGTGATTTCTGCATTTCCAACTGAGGAACCTGGTTCATCTCAGTGGGACTGGTTGGAGAGTGGGTGCAGTGCATGGAGGGCAAGCAGAAGCAGGTGGGGCATCACCTCACCCGGGAAGCACAAGGGGTCGGGGAATTCTCTCATCTACCACAGGGAAGCTGTGAGGGACTGTGCCTGAGGAACGGTGGCCTCCTGCCCAGATACTGTGCTTTTCCTATGGTCTTCATAACCCACAGACCAGGAGATTCCCTCCAGTGCCTATGCCACCAGGGCCCTGCGTTTCAAGCACAAAACTAGGCAGCCATTTGGGCAGACACTGAGCTAACTATAGGAGTTTTTTTTCCATACCCCAGTGGAGACTGGAATGGCACTGACACGGAACAGTGCACTCCCCTGGAAAGGGGGCTGAAGCCAGGGAGCCAAGCGGTCTGGCTCGGCGGGTCCCACACCCACAGAGCCCAGCAAGCTAAGATCTACTGGCTTGAAATTCTCGCTGCCAGCACAGCAGTCTGAAGTCGAACTGGGATGCTTGAACTTCATTGGGGGAGGGGTGCCTGCCATTGCTGAGGCTTGAGTAGGCGGTTTTACCCTCACAGTGTAAACAAAGCTGCCTGGAAGTTCGAACTGGGCAGAGCCCACCACAGATCAGCAAGGCTGCTGTGGTTAGACTGCCTTTCTAGATTCCTCCTCTCTGGACAGGGTATCTCTGAAAAAAAGGAAGCAGCCCAGTCAGGGACTTAGAGATAAAACTCCCATCTTCCTGGGACAGAGCACCTGGGGGAAGGGGCGGCTGTGGGCATAGCTTCAGTAGACTTAAATGCCCCTGCCTGAGAGCTCTGAAGACAGCAGCAGATCTCCCAGCACAGCGTTTGAGCTCTGGTAAAGAACAGAGCTGCCTCCTCAAGTGGGTCCCTGAGCCCCATGTATCCTGACTGGGAGACACCTCCCAGTAGGGGCCAAAAGACACCTCGTACAGGAGAGCACTGGCTGGCATCTGGTGGGTTCCCCTCTGGGACTAAGCTTCCAGAGGAAAGAGCAGGCAGGAATCTTTGCTGTTCTGCAGCCTCCACTGGTGATAGCCAGGCAAACAGGGTCTGGAGTGGATCTGCAGCCTCCACTGGTGATACCCAGGCAAACAGGGTCTGGAGTGGATCTCCAGCAAACTCCAGCAAACCTGCAGCAAAACGGCCTGACTGTTAGAAGGAAAACTAACAAACAGAAAGGAATAGCACATCCACTCAGAGACCCCCTCTGAAGGTCACCAACATCAAATGTAAGGGTAGATACATCCGCAAAGATGGGATAAATCAGCACAAAAAGGCTGAAAATTCCAAAAACCAGAATGCCTCTTCTCCTCCAAAGGATCACAACTCCTTGCCAGTGAGGGAACAAAACTGGATGGAGAATGAGTCTGATGAATTGACAGAAGTAGGCTACAGAAGGTGGGTAATAACAAACTCCTCTGAGCTAAAGGAGCATGTTCTAACCCAATGCAAGGAAGCTAAGAACATTGATACAAGTTTACAGGAACTGCTAACTAGAATAATCAGTTTAGAGAAAAACATAAATGAAATGATGGAGTTGAAAAACACAGCACGAGAACTTCCTGAAGCACACACAAGTATCAATACCTGAATCGGTCAAGCAGAATAAAGTATGAATACCTGAAGCACACACAAGTATCACACAAGTATCAATACCTGAATCGGTCAAGCAGAATAAAGAATCGGTTCAATAAGAGATTGAAGATCAACTTAATGAAATAAAGTAAGAAGACAAGAATAGAGAAAAAAGAATGAAAAGGAATGAACAAAGCCTCCAGGAAATGTGGGGCTATGTGAAAAGACCAAGCCTACATTTCATTTGTGTACCTGAAAGTGACGGGGAGAATGGGACCAAGTTGGAAAACACTCTTCAGGATATTACCCAGGAGAACTTCTCCAACCTAGGAAGACAGGCCAACATTCAAATTCAGGAAATACAGAGAAAACCACAAAGATACTCCTTGAGAAGAGCAACCCCAAGACATAAAATCATTAAGATTCACCAAGGTTGAAATGAAGGGATATATGTTAAGCGTAGCCAGAGAGAAAGGTCAGGTGATCCATAAAGGGAAGCCCATAAGACTAACAGTGGATCACGCTGCAGAAACCTTTCATGCCAGAAGAGAGTGGGGGCCAATATTCAACCTTCTTAAAGAAAAGAATATTCAACTCAGAGTTTCATATCCAGAAAAACCAAGCTTTATAAGCGAAGGAGAAATGAATTCCTTTACAGACAAGCAAATGCTGAAAGATTTTGTCAACACCACCAGGCCTGCCTTACAAGAGCTCCTGAAGGAAGCACTAAACATGGAAAGAAACAATCAGTACCAGCCACTGCAAAAACATGCCAAATGATAAAGACAATCAACACTATGAAGAAACTGTGTCAATTAATCAGCAAAATAACCAGCTAGCATCATAATGACAGGATCAAATTCACTTATAACTATACTAACCTTAAATGGAAATGGGCTAAATGCCCCAGTTAAAATACACAGACTGGGAAATTGAATAAAGAATCAAAACCCATCAGTATGCTGTGTTCAGGAGACCCATCTCATGGGCAAAGACACACATAGGCTCAAAATAAAGGGATAGAGGAATATTTACCAAGCAAATGGAAAGCAAAAAAAAAAAAAAAAAAAAAAAAAAAAAAAAAAAAGGCAGGGTTGCAATCATAGTCTCTGATAAAACAGACTTTAAGCCAACAAAGACGAAAAGAGACAAGGATGGGCATTACATAATGGTATAGGGATCAATGCAATAAGAAGAGCTCACTATTCTAAATATATATGCACCCAATACAGGAGTACCCAGACTCATAAAGCAAGTTCTTGGAGACCTACAAAGACCCTTAGACTCCCACACAATAATAGTGGAAGACTTTAACATCCCACTGTCAATATTAGACAGATCAACGAGACAGAAAATTAACAAGGATATTCAGGACCTGAACTCAGCTCTGGACCAATTGGACATAATAGACATCTACAGAACTCTCCACCCCAGAGAAACAGGATATACATTCTTCTCAGCAACACTTCACACTTAGTCTAAAATTGACCACCTAATTGGAAGTAAAGCACTCCACAGCAAATGCAAATGAACGGAAATCATAACAAACAGTCTCTCAGTCCACAGTGCAAACAAATTAGAACTCAGGATTAAGAAACTCACTCAAAACTGCACAACTACATGGAAACTATACAACCTGCTCCAGAATGACTACTGAGTAAATAACAAAATGAAGGCAGAAATAAAGACGTTCTTTGAAACCAGTGAGAACACAGACACAAGTTACCAGAATATCTGGGACACATTTAAAGCAGTTTTTAAAGGGAAATTTAAGCAATAAATGCCCAAAAGAGAAACCACGAAAGATCTAAAATTGACACTCTACCATCAAAATTAAAATAACTGGAGAAGCAAGAGTGAACAATCTCAAAACCTAGCAGAAGACAAGAAATAATTAAGGTAAGAGCAGAACTGAAGACAGGGACACGAAAAACCCATCAAAAAATCAATGAATCCAGGAGCTGGTTTATGAAAAGATCAACAAAATAGATAGACCACTAGCCAGACTAATAAAGAAGAAAAGAAGAATAGAATATATACAATAAAAAATGATAAAAGGGATATCACTACTGATCCCACAGACATACAAACTACTATCAGAGACTACTATAAACACCTCTATGCAACTAAACTAGAAAATCTAGACAAAATGGATAAATTTCTGGACACATACACCCTCCCAAGTCTAAACCAGGAAGAAGTCAAATGTCTGAATAGAACAATAGCTAGTTTTGAAATTGAGGCAGTAATTAATAGCCTACCAAACAAAATGTCTAGGCCTAGACGGATTCACAGCTGATTTCTACCAGAGGTACAAATAAGAGCTAGTACCATTCTTTCTGAAACCATTCCAAACAGTAGAAAAAGACGGAATCCTCCCTAACTCATTTTATGAGGCCAGTATCATCCTGATATCAAAACCTGGCAGAGACACAACAACAACAACAGCAACAAATTTCAGTCCAATATCCCTGATGAACATTGATGTGAAAATCCTCAATAAAATACTGGCAAACCGAATCCAGCATCACATCAAAAAGTTTATCCACAACGATCAAGTTGGCTTCATACGTGGGATGCAAGGCTGGTTCAACATACCCAAATCAACAAAAGTAATCCATCACTTAAACAGAGCCAATGACAAAAACCACATGATTATCTCAATAGATGCACAAAAGCCCTTTGACAAAATTCATCAGTCCTTCATGCTAAAAACTCTCAATAAACTATGTATCGATGGAATGTATCTCAAAATAATAACAGCTATTTATGACAAACCCACAGCCAATATCATGCTGAATGGGGAAAAGCTGGAAGCATTCACTTTGAAAACTGGCACAAGACAAGGATGCCCTCTCTCACCATTCCTATTCAACATAGTATTGGAAGTTCTGGCGAGGGCAGCCAGGCAAGAGAAAGAAAAAAAGGGTATTCAAATAGGAAAAGAGGAAGTTAAATTGCTTTTGCTTGCAGATGGCATGATTGTATATTTAGAAAACTGCACCATCTCAGCCCAAAATCTCCTTAAGCAGATAAGCAACTTCCGCAAAGTCTCAGGATACAAAACCAGTGTGCAAAAATCACAAGCATTCCTATACACCATTAACAGACAAATGGAGAGCCAAATCATCAGTGAACTCCCATTTACAATTGCTGCTAAGAGAATAAAATACCTAGGAATACAATTTACAAGGGATGTGAAGGACCTCTTCAAGGAGAACTGCAAACCACTGCTCAAGGGAATAAGACAAGAAACAAACAAATGGAAAAACATTCCATGTTCATGGATAGGAAGAATCAATATCGTGATAATGGCCGTACTGCCCAAAGTAATTTGTAGATTCAATGCTATCCACATCAAGCTACCATTGATTTTCTTCACAGAATTAGAAAAAAACTACTTTAAACTTTATATGGAAACAAAAAAGAGCCCACATAGCCTAGACAACCTGGGCAAGAAGAGCAAAGCTGGAGGTATCATGTTACCTGACTTCAAACTATACTACAAGGCTACCGTAACAAAAATAGCCTAGTACTGGTACAAAAACAAAGATATAGACCAGTGCAACAGAACAGAGGCCTCAGATATAACGCCACACATCTATACCTATCTGATCTTTGACAAACCTGACAGAAACAAGCAATGGGGAAAGGATTCCCTATTTTATAAATGATGTTGGGAACACTGACTAGCCTTATGCAGAAAACTGAAACTGGACCCCTTCCTTACACCTTATACAAAAATTAACTCAAGATGGATTAAGGACTTAAAAAGGTCTTAAACATAAGACCTAAAACCATAAAAATCCTAAAAGCAACCTAGGCAATACCATTCAGCACATAGGCATGGGCAAAGACTTCATGACTAAAACACCAAAAGCAATGGCAACAAAAGCCAAAATTGACAAATATTATCTAATTAAACTGAAGAGCTTCTGCACAACAAAAGAAACTCTCATCAGAGTGAACAGGCAACCTACAGAATGGGAGAAAATTTTTTCTATCTATCCACCTGACAAAGGGCTAATATCCAGAATCTACAAAGAACTTAAATTTACAAGAAAAAAACAAACAACCCCAGCAAAAAGTGGGCAAAGGATATGAACAGACACTTGTCAAAAGAAGATATTTATGTAGCCAACAAACATATGAAAAAATGCTCATCATCACTGGTCATTAGAGAAATGCAAATCAAAACCACAATGAGATACCATCTCACGCCAGTTAGAATGGAGATCATTAAAAAGTCAGGAAACAACAAATACTGGAGAATATGTGGAGAAATAGGAGTGCTTTTACACTGTTGGTGAGAATGTAAATTGGTTCATCCATTGTGGAAGACGCGGTGTGGAGATTCCTCAAGGATCTAGAACCAGAAATACCATTTCACTCAGCAATCCCATTACTGGGTATATACCCAAAAGTTATAAATCATTCTACAATAAAGACACATGCACAAGTATGTTTATTGTGGCACTGTTCACAATAGCAAAGACTTGGACCCAACCCAAATGCCCATCAATGATAGAGTGGATAAAGAAAATGTGTCACATATCCAAGATAGAGTACTATGCAGCCATAATAAAGGATGAGTTCATGTCCTTTGCAGGGACGTGGATGAAGCTGGAAACCATCATTCTTAGCAAACTATCACAGGAACAGAAAGCCAAACATGCATGTTCTCACTCATAAGTGGGAGTTGAACAATGATTGAGAACACATGGACATAGGGAGGGGAACATCACACACTGGGGCTGTTGGGGGTTGGGGGCTAGGGGAGGGATAGCATTAGGAGAAATAACTAATGTAGGTGATAGGGTGATGGGTGCAACAAACCACCATGGCACGTGTACACCTATGTAACAAAACTGCAAGTTCTGCATATGTACCCCAGAACTTAAAGTATAATTAAAAAAAGAAAAAAAAAGAAAAAAAAAATACATAGCAGCTTGACCAAATTCCTATGTTAAACAAAATTAAGAGAAGAATAGACATGATAGATAATAGAGCTAGATTATCAAATAATCTTTTCTGTCTAGAAAATACATGAACTGAAATATCACTCTATACTCCATAAATATGTACAATTATTATGTCATCTAAAAATAAAATTTAATAATAAATGTAAATGTTAATAATAACTCTAAAAACCTATTTTACTGCCTTATTTTATGACTACCACCAAACTCCAATACCCAAATAATACAAATGTCCCAAATCTTTATACTAAATATGTTATTTAAATACAAAATTGTAGAAAAAATACCTTAAGGATATTGTTTACATTATATAAGTTAAAAGATTTTTACTGCCAACAAAATTAGTGTGAATTTAGGCTACATAAAACAAGTGTCTAAAGCAATTTGAATGGAAGTTGAAGTCTTGAGTCTAAGGGTGACACTTTAGAAGTACTACCATATCTCATATGAAAGTCAGCAGCATGGTGAAGTGTTTAGTCATCACGGCTAACAAAGTACTGTGCAGAGAATTGAAAATTAATAGCATACAGGAAACAAATGTAAAATGATCTGTTATCTTAAAATATTCAAGTTTTTATACGTTAAACTAAACTTGTATGAATTGTAATATTTTGTGTTTAGGCAGATTAACTGCAATTGTAAATATCCACTGAATTTCTAATGTTTAAATCATAGTAAAAATTGTCATACGATCTTAATACTGAAAGTAAAAATAAAAACACCCAGCCTAATGTGGGCTTTGCCAACTTCAATGGGTGGCTTTCAAGATTGCCTTTAAATTTACATTCATCCAGCCAATTGAGAGGGGGAAACATTTAGGAGCACAGGTGGGTAGGGTTGAAACAGATGTCAGTCTTTCCTGTTTACGTTGTCCTCTTCAGCAATTAGTCACAGGGCTGTCCCCAACTGCCAGAGGCTGGTGACTGCATCTAGAGGAATGCCTGGGAAGTAGCAGATAACTCTGATTTGGGTTAGAACTGTTGTACAAACATTATTTTGATTGAGAGAAAGAAAATTTGAATTTTCCCCTGATGAATTTATGTATATGAAAGTTTATTTCCAAGGCTCTGACCTTAAAACAGCATGCCCTTATAAATGTTTTGTCCATATTTACTCATCTACCCTTCCCCCAAACACCCTGCCTGGGCCACCAGATCTCTCCAATTTAGAGTGTCTTTCTTAAAAGGTAGGCCTCATGTGTCACTCCTCAGTTTAAAACTTCAGTAGATATCCACTGTCATTTAAATACAAAATCTTTAATGTTTCCTAAAAGTCTGGCATGCTGAAATTCTTTTAGGTCTCTGTATTATCTCCCAATTCCACCTTTTAGTTGGAATGTCCTCTCATCCATATGGGATTTCATTCAGCACTCAAATTACATAAATCTCAGAGTCATAGTCTGGAATACTTACCTTCTCTTTCTTTACCTACCTAACTCCTTATCCTTATGTCTGGGTTTTACAACTCTTCCTATTGCATGCTTTTCCAACCATTTTACCATCTCAACTTAATTTAGATTGCCGTGATATGGGTTGACATAAATCCTTGTTCTTCATTTAAAGCATATTGTGTATTTTTAATTATTTGTATAGTTGACTATTAATATTTCAGATCACTGTCATCTCCAGTAAAAGGTTGAAGTGCTATTTACCAATCCCTAGTGTGCAGTGACCAAAGCACGGGAGGCTCTGAACATACATTTGATAATTAATAGATGATCTTACTGATTGATATGCATGTCTCTCTGTGTTCTCTATTACATGAATAGTTCTTTAAAAATGCTTGAGAACGAGTAAAGCTATGAAATTAAAAATTATCTTAAGAACATTTTGGAAAATTTGCAGATGCAGTAACAAATCTTCAGGAATAAAAACCATAATACCACACACCTAACCTCCCATTGACATAGTTCCATCTTGTGTAACACACTGAAGAATAGAAAGAAGAAAGGCATAATTTGGCTTAGAAATCATAGATTGTAAGACAATATTAATTACTTGAATCTATTAGTTTCTATCTTCACACGAAAATGTAGTAAAGAGCCATCATATTTCATTCACCCAATTGTTTTCTTATTTAATTATATTTATTATTAGTAATGTTTTTGTTGTATAAATTTACATTGTACAACATGATGATTTCATATATATATGTATATACGTAGTGAAATGATTAATACAGGTAATAAATTGCACATAGCCATCATTTTACAAAGTTACTTTTTTTGTGGTAAGATCGTCTAAAATCTACTCTCAGAAAATTTCCAGTATATCGTGCAATTTTTAATTCATAGTATTCTATATGCTCCCTCACTTTTCCTAGCTCACACCATTCACAAATCAGCAGTTTCTGATAAGGACCAATTAATTATTAAAATTAAAGAACAAAGAGAAGAAAAGTGAATGAAGTTCTCAATATTCTGATTGAAATATATGATCCATCTCAAAATTAATAGTTTTATATACACATAAGATTTATATAAAAAGTAGTACCTTGGCCGGGCATGGTGGCTCACACCTGTAATCCCAGCACATTGGGAGTCCGAGGTGGGCAGATCACCTGAGGTCAGGAGTTTGAGACCAGCCTGGCCAACATGGCAAAACCCCATCTCTACTAAAAATAAAAAAAATAAAAAATAAAAAAAAAGAAGCCAGGTGTGGTGGCATGCACCTGTAGTTCCAGCTGCTCAGTAGGCTGAGGCACGAGAATTGCTTGAACCCAGGCAGCAGAGGTTGCAGTGAGCCAAGATCACACCACTGCACTCCAGCCTGGACAACAGATCAAGGCTGTCTCAATTAAAAAAAAAATTAGTACCTTAATCCATTTTTTTAAAATGTTGCATTTTAGAATGTATTAGTTACAAAGCATGTGTAACATTCCTATAATTTGTATACAATATAACGAAAGTCACTAACACATTTTTTTTAATTGTTGGTAAAAACTTCTAATGGGCTATTACAAGTGGTTTCACTTTATTCCTGGGTGTTTTCAAAAAAAGAATTCTAAATTTCTAATTTATGATAAAATACAGTAAATAAATAATTTGTCTTGAAAATATCAATTATCATTTTTAGAGATATAAGCAGATGAAATAATACAGATTTTTAAATCATAAACATGTTTTTTGTTTTTGTTTTTTTACCAGAGTCTTGCTTTGCCGCCCAGGCTGGAATGCAGTGGTGTGATCTCAGCTCACTTCAGCCTCCATCTCCCAGGTTCAAGCAATTCTCCTGCCTCAGCCTCCTGAGTATCTGGGATTACAGGTGCCCACCACCATGCCCACTTAATTTTTCTATTTTTAGTAGAGATCAGGTTTCACCATGTTGGCCAGGCTGGTTTCAAACTCCTGACCTCAGGTGATCTGCCTGCCTCGGCCTCCCTAAGTTCTGGGATTACAGGTGTCAGTCCTCGTACCCGGCCAACATATGGGTTTCAACTCCAATTTAATGACTTCATATTCATGAGAATTTGAACATGTAACTTGAATTTAATTTTCACTACGGGAAAATAGTGCTGTTGATAGTTACTTTATTATTTAATTATAAGTAAATGAGAAAATGTAAAAGAACCTGGAATAACAGGTTTTTCTTAGATGTTAAAATTATTCTTTTCTCAATTATTTTCTCTTCTAATTAATTATCTACATTATTTCAAACAAATTTGTAGTCATCTCCAATGTATCTGTCTCAATCTCCCTTTCCACCTTTTGTTTCCCACTCCTCAGTAATGATGAAAGCATGCCGATTTAATCTCCAATTATCTAAATTCTTTCTTTACTTCCTTCTTTCTGTCACAGTAACTTTGAAAGTCATTTTATTAATAATGGGGGATAAAATATAGCATCAGATTGAAGAGATATTGATAATATGAAAGCCTAATATTTAATAATTAAATGTGAGTTCAGTAATGTAAATTTTTTTAATGGATTGGGTAGAGGAAGTGTTGATGTATTTAGAATCAGATCTGTGCTATGTGGAATATTTAGTAAATACAATTGTGGATATAGTTCATTTGATACACATATTTGATAATCAAGACAGGATGTCCAGGTATGCAGTAGGATATACAGATTTATAATTTAAAAATGATATCTAAAATTCATGGACACTATATGTAACAAAGAGCATATGAAAAAGTAAAGTCAAAAATAAAATTAAATGGAATACCATTTTTTTATAATCAGTCACTGGAATAATTATCAACAATAGAGATTAAAATAAACTTTTTTACCCTTTCTGCAAGTTATTAAGTTAGCTTGTCATGGTTGCACACTTACTGGTGGAAGACATGAGACTTCTGGCCCAGAGAGAAAGGACTTTATTACTCAAAGCACAGAAGGTAGCATGAGCCTTATATTCTCATCAGTTTTCCTTGCCCCTAAGTCCGGTGAGGGTGATATGGAAGCCATACCCAGATGTATGCCACAAAATTTCCATGCATGGGTGAAAAGACAAAAAACTGCAGTAGATATAAAGGGAAACTTAGTAACAAAAGGCACTCGTTTTAGATACATGCAAAAACATGAATGAATCTTAAAAACATTGTCTAAGTGACAGAAGCCAGACATAAAATATGTTATAATGTATGATTCCATTAATGTGACATGCTAGAAGGCAAAACTAGTGAGGGAAAACAGATTAGTGATTTTGAGGTACGGTGGTTGGAGGTGGCACACTGATTGCAAAGTGTCAGGAGTGTTGGGGGTGATTAAAGTATTCCATAACATAAATAGGATGGCACTTATATCAAGGTTTTTCTTTGCCAGAGTTCAAACATAGCATTTTTATAATTTGTAGATTTTGTTGTATGTATATGTTTTCAGTTGAATTGGCTTTCCAAAAAGAGATGTTAGAAGCTCTAACCTCTGGTACCTGTGAATGTGACATTATTTGCAAATAATATATTTGTAGATATGATCAAGCTAAGATGAGTTTATACTAGATTAGGGTGACCAATGACTGGTGTCCTTATAAGAAGGCTATGTGAAGACACATGGATACAGAGATGACCAGGGAGAATGTCATGTTATAAGAGAGAGAAAACTTGGAATGATGTCACTGCCAGCTAAGGAGTGCCAGAGATTGCTCAGGAACACCAGGAGCTAGGAAAGAAATATGAACAAATTTGTCGTCAAAACCTCCAGAAAGAACCAAACTTGCTGACATCTTGATTTCAAATTTCCAGCCTCCAGAAATGTGAAAGAATAAATTTCTCTTGTTAAGCCATGCAGTTTGTGTTAATCTTCGATGGCAGTTTTAAGAAACTGGTACAATATATTATGTCTCAGTGAAGCTGATTTTTGGCAAATATCATAAAAGCATATTGTGAACAATACATGTAAACAGCATAGTGAAGTGCTTTGCCACTATAATTAATAAAAAATAGCTTATATAATTGATAATTATTAGCTTAGAGAAAACAAAAATTAAGTGGCATATAACCAAATAACTTCAGCTATTTTAAAGTTGTGTACAAAATAAACTGATTTTTAAAATTAAATCCAAATTCATGTATTAGTTAGCACTGATGTAACAAGTAGGCCCTAAATGTGTCACACAATAGAAAACTTCTTGCTCTCTTCATAATACTGGACAGGTTAAAAAAAAAAATTGTCAGTGATTCTGCCTGATATGGGCTCTGCCATAGTCATCAGTTTGCTACATTTCCTGTGGAGAAGCAGGGAGGAGCACATGTGGGATAGTTTTATGAGCAAAGACTGGAAGAGGTGCCAATCACTCTCACAGGTATTTCATTGGCTAGAACCCAGTCACATGACTCTGCTTAACAGCCAAGAAACCTGGTTAAGTTTATTTAGCTGTGTGCAAGCTCTTGGCATAATAGTGCTTCAATTTGAGATGATGAAAACTAGAATATCCTTAGCTAGGGAATCTCTGTATAAGTTCATTACCACAGCACCACTTTAGAAACAGCAATAGTAGTAGTATTATAATTGGCCTTCACATAGCACCTTATTCCCCTACCCCAACCCAATGTACACTTCTTAACATGTAAGCCTCATCATGTCACCCCTTGATATAACACTCTTCAATAGATATCCAGTGTTGATTTAAGTGAAAATCTTATAAATCCTATAGGATTTTCCTAGATCCAAATAGACCCTAGGATTTCTTGCATGACTTGAGCTCTTCTCATGTTGCCTAAGCCATTTCGCCTCAGTCCTTCATTTGTATTCTTTTCTCAAGCCATTTTGGGCTTCCTGCAATATCTATAACCCATCATGTTTTTCTTCCTTCAGTAGTAAAATCCATCTTGCTTTCTCTCACCTTGACTGTTCACGTGTCTGAAAGTTTTGGCTTTCTTCTCTTTATGTAGTTAACCCTTTCTAATCATTCAGGTCTAATTTTAAATAATATTACCTGAAGGAGCCTTTTTTTTTTTTTCCATCGAAAGGCTAAGTTAGTTTTCCTGGATTTAGGCTTATACAAAATCCTGTATGTACTCCTTTAAAGCATAAACAAACATAATTATTTAAATAATTATTGCAATATTTTTGTATATCTATGTTACCCAGTATGAGTTTTAAGAGCGGTGACTGTGGAAATTTTGTTCACCACTTTCTGTTACAGAAAACATCACATGGTAGGTTGTTTAAAAGTTTCACTGAAGGAATGATTTACTCTCTGACGAAGGGTATCTAATTATATTTTTTCTATATTAGATATCTACCTGACTTAAGAGATACATAACAAGGCAACCAAACAATTTTATTACTTTTGAAAAATATTGGAACCCATGAGATAGCATACTATTGGTAATAGCACAGAACAATACACACCTAATGCTTGCCTTCCCTTTTAATCAACTGTGTAATAAGTGAGAAAATGAAAATTGAAGGGGATTATTATTTGTCATAAAAGTAAGAGATTTTTAAAATGCTACTGATACTTTAAATCTCCTAATTTACATAATTTTTGCAATAAAGAACAGACATATTTTCAAGATACCCAACTGATTTCAAATTTAAAAACACTAAAAACATCTCTACCTGTGCCTACTGCAAAGCAATAGCACTTGGTTAGGATTGATGTATAAAAATAAAATGAAGCAAAATGTGACATTTTGAATGCTCTAAATTACAAAATTAAGTTCACTTAAAATGACTAATGTTTAAATGTGCATGCATAACATTTAAAGTTTAATATTTATATATTATGTATAATTTTTTATTTGGAAATCATAAGAAAATTTGTCCAGAATTTACATGAATATATAATGCTCATGACTGATATAAAAATACAATGTATCATGGAAAACTTTGCTAGGATTTTAAGTGGGTTCACTATATGTTTTTTGCATACTTAAAATTAATTTTAAAAAATTGAATATTTTGTTTCAAGCATCTTAATTTTTACATTTACAGATATGAGAAAAAATAACATTGAGTTTTTTTATTACAATAATCTTGCTTGAATTCCAACTTCGTTACTTAGTTGTGATGTTACTTAAGGAAGTAGCTTGATAGCTCAAAGACGTAGTTTTGTTTACAATAAAATAGGGACACCGATAGCTAAGTTAAAAGATGGTAAGGTGAAATAAATAAGAAAACATTTGCAACAAAACCTGGAGTACTGTATAGTGTAGGCAGTATAGACAGATCCATTCTTTCTTCTTTTGATGTCTCTTCTAATGTGTATTTCTTTATCTTATCAAATAAAGTTTAACTCATTCTCAATTTTGTTTTATCTTTTTTATTTGCTTCCATTATTCAAATGTCACTGGAAGTATTCATTTACCTCCAAAAATTATCTTTATTCTTTTGTTAGTTCCCTCACACTATTTTATGTCATCAAAGCATATTAATTTATCTCACAGTTTCTTTTAATTGTACTTTTTCTTCTATACTTTTTCTGGCATATAATTCTGCAAATTAAATTCTAGCTTATGAACAATTTCAATAGTTGTGAGGAAAAAAGAGGAAACTAAAGTAACAAACATTTCTGATGAACAAGCTCTAAGGTTTGGGGAGTAGTTAAATGTAAGTATCTGTGATGGTTAATACTGAGTGTCAACTTATTGGATTGAAGGATACAAATTATTGATCCTGGGTATGTCTGTGAGGGTGTTGCCAAAGGAGATTAACATTTGAGTCAGGGGATCGGGAAAGGCAGACCCACCCTTAATCTGGGTGGGCACAATCTAATCAGCTGCCAGTGCAGCTAGAATATAAACAGGCAGAAAAATGTGAAAAGAGAGACTGGCCTAGCCTCCCAGCCTACATCTTTCTTCCATGCTGGATGCTTCCTGCCTTTGAACATTAGACTCCAAGTTCTTGTTTTGGAACTCAGGCTGGCTCACCTTGCTCCTCAGTTTGCAGATGGCCTATTGTAGGACCTTGTGATTCTGTAAATTAACATTTAATAAACTTTTATATATATATATAGACAGAGAGAGGAATGGAATATATATATATATATATAGGAATGGAATATATATATATATATTCCATATATATATTCCATTAGTTCTGTCCCTCTATTGAACCCTGACTAATGCCAATTTTGGTACCAGGAGTGGTTCTAGAGGAACAGAATATTAAAGATGGAGTTCTTTCATTGGTTTAGGGGTTTCTGGAGTTGGAAGCTTAATATAATTAGACCCATAAATGCTAAGGACTTTTTTTTTTTTTTGAGGTGGAGTCTCACTCTTGTTGCTCAGGCCGGAGTGCAGTGATGTGATCTCAGCTCACTGCAACCTCTGCTTCCCGGGTTCAAGCTTCTCCTGCCTCAGCCTCCTGAGTAGCTGGGATTATAGGCACCCACCACCATGCCTGGCTAATTTTTGTGCTTTTATTAGAGATGGGGTTTCACCATGTTGGCCAGGCTGGTCTCGAACTCCTGACCTAGCCTGCCTTGGCCTCCCAAAGTGCTGGGATTACAGGCATGAGCTACTGCGCCTGGCAAGGACTCTACTTCTAATAGTATAGAGAACACTGATAATCCTTGGTGTGAATGGTTTATAGAGCTATGCAAAATAAATGCATTTAATACTCCTGATTCATCGCTTGTGAGAGGCAAGGAGTTTAGTGATTCTATACATAATACCTTTGATCATAAGTGGAGAACCAAGGAACATAATAAAGCTGGTTGGCTGCTCTTAAGTTCAGTGAACAAAGTGATTAAAGAAAATGATGAAATCAGGGATTCTGTCTCCCAGCTTCAGAAGCAGACACTGAGCCTCAAATCTGCTAAGATTGCCCTGAGTGAGTCTTATCTCCTATAGAGAAAGAGCTGAAAATGTGGAAAAACAGATACAAGTTCTTATCATGAGAAAGGCTGACTTGCAACGAAAGGTGCATGCACAGCCTCACCAGTTGTCTACTGTTAAACTGAATGCAATGACTAGAAAAAAATGGGACCCTAAAACTTGGAATGGGGACGTGTGGGAGGACACTGATGAAGCTGAGGACACTGAGCTTGTAAACTCTGATGAACCTTTTGTGGCCGAAGAAAAATCTTCCCTATCCCCAGTAGAGGCAACATCCCCTCTCCAACTCATGCTGCCATGCTTTTTACCTTTGACCCATGCTTTCGCCCAAGCTTTTCACCTTTGATTGAGGAGATAAACTGTGTGCTGCCTGAGCCAAAAGCGATGGCCTTGCCTGAGGCAGTTTCCAGGCAAGATAATGTTGATTCTCCTCAGCAGCCCCCCACAAAGCACCCATTTGCTTCTAGGCCTATAACTAGACCTCTAGAGGTGAGGTTGAGAATGTGACCCATGAGGAGGTGTGCTACACTAAAAAATAACTGCTTGAGTTTC
The DNA here is from genome assembly GCF_000001405.40 of Homo sapiens. Taxonomy (NCBI): domain Eukaryota; kingdom Metazoa; phylum Chordata; class Mammalia; order Primates; family Hominidae; genus Homo; species Homo sapiens. The sequence continues at coordinate 59,544,622 of NC_000004.12, read as the reverse complement.
TAATTTATATAAACAGAAATCTGGAGACCAGGCATGGGAATGGATATTAAGGGTGTTGGATAATGGTGGAAGGAACATAGAATTGGATCAGTCTGAATTTATTGATTTGGACCCACTAAGCAGGGACTCTGCATTTAATGTTGCAGCTCTGGTAATTTGAAAAACAAAAGGTTCTAATAGTTTATTTGCTTGGTTAGATGAGATATGGATTAAAAGATTTCCCATTGTGAATGAGCTGGTAATGCCTGAACTCCCTTGGTTTAATATAGAGGAAGAGATCCAAAGGCTTAGGGAGATTGGGATGGTGGAGTGGATTAATCACTTTTGACCTGCTCATCCCAGTTGGGAGGGTCCAGAGGATATACCCTTGACTAATGCTTTATGAAATAGGTTTGTGAGGGCAGCACCTGCATCTTTGAAGAGCCCTGTAATTGCTCTTCTCTGTATGTCAGCTCTAACAGTGGGAACCTCAGTTACTCAAATACAAAATTTAAATACAATGGGAATAATTGAATCCCGAGGTGGCAGGGGCCAAGTGACAGCACTCAGCCATCAAAAGGAAAGTGTGCTTAGCTACCATAATGGACAGCAGAGGCAAAGCAGCAATCAGAGTAGTCTGACTCCTGCAGAGCTCTGGCATTGGCTACTTAATCACAGTGTTCATAGAAGTGAAATTGATAGGAAGCCTACTGCATTTCTACTTAATTTATACAAGCAGAAATCATCTAGGTCCAATGGACAAAAGACTAATTTGAATTTTAAAAACAGAATCATGGCCCCTCAATCAATTCCAGATTTGAGCCAGTTTACAGAACCAGAACATCTTGAATGAAGGGAAGTCCAGGTCCCTTGAGGAAGGACCCCACTATATTACCGACAATTTATGAAGTGAATCTTTCTCCCATCCTTCCCCAAGGAAACCTCCAGCCCTTTACCAGGGTAACTGTGCACTGGGGAAAGGGAAATAATCTGACATTTCGGGGACTACTGGACACTGGCTTTGAGCTGATACTGATTTCAGAGAACCCGAAATGTCTTTGTGGTCCTCCAGTTAAAAGTAGGGGCTTATGGAGGTGAGATAATTAATAGAGTTTTAGCTCAGGTCTGACTTACAGTACATCCAGTGGGTTCCTGGACACATCCTGTGGTCATTTCCCCAGTGCCAGAATGCATAATTGGCATAGACATACTTAGCAGCTGGCAGAACCCACACATTGGCTCCCTGACTGGTAGGGTAAGGGCTATTATGGTGAGAAAGGCCACATAGAAGGCATTAGAACTCCTCTTCCTGGAAAAATAGTAAATCAAAACCAATATTTCATCCCTGAAGGGATTGTGGAGATTCGTGCCACCATCAAGGCCTTGAAAGATGCAGGGGTGGTGGGTCCCACCACATGCCCGTTCAACTCTCCAATTTGGCCTGTGCAGAAGACAGATGGATCTTGGAAAATGATAGCAGATTATCATAAGCTTAACCAAGCGGTGACTCCAATTTCAGCTGCTATACCAGATATGGTTTAATTGCTTGAGCAAATTAACACATCTCTTGGTACCTGGTATGCAGCCATTGAGTTGCCAAATGCCTTTTTCTCTATTCCTTTCCATAAGGCCCACCAGAAACAATTTGCCTTCAGCTGGCAAGGCCAGCAAAATACCTTTACTGTTCTACCTTAGGAGTATATCATCTCTCCAGCTTTGTGTCATAATCTTATTTGGAGAGACTTTGATTGCTTTTCGTTTCTGCAAGATATCACACTGGTTCATCATATTGATGACATTATGCTGATTAGATCCAGTGAGCAAGAAGTAGCAAACACACTGGACTTACTGGGGACCCATTTGCCTGCCAGAGGATGAGAAATAAATATGACTAAAATTCAGGGAACTTTTACCTCAATAAAACTTCTAGGGGCCCAGTGGTGTGGGGCCTGTCAAGATATTCTTTCTAAGGTGAAGGGTAAGTTGCTGCATTTGGCTCCTCGTACAACCAAGAAAGAGGCACAATGCCTTGTGGGTCTATTTGGATTTTGGAGGCAATACATTCTTCATTGGGGTGTGGTACTCTTGCCTATTTATCAAGTGACCCGAAAAGCTGCCAGTTTTGATCGGGGTCCAGAAGAGGAAAAGGCCCTGCAACAGTTCTGGGCTGTTGTGCAAGCTGCTCTGCCATTTTGGCCATATGGCCCAGCAGATCCAATGGTGCTTTAAGTGTCAGTGGCAGATAAGGATGCTGTTTGGAGCCTTTGGCAGGCCCCCTATAGGTAAATCACAGTGGAGGCCTCTAGGATTTTGGAGCAAGGTCCTACCATCTTCTGCAGATAACTATTCTCCTTTTGAGAGACAGCTCTTGGCCTGTTACTGGGTTTTGGTGGAAACTGATCATTTGACTATGGGTCCTCAAGTCACCATGTGACCTGAACTGCCTATCATGAACTGAGTGCTTTCTCACCCATCTAGCCATAAAGTGGGTCATGCACAGCAGCATTCCATCATCAAATGGCAGTTGTATATACAAGACCAGGCTCAAGCAGGTCCTGAAGGCACATGAGGAAGTGGCTCAAATGCCCATGGTCTCCACTCCTGCCACTCTGCCTTCTTTCCCCCAGCCTGCCCAGGTGGCCTCATGGGGAGCTCCCTTTATCAGCTGACAGAGGAACAAAACACTAGGGCCTGGTTCACAGATGGCTCTGCATGGTATGCATGCACCACCTGCAAGTGGACAGCTGAAGCACTACAGCCCCTTTCTAGGACATCCCTGAAGGACAGTGGTGAAGGGAAATCTTCCCACTGGGCAGAACCTCAAGCAATGCAATTGATTGTGCAGTTTGCATAGAAGGAGAAATGGACAGATATGCAATACACACCTTTTCACTTCTCATAGTTCATTGCACTTGTGGGCATTGAATTGCTGAATCCAAAGAAAAAACTTAAGCCAATTCCCCTCGTGGCACAAACACTGATAAAATAAAACAAATTAGCCTCTCAGGGTTGTTGCATAAGATTAGGGTTAGGCTAACCAGAGGGAAATTCAGTCTTATAAATACCAATTTAAAATTAACTCAAACCTTGATGAAATATGAGTAATTACTTCTTTAATTAGCTGGTGGATATATGAAAGAGTTTGTACTGAATGCTATAAAAATATTAAAAATTGAATTTTCAAATGTCTAAAATACCTTTTAAAATGAAATATTCAAATAAGTAAATAAACAGGGAGCCAAATTTAAAAAATCAAAACTATCAGAAACTGACTGACATTTACCTTGATATTTGCAACTAACAAACCAATGTCTAGGGGAAAAAGTCATTTTATTCTATCATTTATAGAAAAGATGCCAGAATTAGTGATTAGATAAGAAATCTCAACAGAGAAATTTAAATATCTTTAAAAATCAATTGAATGTTTTAGAACTCAAAATACAATAGCTGGGGAAAAACACTGGCTGGCTCAAGAGGAAAATGGGCAGTATGGCAGGAAGAATCAGTGCACTTGAAGGTTGGCCAATAAAAATTATTCCACTGGAAAATATATGCTAATGGAAAAAGATGCAAAAAATAGGACAGATTTTCAATGACCTATGGGAAAATATTAGATTGTCAATATATGTGTTATTCAGAATCCCAGAACATAAAGATGGTAATTTGGCAGACATAAAATATTACAAAATATAAATTATTAAATCTTAAATGCTCCTGTTGCAACAAGCATGATTAATTGTTTCAAAATCCACAAGTGGGACATTAAACAATGCTAAGGAAAAGATAATAGAATGTCTTTATAGGGCTAAAATAAAAAAACTATGGCTCAATAATTTTTTTATCAATGGAAATATACACACTTTAGAAATCAAGGCAAGATAAAGTTATCATAAGGAATTAAAAAAACTCAGAAAAGCTGAGCCAGCAGAACACAGTAATACAAATGCTATTTTAAAAGAAAGAGATAAATAACTTTGTAACAAAGTTCTAAAGCTAATTTATTGAAAAAATTACAAAATTTGAATAAATATTGCTAAAAGACTAGATATCTTTAAGAAATAAAAAACCCTCCATTTCTACCACATACCATACACAAAATTTAAATGTTAATAGCTAGCTCATACATCTAAAGATAAAAGTGTTTTAGCTTAAACATTAACCATTTGGCAGTGACTCACTCCTGTAATCCCAGCACTTTGGGAGGCGGAGGCAGGCAGATTGCCTGAGCTCAGGAGTTTGAGACCAGCCTGGGCAATACGGTGAAACCCCATCTCTACTAAAATACAAAAAAGCAATTACCCAGGGGTGGTGGTGTGTGCCTGTAGTCCCAGCTACTTGGAAGGTTGAGACAGGAGAATTGCTTGAACCCGGGAGGCAGAGGTTGCAGTGAGCCGAAATCGCACCACTGCACTCCTCCTGTCCTCCTGCCCGGGTGACAGAGCAAGACTCCGTCTCCAAAAAAAAAAAAAAAAAGAAAAAAGAAAAAAGAAAAAAAAGAAAAAGAATAAAAAAGAATGTGGATTATTTTTATTTTATTTTCATAGGTAGGTAAGTAAGGTTTTTTTCAGAAAGATAATGTGCTACCATTTGTTTAAAATGATAAACTCTGTTTCATCAATGTTGAAAATGTCCTCATTGAACTGCCCTAGTAAAAACGAATAATAAAAAAGCAAGCCACTACAGGGAGAAAATATTTGTAATGAATGTATGTGAGCAAAGATTTATATCGAACATATATAAAGGATTTCTATGTCTCTAGAATGAAAGAATGAAAATACAAGCAACTTAACTTGCTATGTTAAAAACCATACTGAAATATGATGGCTTAATACGACCATTTTATTCCTTCTCAAAACTGTGCGTGGACTTCATTTGGGAAGTTCTCTTGCCAGTGTGAAAGCAATAGGGGCTGCAGTCACCATGGAAATTAGTTGGTCTAGAATGCCAAAACAGCTCACACTAAAGTCTGATCCTTAGTTCTCCGCCACTTGGTTTTTCTACCCAGGTGGCATCTGCTCCTCCTGGCCTCTTTTTTCCACCAGGATAATTGATTTTTGCACATGGCAGTTGGCATGCTAGAGCACCATAGCAGAAGATTTCAGTCCTTGTTAACGTTTAGACCGGCAACTGGTACATTACTTCTACCACATTCAGTTGGTTAAAATGAGTCACTGGGCCATATGGGATTTTATGTGAGTGAAGCCTACCCAAAACATAAATACTGGGAAAGGTATTTCTCTGGGAACAATTTTTGGAAACTAGATGCTACACAATCCAATTAATAAATACATGGGTAAACCGTTGAGCAGGTTGTTTATAAAAGGATGCATAAGCATGGCCAATATGTGTCTGAAATGTTGCTCAATATCGTTAGTTAGAAACTAACACCACCATAAGCTACCATTCACACACACTTACATGGCTTAAACAATACTCATTATTGGTAAGGATGTAGAGATTCATGTGTAGCTGGTGGGAATTGAAAAAGGGAAAAACATTTTGAAAAACAATTTGCAGTTTTTTTAATAAAAATCTACATACGCTTACTTCATGACACAGCAATTCATGCCCAGTTACTTACCCATGACAAGTGAACACATTTCTTAATGAAAAGACTTGTAGAAAATGTGTCTATAACACTTTTATTTCTAATGGCATAAATGTGGAACAATCTAAGTTTCTATCAAGACATGAATGGATAAAAAAACTGTGATGTACTCAAAGAAAACTAGTCAGCAATAGAAAAGGAAAAACTACACATATATAAATATTTAGCTGTAATACATAACTGTAATATAAAATTAGAATACCCATTATTAGCTTTGTACTGCATTATCCTAGGGAGGACTTCTTATTTACTTCATGCATATTTCTTCCATTGGGTGAATTTATCTACATTGAACAATACTGTCATAAATGTATCTGTCTCAGACTTCAATTTGCTCCAACTCTAGAGATACTTAAATATTTTATATGACTTTGATAAGAAAAGCTTTAAATACTTTCATAAAAAATACTTAGTAAGGTTTAATTAAATAAGGAAACTAACCATTTGCTAGGGCTGTTTTTCCAGATCCCCTCATAATACAAACATTTTATAACTTTACATTTATTACCTTCTCTCTCACACATCTCAGGTGCCGTACCTTACCAGAAAGAATGCAACCCCAAAGGCTCATTAAAACTTGACTAATTTTATTGTTCCCAAAGTTACTCTAAAACCTTAGTTCTATTTAGCCTCTACTCTGCTGCCATTTCCTCTATTCAACCATCATTGGAAAAGACAGAAAAAAAAAGCAACAAAATAACAACCCTTTTATTGGGAATATATAATCTAGTGATGCCTGGCTATTGCAGAAGTCATGAGGGAAAAAAATTTTTGGTATCACTAAAAACAAAATTAGATGATAGATTAACTTGTAAAATAGAAATATCTGGCCATAAATAAATAACAGTGTAAATAAAGTGATAGAAATACTTACTGGAACCTAGAATGCTGTCTGAAGGTTGTATAGGTGACCTGGGGAGAAGTTTGACAAGTGTGAGAAGACTATGGAGAGAGTGAGCAGCCTAAAATTGAAACTCGGAGAGATGTTAGTAATGAGGAGACTCAGGATGAAATACTACACAAATAAATTTTTTTCTAGGTCTTCCTTCCCTAGAGTAACATGATAAGAAACTGACCATTATTTATTATTACATCTCTCTTTCTCTCTGTTTGTCTCTGCCTCTGTCTTTGTCTCTGTCTCTCTCTCTCTCTCTCACACACACACACACACACACACACACACACACACTTGTATGGCTGTGGAGTTAGAGGAGTTGTAGAGAGAGTTAAAACAAAACACTAACTCATTTTGATATTTTGTTCTTGGTGGTTAAACAGGGAACATGTAGCCTAAAATTGCTCTGGAGTAAAACACAGGTGCTTCACACAGGAAGATGAAGCAAGATTGTGAGTATTACTGATGTCTCAGTAAACAAGGCAAAGTACTTGAATACGTCCTAAGGCTTCAATTCTCATTCTGTCTTCATACACAAAGCTAGAAAAGTAATCAATTAGCCCCAGAAAAAGGCAGATTTTCCATTGCACTCTGGCTTCACCAAAACAAGTTCAGCTTAAAACCTTCCCTTTTCATTGCTTCAGTTTTCCATCTGAAAAATCTGTAAAAATGAAACGGTGACTTACTTCTGAAAGGATATGAGTCATGATCACAAATTCCTACACCTCACCTAAGACTGCAAAGTTATCTTCCAGTTTAGGAAATCCACACATGCTAAGTTTCATTGGAGATATTTGACTTGGGGATATCTAACATGACTACTGAGATTTTCAATTTCTATGACTAGCAAGGCCAACCTCATGCATTTTCCTTAAAAATGAAAATTGTGTTTTCTCTGCTATTTAAACTACATTTTCCTCTTCCTTGTTGACTTCTCTGGTGAGATGAATTCTATGCTTTGATGTGCAGAAGCAAGGAGTCTGAAATAGTAGAGATAACACATATATTGCTTAGCAAAAGCAACATATTCCTGAAAGAAAGAGCTCAGGGTCTTGGGACTGAGTTCCCAAGTTCCTTGAAGCATAAATAATGATATGAACAGCACACTTATGGCTGAGGTGCTCATTTACAAAAACGAAAGAAATGGGTCAGCTCTTGGCAACCAGAACTTCCAAACTTCTGAACCAAGTAAACAAGAAGTTTATATAAATTTGTAGCAACAGTAAAAACAAATAGAAAAAGACAAACTAATCAGAGGAAAATTATTTCTGAAGTCAGAACACCATACAGTGCTAAATTATCTTTCTGGTTGATGTGTAATGAATTTTAAATCAATAGTTCTAGTATACACTTATATATAAAATTTTCAGCATATGTATTTTACTTTTTAACACTGTGGATAAAGCTGTTGTGGCAGAAAATTGCAAATGACTCAGAAATGGAAAAGAACAGATGAGAAATTCTAAAGAAACTGACAAAAATAGGGTGGAAGGATTTGGGTAGGGTGGCATCAAAATAACTTTTGCGGAGAGAAACATTAAATTTGTGGCATGTGCATCATTCATGATGGTTATGTCTGAAAATATTTCACTCTAAATCTTTGGCTTTTTTTGTGTTTACCACGCTGCTGCTATGCATATCATTTTCTCTAGTTTAAGTGAAACATCTGAAGAAGTGAGACTTCCTCCCAAGATTTTTATTTGCGTTCTTCATAAAGTGCCCACTCTACAACAAGAGTCTGTCTCATAGCTTTTGCTGGCACCTCTATAACATTTGTTTTGAGCCTTCCTCTCCTTTCCATCATATATATGTTACTAAATGCTTTATAATTACAGTTGAACAATGACAGATAATTAAGGAAGAGCAAGGTAAATCCTTTCCCTTCCTACCAATCATTTAAGTTTCATGCAGTTGTTTATTCCATCATTTCTTTGTAAGCTGCATGTTACATGTTTGTTTTGAATGCAGGTAGACATACATATGTGTGCACAACTCTGTGTGTGCTCTATGGTTATATCTATATGATACTAAACTCACAATCAGATTTAGAGAATATTTGCCAAATAAGTTTGCTATATAATACCTAAAGACCAAATTTTTATATATTGTCAAAATGATGTCAATGAGTCAAATCATTTTTTTAATTCTCTTTGACTAATTGGCCTATTGGGACAGTAAAATTTATTTAAAAAGCTCTGCTCTTTTGTCCCAAAGAAGTGATTAATTGCAATTTTTTTCCCCTTATAACAGGGTTGGCTTCCTATGTCTGGAATTGCACTTCACAAAGACCCACATTGAATTTCCTTTGGTCTATTAATTTTAGAAACCAAGGACTTAAAGTGGTCAGGAAGACTGATTTCTTCGTGGTTTAACTGGTGACATGTGCATGGGGCCTTGCTCAAGCTGATACTTTCATCTTTAGTCATATTTTTGTACACAAAAGAGCCCAATGGAAATGAAGTCTGTAGTTTGCTTACAAACAATATTGTTATGTGGCCACAGCTTCAAATAATCTCCTAAATGCCAGCTATATATTGATTCAAATTTGTATTCTCTTGAACATGCAAAAACTCTTCATCACTGAAGAGTCTGCCAATGTTGAGAATACAAATTCAAACATGGCATTCAAAACCAACAAAAGAATTCTCAATCAAAAAAGAAAACCATGATTTCTATTTAAAATAGAAGATTGAGAATAAGATAAAGAGGAAAATGTACAATGATATGAAGAAAAACATATAAATGGAGAGAAGAGAATGGAAAAAGAATAATGCAATGTTAGAAAGCTTTACAATTGAGATATAATATATTAAATGTCTTTTATGTGATCAACATTTAGAAACCACAGTCTCTATGGAAATAATAAATATATCATAAATTAAGGCAAGTTTAATAAAAATTTTAAAAAAATGATTAAAAATTACTTGAATATCAGTTACAGGTCATAAACTAATGACCAATTTGTGTGGCAAAAAAAAGTGCCATAGAACTTTTGGGAAAGAGGAAATCACTGAGGAATGGTATGGCAAGAGAGAGCTTATGGCAAATGTTGAAATGAGGATGAATGATTCTTGTAGAACAGGTGCAATTTGACCAGGTCAAGGGGAAATGCTACACACTCCTAAATGGGGGAAAACTGGCACAGGAGGGAGCATATGCATTCATTTCCTGTGACTGTTGTAAGAAATTATCACAAACCTAGTGGCTCAAAACAATTTAATTTTATTCTTTCATAGTTTTTGTGGCTGAAAATATAAAATAAGTATCACTGGGCCCCAAAGTGTCATCAGGGCTGCACTTCCCCTGGATGGTCTTGGGAACAGTCTGTTTCTTGCACAACTAGCTTCCAATGGTACAGACATTCCTTGGCTTGTGGTTGAACTACTCTAATCCCTGCCTCCACTGTTTCATAGACTTCTCTCTTCCATTTGCTTTAATCTCTCTGTGCCCTTCTCTCAGAGGGACACTTGCAATTGCACCGAGGGCCCCACGCAGATAATTCCAAGATAATTTCTCCATTTCAAGACACTTTAATTGTATCTGCAAAGATCTTCTTTTTCCATATGAGGTAAAATTTACAAGTTCCAGGGATTAGAAAACGAATCCCCAGGATTTGGGAGTCATTATTCAGTTTACCACTGTAAAGAGATAGCAAAGAGGCTGAGCTAAACGAGCAACCAAAGGAGGTTTATGAAGAAAACAGAAACCAAAAGTTGGACAAGGACCTAGGATTATTAAATAAATGACCTTGAAATCCAGAGTAATTTGTACCTTTTGATAACATAATAATCTCTCAATCTATGTTGCCATGAAGATTCTTTTTACAGTAACACATAGTTCCACAAGTTTCTTTTAGATATTATTAATTTACTAATTTTTGAGTGCTTTAGTATAAAATACTTTGCATATTAATGTTCTTTAAAAAGCAAATAATCTTATGATGGTAATAATCTCTTATAAAACTTCATATTAAACTGGAATGGCTAATGTATTCAATAATCTATATAAAATTTCCAAATATGTGCCAATAATTTGCTCAACATGCTTTATTTTAAATATGACATTACTTCTAGCTTATCATGTCTCCAACGCTGCTCGAAAAAATTGAAGACCCAAAAGTGACAATTTACTATCTGCTCTCATTGTTAATTACATAAGGAATTGTAATAAAGAGAAATACGTGTTTCAGACTGATCATAAGTATTTAAAAAAAAATAAATGTCTTGATCCTTTTTTTTTTTTTAAAGTCTAATCAAGTGCAATAGTAAGAAGAGGGAAAAGAATAGAACAAGAAGTTTGGTCTGTAACTGACTGTGAACAATCAATTGATATAAATTCCAACCTTTGGCCCAGCCAACTTTAACCCTTTAAATTGAAAATTACACTAAAGATGAATTTGAGTAAAGGAAGATATTCATTTTTCATTCTGTAACATACGGTCACTCCAGTATAACCATTTATTTCCTCCTGAATTATCAAAGAAAAGACTTAAGAAGTATTCGTTCTGTTGCCTACTCATTTTATCAGTGATGAAATTCCAAAGAAGGTTGATACTTCCTGCTGACTCTACAAGTGATATGGGAATTGTACTGCTGATTTCCGCAATAAACTCTATGGCTTCATTTATGAGGCTCTCTCTCTAAACAATGCATGTGTTTTTGTCTTTGGTTCTGTTTCTATGCTGGATTACATTTATTGATTTGTGTATATTGAACCAGCCTTGCATCCCAGGGGTGAAGCCCGCTTGATCATGATGGATAAGCTTTTTGATGTGCTGCTGGACTCGGTTTGCCAGTATTTTATTGAGGATTTTTGCATCAATGTTCATCAAGGATATTGGTCTAAAATTCTCTTTTTTGGTTGTGTCTCTGCCCAGCTTTGATATAAGGATGATGCTGGCCTCATAAAATGAGTTAGGGAGAATTCCCTCTTTTTCTATTGATTGGAATAGTTTCAGAAGGAATGGTACCATTTCCTCCTTGTACCTCTGGTAGAATTCGGCTGTGAATCCATCTGGTCCTGGACTCTTTTTGGTTGGTAAGCTATTGATTATTACCACAATTACAGAGCCTGTTATTGGTCTACTCTGAAAGTCAACTTCTTCCTGGTTTAGTCTTGGGAGGGTGTATGTGTCGAGGAATTTATCCATTTCTTGTAGATTTTCTAGTTTATTTGCGTAGAGGTGTTTGTAGTATTCTCTGATGGTAGTTTGTATTTCTGTGGGATTGGTGGTGATATCCCCTTTATCATTTTTTATTGTGTCTATTTGATTCTTCTCTCTTTTCTTCTTTATTAGTCTTGCTAGCGGTCTATCAATTTTGTTGATCCTTTCAAAAAACCAGCACCTGGATTCATTAATTTTTTGAAGGGTTTTTTGTATCTCTATTTCCTTCAGTTCTGCTGTGATTTTAGTTATTTCTTGCCTTCTGCTAGCTTTTGAATGTGTTTGCTCTTGCTTTTCTAGTTCTTCTAATTGTGATGTTAGGGTGTCAATTTTGGATCTTTCCTGCTTTCTCTTGTGGGCATTTAGTGCTATAAATTTCCCTCTAAACACTGCTTTGAATGTGTCCCAGAGATTCTAGTATGTTTTGTCTTTGTTCTCATTGATTTCAAAGAACATGTTTATTTCTGCCTTCATTTTGTTATGTACCCCGTAGTCATTCAGGAGCAGGTTGTTCAGTTTCCATGTAGTTGAGTTGTTTTGAGTGAGTTTCTTAATCCTGAGTTCTAGTTTGATTGCACTGTGGTCTGAGAGACAGTTTGTTATAATTTCTGTTCTTTTATATTTGCTGAGGAGTGCTTTACTTCCAACTATGTGGTCAATTTTGGAATAGGTGTAGTGTGGTGCTGAAAAAAATGTATATTCTGTTGATTTGGGGTGGAGAGTTCTGTAGATGTCTATTAGGTCCGCTTGGTGCAGAGCTGAGTTCAATTCCTGGGTATACTTGTTAACTTTCTGTCTCGTTGATCTGTCTAATGTGGACAGTGGGGTGTTAAAGTCTCCCATTATTATTGTGTGGGAGTCTAAGTCTCTTTGTAGGTCACTCAGGACTTGCTTTATGAATCTGGGTGCTCCTGTATTGGGTGCATATATATTTAGGATAGTTAGCTCTTCTTGTTGAATTGATCCCTTTAGCATTATGTATTGGCCTTCTTTGTCTCTTTTGATCTTTGTTGGTTTAAAGTCTGTTTTATCAGAGACTAGGATGGCAACCCCTGCCTTTTTTTGTTTTCCGTTTGCTTGGTAGATTTTCCTCCATCCTTTTATTTTGAGCCTATGTGTGTCTCTGCATGTGAGATGGGTTTCCTGAATACAGCACCCTGATGGCTCTTGACTCTTTATCCAATTTGCCAGTCTGTGTCTTTTAATTGGAGCATTTAGTCCATTTACATTTAAAGTTAATATTGTTATGTGTGAATTTGATCCTGTCATGATGATGTTAGCTGGTTATTTTGCTCGTTAGTTGATGCAGTTTCTTCCTAGTCTCGATGGTCTTTACATTTTGGCATGATTTTGCAGTGGCTGGTACCAGTTGTTCCTTTCCACGTTTAGTGTTTTCTTCAGGAGCTGCTTTACGGCAGCCCTGCTGGTGACAAAATCTCTCAGCATTTGCTTGTTTGTAAAGTATTTTACTTCTCCTTCACTTATGAAGCTTAGTTTGGCTGGATATGAAATTCTGGGTGAAAATTCTTTTCTTTAAGAATGTTGAATATCGGCCCCCACTCTCTTCTGGCTTATAGAGTTTCTGCAGAGAGATCCGCTGTCAGTCCGATGGGCTTCCCTTTGTGGGTAACCCGACCTTTCTCTCTGGCTGCCCTTAACAAACCACATGATTATCTCAATAGATGCAGAAAAGGACTTTGACAAAATTCAACCACCCTTCATGCTAAAAACTCTCAATAAATTAGGTATTGGTGGGACATATCTCAAAATAATAAGAGCTATCTATGACAAACCCACAGCCAATATCATACTGAATGGGCAAACACTGGAAGCATTCCCTTTGAAAACTGGCACAAGACAGGGATGCCCTCTCTCACCACTCCTATTCAACATAGTGTTGGAAGTTCTGGCCAGGGCAATTAGACAGGAGAAGAAAATAAAGGCTATTCAATTAGGAAAAGAGGAAGTCAAATTGTCCCTGTTTGCAGATGACATGATTGTATATCTAGAATACCCCATTGTCTCAGCCCAAAATCTCCTTAAGCTGATAAGCAACTTCAGCAAAGTCTCAGGATACAAAATCCATGTACAAAAATCACAAGCATTCTTATACACCAATAACAGACAAACAGAGAGCCAAATCATAAGTGAACTCCCATTCACAATTGCTTCAAAGAGAATAAAATACTTAGGAATCCAACTTACAAGGGATGTGAAGGACCTCTTCAAGGAGAACTACAAACCACTGCTCAATGAAATAAAAGAGGATACAAACAAATGGAAGAACATTCCATGCTCATGGGTAGGAAGAATCAATATCATGAAAATGGCCATATTGCCCAAGGTAATTTATAGATTCAATGCCATCCCCATCAAGCTACCAATGACTTTCTTCACAGAATTGGAAAAAACTACTTTAAAGTTCATATGGAACCCAAAAAGAGTCTGCATCGCCAAGTCAATCCTAAGCTAAAAGAACAAAGCTGGAGGCATCACACTACCTGACTTCAAACTATACTACAAGGCTACAGTGACCAAAACAGCATGGTACTGGTACCAAAACAGAGATATAGATCAATGGAACAGAACAGAGCCCTCAGAAATAACGCCGCATATCTACAACTATCTGATCTTTGACAAACCTGAGAAAAACAAGCAATGGGAAAACGATTCCCTATTTAATAAATGGTGTTGGGAAAACTGGCTAGCCATATGTAGAAAGCAGAAACTGGATCCCTTCCTTACACCTTATACAAAAATTAATTCAAGATGGATTAAAGACTTATACATTAGACCTAAAACCATAAAAACCCTAGAAGAAAACCTAGGCATTACCATTCGGGACACAGGCATGGACAAGGACTTCATGGCTAAAACACCAAAAGCAAGGCAACCAAAGCCAAAATTGACAAATGGGATCTAATTAAACTAAAGAGCTTCTGCACAGCAAAAGAAACTACCATCACAGTGATCAGGCAACCTACAAAAAGGGGGAAAATTTTCACAACCTACTCATCTGACAAAGGGCTAATATCCAGAATCTACAATGAACTCAAACAAATTCACACAAAAAAAACCAAACAACCCCATCAAAAAGTGGGCAAAGGACATGAACAGACACTTCTCAAAAGAAGACATTTATGCAGCCAAAATCACATGAAAAAATACTCACCATCACTGGCCATCAGAGAAATGCAAATCAAAACCACAATGAGATACCATCTCACACCAGTTAGAATGGCAATCATTAAAAAGTCAGGAAACAACAGGTGTTGGAGAGGATGTGGAGAAATAGGAACACTTTTACACTGTTGGTGGGACTGTCAACTAGTTCAACCATTGTGGAAGTCATTGCAGCGATTCCTCAGGCATCTAGAACTAGAAATACCATTTGACCCAGCCATCCCATTACTGGGTATATACCCAAAGGACTATAAATCATGCTGCTATAAAGACACATGCACACATATGTTTATTGCGGCACTATTCACAATAGCAAAGACTTGGAACCAACCCAAATGTCCAACAATGATAGACTGGATTAAGAAAATGTGGCACATATACACCATGGAATACTATGCAGCCATAAAAAATGATGAGTTCATCTCGTTTGTAGGAACATGGATGAAATTGGAAATCATCATTCTCAGTAAACTATCGCAAGGAAAAAAAACCAAACACCGCATGTTCTCACTCATAGGTGGGAATTGAACAATGAGAACACATGGACACAGGAAGGGGAACATCACACTCTTGGGATGGTTGTGGGGTGGGGGTAGGGCGGAGGGATAGCATTAGGAGATATACCTAATGCTAAGTGATGAATTAATGGGTGCAGCACACCAGCATGGCATATGTATACATATGTAACTAACCTGCACATTGTGCACATGTACCCTAAAACTTACAGTATAATAATAATTTAAAAAAATGCATGTGTTTAGATATAGTTAGATTAACATAAAATTATGGAGAACTTCATGAAATTTCTCAAAATTAATAGAATTATGCCAACAGTTTACCTGCTCTTTGTACTAAATAATTCATAAGAGGCTTTAGTTAATAATCATTAAGAATTACCAATATTCATTACACTGATCTATAAGGATATTTATTTTAAGAATTTTATTTCTTTGTTAACACATATTTATATTACTTTTTATTTTGTTTTCATGTATGTTTCTACATTGATGATCAAAAGTAAAAAGATATTATTTGCTATAACACATTTTAGGCAATAAACGTTTCTGAAATCATCAAATTTTTGATGCTATAAGAAAAATTACTGCACCAATGTTGAGAAATCAGAAAATATAGCTCAAATTATTTTAAAAGAAAAATATTCTAGTTAACATTATATTAATTCTAAGTTCAAAAATTTTCTCCATTAGCAATAGGAACATATAGTTATCAGAAAAAAATTCACAGAAACTGCAAGCAAATAAAAAAAATCAATAAAAATCTTCCTTGTGATATTTTGCTCCATTCAAAAAAATGATGGGTTAAGATTATTTTCAGTAATTTGAAAAATCCAGGTGTTCAGCATCATATTTTATTATGTTTGATTACAGTATTTAGCTGTTTGTCACAAAAAGAAAAGCTATCAACTGCATAAGCCAGGTTGAAGGACACTTTCCAGGAAAATAGTTGGAAGTAGGAGCACAAAAATTAGCAGGTTGATAGACTGAAAAAAAAGCTTTCAATTTAAAATACCATTTGAATTCCAGCTAAAATGCATTTACGTTTTATGCTTTTAAGCAAGTTACCCTCTAAGAGCTCAGGATTTTAATATAAAATATGGAGGTAATATGTTTAATTATTGTTCTGAACATTGAATTTGATCTATTTAATAAAAATAGCTAATAATAATCTAATACTTATGAGTGACCCACACTATATAAAACACTGTTTATCACATGTTCACTTATTTAATCCCCACAATTACTTAGTAAGTAAAATACTAATATAAATATTATTTTACAGAGGAGTCAAGTGAGGCAAAAAGTGAGTAACTTGCCCAGTATTACACGGTTATTAGATGGAAGAGTTAAGATTAATGTTTAAGCAACCTGTCTCCAGATCCCTTGCTGTTAATCAACACAAAAAACTATCTCCCTAGAAAGCATCTGATATGGTGCTTGGAATATAGTACATGCTCAATAAATGATAGTTATTCTTTAAAACTGTTGGCTGTCACATCAAGTGTGTATTTGCTCTTAGACATTAGTAAACCTTATTAAGCTTCAGTTTCTTTGTTAATGTAATTAAAAGAATGAATCATACTATTTCCTTATAAATCACAAATTCTATGATGATGACAGTATATTATGCTTATTTAATTATGGGCTAAGAAATAATTTTAATCTTTTTTCAAAAACTTACCCTACGACAATTATCACTATCTTGTGTCAGAATATGTAATATATAAACATTGTTATGGTTGCAAATCATGAGTGAGACTCAAGTTAACTACACTAGGGTTATTATACAAAATAACTTATATATGCCTAGGGCACATTTTTAGCACTAGAATTTGTCTCCACCTGAGTAGCCCATATTTATTTAGACAATTAATTCAGGCAAAAGATTTCAGATGATGGCATATTTAAATATGAATAACTTGACCCTTACTTATTTTGTCTCTGAAAGCGTGCACCTTGATACATAAAACTAATAATTTCATCTGCTTGAGTATTTCTCCAAAATTCA
The DNA here is from genome assembly GCF_000001405.40 of Homo sapiens. Classification (NCBI taxonomy): domain Eukaryota; kingdom Metazoa; phylum Chordata; class Mammalia; order Primates; family Hominidae; genus Homo; species Homo sapiens. The sequence continues at coordinate 59,527,267 of NC_000004.12, read as the reverse complement.
GTCAAAACACTTTGGTATGACATTTTTGAACCAAAGTCTTCTTAATACAAATGTAATTAAATTTAACAAATGTTTATTAAAATATGTCAAGTACTACAGACACTGTATAGAAAAAATATAAGACCAAAACACATTATTCAGTCTCTGGATTCTTATGGATACAAACATATATGCACCTATATAGAAAACAGATTAAACTAAAATAACTGTGTATGTATGTGTGTGTGTGTTAGTGCATATGCATTTGGAAATGTTGGTTATAAAAAGAAAGCAAACCAGAGGTTATAAATTGGTGCCAAGTCAAATAAGTGAAGGCGGAATTGAGATGGATGTAGCACATTACATAGACTTTTTTCACTGACTGCAACCCCAGGGGAGTAGAATCATGCCCAGTAAACTGGAATAATAGCATTACTTTTGGAAAGTTTTAAAACATTTTTAAATGATTATTTTCTAAAGTTCTTTCAACCCTGTTAAAATGTAGGACCGTGCTTAAAAGATTAAACGGGGAGAAAATAAAACAGCAACAAAGAACTCTTCTTCAATCAAAGACTTCTGATTAAACTTTTAAAAAATAGTTTTGGGTCAAACCAAAGTCAAGTATCTGACACAACTCCAAGATCTAAATACAGATCAGTGAGGTAAAACTTGTGACTGGTTAGGATCCATTTGTTTGCAGAGTTTTGACTGTATAGACTGAGATGTTCATGTATTCATCTAAATTTTTTAAGTAAAAAATGTTAAACTTTAGAAAACTGACAAGGCTGTTTCCCTTGGAAAGGTGATCTTATCACACTAGAGAAGGCAGTAAAGTTTTCTTAACCTGCATTTTAAAGTTACAATAGTGTTTTAAGTTTCCTGTACTTAAGGTCTTCTTGTCTATGATAGTCATTTTTATTGAAAATATAAATGCATTTATTAGAAACTCTATTGGGTATAATCATGAAGATATAAATAGGCTGTTACAACCAAGCCCCAGTGTAAAGGTGGCTTAAATAAAATGCTAGTTTGTCTCTCTAATTTAGGGGTGTGAGAGTAATCCATCTAAGAATAATGGGCTAGCATCATGTTGTCATAGACACAGACTCTTGTATTTTGTTTCTCTGCCATTTCTATAGGCCTCATTCATGTAGTCCAAGATCATTCACTGCCATACATGCACTCATAAACAAATATAATTCCTGCTGACAGAAGTGCACAGCCCAGGGTATAAGATAAATCTCCAAGGCCTCAGCCTCTTTCTCTGTGGAGGAGATTGTGACTGCTAGCAAGCACAGCTACTGCTACTACAACTTACAAACAACCAGCATTTGAAAAAAAAAAAAAAACCCACTACACTAAGGCTATCTATAACCAAGGAACATATATAGAGACTTGGCTCCCCAAAAGCACAAAGACACAAAGCTAAAGGACCACACCCAACATACACATGTCACACTCTCAAGAGAGAAAAAATTCTCACACAAAAACAAAAGGAAATTCAAAAATTTTGAATCAATGTGATATTACAACTGATACTACAGAAATAAGAAAGACCATCACAGACTACTATGAGTATCTCTATGCACACAAACTAAAAACCTAGCATCAATAAATAAATTCCTGGAAATGTACAACCTCTCAAAATTGAACCAAAAAGAAATAGAAACCCTGAACAGATCAATAATGTGTAATAAAATTGAAGCAGTGATTAGAAAGTCTCCTGACAAGGCAGAGGTTGCAGTGAACCAAGATTGTGCCACTGCACTCCAGCCTGGGTGACCGAGGAAGACTCCATCTCAAAAAAAAAAAAAAAAAAAAAAGTCTCCTGACAAAGAAAAATCCAGGACCAGACAGATTCACAACTGAATTTGTCAGATGTACAGTAAAAAAGTGGTACCAATCTTACTAAAACTAGTCTAAAATATTGAGGTAGAGAGGTTTCTCCCTAACTCATTTTATGAAACCAGTATCACCCTGATAGCCAAATTAGGCAAAGACACAGCAAAAAAAGAAAACTACAAGTCAATATCCCTGATGAACATAGATGCGATAATATTAAACAAAATACCAACAAACTGCATCAAACAGCACATTAAAAAGATAATATATCAAGTCAAGTGGGTTTCATTTCAGGGATGAAAGAATGGTTCCACATACCCAAATCAACAAACTTGATGCACCACATGAGTAGAAATGGAAACAAAAATCATACAATCATGTCAATAGATGCCGAAAAAACATTTGATAAAATCCAACAACCCTTCAAAGCATTCCTCCCAAGAAACGGAACAAGACAATGATGTCCACTTTCATAATGCCTATTCGGCATAGTGCTGGATATCATAGAGCAATCAGAAAAAAGAAAGAAATAAAAGGCATTGAAATTGGAAAAGAATAAGTCAAATTATCTCTGTTTGCTAACAATAAGATTCTATACCTAGAAAACTCAAAAGATTCTCCCAAAAGACCACTAGACTTGATAAATGACTTCAGTAAAGTTTCAGGATACAAAACCAATATGCAAAAATCAGTAGCATTTCTATGTACCAATAATGTTCAAGCTTAGAACCAAATCAATAAATCAATCTCAGTTATAATAGCCACAAAGATAAAATACCTAGGAATACATATAACCAAGGAGCTGACAGATCTCTACAAGGTGAACTACAAAATACTGATGAAAGAAATCATAGATGACACAAATGGAATAACTTCCCATGCTCATAAATTGGAAGAATCAATATCATTAAAATGACAACAGTGCCCAAAGCAATCTACAGATTCAATGCAATTCATATCAAACAACCAATGTCATTTTTCACTGAATTAGAAAAAAAATCCAAAAACGTATATGGTACCAAAAAGAGCCCCAAAGCCAAAGTAATCCCAAGCAAAAAGAACAAAGGTGATCATCACATTATCTGACCTCATATTATACTACATAGCTATATTAACCAAAACAGTATGATCCTCGCACAAAAATAGACACATAGGTAAATGGAACAAAATATAGAACCCAGAAATAAAGCTACATATTGAACAACCAACTGATCTTTGACAACCTTGAGAAAAATATACAATGGGGAAAAGACACCTTATTCAATAAATGATGCTGGATTAATTGGATAGTCACAGAAACTGGTCACCTCTCTCTTACAATATACAAAAATTAACTCAGGATGCAATAAAGACTTAAATGTAAGACCTTCTAGGATTCCTAGAAATCCTAGAAGAAAATCTAGAAAAAATTCTTCTGGACATTGACCTAGGGAAAAAAAAATGTGTGACTGAGACCTCAAAACAAATGCAACAAAAATAAAAGTAGAAAAATGAAAGTTAAATTAAACACTTCCGCACAACAGAAGAAACAATTGAGTAAACATACAACAACAGAATTGGAGGAAATATTTGAATAATATGCATCTGGCAAGGGATTAATATCCAGAATCTATGGGAAACTCAAACAATCAATGAGGAAAAAAACAAATAACTCCATTGAAAAGTGGACAAAAGATATGAAGAGGCATTTTTCAAAAGAGTATATAAAAGTGGGCCAACAAACATATGAAACTACAATCAACATCACCAATAATCAGAGAAATGCAAGTTAAAGCCACAGTGAGATACAATGTCACACCAGTCAGAATGACCATTATTAGAAAATCAAAACACACACAGACACACACACACACAACAGATGTTAGTGAGGGCATGGGAAACTGATAACACTTCTACACTGTTGGTAGAAATGTAAATTAGTACAACCTCTATGGAAAACAGTATGGACATTTCTCAAAGAACTAAACTAGTACTAACATTTGACCCAGCAATCCTACTACTGGTTATCTACCCAAAGGGAAAGATTTGCTATATTCAAAAAATATCTGCACTTGTATGTTTATTGCAACACTATTTGCAATAGCAATGTTGTGGAACTAACCTAAGTGTCTGTCATTGGATGATTGGATAAAGATAATTTGGTATATATACATCATGGAACACTACCTAGAAAAAAATAGTATCTTGTAGCAGCATGGATAGAGCTGGAGGCCATTTCCTAAGTAAAATAATTCAGAAAAAATATAATCAAATTCCACAGTTTCTCATTTATAACTGGGAGCTAAACAATGAGCACACATAGACATACAAATAGAAATAAGAGACACTGATGACTCCAGAGGAGGGGAATGTAGGAGTGGGTTGAAAGTTGAAAAATTACCTATCCAGCACAATTATCACTATTTAGATGATGGGCACACTAGAATCCCAAACCTGATCATTATGCAATATATCCATGTATGAAACCTACACATGTACCCCCTGAATCTATTAAAACTAAAAAGCTGTAAGTGACAAAAAATAGCTGTTTTTAATAAAATCAGGGAATTAAAGGGAAGTGTAATAAATGTGATGGTCAAGGGCTTTTGACATCCTTGCACTGTGGATTTTCCCAGGGTCTCGCATAACCAAGACCCAAACGGGTAGGTATGTTCTCACCTGAGAAGTGATTTGTTATGTGACTATGCAAATACTGAGTTCATGAAGATATGATTAATGTTTCTCAGGTAATTCAATTTAAGATCTTAAACTAAAAATCCAATTCTGAAAATTAAAATAGAAATACAGTATACAACAACAACAAAAATGCATGAGGATGAGCATGCCTGGTTGGTTGTTCATATTTTGTGGTATCTGGCAAAATCCTACATAAAGTTAAATTGTGGTGTTGCTTCTTATAATAGAAGCCAGAGTAATCTTTTAAAAACCTTTTCCCTCTATCACTTTGCTAAACACCCTCCAGGAGATTTCCCCATTCTTCAGTAAGAGCCAATGCCTTCCCATTCATTGGCCACCAAGCACTGCACGATCTTGTTGTTCTCTGACTTCATCTCTCCTCCTGACTTTACTATAGCTAGCCACTTGCTCTTTCTGCTGTTTCTGGAATTCTGCCTCAGAGTTTTTGAAATTGTTGTTTCTGCCTGAAATATTCTCCTTCCGAATATCTTAGGACTTGCTCTCTTACTTCATTATGTCTCCGTTAAAAACATCACCAAGTCAAAGGAACATTCCCTAACTAGTCTATTTGAAATAATACATTATTTTCACGCTTTTTCCACTTAGTTATTTTTTTGTTTGTTTCTGATCACTCATTCATTTAATTCATTCTTTTGTTCTCCATAGTCTTTTGTTAAGCAGGCTGTAATTCCCATGAAAGCAGAGAGTTTCTTCTTTTTTAAATTTATTTTTATTTGATACATTGTAACTGTACACATGTATAAGGTATATTTGATGTTTTGATACATACATATGTTGTGTAATGATCAAATCAGTGTATTTAGCTCTATCATCACCTCATGCACTGATCATTTCTTTGTGGTAAAGATGTTAAACAGCCTATTTTCTAGCCGTTTTGTAATATACAATATCTAGCTGTTAACCACTCACCCTACTGTGCAATAGAACATAATAACTTATATTTTCTCTCTAATTGTAATTTTGTATCTATTGATCAAATTGTCTCTATTGTCCCCTCCCCATACTCTCCCCAATCTCTGGTTAACAGAGAGCAGGGACTTTCCATGTTCGTGTTCGCTGCTGAATATCCAAGGTTTAGGAGAGGACCTAATGGTTTATAGGCTCTCAATAAATATCTGTTGAATAGAAGGGTAAAATAATGTGACTGGTGCAATTTTTGATGGAAGAGAGCAAGCAGTTGTTGGACAAAACCACCCTTGATATGGAAGCCAACTAGTGGACTTGATGGATTTGTTAGATAAATCCATAACTTTTCTCAGTCAACTAAAATTTTCATTTTTAACTTGGCTCTGTATTATCCCACAGAAGGCTTCACCTATTATTGTCTCACCTACCCAAACAGCAACATGTCATCTATATGTACTTTTTTCAAATATGATTTGAACCTTAACTAAATATTTTCATGTTATACTGATAAAACTGAGAGCTTTGTATCTGAGACCGGTATCCTGATAGAAAAATAGGTCCATGTAATTGTCAGAATCATAAACAGTTAAGGAAATGCTGTAATAAATGGAGTCCCCAATAAGTGGCTAGAAGCACAACCACATGCAAAGACTTATCCTGTAACAATATTCCATTGGTTAACAAACAGACCCATTTTCCTGCCTCTTCACATTCCAGTCCATCCTCATTAATTTTGATCACTTACGTATAACCTTAAACCATGAGCTACAAGACAATGCTTCAGAGCTTTATAACTTTTTGACAATGCTGTATCTTCACTAACAGCAAAGGAAAATAGAGCTGTTTTTGTAGAAATGGAATTCATGGGAATATCAGTTGCAGTTTCCCTAGGGACATACTAGCAGAAAATTACAAGATATCATTTCAGTAACAGACAAAAGTAATTCCAAGAAGTTTGGAGAAGCCAGATTACCTCCTGATTCATTTATCAAAGTGCCTGCAGCTCCCATTTTAAGTCAGGTGAAACAACAATAAATATTTGCAAAGTAAATTAATCTGTACCCAGATATTTTAATAAATAAAATGTCAAAAGAACACAGTAGAGTGCATTTAGCTCTTGCCAAATTCAGTAAGTGAAATTTGACTGCAATGGTGGACAAAATTAGCATAAAGGAAATAAAAATGCAAAGAGCTTTTGAATAGAAGCTTTTTGTATTCACTTTATATGGATTCTCTGAATACAATTTTAATCATAAAAATGACCACATAATGTAAAATTGCTTCAGGTAATTAGTAACCAAAACATATACCTAAAGTTTCCATTTTGATTAGTAGTGGAAATAATAAAAAGAGATTTTAAAATGCTCAGAACTAGAGTAGTTGAGTGTTTTATTTTGCTAAATTGGAATGGTAAGGTAGAGGAATTTTTAGTTGGAAAAGGAATTCTTCTAGAAACAACCTAAGATAATTTCTTTGTTTCTGTGTGTCATCTGCCCCTGAGTTGAATAGGATCAAAACACATTTCCTAAAAGTTCACTGAAACATCTGACAAAAATATTTATTCTGAAGCACTGCTTGCATGTTTTTAGTTTATTTTCATTAAGAATCCAAAGAGTGTCCATAATATAAATTAGAGGTTGGCACCATTCCCCTTAACAAAAACTGAAAAAAATTCCAATGGAATATGCTCAACCTGAGATATTTCCTTTGTTGCAGAATATATTTTGTGCATATTTTGTAAGTTAAAAAACCCATGAAACAAAAATCTAGAACCTAATAAATGGCTAAACAGCTTCAGGGAGTATCTGTTATCCAAATTGGTACCAGACATCCTCATTCACGCTATTCAGGAATCTCAAGCCAAGCACATATTCAACTGAATTTGGCTCCTGTTGTATTCTTTATTTTATTTTTTTACATAATTGACTTATATCAATGTTAACTAAAAGCATAAAGGAATTCTCAATTCCTCTCTTTCTTTTACACCTGACTGAAACATTCACATACTTCTGTTCCTATTTCTAAAACTTTCTCTTCATCCCCTTTTAAAATCTATATCTAATACCATTGCACAAATGTTAAATTCTCATCCTTCTCATTTAGACTATTATAGGAGCACCTTAAATATTACTCTCCCTAGTGTGCTACGCACAAAACAATTGTCTTTCCTCAGGTCAATGTATTAAAAACAGAAAATCCTCCAATGTCAGAACTTGAAATCTTTCCATGGTTTTCTATTACAGAGTTGAAGTTTTCTAGGGCAACATTTACCTCATTCTGTTGATGGCAGCAACCGGCCATCCGGAGCGGCCGCTACCAACATGCCAGCTGTAGAGGGGAGGTGCAGGAGGGGCTGCAGGAGGGGCTGCAGGAGGGGCTGCAGGAGGGGCTGCAGGAGGGGCTGCAGGAGGGGAGGTGCAGGAGGGGCTGCAGGAGGGGCTGCAGGAGGGGCTGCAGGAGGGGCTGCAGGAGGGGAGGTGCAGGAGGGGCTGCAGGAGGGGCTGCAGGAGGGGAGGTGCAGGAGGGGCTGCAGGAGGGGCTGCAGGAGGGGAGGTGCAGGAGGGGCTGCAGGAGGGGCTGCAGGAGGGGCTGCAGGAGGGGCTGCAGGAGGGGAGGTGCAGGAGGGGCTGCAGGAGGGGCTGCAGGAGGGGAGGTGCAGGAGGGGCTGCAGGAGGGGCTGCAGGAGGGGAGGTGCAGGAGGGGCTGCAGGAGGGGCTGCAGGAGGGGCTGCAGGAGGGGCTGCAGGAGGGGAGGTGCAGGAGGGGCTGCAGGAGGGGAGGTGCAGGAGGGGCTGCAGGAGGGGCTGCAGGAGGGGAGGTGCAGGAGGGGCTGCAGGAGGGGAGGTGCAGGAGGGGCTGCAGGAGGGGCTGCAGGAGGGGAGGTGCAGGAGGGGCTGCAGGAGGGGAGGTGCAGGAGGGGCTGCAGGAGGGGCTGCAGGAGGGGCTGCAGGAGCAACAGCGGTAGTGGTAGGACCCCTGTGCCCTGCAACCTGGAGGCAGCCTACTGTGCTGCCCTCACCCTCTCACAGTCAAGCGGGACCCACTCCCAGGCCCAGAGCCTCCGCTGCTCGGGGATCGGGACCCGGGCCCTGCGGCCACTGCTGGGAGGGTGTGGAGAATAGGCGGACAATCACCAGAGCCTGCACCGAGGACTGCCGCGATGGGACCAGGCTGAGTCTGGCGGGGAAGCAGAGCATTCAGGAAGAGAGGGGAAGGCAGAGAGAGGCCCCAGGTGGAGCCGAGTTTGGGGTGGTGCGGTGCTTCACGGAGCTGGTGGGACCCGGGGACAAGCATGAGCCCCGCCCCTTTCAAGTTGGCGGGGAGGGAGTTCTCAGGCGCAACGGCAACCACCCAAGCCAGGGTGAGACCGGTGCACACCTGTGCTCTTGGGAGCCAGGAGCAAGCAGGAGCCCAGCCCTCCCAGGTACCCCTGCAGCCACCCTGCCACAGCTGTGGATCCAAGCATCTCTGCACTCTCAGGGGCCCAGGAAGGCCCCTGCCCCTGCAGGGCTGGAAGTGCCTGCCCTGCTGCCCAGCTTCTCCCCAGTGTTGATGCCTGCTCTGATCTGGTAGCCGGCTTGAGGCCAAACTCAAGCACTGTTGCAACCCAGCCCAGTGTGTGCACATTCAAAGCAGCCCTGATATGCCAGCACCCTGCCGCCTCTGTCCCCTCTAGACTTTGGTCACTGACAAGCATGGGAGAGAGGCTGAGGTTGGGGAGGGACTGAGGGCAACTTGGCATTGGCCTGCAGGCACCTCTCTGCACAAGCAGCCTGGACACCATGAACAGCAGTGGGAGGCAGACAAGCTTCTGGGTGGAAAAGGGCAGGTCCTTGGTGAAGCCCCACCTTTAAGCTGGGGAGGGCCTGAAGCCAGGGCTGCCTTTTCCAGTGGGCAGACAGGAGTGAGAACGTGTGGCCCTTTTTCCTGGGCCTACCCATGGCCACTCATGGACTAATCAGCAGGCACTTCCTCCCCTCTGAGGCCCTTAAAAACCCCCAGACTCAGCCAGACTGAGTGAGGGTGGTGGTTGGGGTGGTGAGGGGGCGGGTCTTGGACAGAGAGAAGATAAAGAGAGGAATGGGAGACAACATGAAGACAATGGGACTCCCAGCTACAAAGAGGAACTACCCTCTCTGCTGAGAGCTGGACACTCATCCAGACACCCTGGCTACAGAGAGGAGCTGACCACTGTGGGTCTCCTCTGAGCTGTTCTATTGCTCAATATAGCTCCTCTTCATCTTGCTTATCCTCTACTTGTCTGCTTACCTCATTCTTCCTGGTCACAGGACAAGAACTCAGGACCTGCTGCATGGCGAGGCTGAAAGACCTGTAGCACAATCAGGCCTGAAACATGCACCTTGCTCACCATGTCGCAGGCAAAGTGGAGAGAAGAGCTGCAGCCCTTCAGGCATCCCAGACCTAGGAGCTCCCCAAGCCAGGGGTGTGACTCCCTTTTAGGAGCCTTGTGGTTCTTGCCATCACCAAACTTCCAGGTGCCACCACATTCACTGGTGCCAGCTGGGGAAGCTGCTTGTGGTGTGTCTTGTCCAGCTGTAGCCTTGTAGAGAGCTGGAGCCCACGCCAGCACCTGGAGCTGCCCACCCATGGCAGCAGCAGGCATGCCTGACTGTGTGCAGTGGCTGGACCCCATGCTCCTCACACACCCCATGCTGCTCCATGCCTGACTTGCCCTTGGAGGTGTGGGATCCAGGCTTGTAGGCTGAACCAGGCCGAGTAGGCAGATTGAGCCCAGTGGGCCCAAGCAAAAGTCAAGCAAAGGTGCCACCAACAACAGAAGTTTCTGGCCAGAAAAGCAACACCCCAGGGGTCCTGTAACACTATGACTTTAGCCTTTACTACCTACCTGTAGCCCCGTTACCCACTCCACATCTTCCATGTACATTCACTGAATTTCTGTGGCTCTATAAACATAACATGTTGTTGTTTTTCCTCCTGGACTTCACTTACATATTTTAGTGGGTGCTATGAATTTACTGCATATCATGTCTTAAATAATAATAACCAAATTTTGTAGTTCTTACTCTATACCTAACCCTGTTCTAAGCAACATGCATGTGTAAATGCTTTAAATCTAACAGCAGGCCTATGAAAGATGGCCCATTATCCCCACTTTACACATAAGGGGACTGAGGCACATATTTTCTAATTAGCTTAAACAAACCCTGCTAGTGAACTGGGAACTGTAACATAAACCCAGGCAGTCTGGCTGGAGATTTCAGGCTGTTAAACATTTTTAATTGCTTAGTTTTACTCATTACTCTAAAACTAAACTTAGAATCCTCATCTTCCAGAATATCTTTCATTATCTGCAAGATAAAGTTAGGTGCATTTTCTCTCTATTATAGTCTTCACATATTGAATTTGATTTTCACTAAAATTAAGCTGTTAGACTTATAGGTTGTATTGGAGATGACATCAAATCTGTTTTATCCATATAACACAACTATCTACAAGGTTCCAAGTATATAAAATACTTGATAAATATTTGTTAAATAGAAAATCCTTACTGTTTATATAAAACACATTTGTGTAACAATTTTTAAATACTATATGTTACTCGTCAGAGTTTCTTGCTTAGTAGTTTTATTTCCTTGAGCCAAATTTCTCCTGTGTAAAAAATGAGAATAAAATGAGACCCACCTCACAATACTGTGTTGAGAAACAATAGGTAATAAAAGTGTTTATCACAAGAGAAGCATTAAACTAACATATTGGCTGTGCTTAGTTTATTCTTATTCTCAGCAATTTTTAGTCCTGGATATCAATTATAAGATTAAAGCTTTTAACTATAAAAATGTTCCCATATTGATTTCAGTGTACTCAGTGTATTTTTTGTACATTTAATTTTTCTTTTCTTTTTCATTTTGAAAAATGCAACTTAATAAAACAATATTTTAATCAGAAATACTGGTAACTTACACTTGTCATATTTAGGTGAGCCCAGGGAAATTGCTACAATATTTTGTTTTTTCCAGTCAGGGTAGATATCCCAAAATCCCTAGTAAAAAAAAAAAGTGCAAAGAATACCTGAAAATGAGTACATATCAAAAAAGAAACGGCATTACTTCGAAGGTGGAAATAACTGATACTTTCCTTTATAGGTCAGTTTCAAGTCTACTCCACTCTTACTGGCAGCTACTCAAAAAATTTCTCATTTAAATGTTTCAGTCCTTCTTGTATATCTCATAGAAACATTTGTTGGAAATATTTGTTAAAAAACCACTTGTATTTAACACATGTAAATAATCTAATCTTTACAAACACATATATTCATATGCACGCATACACCACACACACACACACACACACACAACTATAACAGTAGTTATAACTCTAAAATGTAGAGATGACTTGAACCAGAATTCCTGGACTGAGACTTGCTTTTGGCTTTCCCCATTTCCAGCTCTAATATGTCAGCTTTGGAGGAGGGGTCTTATCATTTGCCTAGTGCCTGTCAGCAGGTTCTGGGTGGAAAGATTCAATCCAAACTCTTTCCTTTGTATTGAAAGCAATTTCCTAATAAAGGCTGCAGGTAGCTGAGTCTTGCTACTTTCCAAAATCTCCAACTCTACATCCTTTTCTTTTTTCTTAGATTGAAAAGCCCATTATTACTAAGGCCATCACAGTGGGATGTGCATTTTGCTTGTCTGGTTTCCCAGGTGAAAAAAATTGCTCCCTGCTGTCCCAGTGTTTGTCCTGTTCTCCTTTATTCCTTTGACTTAAGATTTTTCTGGACCTCTAATAAGCAGATCTTGAAACTTTGATTATGACATTATATTAAATCATGGTGTAGTCTTTTCTCTCTCTCTCTTTCTCTCTCTGTTTCTGCCTCTTTGTCTCTGTCTCTCACTCTCTTTATGTACTTGCATGCACACACACACAATGACAGTGTAATATAACAAACATTTAATTTTTGTTTTAAACCCTAGTATTTTCAAAATAAGAAGGACTCACAGAATCACATGGAGTTATGTTTGGCTTTATTTATTTTTTAATAGCAAATATGATTTCTCTGGATATTTACTTATTTATTCAAAGTTTGTATCTCTTAGATCATGTGGCTGCTGACAAAACTTCTGATGTAGCAATCATTTTGCATTTTACGTTCTATCATTTAAATATTTCTAGGAAAAAGTTGATTATTGACTCAAAAGTTAACTCTCTTACATGATCAAACTATTGCTACTATTACATTGCTGTTATACAACAGCTATCACTATTGTTATTATGCATAGAAGCAATGTGACTTCTGCTGATCAGTTCTATTCATGTGACATAATTTATTACGGATTTATATGTTCGTGTATATGTGTACATTCTTATTTTTGGAACAGTTAATAATTGCTGTTTTAGCACTATACCAGACAGTGTAGGAAATACACACACACATACTTTCACATCAAATATTTCCTCATACCATCATGATGTGGAAGAAAGCAAGATCAAAAAGCACTGCAAATAGCAGAACATAAGATGGGACAAGATTTGTCTAAGTAAAATGAGCATGTTAAAAAATATATCAAACCACACAATGCATCTTTTCCTCATTAAATGTAGTATATATAACAAGGAAAGAGTTCGAAAATGAGTTCAGATAGACATGGATGGTTGGATTTTAGATAGACATGGATGAGTGGATTTTTACCAGCGATAGGCAAATCACTAGGAAAAACACAACACAGGATAAAATTGATATTAACTTGTCAATATTCTTGTTAAATAATCAAATTTTGTTAGATGTTAGCTATTCATTATTAAAATCCCTGTATCACTGTCATCTTTCTTATGAGCAGAAACATTTCTAGCTGTCCTACTCTTTAACTAGATGAAGAAAAAGGTCAAAAACAAAATGTGCATTGCTTCATAAAAGAGGTTCCTCTCAGATAATTTTTTGGGTAAACGCTTATCAAATTGCCTTAAAGAAAACACACAAGTAGAAATAAGAAGCTAGCCATTATGCATACTAGATGAAAGATCACTACAAATAACTTATTCTGGGTTAATTTATGTGATTTGTGAACCTCCTTTTCTCTTCTCACATGATCCAATTATGCTATTTATCCAATCTAAAAAGACATATGTACACAGCACAATCATTCTGCCACCTGCAAGGCAATGTTTTATAGACAGTAATTTTATTTTCTTCAGGTATCATTAGTACAAGAGGACAGTTTTGTAATGTTCTTTTGTATCTCTGACTTTCTCTCTCTGTTCATAGCATTTTTCCAAATTTTACATTAAAAGATAAACAATATTATACATTTACATATTTATATACTCATCTGTTCACATTGGCTAGAGTATTCTTCCTTTTTGGACTACTTAACAAAGTCAATTGATTGTTTATAGTTTAACAAATAGACATATATTCAGGGGAAAAATGCTATAAAAATTATGGCAATTAAATAGCATTCATTGAACTACACAACCACTTTCTGATGAACTAGAATTCTTGTTGCTTACTGAGTATGCAATAGAAAGGAAATTATTGGATGAGGATTAAAATTGTTAGCATCTGTGTTAGATAATACACTTTGGTTAGTAGTGGTAAAAGCTATTTGGGAAATCTTTGAAATCAGGAATGTTGAATAGCAAGAGCCTCAACTTTGTAAATAATCAACTCAACAGATATTTTGTTGATCACTAGAGGAACCATGAAAGAGAATGTAAATATATTAATTTAAAAATCTCACAGTTATTAAAAAATATATAAACTCCAAAAGTCTGACACTAGCTTTAGGCCACAAACTGAATATTCATTTACAGATGAGAGGACATGTATTATATAACTAAACTATTCTAAAATTCTAAACATTTGTGATTATCTTCAAAGCATTGCTAAAATTTCTCTCAATATGATTATATAATGATGCTTATTGCTAAATTTTAAGCTAAAATTATATAAGAATTTGATTCAAGTATATGTTTGCATAATTACCTACATGTTTATATCCACTCTTAATTTAGGAACAAGTAAAATAAGAAATTCATAGGAATGCAATTTCAATATCAACAATATTATACCAATTAAAATTTATATATGCATAACTTTACCTAAAATAAAATTTGGAAGACTGAGGCATATTACTGAAGCTTGATGTGTGCATGTAATTGTCATTATATGATGCTAATGCCTAGATTTTTAGCCATGACTGAAATGTGAAACATCCATACAATAAATACCCAATTGTTCCTCTACACATAATTATAATTAACCACTAAGTTGGTTTTTAATCAAAAAGTTAGTTTAATTTATTATATCTTGGGGCACTTATTTGACAGGGTGTAGACTAGTTTGTAGCTCTTCAAGATATTTCTGACGTAGGCACAATACTAACTTGATTATCAATTAAATAATTTCTTATGCCCCAGGAGAATAGATATCCAAGGCATAAACAATAATATTTTAATACTGGATTTTGGGAGTTTTATTTATTTGTAGTTTACTTATTTGTTTGTTGGATGGTTTATTTTACATTGAGATGGAAATGGAATCTTAAAAAACTGAATTCCGGTAAAAGAAAATTGTTGGATTATTAAAGATGAATGTTGAATGGATGATCTGAAATAAAATTTACAAAAATAGTCATTATATTAAAATAATTCAAGATGCATTGTTGTTTTGATGGTAATGATAGCAACAAAAGTTACCGCAGCTGATGATTTTATAATGCCTTCAAGGAAAGAAAAGGGCAATTTTTGCATTTTTATGAACTTACATCACAAAATCCACAATAAATTTCATAATCAGACTGGACATGGTGACTCAGGCCTATAATCCTAGCACTTTGGGAGGCCGAGGTGGGCGGATCATGAGGTCAGGAGATTGAGACCATTCTAGCCAACATAGTGAAACCCTATCTCTACTAAAAATACAAAAAAATCAGCTGGGCGTGGCGGTGCGCATCTGTAGACACAGCTTCTCCGGAGGCTGAAGCAGGAAAGTCACTTGAACTCGGGAGGCGGAGGTTGCAGTCAGCCGAGATTGCACCACTGCACTCCAGCCTGGCGACAGAGCGAGACTCCATCTTAAAAATAAATAAATAAATAATAAAAAAATTTCAAATGCAAAGCAGATAAACTATGTGAATCAGCATTATGGATAAACACTTAATGGTTGTAACATTTATTTATAAGAGGCTTTTTGCTTGTTTTGTTTTGCTTTGCTTTGCTTTGTTTTCAGTGCTGAAGCATTTGAGCCAGTTATATTGTTGCTGCGGTTCATCTTCCATTTTCTTAAGAAAATGTTTACATTAACTTAAAAAGAAGACATTAAAATTGCAAGAAAGAAAAAAAAGGGAAAATATGATTCGCTTGATGAAGTTGGTTGCTATTATACATTCCTGTTGTGATTTTGAATGTGATTTTAAATTTTCTGAAGGACAAAATTCTATATCATAGCCTACATTAAAAAGACATATATACTTAGCCTAAAGCTCCATAAAATACACATTAAATATTTTTAAAAATGTATTACAAGGATTAAATATAATTTTTTCTGATTCTTTAAGTAGACCTGCACTGCCTCAATCAGTGACCATGATGTGCATGGCTATGTATATTTAAACTTAAAAAATTCCATTAAAATTCACTTCCTCAGTCATACAAACCATATTTCAAGTGCTGCATTGCCACCTGTTGCTGGTGGCTACCCTATTAGACCAGGGATATAGAAAATTTTCATTTGAACAGATCTAGAGAGTAACTTGTAAACACAATGCACTTAATTAAAAATTACATTCTGTAAGAGCTCATATTTCTTATTTTTAAATATTTCTTTTCTTCCCCTACCACCCATGTTACTTGAATAGGTACACAATCAAGTAATACACATAACTTTTCTTTCTTTAATACTGTGAAATGCGTGAGTATGTTCCCTGATTTAACCCTCCTCACACATTGTTGGCACTGAGAGTTTTGCTTCCACCAAATCTCATTAAAATTACTGTAAAAAGATTTTTTTAAAAAAATAAAAGGAATTTAGGCCCACTGAAACTTGAAAGAAAATTCAGAGAGGTTGGATTGAAGGAGGAGCTTTACATTATTGAAGAGTCAATATATTGAAGTGCCAATGAATAAAAAAAAAAGAGACTTTAATTTACCCACTTAAAAATTTATCACTAAGAGGCCGGGCGCGGTGGCTCACGCCTGTAATCCCAGCACTCTGGGAGGCCAAGGTGGGCGGATCACGAGGTCAGGAGATCGAGACCATCCTGGCTAACATGATGAAACCCCGTCTCTACTAAAAATACAAAAACTTAGCTGGGTGTGGTGGTGGGCGCCTGTAGTCCCACCTACTAGGGAGGCTGAGGCAGGAGAATGGCGTGAACCTGGAAGGCGGAGTTTGCAGTGAGTCGAGATCGTGCCAGTGCTCTCCAGCCTGGGTGACAGAACGAGACTCCGTCTCAAAAAAAAAAAAAAATTATCACTAAGATTCATGTCCTTAAAATTTTTCCTGATAATATTTAAAAATTAAATATACCATATTTCATTCAAAATATGTTTTAAAAATAAATATTTTTATAAAAACATATTCATCTGCTGCATAATGACAGTTCAGTCAATGATGGACTGCATACGCAAAAGTTATATACAGTATTTTTACCATATATTTTCCATATTTAGATACACAAACACTTACCATTGTGTTATAATTGCCTACAGTATTTAGAACAGTAACATCCTGTACAGGTATGTAGTCCAGGAGCAATAGGCTATACTACCTAGGTTTAGGTAAGTACACTCTACGATGTTCCCACGAGGGTGAAATCACCTAACAAAGCATTTCTCAGAACATAACCCTGCAGTTAAGCAATGCATGGCTATAATTGTATGTGGTAGAACAATGGCCCCCAATTATGTCAGCCCTCAAACCCCTGGAACCAGTGACTATGTAACTTTATATATCAGAAAGGGCTTTGCAGATATGATGAAGTGTACAGCCATTGATAGGTAAGATCCTTCTAGATCAATCTTTAATACAGCTGAATAGGCAATATTAATTTTACAATTAAATTCATAGTTCTGAAAAGGCAGCCTAAGGAGGTTCACTCTGATATGGTACACTACAAAAAAAATAATAGTTTTGAGAGTGCCTATACTTTGGTAGTATCTAAATTTCATGAAACATTGAATAGAATCAATATAGAAACAATGAATTAATATGGGTTTTGATAAACGATTTCTTGAACTAGGGAACACTGATTGAAGGCAAAAATATAATAGCTAAGAAAATATTTAGGCTGAAACTTTTAGACAAAAAAAATTACAATTAAGAATGTTTTTTGTTTAGAAGACTTTGATCTGAGCTTACAAGGTGTATCATATCAGTACCTGTATTAGTCCATTTTTGCACTGCTGTAAAGAATTACCCAAGACTAGGTAATTTATAAACAAAAGAAGTTTAATTGACTCAGAGTTCCACATGGCTAGAGAGACCTCAAAAAACTGACAATTATGGTGAAAGGCAAAGGGGAAGCAAGACAGGTCTTACACAGCAGCAGGAGAGAGAGAGATAGAGAACGGGGAAAACTGCTAAACAATTTTAAACCATTAGATCTTTTGAGAACTCACTCACTATGAAGAGAACAGCATGAGGAAACCACCCCCATGATCCAATAACCTCCCACTGGGTCCCTCCCTCAACATTCAAGATGAGATTTGGGTAGGGACACAGAGCCAAACTATATCAATACCAGTATCAGTATTTACTGAGTATTTTCTGAGTAAATACTCAGTATTTACTGAGAAGAATCTATCAAAATAATCATTTTCAAGTATATAAGCCATAAACTGCAACTCATAAATATTACAGGTTACTAAATATTAAGATATTGATAACAAGTGTAAAATAAAGTGGTTAGATAAATACTATCAACAAATAAATATAAATGACTCAGAAATTAATTAAATCAAAAGAAATTTTGAATATACCCAGAAATACCTAAGATTAGGTAAAGAAAAGAAGTTTAACTGACTCAGTTTAGTGTGGCTGGAGAGGCCTCAGGCAACTTACAATCATGGTGGACGGCACCTCTTCACAGGGCGGCAGGAGAGAGAATGAGTGCAAGCAGGAGAAATGCCAGACGTTTATAAAACCATCAGATCTTGTGAGACTTACTCATTATCAGGAGAGCAGCATGGGGGCAATTGACACCATGATCTAATTACCTCTACCTGGTCCCACCCTTGACATATAGGGATTATTACAATTCAAGGAGATTTGCGTGGGGACACAAGGCAAAACATATCAAACATTAAGATGTTTTATTGCTTTAATGTACATAGTAACGTAGTATTTTTATTTTGTAGGAAATTATTTTGAAAATAAATATATAGAGAATAAAATAAAATGTATTAAATCACATTTCACAATTATTAAATTACAATAATTTTAGCATTACTTTCACTTTTGAATAGCTCTCAGATTGGACTGCACATTTTTTAGCTGTTCTATCTCTAATCCATGGAGCTCACCCAGTATGCCACAGAATACTGCTGGAAAGGTCTGTTCTAGACACACTCTGGTAGTTAGAAATGCTCTGAAGACAGCTTCTTGTGTGTAAGACCATTTTGCCTAAATATATTAAGGAGTGAATGGCTAACTTACACCTTAGAATGGTCCTTTGAAATAACATATTTCAGCTAAAGTTAGCTGATATTAAATAGCTGGACATTCAAGGCAGTTGTTGACAGGCCTAATGTTACTATTTGACAAAAGACTTACAATACACAGATCTCAATAGTCTTTGAAGTATCTGGAGTTGTGATTGAGATAAATGGTGTAGAAAGAGCCCTGAATTCTGTCTGAAACTTCTGTTATAAGTTTAACTTTTAATTTACTCGTTTAAAAATTATCACTAACTTTCATTGCCTTAAAATTGATTACTTTTGATCTGCTTCAGATACTACTGTCTCACACTAGACTGAGTTTTGAATAAAAATTAAATTTACAAATTACTTATAAGGTATGATTTATATTCTTTTCATAATTGGAGGCTAGGCTTCTCCACTGAATAAGGTGGGTAGCAAGAATCCTCAACACAGAATCAGGACTTTCCTAAGGGAAATAGTTCTGAATCTGCTCAACATAGCATCGCAGACCATGAAGGGAATGACTTAACCAGGAAAATGTTGCCATTACATGTACATATACATTTCCAAATTTCCTGAGCGTCCGATTGAGTATAATTTTTTAGCTCTTTCTGTGATGCAACTATGTAATTGGGTGTAAAGGGATTTCGATTAGTGTAGATTAGGGAACTGGTAGAAGTTACTGAAGACCTCTGGGGAGAAGAAGGAGAAGAAACAGTTCCTATCAAATTAGGTATTAGACATGGTCTAAGACAGAATGCATTCATCATGAATTCTATTTCCTCTATGGTACTTTCCTTCTACATTGAAAAGTCACCTTACTACTGATTTCTCAGGCACCGTTACTCTGGCACTTTTCCAAAAGCAGATATGTCTTCTGGGTTCAGAATTTCTACTTCTTATCACAAAGGAAAACTTGCTTTTTTGGGGCCCTATTTTCTTCAGGCCATCTCCTGATTGCTAAGTTCGTGGTCCATTAATTTGATAAATGAAGACGTCACAATGCTCACTCAAATTCATTTACACTTTTGGGCATCTAAACTAAGTTTATAACAAATCATGTGGGGATTATAAAGAGGAGGTGTGAATCTAATTTTCCAGTGGCTAAACTAACTAGACTGGTAGCCATTTTTTTCTTCTCTCTCACATTAGATAAAGAAAGAACCTGGAGGGAATGGCTCTCATTATTTTTTTAAGGGTCAAAATGTCCCACTGTTTCTTCTTTTAGAGTTAATATAAATAAAGCACTGTAATGTAGTAGTTTATGGCTCAGCCTTAGGAGTAAGATAAGACTAGGACCTTGCTCATAAGTATTCTTTTTTCAATGGAGCTGTTGCCAGACTGTATGTTTATAATTTAATGCTCATCTTTTTTTCTATTAATGATCATACACAGGCAAAGCTTTGCAGTTATGGAAAATTGATAGTTTAAATATTTGTGTTTTATTTAGAGTGAAAATGTCCATTTATAGAATTAAGTATTGATTGTATATGTGTGAGTGTCTAAATATTAACATGTGAAATTATTCTTATGCCTAGATTTCTAGTATTAATAAACGTGTCGTATGTCTATAACATTTCAGTGCATTATCTCTTACTAATAGTCACAAATGTGCCTAATGAAGAAAGATTTAATTAAAGTAAATGATTAGCTTTGCTACTGTAAATGTCTTCACGAGCTATGAATTAACCAACTAATTCATATTGCTTAACTTAGTCATTATCTAAAAGCGTCTTTATACGTATGTGTACAGCCTTTTGAAAGAGATCTTTTTTTTGTTATATTGCTCAGAATAAGCCATCACAGTTTTCTAGAACTGTTGCTTTAAACTTTTCTATGTGAAGATTTATCATTGCCATGATCAATTAATATGAAGACAAATAAATGCCTAAAGCAGAACTTTGCTTTAAGGCAGTAAGTAGTAAGCATACTTTCCTCTTTCTTTACTTTATCAATTTTGAAAACCAAAGAGTAGTGGTAAAAACATTTAGCCCTGTATCAAAAATCATAATTAGATGGCTAGTATAAAAAAACTAATGAGAATTGATATTTTGAACTAACATTTTTATTATCTCATTCACTGATACTCATTTATTAAACTTTAAGGTTCATGGGTACATGTGCAGGTTTGTTTTACAAGTAAGTTGCATGTCATGGGAGTTTGGTATACAGATTATTTCATCATCCAGGTAACAAGCATAGTAGCCAATAGGTATTTTTTGATCCTCACACTCCTCACACACTGCACTCTGAAGTAAGCCTCAGTGTGTATGTGTACTGATATGGTTAGGCTCTGTGTCCCCACCCAAATCTCACCTCAAATTGCAATCCCTATAATCCCTATGTGTCAAGGGAGAGACCACGTGGAGGCAATTGGGTCATAGGGGTGTTTTCCCCCATGCTGTTCTTGTGAAGGTGAGTGAATTATTACAAGATCTGTTGGTTTTATGTACTCAATGTTCAGTTCCCATTTATTAATAAAAATATGTGGAATTTGGTTTTCTGTTCCTGTCTTAGTTCACCTAGCATAATGGCCTTTGGCTCCATCCACTTTTCTGTAAAGGGTATGATCTGATTCATTTTTATGACTGTGTAGGATTCCACAGTGTATGTGTCACTTTTTTAAAAAATCCAGTCTACCATTGATGAGCATATAGGTCAATTCCATGTATTTGCTATTGTGAATAGTGTTGCGATGAACATACAGGTGTGTGTGTCTTTATGATAGAACAATTTATTTTCCTTTGGGTACATACCTAATAAGAGAATCGCTGGGTTGAATGATAGCTCTGTTTTAAATTATTTGAGAAATCACCAAACTGCTTTCCATAATGGTGGAACTAATTTTGATACGCTTTTTAATATCTTAAGTACATGGCAATTTTATATTAAAAGGAAGAAGAAAATAATTCAAAGCAGCTAACGAAACTGACAAGAAATAAACTTAAGATTTTTGTCATTAGAAGTGACTGATAATTTACTCAAATTGTTATATTATTAAATGTAGTCTGGATAATTTACTACTTTAGAAAGATTGCCATTGTTAATCAACAGATTAAGTGTCTTGATTTAAAACCTAAAAAAAAAAAATTGCTTTTGTATTTGTTTGATGTAGCAACCCTTGTCATTCCTGAATTCCCAAAGTTGCAGATAATTTAAGTATCTCTAATAAGTATACTTATATCTTCTCCAAAAAAGAACAATATATTCTTCCTGAAATATATCAGTGGGGTGAATCCTTGGAAAATTAATCTCAGAAAAGGTAAATTTTTCTGTATTATTAGACTAGGCTGATCAGTACCCATTTTCTTTATCATTTGTTCATTTCCAAATTATGACTCCTACTTCACTGGAGAGGGGAACTGGGGATTATTCAGTGAGTTTCCATGATGTCAAATAATGAACTGCTTTTAACAAATATATTATGCCTTCAGTTCTCAGATCTGCTTCTCACCAGTGTTTAAATTTTATAAATATCTTTAGTTTTTAAATCATTGCAAAATATACTCCAGAGGTACAGGAAAGCACTACCAATGGAATGCCATCACCACCAACTATTCTACTGCATCTAGTGTTACTATTCTACTGTACCTCTAGTGCTTTTCTAAATAATGTCACGGTGATTATGAAAATGAGATTGGCCTTTATATGGGATATCTGAATGATCCACCAGGCCAAGACACATTTGGTTTTGAAGTGTGGGATAAAAATTTTAACAGATAAAGAATAATTTTTTGGGAAAAAAAATTTGTATCATTTTAATTTTAGGTTGTTTTCTCATATTATTGAGACCATAATGGATTCTTAAGAATGTTTTAGTTAGATGATTAAGTTATCTAGTGAGAAAGACAAGATCTTAAAATTATTCAACTTAATGTTATTGCTTCCATAAAAGCTAATCTCCATAAAAGTTAACCTTTGGGAAAAGAAAAGTAAATACTATTACACTTTTAGGATAGTAGAAACACATTGCAACTATGGGTGAGAAGAAAATAAAAGATTGCCTATCTCTGGTTGAGTGAAAAAATTAATGCTATTCTTAGACCTACTGCAAATGTCTGGGCAAAATCATTGAGAAATGCTCAGCTTCAAAACCCAGTAACACAGTGCCTGCCTAAGAGGCTTAACCTGAACAACAGAGAGCTTCTTTTTAACCTCTGAAACAGGCTAAAAGTGTCAACTAAAAGCACAGCAATCAACTCTTGTAAGAAGGGTGTCTTTGCTGTAGTAACAGAATTTGACTTCTCTGGTGTTTATTATAGAAGACCTGAGCCCCTGAAGGGAAGAGTGCTGACTCAGCTGTAGTGCTGTGGGTGTGACTGTTCTGGTAGTTTGAGCTGCCATGTCTCTTCAGCTGAACCTCAAGGAGAAGGTGCATGGGCAAATGGGATGGGTGGATCAAGTGACTCAGTGATAGCTCGGCCCTAGAGTGTAGGGCATAGCTGCAGACCTCCTCAGAAATAGTATGTTACTGGGTGCAGTGGAAGCTGAGCCTCAGGGATGGAAGGATGCAATGGTTACTCACCCATGGGGCAGGACACATTCTAGCAGTGGCTTAAATTCCAAGATGGTGCAGAGCAATAGCAGCATGCACCACACTGGGGGCATGGGGTAGAGCATTGGCTCCTTCTCTGGAAGTGAACTACAGAAAGCTCCCTCAGCTGGGTTCAGTGCCTGTGAAAACACCAGGAGTCTTCTGTAGTGAAGATTTGAGGATTCTCTAGTGGTGATTTGGGCTATTGAGATAGTTTCGTTTAAATTTTTCCTTCACGGAGAAGTCTCTCTGGTTCTGATCTAATCCTAACTGGAGAGATGAGGTGGCGGGGGTAAGGTGTTTTCTTTCTTTCTCTATGTGGCCATCCCGGGTTTCTGTGCTTTATAGAATTTCTGCTGCTTCTTTGTTGTTCTTCAGTACCCTCCTTATGTTATTTTGGTTGAAAAGCAGTTATTTACTCATTGTTTTGTATTTTGTTTTGTTGGGGGCAGTGGTGGAAAGAGCTACAGTAGCTTCTAGTTAGTAATCCTGTGATGTCACTCAGAAAGATATTCTTAAAAGAATTAAAAAAAAAACAAGTAACAATAGGGAAAAATATTTGAAATTAGAAATCTAATAAAAGACTTGTTTTTAAATTACAAAAGGAATACTAAAAAATAAATAATAAAAAACAAATAACCTAATAAAAATTGGCAAAATCATCTGAGACACTTCACAAAAGAAGTGGTTATTAAACAAAATAAAAATTTGCTGAACATCATTAGCCAACAGAAAACTGCACATTTATATGATTAGTTATCACTACACACTTACTAAAGTGTCTAAGATGAAAAATAAAATAAAATGTTAAAAATACTAAGTCAGGGTTGGGTGCAGTGGCATACAACTGTAATCCCAGCACTTCGGGAGGCTGAGGTGGACGCATCACTTGAGATCAGGAGTTCGAGGTGAGCCTGGCCAACATGGTGAAACCTTGTCTTTAATTAAAAAAAAAAAAATTAGCCCGGCATGGTGGCAGGTACCTGTAATCTCAGCTACTTGGGAGGCTGAGGCAGGATAATCACTTGAACCCGGGAGTCAGAGGTTACTCCACTGCACTCCAGCCTGGGTGACAGAGCCAGACTCCATCCCAAAAAAAAAAAAAAAAAAAAAAAAAACTAAATCCTTTCAAGAAGGCATAGCAACTAAAACTAATAGATTGCTGACAGAAACGCAAAACATACAAGCACTTTGAAAAACAGTTTGATTGTGTCTTATAAAGTTAAACATATTATATGACCCAGCAATCTAATTCCTTGGTATTTACCCAACGGAAATGAAAATCTATGGTTTCTAAATGGAAATAAAAATCTGTGGTCTCATAAAAACATGTAAGTGATTATTTAAAGCAGCTTCATTTATAATTGCCTATATCTGGAAATAGCCCAAATGTCCTTCAACTGGGATATGTAAAAACACAATATAGTAAATCTATGCAACGGAATTTTACCCAAGAATGAAAAAGGAATAAACTACTGATATACCTGGCAGCCTGCATGCCTCTAAAATGCCTTATACAAAGTTTAAAGCGCACATTCAAAGGCTATAGACTATGTGATTTCATTGCTATTCCATTCATGGGAAGACAAAATTATTGAGACACAAAACAGCTCAATGATTCCTGGAGGACTGGAGTAAAGAGACAGTTGATTACACAAAGGTAACCAAGAAGACCATAACATTCTCCTCAGCCTGACTAAATCTTAGACAGGTTTCTTCCTGACTATAGGCCTCTTTTTTCTTAGAGCATTTACTTTTAAAACTTGCTGTTGTAAATTCTTTCTCTGTCCTTTTGAGATGTAAATCCTCTCCTAGCAGCCTGTTGCCATTTTTACAACCTAGAATATCTTTCTCAAGGACCTGGGAGCTATTTCTTTAAAATGTAATCAGCAAGAAATATAGAGCTCCAATATTTCAGTCCCTGTGGGAGGGCAGGAGACTAACTTTCATGAGTACCAATTAGCAAACACAGATGGCCCAATCACATTGATCAACCTCATTGACCAACTTTCCCCCTAATGTCCTTCAGTACTTTTCCACTAGCTCACTCCAGCTCTTAGACAATTTTCTGCTTTTTGTTTCAGTGAAATTGTGTTCAATCTTTCCTTCCTATGCAGTAGTCTTTACCCCTATTGCAACAATCTTGAATAAAGTCTCTTTTCACTCTGTACAGTGAAAATTTTCTTTAATAAAGGAAAGAACAAATATTTGAGGTGATGAAACTAGACTTTATCTTGATTATGGTGACAACTTGATGACTGTATACATTTGTGCAAATTTGCATAACTGTGCACTGCAAAAGGTGAAACTTTCTGTATGAAACTTGTACCTTAATTTTAAAATGTGGAGTAGAAAAAATATTTAGTGCAATATACTATTGTACAATATTTATCTGAACCAAAAGGCATTTCTATGTACATTTTGCATTGGCAAGTCATGATTGTAAGTTAATAAACATGAAAACAACAGAGAAAGAAGAGAACAGGGGGCCGAGTGTGGTGGCTCACGCCTGTAATCTCAGCACTTTGAAAGGCCGAGGCGTGAGGACCACCTGAGGTCAAGAGTTGTTGACCAGCCTGGCCAACGTGGTGAAACCCCATGTCTGCTAAAAATACAAAATTAGCTGGGTGTGGTGGTGGGCACCTGTTATCCCAGCTACTCGAGAGGCTGAAGCAGGAGAATCACTTGAACCCAGGAGGCGGAAGTTGCAGTGAGCAGAGATCGTACCATTGCATTCCAACCTGGGCAATAGGAATGAAACTCCACCTCAAAAAAAAAAAAAAAAAGAAAAAGAAAAAAGAAAAATACAATATACAATGTGACTGAACTGGATTTGAGGGTAGAAAGAGAATCCCATAAAACAAAAGTAATTGCTAGAGATGGCATACTCCTGAAAGCAGAGAAGGAACACATTTAAATTTGTAATATTCCTGAAATTCATTTTCACTCAAATATAGTGTTTTCTCTGTATTGTAAAAAACAAAGGATCCCTAACATTTACTAGAAGACAGAAAAAACCTGAGATCTTACCTATGTAACTGACAGCATATTTTGTTGATCTACCCTTTGATCAGGGAAGAAAGAGAAGAGACTAGTGTCTTTCTTCCTCTATATATTTTACCGTTTTAAATAAAAGAGAAATTTATTTCATAAAAGCTATTGTAATTAGCATGAAAAAGTGGGAGAGGACAAACATGTTAAATAAATACAGTTCCTACAAAGACTGGGGCAATTCCTTTTGTGTTTTCTATAATGCGTACGGATGCAAACAGAGGGAAAACTTAAATGAGAACAGAAGTTTCTATGTGTATGTATGTTGGTCAACTGTTTCAAATTAAAAACAATTTATCTATGTCCTGTAATGTTATTAAAGAGACAAAGCAACAAGCTTCACTAAAGATGCCCAGTGGCAGAAAAATGATTAAACTTTGATAACTACTATTACATAAAACAGACATGCTTTATTTGTTATTCTACTTTAACCACCACTTTATTCACATTTTGTGTTTCTAAAAGACAATGCATCTCATAGATATGTGTACATTTAATGTATAATAGTTCCTCTTAATCTGCAGTTTTGCTTTCTGCAGCTTTAGGTACCCAACGTCAACTGAGATTCAAAAATATTAAATGAAAAAATTAATAAATTAATAAATTCATAAGTTTTAACTTGCATGTCATGTGGTGAAATCTGTACTATGCCCAGGATGTGAATCATTCCTTCGTCCAGCATATCCATGGTGTACATACTACCCATTCATTACTGTATACAAAAAGAAAAATAACGTATGTAGGATTTGGTACTTTCCTGGGTTTCAGGCATCCACTAGGGGCCTTGAAACGTATCCTTTCTAAATAAGAGGGAAATACTCTATTAGTGTTCTATTTCTATTACGTGTAATTAACTGATGTTGAATATTATATTAGATTGAGTCTTATAATTGAGAAAAGATAGTATTTGCACCAAGTCCTTTGTTAAAATCTGGGCCTCAGTGATACACGGAAATTTTTTATCTCTGTCTTTGTTATGCTTACAGTCTTATGGAGGAATATATATAATATAACAGATGAAACAATAATAAGTTAAATATAATTATATTGAGCATCATTCATCAAAGATTTATTGGTGAAACATGCCAATGTATTCTATGTCTCTGGGACAAAATGATGAAAGACAGACTGTGTCCTGTCTCTATTGGACTTATATTGCACAGGAAAAAAAAAACAATATAAAAATGAAGTTTAAATAATTATAGCAAATCAAGGTAATAATAAAGGTATTAATAAATATTATGAAGAACATCAAATAGAATGTGGAGGTTAAAAGTAATTAAGATAATTAGAACTTTGAAAGGAAAATTTAGACAGTGTTCTGTAAAGGCTTCAATAGCACGGTAAATTTTGATTGAAAAGAATTTAACATTAAGAAACTAGTCACAGAAATGTGTAGATCTGAGAATGACAAACTATAACCTGTGGGCCAAATCCAACCTGCCACCTGTTTTGTAAACCCAGTTTTATTGAAACGCAGCTTTGCCCATTTATGTACATTGACTATCGCTACTTTAATGCTAAAACTGAAGAGTTGAATAATTGTGAGAGAGTTTGTACGGCTTGCAAACTGAAGAATGTTTACTATCTGCTCTTTATGAAAAAAATCTTTGCTGATTTCTGGTCTAGAGCAGAGCTGTTCAATTAAACTGTCTATGATAGAAATGTTTTTCACACTATTCTGTTGGATGTTATTTGTTAGTTATTAGCCACAAGTGGCAATTGGGCATTTACAACAAGGGCAATGTGACTAAGTATTTGAGCTTTTACATCTATTTATTTATTTTTTTAATAGACTTCAGTTTTTAGAGCTGTGTTAGGTTCACAGCAAAACTGAGCAGAAGGTACAGAGATAGCCCATGCCTCCCACATATGCATAGCCTTCCTGATTATTCACATCCCCCGCAGAGTGATACATTTGTTACAGCTGATGAACCTACATGCATCGTAGTCACTCATACGTCATTATTACCCAAAGTCCATAGTTTACTCTTGGTGCTGTACACTCATTGGATTTAGACAAGTGTATTGTAACGTGTATTCACCATTACAGTACCACACAGAGTGGTTTCACTGCTCTAAAAATCTTCTGTGCTCCGCCTATTCATCCCTCCCTGTCTCCGACCTCAGACCACTCCTGATTGCTTTACAGTCTCCACAGTCTTATCTTTTCTAAGATGTCATATAGTTGGAATCACACAGTCTACAGATTTTTCAGATTGGCTTCTTTCAGTTAGTACTATACATTTAAGTTTCCTCCTCACATTTTTTTTTTTTTTTTTTTTTTTTTTTTTTTTTTTTTAGATGGAGTCTCGCTCTGTTGCCCAGGCTGGAGTGCAGTGGCACGATCTCGGCTCACTGAAACGTCCAGCTCCCGGGTTCAAGTGATACTCCTGCCTCAGCCTCCTGAGTAGCTGGGACTACAGGCACCCGCCACCATGCTCGGCTAATTTTTTTGTATTTTTAGTAAAGACGGGGTTTCACCATGTTAGCCAGGATGACCTCAATCTCCTGACCTCGTGATCCGCCCGCTTCGGCCTTCTGGGATTACAGGCGTGAGCCACCGCACCCGGCCTCCTTCTCACATTTTTATGGCTTGACGCTCATTTCTTTTTAGTGCTTAATAATAGTCCATTGTCTAGATGTGCCGTAGTTTACTTACTCAACTACTGAAGGACATGCTATTTTCTTACAAGTCTAGCAGTTGTGAATAATACTGCTACAAATATCCAGGCGCAGGTTTTTGTGTGAATATGAGATCTCAGCTCCTTTGGGTAAATCCCAGGGATTATGATTGCTGGTCACGTAAGAATAGTTTTACTTTTGTAAGAAACCACTAGTCTGTATTCCAAAGTGGCTATACTGTTTCATACTCCCATAAACAATGAGTAGCAGCTCCTGCTGCTCTACATACTCATCAGCATTCGGTGTTGTCTATGTTCTAGATTTTGCCTGTTCTAATATGCGTGTAGTGATATCTTAATGCTGTTTTAATTTGCATTTCCCTAACAACATATGATGTGGAACATCTTTTCAATGCTTGTTTGCCAACTGTGTATCTTTCCTGGTGAGACAGACATCTCATCATGTCCTAAGGTCTCTGGCACATATTTTTATAATTAGACTATTTATTATTACTGAGTTTTGAAAGAGTTCTTTGTATATGTTAGCTAACAGTCCTTTATAAGATCTATCGTTTGCAAATATTCTCTCCCAATTATCTACTTGTTTTCTTGACAGTGTCTTTTGGAAAGTAAAAATTAATTTTAATGAGATTCAGTTTATCATTTTTTTCTTTCATGGATCATGTCTTTCCTGTTGTATCTAAAATGTCATCACCAAATCAAAGGTTGTCTTGATTTTCTCCTATGTTATATTCTGGAAATTTTATAGTTTTGTATTTACATTTAGATCTACCATTCGTTTTGAGTTAGTTTTTGTGAAGGGTGTAAGGTCTGTGCCTATATATATATGTGTGTGTGTGTGTGTGTGTGTGTGTGTGTGTGTGTGTGTGTATCTTGCAATATGAATACCTAATTATTTAATTTTAATTAATTTAATTTCGAAGTTGAATAGTGGCTTAGTGGCTACCTCATTGCATATAAAAGGACTAGATCAAGAACATTTTGGCACAGAGAAGAGCAGCACATATTGACTGGAAAGGGCCAATCATATTACTAGAACAGAAAGAATATCTGGGAGGCTAGCATGAAGGAAGCATGGGCAAAGTGGTAGATAAATGAGGTGTGAAAGGCAGGGACAGAGTATAAATTATACAATTTTGGAGACAATATAAGCCATTTAGGGTTTATTCTACATATGATGTATAGTCTCTGTAAGCTTTTAGAAGTGGTGGGAAATAATCTTAATTTTTAAAACATCACTAGTGTTCTGGATATTATAAAGGAAACTTAAACTTTGCTTTAAAATATGAAATATGAGACTTAATGTCTCCCTGTATTCATAGTTTTGTTTGTTTGTTTGTTTGTTTGAGACGGAATTTCGCTCTTGTTGCCCAGGCTGGAGTGCAATGGCACAATCTCGTCTCATTGCAACCTCCGCCTCCCGGGTTCAAGCAATTCTCCTGCCTTGGCCTCCCAAGCAGCTGAGATTACAGGCATGCACCACCACGCCCAGCTGATTTTGTATTTTTAATAGAGACAGGGTTTCTTCTTGTTGGTCAGGCTGGTCTCAAACTCCCGATTTCAGGTGATCTGCCCGCCTCTGCCTCCCAAAATGCTGGGATTACAGGTATAAGCCACCACGCCCGGACTCTCATAGTTTTATTAAACTAAAAATTTTCTGAATTGAAAATTGAGAGGTGAGTAGGAAGCAAGGAAAAAATGTGGATATGAATTGTTTCAGGAAAAGTAAGCACCATGTGCCCTGTGTATCTATAAGGTGGGGAGAAGTATGGTGCGTTCCAAAACCTGTAAAAGGATCAGTGGCCAAAACAGAAAAAAAAGACTGAGAGTAACTAGGGAAATGTAAGAGAGACAGAGCATGAATAACCTTGATCATCATATTACCAAAACAGGATTTATTTCAAGAGCAATGAAAAATCATTTTTTGTCTTTTACTTTCTTTAGTATTTCTGAACATTGGCACAAATATACTACCATTTAAAAAATCTAAATCATCACTTTTTCATATGGTACTCACTAAGCACCTGTGGCTCGTGAGCACTTAAAAGATGGCTATACTGATTTGAGATTGGCTATAAGTATAGAATACACAATCAACTTCAAAAATTTAGTGCAATCAAGAGAATGTATGATATTTCATTGGTTAGTTTCATTCTGATCACATGTTGAAATGATAATATTTCAGATAGATTAAATATGATATATAATTAACTTTTGTTTTTAATTTTTAAACGTTGCCACAAGAAAATTTAAAATTACATATATGGCTTATATTTGAGGTATGCATTTTATTTCTGTGGGACAGTGCAGATCTAAATTGATTTTAACCATTCCTTATAGTGGTAGCAATAGAGTTGAGCAATTAAAAGACTTGCAAATTTGGCACACACCTGCTTGAAAAGGGCACACATATTATAATACTTCAGGTTCTTTTTTTTTTTTTTTTTTTTTTTTGAGACAGAGTCTTACTCTGTCACCCAGGCTGGAGTTCAGTGGCACGATCTCAGCTCACTGCAACCTCTGTCTTCTGGATTCCAAGCGATTCTCCTGCCTCAGCCTCCTGAGTACCTGGGATTACAGGCGTGCACCACCACACCTGGCTAATTTTTGTATTTTCAGTAGAGACAAGGTTTCACCATGTTGGCCAGGCTGGTCTCAAACTCCTGACCTCAGGCGTTCCTCCCATCTCGGCCTCCCAAAGTGCTGGGATTACAGGCATGAGCCACCATGCCAGGCCTACTTCAGATTCTTAATAGTGTGTCAGGAACATTTCTTCTGCCATTCTCTAAGGCTAGGAAGTAGTTGCTATTTTCAAACGGGGTTCGGCTTAGCTAAAGCATTGGCAAGAGTCAGTGTTGCTCAATGGGAAATAATAGTTGAAATGTAATTCAGTATATTTCACTCTAGATGAAGTAGCTTCTAAAATATTAGTTTTCTTTGTATTAATAAATTACTCTGTGTGTGTGTGTGTGCACGCGCGTGTGCGCGTGCTTCAGCACTCTGTTTTCCAAAATTATCTGTTCGTTGGAGGTAGTGTTATCTTAATCTGGCTGACATGTACCCCCCTTTATAGCTATTAGAGTTGTGACTAGGTGATTTCATTCCAAAGATTATCTCTATCTCTATCTCTGCCTCTGTCTCTACCTCTATCTATGTCTCTATCTATCTATCATCTATCTATCTATCTATCTATATATCTATCATCTATCTAATCTATCCATGCTATTTCTGCAGATAGGATAGTGCGATTTCACAGCCTGATTGTCTCTCTGCTCTTTTGCCATCTTAAGAAATGGTTAGGTACTAAAGACTCCTCCAAAACTCCTAGACCTGATAGAAGAATTCAGCAAAATTTCCAGAAACAAAATTAATCTACACAAATCAGTAGCTCTCCTATACACCGTCAGCAACCAAGTTGGCAATCAGACCAAGAATTCAACCCCTTTTACAATTGCTGCAAAAAAATACTTAGGGATATACCTTACCAAGGACCTCTACAAGAAAAACTACAAAACACTGCTGAAAGAAATCATAGACAATACAAACAAATGAAAACATATCCCATGTTCATGGATAGGTACAATCAACATTGTGAAAATGACTGTACTGCCAAAAACAATCTACAAATTCAATGCAATTCCCATCAAAATACCACCATCATTCTTCACAGAACTAGAAAAAAAAATCCTAACATTTATATGGAACCAAAAAAGAGCCCACATAGCCAAATCAAGACTAAGCAAAAATAAAAAAATCTGGAGAAATCACATTACCTGATTTCAAACTATACTGCAGCCCCAGATAGTTTTATTACCTTTATTTTTTTTTTTTCAAATACTGTCTTTATGGATTCAGAGAGGGGAGAGTGTTAATTCTCGATTTTATGAGCATTTTCTACCTTTATTTCTCCGTCAAGAATGGAATGGAAGTGGTTTGGTTCTTTTTTCCTGGATACCATTGCATGTTTGAGGTTTTGGAGTCTAGCAAGTCTGCTGGTTCAGCCATCACTACTTTTTAATTTCCTATTCTTTTCTGTCCATAAAAAGGTTTTTTTAAAAAAATTAATAGTGCTCATATATTTGATATGCTTGATACTCATCATCAAATTCTTAACAACTTCCTTTCTTTCATATGTAACATAAAATTGTACAAAGCAACATTGCCATTCCTCTTTTAAACAACTTTAAGTACCAGGATTTTTCAGACTCTCCAATGAGATAAAATATATTTACCTGGAAAAGTGTTCTATGCTTCAACTATAGATTTTCTGACAATTTTCTCCTCACTAATTTTTAGTAAATGCCAAACCTCTTGGGAACTTTCCAGAGGGGAATCCAATATTAGAAATAACAAGAAACAATGCAATTCTAATAAACCCTGTTCATTTAAAAGACTACTAGATAGTTATTTTTGCTCTTCACACTCTTGTTCTTTCTGTACTCCTGAAAAATTTTCAGATAGAAATATTAAGGTATCTTAGCTAATGCTTTTTATTTTCTTCTTTATTCTTTCTATGTTAAATAGACTGTATTGTATTCTTAATATAGATATTAAATATTTTCATATTGATTAGAACTTATACCTTTTGACAATAACTAGCAATGACAAATGCAATATTATGGTAAATTATAGATCAATTGAATTAGAGCAAAGACAAAATATCTTTTAGCATCTATATTAGAATTTCGTCTTTAATCCAAGACTGACTCCCCACTGCCTATGAAGTAAATTCAGAATTTGAAGCATATCTACGTTGTCTAGAGGATCAAAGAACAGAAGAAATATTTGTGCTAAGCCTTGAAATTTAGGTAAAATGTCAGGAAGAAAGCAAAGATGAAGAGAATTCCAAATAGAGTTGTCAGATAACACACAGGGCCCTCAGTTAAATTTGAATTTCTTTCAAAAAGGAATTAGGAATTCAGTATAATTCTGTCTCATGAAATACTTGAGACATAATTATACTAAAAATATAGTGGCTTTTTTGTTAACATGGGAACCCTAAAATTAGAGGAAATGTACAAATAAATTTATGAAAGTATATCCTATAGATTACCTCCTAATTAGCTAGAGTAACTAAAGGAATGATAATCCGCATCCCAACAATTAGAATTGTGCATTAAAACATTTGTGTTTTTTAAAAAACAAAATAAAGTAAAACAAAACTAGATATAGAAACATAAATAGGTATATCAATTAGGTAGAACAATTCACAGAAGAAAGAGGGAAGAGACAGAAACAGATTCTTTATAGTTCCCATCCTTCCACCTGGTTCTATAAGCACAGTGATGACATTCTTTGTTCAACAGATGTATCCAGGGACAGTTGTGTATTTTTTTCTTTCTTTTATTTTTTTAAATTGTCATAAAATATACATAGCATAAACTTTACCATTTTAACTATTTTATGTACCAATTCATTGGCATTAATTATATGCACATTCTTGCATAACTATCACCACCATCCATCTCCAGAATGTTTTCCTCCTCTAAAACTGAAAGTCTGTGTCCATTAAACAAGACCTGTCTTATCCTCCTGACCCCCAGTCCCTGGAAACTGCCAGTCTACTTTCTGTCTCTATGATTTGACTAGCCTGGGTACTTCAGATAAGTGAAATCATACAATATTTGTTCTTGCGTGTACTCCTTATTTCAGCTAGCATAATGTTTTCAATGTTAATCCATGTTGCAGCATGTATCAGAATTTCATTCCCTTTTAAGTCTAAATCATACTCTATTGTGTGTATATATCACATTTGATTTATTCATTCATCCTTGTGTAGATGTTTAGGTTGTTTCTACCCTTTGGCAATTGTGAATGATGCTGCCATCACTCCAGCTGCAGCAGGGAGGCCTGTGTGGGACTGCAGTCTCCGTGGAACTAGTGGGAACACCTTTTGAACCTATCCTTTCCTGAGTACTCTCTTTTGTCTTAGAGTATCATATAAAATTTTATTGTATACTCAAATTATCCTTTTATTATACTTTATAATTTCTATTTTAAGCTTTCCCTGTTTAACCTACCATGTGAATTATGTCTTCTGATTGGACCAAAAAATAAAGCCACAATTGTAATTCCTAGCTATATAGGACTATATTTTAGGAGTCATGCCTAGTGATCCAGTACATGGTCCCTCAGTATAACAAGTTTGTTGATACATGTACCACCCAAAATATTACCATATTATATTCCTACAACCTGTATTTTAATTTTATGTGCAATTATTTCTGTTACATTTGAAAATGCTGTCTTATGGCTCACAATTCAAGGATATGGTATCAAAGGTTAAGAGATAAGACTCCATAATAATGAAACCATTTCATAACAATCCATGCTTTTCCATGTCTCTTTGATACCAATCGAGAAAATGTGGATAAACTTCTTATTCCTAAGCATCCAACTTGCCAGTGCATGCTAAGGTATATGCAATTACTTCAGTATTACTACAAACCA
The DNA here is from genome assembly GCF_000001405.40 of Homo sapiens. Classification (NCBI taxonomy): domain Eukaryota; kingdom Metazoa; phylum Chordata; class Mammalia; order Primates; family Hominidae; genus Homo; species Homo sapiens. The sequence continues at coordinate 59,491,547 of NC_000004.12, read as the reverse complement.
ATGAATGAGGAAGTGAGGTTCATATATTTTTATTCTCCATATATTATGCTAGGTAGTAAAGAGTGCAGGAAAAGGTATTTTGGAATTCAGAAAGGCAGTCTTCCCTAAAGGTAACTGGCTCTTTCACTTAAAAGAACAATATTTTAATGAGTGAAGTGTAACAGCAGAGAATTCACTGAGTGTTTCCTTCGGGGGATGTTTTCAATTTAATTAGAGCATATAGGATTGTAGACTGAGAGACAGGAGACTTAGTCCATCACCTGTTCTCAATGGTGATAGGGATTTGCTCTGTCATTCACATATACTTTTGAGCTTTTTGAGCTATAATTTGAGATAATGAACATTACTGGTTTAGGATATTCATGGGCTAGTTCCCTTAAGTTTCTAAAATATAAGGAAATTGTATCAATTCGACAGAATAGTTTGCATCCATTCTACCCAAGATGTAGCTATAAACCACGGTGGTGTGGAGCATGCTTTTGTTACCAGGTTGGAAGCTGCCTTCAATTCTCATTCTACTACATACGAACTTTCTTTGACATCAATGGCAGATATCTTAAACTATTTGAACATGCAGTTTGAGCCACTAGGGTTATAAAAATGAAATGAGATGAAATATTTTGTAAACTCCTAATGCCATGTCAATGATGCTATTACCAGAGTCACATAAGAACTCCATGTGTATTGTAGACATTTAACTCTGATATTCTTAAAATTATAAAAGAAATCCACAGGAAAGAAACCAAAGAAAAGTGACTTTTTAAAAATCTGGAGAAACTCAAAATACCATAAGCTACTGACTAGAAAGCTCAGCAAGCCAGTTTTAGAATAACACATAAACAGGAAGGGGCTTTTCTAGGATACAACAGGAATACAGTAGGGAATATTTGGTGGCTCTAAAAAGTATTAAAATGAATCAATTGAAACTCTCTTTTTCAAGAAAGCACTGAAGTGAGGACAAAACACTGGGAATAAAGTTCAAATCCAGCAGCAGAGGAACAATAAGGACAAAGGAAAAGAGGGGTTAGGTAAAGTCGGGGAGGGGAAGAGGCTCACATTTTTAACCATTAGAAAAGGCAACAGTAAAAACAGGACCTCTGGATGATGAAAGTAAGGAGACTATTTTGGGCTACCCCTGCTTCTTAGTATTAAAAAATATATGGAGAGAATATATAGAACTCAAACATACTGTGAGGAAAGTACACTCTCAAATAAAAATATCCAAATGTTTGGTAGTAGAGGGGATTTATTTAATATACTTTATTATATTCACACAATCGAGTACTATGCAAATGGATATATGTACTCATACATATGTATACATAGTTACTTATAGAATGCAAAAGAAAAATGGAACGATAAACCATAACATTGAGGGGGAAATATTTCTATATAAAGGGAAAGCATAATAAGGGGAGGGACAGGCATAGAAACTAAACTTTTCTCAATATATACTTATTGTTTTGACTTTGGAATAGTGGACATATTTGACATTAAAATGGTTATCTTCTACAATAAAAAGTAAACTAAGACAAATCAACTTTATTCTATTTTATTTTAATTATTGTGGTAAGAATACAACATGAGATTTGCCCAGTAACAAATTTTTAAGTGTACCTCACGTTATTGTGGACAGTAGGCATAATGTTGTACAGCAGATCTCTAGAGTGTATTCTTTATTCATCTTGCTTGGCAGACTTTACACTTGTTGGTACCCCACAGAGAAAAACTCTTCTAAGTTACTTTGAAACACAGTAGTCTAACTGCATATCTTAATGCGAAATGAATTAAGAACAAAAAGAATTTCCAAGCAACTTTAAAAAAAATTCATGCAATTATAGATACTTCTATAAATTTCATTCTCAGCCAGTATATGTGCAGTTTTGGAAAAATAAAATGAGTCATTATGGTAGTATTATTGAGAGCTAGGATTTTTATTGAAGGGAAAAGGAAATAATATTTATAAGATCAGTGAGACTAGGTAAAAACCTGATAGTCCTAGATTTGCACTGAAATTAGAAGAATCTACTTATCTAGTATGTTGTCATTAAATTATGTCACATACATGTGATTGTGTGTGGGTGTATTTTTGTGCACACCTGTGTGTGTGTGTGTGTGTGTATTGACCAAGACAGCCTTAATGTTTTCCTTAGCTTGATTGAACTTAGCTAGGTTTCTTCCTGACTAGAGACTCATCCCTTTGCTTAGAATATTTACTTCAGAAAACTGTCAGTTGTAAATTCTCTCTCTGTACCTTTGAGATGTAAATCTCCCAGCCTTTTGCAAGTTTTATAACCTAGGAATCTTCCTCAAAGACCTGGTAACCATCCATTTGAAATGTAACCATCAAGAGAGAGTGCACCCCTATCTCCCAGAGTCTGTAGGAGCATGGGCATAACTTTGATAAGTACTAATCTGAATTTGCTAAAAATTCAGATTTCCTAGTGACATTGACCAACTTTGCCTTTAATGTCCTCTGGTACTTTTCCACTAGCTCACCTCAGCCCTTAAAAACTCTTCCTCTTTGTTTAGGAGAGTTGTATTCAATCTCTTTCCCTGCTGGAGAGCCCCTGATAGGCTTCATCGACCCAGTTTTTTTCCCACTTTTCTTCTTGCCTGTAGCTCTTAGAATAAATGTAGAATGTGCTTAAATGTTAGACCTAAAACCATAAAAACCCTAGAAGAAAACCTAGGCATTACCATTCAGGACATAGGCATGGGCAGGGACTTCATGTCTAAAACACCAAAAGCAATGGCAACAAAAGCCAAAATTGACAAAAGGGATTTAATTAAACTAAAGAGTTTTTGCACAGCAAAAGAAACTACCATCAGAGTGAACAGGCAACCTACAGAATGGGAGAAAATTTTTGCAACCTACTCATCTGACAAAGGGCTAATATCCAGAATCTACAATGAACTCAAACAAATTTACAAGAAAAAAACAAACAACCCCATCAAAAAGTGGGCAAAGGATATGAACAGACACTTCTCAAAAGAAGACATTTATGCAGCCAACAGACACATGAAAAAATTCTCATCATCACTGGCCATCAGAGAAATGCAAATCAAAACCACAATGAGATACCATCTCACACCAGTTAGAATGGTGAACATTAAAAAGTCAGGAAACAACAGGTGCTGGAGAGGATGTGGAGAAATAGGAACACTTTTACACTGTTGGTGCAACTGTAAACTAGTTCAATCATTGTGGAAGTCAGTGTGGCGATTCCTCAGGCATATAGAACTAGAAATACCATTTGACCCAGCCATCCCATTACTGGGTATATACCCAAAGGACTATAAATCATGCTGCTATAAAGACACATGCGCACGTATGTTTATTGCAGCACTATTCACAATACCAAAGACTTGGAACCTACCTAAATGTCCAACAATGATAGACTGGATTAAGAAAATGTGGCACATATACACCATGGAATACTATGCAGCCATAAAAAATGATGAGTTCATGTGCTTTGTAGGGACATGGATGAAATTGGAAATCATCATTCTCAGTAAACTATTGCAAGGACAAAAAACCAAACACCGCATGTTCTCACTCATAGACGGGAATTGAACAATGAGAACACATGGACACAGGAAGGGGAACATCACACTCTGGGGCCTGTTGTGGGGTCGGGGGAGGGGGGAGGGATAGCATTAGGAGATATACCTAATGCTAAATGAGGACTTAATGGGTGCAGCACACCAGCATGGCACATGTATATATGTAACCAACCTGCACATTGTGCACATGTACCCTAAAACTTAAAGTATAATAATAATAAAAAAACAAAAGTAAAAAAAAAAAAGAATGTGCTTGGAATGCAATATTCTGAGATAGGGAGGAACTGCCTGAAACAGCCTGGACTATGTTTCTGTCCCTTCTAAAGAGTGTAGCAACTTGAGTTAGAGGGGAACTGCCCAGACAGCCTGGGCTTCCTTCCTCTCTCCCCTGGAAGCAGTGGGTTCTTCAAAATTTGCTCAGTGATTCTTCTTGCCCCCAAGGTATAAAACCTGGCATAGGTTGCCTTTTGGGATCCCATCTGCCTCAGACAGCTTTCTTGAGCCTTGAGGGACTAGCTCACAATAGATCCTGCGTTTTTTTGTTTTTGTTTTTGTTTTTTCCCTTGCTGCTTATATGTGAGTAATAAATCTGCTTCATATAACTCGGTGCATGTGAGTGTGTTTGATTTTACCAAATTTAGGCAACTGGTAAAATTGCAGTTCAGGATGCAGTGAGTACAAGTGTGGAAGTGAGAGTACTTTAATTCCTAGTGGTTGGCGTAGTGATGATTTTTGCTATCCTCCATGTGGTGGGAGTCTTCCTCTGGTGTTGGTTATTAGTGAACTGGCTTCATACTTCCCTATTTCAGTAGGCTTGAATATAGCCTCATTTTTTGTTTAACTTGTGCATTTTTTTTTCTTAACAAAACATACATACACATCTCATTTCAAATATTTTTTATTTTCAATCTCTTAAGTCCTATAAATAATGCCTAGTCTGGTGGCATTGATTAATATATATATTGTAGTCTCTGAAGACCATATTCATTTAAAAAGCAAAACACAGCAAACAAAACAAAAACAGAGACCCTTGGAGAAATGGTAGATATCAAAGCACGTGACAAAAAGAAAGAAAGTTATTAAAGACCCTAAGATCATATCGAAATGGTTTAGGAGCCAGGTTGATGGGGTCCCACTAGCCAATGACAAAATAATTTAAATACGTAGGATAATTATTTAAAACACAGCAAATAGATTTAATTCAAAAATCCCTAATATACTCAAAAGCAAAAGCAAACATAAAAACCGACAAAAACCTGCGCTAGTCACATTTGGTGAATACTAGGAAAACACACATTGTTTTTAAGACTGGCCAACAATAAGAAAGTATCAGGATTTCTTTATCATTCACAAAACGTACCTCAGATTACTTAACTTGTTGATTAAGGGAAGTTTCTTAGTCTGTTTTGTGCTGTTATAACAGAATACCTGACATTGGGTTCTTTATAGAGAAAAGAAATTTATTTCCTCACAGCTCTGCAGTCTGGGAAGGCCAAGATCAAGGAGCTGGTATTTGTGCAGGGACTTCTTGGTGTGTCCTCACATGGTGTAAAGAAGAAGGGCAAAGAGAGGATGAGAGAGAGAGAAAAGGGGACCAAACTCTTTCTTTTATAAGAACCCCCTCCCAAGATAAGAAACACACTCGCATGATAAGAGCAGTAATTCATTCATGAAACCAGAGCTCTCATGGCCCAATTTTCACTTGGCCTCACCTTCCAACACTGTAACATTGGGGGTTGCGGGACACATTCAACTTACAGCAGTGTCTACTTATAGATATATTCAAGCTTATAAATGGGAAAGAAATTGAATAAATAGAATAGTATCTTGCAATCTCTAGTAAATTAATAGATCTACGTGGTGAATATCAATGACTTCAAAAATCACAGAAACAGACAGTCTTATGTGACACTTGATGAAAATACCCAACACAGCTTATGAAGCATTTTTGCCAAAACTCTTGAGCCTAAACTTGATAGAGTTTCTAGATTTAACCTTTAGCTTATGAGAAATACAGGGAATATAAACATACATTTAATGGCAATACGAGGTTGCTGTCTACAAAGTCCCGATTGTGAAAAATAATCTACATAAATGTATGACAATCTTTCATAAAATAAATTGAAAGAGACAACACAGTATTGGAAGGCAGGCCTATACAATAAAAGTCCTAAGAGAGCTCTTAATCAATTGATATATAAAGATATTATATGAATCTTGATATGAGATTGTAAAAAAATTATGAGACAATTAGAAAATATTAACTATTAATTCCATAAAAATGCAGGGTTAAATAATGGTGGTTTGTAAAGCCTTTATTTTGTATGTTATGTATTGAAATAGTCATAAATGATATGATATGTGTCTGGCATTTGCTTAAAAAAAACCAGGAGTGAAGGGAAATTCATAGGGTTATACTTAAAGCAAAACTAGCCATAGTTAAAAAAAAATTGAAGCTGTGTAATGAGTGCATTTTTATATACTTCTCTTCACTTTTATGTATGTTTTAAATTTCTGAAATAAAAATTTAAACATGTAGACATCAAAGTTGACTCCAGAACGGCCAAGTGAGGGTCTTGGTAATGACTTTCCACAAAAAACAATACCAGCAAAACAGCTAAAATCAACCATTTCAGAAGTCTAGAAGTTAACTAGATAACCAGATTGAACTGAAACACTCCTATCGAAGACACACTGTCAAATCTCAATGAGATAGCAGGGTCTGTGGCATTTCAACTTGTGGCTGTTCCCAGTACCTTCTGTTTACAGCTCTTTATCACAGTAGCCATGAAAATCAGCAGTCTTGTGGCCAAATGACAGGATTAATCTCTTTTGGAGCTCCATTAAAAGCTCCATCCCCAGAGCACAGTAAATATTTTGTCCAATTAGCAACAACCTGGAAAATCTCTGTTCCCAAGGTGTTGTGGCTATTTGATTTGACTTAGCAATCACCTCTGTGAAAAAGGCTCTATTTCTAAGGCATTGCCAAAAGCAATAGCAAACTGCTGACAAGATCACAGCATCCACAGTAACTAAAATCCACATGAGGAAATAAAGGGCAGAGCACAAGTAAGGGAAAATTATGTGGTTAAATATAACAGATAGTATAAACATATTTCTTGTTTGTAAATCTGTTCTTTTATCTGCTTTAAAATATAACTTCATACAGCAATATTTATGAAAATATGTTGATGGACCTAAAATATATAAAGATGTAATTTGTATAACAATAATAGCACAAAGAAGAGGAGAGGAAACAAAGATATATTAAAGTTTCTGTGTTTTTTTTTTTTTTTTTTTGGTCTTAGAACAACAGAAATTTATTGTTCCACTGTTTTAGAGGCTAGAAGTCCAAAATTAAGGCATCAGCAAAGTCATACTCCCTTTGAAACCAATAGGGGAGAATCTTTATTTGCCTCTTCTAGCTTCTGGTATGTGCCTTAGCATTTCTTGGTTTATAGATACAACGCTCCAATCTCTGCCTTTATCAAATGGCCATCTTCTTCTTGCATTTCTTTGTCTCTGTATCTCTTCTTCTCTTTTTATTTATTTTTATTTTTTAATTTTTTAAATTTTTTTCTTCTTCTCTTTTTATAAGGCTACCAGTCAAATTGAATTAAGGGTTCAACCTACTCAATGTGACTTCATCTCATTACATGTACAATGGTTCTATTTCCTAACAAAGTAACATTCATAGGTATTGGAAGTTAGCATTTCATATCTTTTTAAAAATTGTGTTTAAGAACATGTAACATGAGATGCACCCTCTTAACCAGTTTTTAAGTATCCACTACAGTAATGTTACCTTTAAGCACAATATTGTACAGCAGATCTCTAGACCTTTTTCATCTTGCTTAACTGAAAAATTGTATACCCATTGAAAAGCAATTCTCCATTTATCCCTGCCCTTAGATCCTGGTAACCACCTTTAGACTTTATGCTCCTGTAAATTTGACTAGCTTAGATTCCTCATATAAGTGTAATCATATACTACTTGTCCTTGCGTGACTGGCTTATTTCACTTAGTGTAATGTCCTCCAGGTTTATCCACATTATTACATATAATAATATTTGCTTCCTTTTGAAAGATGAATAATACCCGTTTTTATGTGTATATCACTTTGTATCCACTTTTTCATTGGTGGACAGTTAGGTTGTTACCACGTGTTGGCTATTGTGAGCAATGCTGCAATGAATATGGGAGTATAAATATCTCTTTGAGATACTGAATTTAATACTTTTCAATAAATATCCAGAAATGAATCATATGGTAGTCGTATTTTTAATTTTTAGGGGAACCACCATACTGTTTTCCATAGCAACTACACCATTTCACATTCTTACCACCAGTTTAAAAGGATCTCAAATCCTCCACAACCTCACCAGCACTTGTTATTCTTTGTTTTCTGGATAATGACCATCATAATAGGTTTGAAGTGTGATCTCATTGTAGTCTTTGTTTGAATTTTCCTGATGATTAGTCACGACGAACACCTTTTCATGTATCTGTTGCCCATTTGTGTCTCTTTGAAGAAACACCATCCACACCCTCTGTCCATTGCTTAGGTTATTGATTTTTTGCTTTTTGCTTATGTCTGTTTGTGTGTGTGTGTGTGTGTGTGTGTGTGTGTGTTTCTGTTGAGTTGTAAGAGAGTCTTACATTTTTTAGACATTAACCTCTTACCAGACATATGGCTTGTAAATGATTTCTTCCATTTCATAGATTGCCTTCCACTTTGTTCATAGTTTCCTTTCTGGGTAGAAGCTGTTTAGTTTGATGAAGTACCACTTGTCTAATTTTGCATTTGTTGCCTATGATTTTGTTGTCAAGAAATGACTTTCCAGACCAATGTCAGAAAGCTTTTCCTCAGTTTTCTTCCAGGAGTTTTACAATTTCATGTCTTAATTTTTAAGTATTTAATCCATTTTGAGTTAATTTTTGTGCATGGCATATAAAAGGCTCTAATTTCATTCCTTTGCATGTAGATATCCAAGTTTCCCAGCACTTTTTGTTGAAGAAATTATAATTTCCCCATTTCGTATTCTTGGCATCTTTGCAGATCAGCTGGCCAAAAATGTATGGATTTATTTCAGGGTTCTCTATTCTATTTCATTGGCCTATATGACTGTTTTTATTCCAGTACCATGCTGTTTTAATTACTGTAGCTTTGTCATATATTTTGAAATCAGGACATGTCATGCCTCCAGCTATTGTCTTTCTCAATATTGTTTAGGCTTTTCACAATATTTTTGACTCTACATACATTTTAGGTTTGTTTTCTCTATTTCTATTACTGGAATTTTGATAGAGATTGCATTGAATCTGCAGTTTGCTTTGAATAGCATAGACATTTTTAGTAATAGTAAGTGTTCCACAGGATGAACATAGGGTGTCTTTCCATTTATTTTTGTCTTAATTTCTTTTTTTTTAAAGCTTAATTACTTTGACTACCTTCTCCCTATTTCCTCTTTCCCCTAATGTCTTCTTTAATTCTTTTCACCAGTGTTTTTCACTATGCAAGTATTTATTCTTTTCGATGCTACTGTAAATGAGATTTATTTCTTAATTTTCTTTTCAGATAATTTATTGTCAGTGTAACAACTGATTTATTGTTAGTGTAACAGCTGATTTATTGCTACATTTATTGTTAGTTACATTAACAATAAATTATCTGAAAAAAATATAACTGATTTTTGGGTGTTGATTTTGTATTCTGCAACTTTAGTGAACTTGTTTGTTAACTCTAATTGTTTGTTTTTCTTTGAGTCTTTAGTGTTTTCTACCTAAAAGTTCATGTCGTCTGTGAAGAGATAATATTTCTTCTTCCTTTCTGATTTGGATGCCTTTTATATTTTATTTTTGGATAGCATTCTAGTACTTTGTTCAATAGAAGTACCTAAAGTAGACAAACATATCCTATTCCTGATCTTAAAGAAAACTTTTTCAGTTTTTCCCCTTTGAGTGTTAGCTGTGGCTTTCAATATACTGCCTTTTATGTTGAGGTGATATCCTTCTATTCCTAGTTTTTTGAGAATTTTTATCAGAAAGAAATATTGAATTTTTGTCAAATGCTTTGTTGGCATCTTTTAAGATGGTTATATGATTTTATCCTTTAGTCTGTTAATGTGATGTATCACATTCATTGATTTTTATATGCAGAGACATCATAGAATTCCAGGGGTAAATATCACTTCGTCAGTGTGTATAATGCTTTTAATGATGTACTGAATTCAGTTTGGTAGTATTTTAGGATTTATGTTTCTACACTTATAGGAAATACTTTCCTGTTGTTTGTTTTAGTGTCTTTGACCTTGATTTCAGGGTAATGCTGGCCTCATACAATGAGTTGGGAAGTGTTCCCTTCTCTTCAGATTTCTGAAAGATTTTGAGAAAATTGATGTTAGTTCTCCTTTAAATGTTTGCAACATTCACCAGTGCCATTTGGTCCTGGGTTTTTCTTTGTTGTGAAGTTTTTGATGACTTACTCAATATCCTTACTAGTTATAGGTCTATACAGATTTTCTATTTCTTCAGTTTTTCTATTTATTCTATTTATTCAGATTTTCTATTTCTATTGTATGTTTCTAGAGATTTATCCATTCCTTCTAGATTATCCATTTTTGTGATATAATTGTTCATAAGATATTTTACAATCATTTTTATTTATGTGAAATCAGAAGTAGTGTCTTCTGTCTCATTTATAATTTTATGTATTTGATTTTTCCCTTTTCCTTAGTCTAACAAAGGGTTTGTTAATTTTGTTGATCTTTCCAAAAAAACTAATTCAGGTTCAATTACTTTTTCTAATATTTATATTCTCTCTTACATTTATTTCTGCCCTAATCTTAGTTATTTTCTTTCTTCCACAAACTCGTGTTTAGTTTATCGTTTTCTAATTTCTTCAGGTCTAATGGTAGACCATTTATTTCAGATCTTTTTTCTTTTTGAATGTAGATGTTTATCATTATAAACTTCCTTCTTAGTACTGCTTTTACTGCATTTCATACATTTTGATATATTGTTTCCTAATTTTCATTTGTTTCAACATATTTTCTAATTTTGATTTTTTATTTGGCCTATTGATTATTCAAGAGAGTGTTTAATTTTTAGATATTTGAAGATTTTTAGTTTTTTTCTGCTATTGGTTTCTAGTTTTATTATATGATTGTAAGATTCTTAAATTTGTTAAGACTTTTTTTGTGTGTTCTAACATGTGATTTACACCAGAGACTATTCTCTGTTTGCTTCAGAAGAATTTGTATTCTGCTGTTGCTGTTTAGATATCCTGTCTATGTCTGTTAGGACTGCTTTATCTATGATTTTTTCAAGTCATCTGTTATTAATTTTCTCCCTGGGTGTTCTATCCGTTCTTGAAACTTGGTGTTGAAATCTCCTAGTATTATTGTATTTCTCTCAATTTTTCACTTCAGTACTATCAATGTTTACTTTATATATTTAGGTGGTTGGATCTTGGGTGCGTATATATTTATGTTTGTTATATTTTCCTGCTGAATTGATGCTTTAATATTTATATAATACACTTCCTTATTTTGTGAAAATTTCTCATTTAAAGTCTACTTTTTTTCTGATATACATGTAGCCACCCTTGCTTTGTTTTTGTTATCAGTTAAACGGGATATTTTCTCTATCACTTCAGCTTAATTATGTGTTCTTAAATCTAAAGTGAGTTTTTTGTAGACAGCATTTAGGCCTTTTTTTTCTTAGTTTTATTTTATTTATTTTTTATTAATTGAGCTATTCTGTGTCTTCTGATTGGGGAATTTAGTTTATTTCGATTTAAAGTAATTATTGATAGGGTTAGACTTACTAGTGTCATTTTCTGCCTTTTTTGTAGGTCTTTTTTTCCTTTGTTCCTCTTTTTCTGCTTCTTTTAATCTTTTTAGTAGTGCCATACTGATTCATTTCTCTCTTTCTCTGTGTGTGTGTGTCCTTTATAGGTATTTTCTTTATGGTTATCATGAATTTACACAAAATATCTTATAACACTCTAAGCTGATAGCAAATTAAATTTGATCACATAAAAAAGTCTAATGTTTTACATATCTCCCCACTCTTTATGTTATTCATATTAAATTTCATATCTTTTTAAAATTATTCATGTATTTTACAGTTTTAGTTATTTTATACTTTTGTGTTTAACTTCTACACTAGAATTAAAGGTCATTTATGCACTATGTTTACAGTATTACAGTATTCTGCATTTGTCAGTATATTTACCTTAACCAATGTGTTTTGTTTTTCTATGTATTTGTGTTCCTCTTTAGCATTTCAACTTGAAGATTTTCTTTTCACATATTTTTCTAAGGCATGTCTAGTGGTGATTAACTCCCTTAGGATGTTTGCCTGAAAAAGTCTTTATTAATCATTCATTTTTAAAGGACAGTTTTACCGCTCGTAGTATTCATGGTTGGTGGTAATTTTTCTGTCAGTAGTCTGAATATATCATCTGACTCCCTTCTATCCTGCAAGGTTTCTTCTGAGAAATCTGCTAATAGTCTTATAGAATTTCTGTTGTATGTGACACGTCACTTCTCTGTCATTAGTTTCAAAATTTCTTGTCTTGATGTTAGGAAATTTGACAATAATGTGTCTTGGTATGAATTTCTTTATGTTTATTTTAATTTCAGTCCATTGGGTTTCCTAGATCTGGATGTTCTTTTTCTTTCCCAGACATGAGAACTTTTTAGCAATTACTTCTTTCTATAAACTTTCTTGGTCCTTTCTCTTTATCTTCTCCTTATGGACTGTATACAAAAAGAATACTTTCATAATGTGTATATTGGTCCACTTGATGGTATCATAAAAGTCCCTTAAGTTCACACTTTCATTGTGTTTTTTTTATTTAAATTTTTGTTTCATGACTGCATAATCGCAAATGACCTGTCTTGAGGTTTGTGTATTCTTTCTTCTGCTTGTGCAAATCCACTGTCAAACTCATCTAGTAAATTTTTCAATTATTTATTTAATTCTTCAGCTCCAAGATTTACAGTTGGTTGTTTTTCACATTTTGAATATCTTTTTTGAAGTTCTCACTTTGTGCATGCATTATTTTTCTGAGCTCATTGAGCATATTTATGACACCATATCAGCTAAGGAAGAGGTTATGGGGGCCTCCCAAACTTCTCTATGTATCATTTTTAGAATTGTGTGTGTTAATTCCAAGTGAGAGGAATTTAATTGTTTCTTTTTCAGGTCTTGATCTCTCTGGTGTCTGCTAGTATGGATCAACTGGTAGAGCAGCATGCCATGAGATATTTTTTGGTTCTCAGTAGCTCCCAGACATCTTGGGTATGCCAGGTCCTGTCAGTGCTCTGACAAGTGAGACAGAAGCCAGTCTCTTGTGTAGCAAGCCACACAGTTAGAATGTTAGACAGGCAGTCCAAGTCTTTTTCTCCCTAGGGATAAGTTGATACCTGGGTAATTATGTCCACTTTCTGTGTGCTGAGGTGTGAGAGAGTGCCTATGGCAACTGCAGGCATGGGAGATCAAACTGCCATCTTATTCTCAATGACTCCCAACCTTGAGCCTTTTGCTGTCAGTGTTCAGAGTCAGATAAAACAGAAAGTAGTTTATTGACATCCTCCAGAGAAATCAGAATGATAAATGTATAGTCAATGATAAATGTAGAGTCCTGACTTTCTCTTATCTATTTTTGGAAAACCCAGGAGCTGGGTGTCTTCTCTCAATTATGAGGTATTGAGCTAGGGGAAAAGTATGGCAAGAGGATGACTCAAATATTCCATCTGACTTAAATGCAGCTTATCAATGGTGCAGTTCTCAAGCTTACCCATCATACAGGAACCTCTTAAATTGTTTCTGGATTTTTCACAAAAAAATTCAGCATCTGTGTATTGATGTGGAATCTGTGTGTCCATAGTGGGAAGGATACTCCAGAGTTTTATATTTTGCCTTCCTGCTGACATCACTCCTCTGTACATTATTGAAATTAGGTTAGTATTAGAAAGTAATAGATTTATTTGAGTTTAAATTTGAATTGTAATCTGCAAGGTAACCAGTAATAAAATAACCCTGAAAATATATAATAGCAAAAAATAAATTAAAAGAATATTAATTTTTTATATTTTTGTATATATAATTTTTAATATATTTTATATTTAATATTTATATATATATTATATATATATAAATTATATATATAATTTTCATACAGATAAATTTTATATTTATATATATATATAATATATATAAATTTGTAGTATTTATAATAAATACTACAAAATATTTACTTAAGGCAAAGTCATTAAGTGAAGAATACAAGAACAAAAATGACATAAGACATAATGATAACACGGCAAGGCCTACCATATTGGTAATTATATAAAATATAAATGTGTTAAAAATTTTAATTAAAAAGTAGTGATTAGTAAGATCACTCTAGCATAGTGAGGATAAAAAACATGGTTCACATATATGTTGTGTATGACAAAAACACTTTCTATTCAAAGATAGAATATAAAATAATGAAAAAGATATACAATATGTGTTAGTTTCCTTTACCTGCTGTAAAAAAAAACTGCCAACAACTTAGTGGCTAAAAACAACCAAATGGAAGCCAGAAGTGTAAAAATCACTATTATTGGTTAAAATCAAGGTGTCTGCAGGGCTGGCTGCACTTACTCCAGAGACTCTGAATGTAAATATGTTCAAGTTTCTGGTAACTACTGGTATTCCTTGACTTACGGCTACGTCACTGCAGTCATCAAAATAAGTCTTCAAAAGACTTTCTGCTTCATCTTAACATTGCCTTCTCTTCTGTGTGTGTGAGAAATTTCCCTCTGCCTTTTTAAAATGAGGATGCTTATGAAAGCATTTACAGCTTGTCCAGATAATCTATGATAAACTCTCCCTCTCAAGTTTCTTAATCACATCTGCAAATAGTTTGGTTTTTTTTTTTTTTCTTTTCTTATAAGGTAACATTTACAAGTTCCAGGGATTTGGACCTGATATCTTGTATCAGGGCATTATTTCACCTACCATACCATGCAAGCAATAACCAAGAAATAATTTAAGTGACTTTGATAATACAAGATGAAATAGAATTATTATACAAATCATTTACAGGCCGGGTGTGGTGGCTTACGCCTGTAATCCCAGCACTTCGGGAGGCCGAGGTGGGCGGATCACGAGGTCAGGAGATCGAGACCATCCTGGCTAACACGGTGAAACCCCGTCTCTACTAAAAATACAAAAAATTGGCCGGGTGTGGTGGCGGGCGCCTGTAGTCCCCGCTACTCGGGAGGCTGAGGCAGGAGAATGGCATGAACCTCGGAGGTGGAGCTTGCAGTGAGCCGAGATCGCGCCACAGCACTCCAGCCTGGGCGACAGAGCGAGACTCCGTCTCAAACAAACAAACAAACAAATCATTTACAGAAAATAGTTTATTGAGGCAGAGAAGGTAATTTTATACTGATAAAATATTCAATATATAAGGAAGATATAACTACTATATAATATATTTGACATATAAGCACATAAGAGAGCCCCCAAATACAGGAAGCAAAAAGGTCAAAATTTGTGTGAGAAATAGACAGTTTAATAGTATTTAGAGATACAATATTCCATTTTCAAAACTGATAGAATATTTAAGATCAACATGAAAATAAAAGGATATAACTATAAGCCAACTATATATATTAAGTTCCCTGCTAGCCTGAAGAAATAATATACAAGCAAGTCAATTACATACTCCCAGGGACTCAGGGGTCACCCCGTTTCTCATGCTATTATAAAGCATGCCTTCCACAGCTACCACCGAAGTAGCTATATTATTTTATATTTTAGTGAAATACACTGGTTTACAATGCCAAATAGTTTATTCAACTTTTATAAACACATCAACCTAACATCTTGGATCTAATTACAATCTGCAATGTAAGAAATTATTTTCTAATTTTGATTTCTTTTATTTTAATAACTGATAACTTCCTACTTTTAGTAAACTTAATTTGAGTAAATAATAATCATAATATTAAACATTTATATACTTTATTGTGTGCCAAGTTCATCACACATAAAGTAGATAATAGATGCTCAAAAGCTGTATATTTGTTGAAATAAATGCTGTATACTTAAAAAAACATAATGTAACACAATAAATGAAGTCATCTGCAACATATAATTAATTTATACTTATCTGTATTTTCTCTGGATTGATAAATATCTTTCTAACCATTTAATGTATTTTTCTTGGTTATGTCACTATATTAGGTACTCCACCCAAATGTTGAATATTTTTCAAATCCTACCCACACTATTGGCCTTAGCAAATATTATTCAAGCACCATGTAACATTAGTAGTGTGTGTTATGCAGACACTACCAGAGTTTGAACAGTACATACGCCATTTCTTGGCTGTGTGAATTTAAGCAACTTAACTTTATTTTAATATAGTAATTTTGTGTTTCAGAAAGGCAAATGATAGCCTACCTCATTAATTTGTATGAACACAAAATGAGTTAATATATGGAAAACACTTGATAATGTTACTTGTTAAATAAGAATTACCTATTATTACGTCTGCTTATAGTTAGATTTTGGGTTCCCATTTGCTACTCTCTGTCCCTCTCAGTCTACCTAGCAAATAACTCAGTGCATTATTTATTACAGATGCCTCCATAGCATAGTACTAATCCCTAAATGCCCTTTACCTTCTCTCCCTTTATCTTTCACCAAGTATATATTAAACAAATACAACAGTAATAATATCAAATAATTATCTGACATACTTTGATTTTTCTGTTCTCTAATCCTCCTCCCAGGTTTTTCTGTATCTAATTATCTCTGACAGCCTTTGAATTCACATGTTCTGTAACTAAAATTTTTGAAGAACTACAAATTATACTAAAGCAATCTGTCTTTGGACACATTGGACTTCACTTTAGGGAGACTACATTGGAGAGCCTCTACATTATACTTCAAAGCTTGTAACTATTTTTGGCTAACTTACTAGCTATGTAACATATTTCTAGAATAAATGATGCTATTTTAAAACTTACATTTTCCATATATTTTATGTACATTTGTTGTATTCATTAGTTTAAATTGTTACTGAGACTTTATCATTTCTTTTATTTTCTAAAGGATGATAATATTTGAACAAGTGTGACTTTGAGCTTGTCAAAATGGAATTCACTAATTAGAGGGGAGGATTTGCATTCAATGGTAATTATACATATTTCATATTGAGTTTACACTATAGATTAGATTGTTAATTCAGACATACAGAATTCAGAGCTCTCAAGTGGTGTCAAAATTTATTAATAATTTCAAGGGTATAGGAAATTAGGTGGAACAGACAATACAAGGAGAGGTCTCGACACTAATGGTGGCTCTGCATGTTTCTCTTTGCTGCTTCACACATGAATTTTTGCCCAGATTAAAAGAGATCTCTAAGTATATATGTTATTGCCCGAGATATTAGGGAGCATTTGTCTTGTAAAATCTGTCTATTTATAGCCCAACTTACATAACATTTTCCAAAACCATGCCCATACATCCTTAGAGTCTGGGTTTATTTTCTATAAGCAACTTTTAACAGGGTTACCTTGTTAAGAATATTCAAGTGATAAGTAACCTCTTTCTAGCAATAGTCTATTTAGTCACAAGTCAATTTACTGTACTGACAAGGAGATTAAACTAACTGATTCTTTCTTCTTGCCAGGGGCACCCCTCTGATGCAGGGAGTGAATGGATCAGGCTGTCTGTTTTAACTCTGTTTTCCCCTTTTATATTTCCAAATGATATGAGAAAAAAGGAATGTATAAAAAGTATTTCACAAGACTACTTATCTGAGAAAGAGAGCATGGGTATAGGTGCTACAGTAGTTTTGCTCTAAAAACATGTCCATTCATTCTTGTTAAACCATGTTGCACATCATTTAGTCATTTTTCAATATGTCCTTTGTCTCTCTTGACTCAGCCTATGACCATGTAGAAAACAGAATATCATTTTGATCAAATGCATTCTAAGTAGTATTTGCTAAGAAGAAAACTTAACAAAGGAATAAATAGTCAAAAATTTTGCTGACCTGAAGTATTGGTAAATTAAGCATCAAGAGCATAATACTTTATATGCTTTTATATTTTTGCTGTGTATGGTTTTATTGCTGAATATTTTATTGTAATGGCACTCATTTCTCAGAGCACACTTACTTTTATGACTTCCATGTGATTGGAATACATTAAATAAGTTAAACTTGGTTTATTATTTGAAATAGATGTGTGTGTATTCTAAATGTCACTTTACTAGCAGTCTATATTTTATATAATTCATAGGAATGGATCCCTGAAGACAAATCTCATGAACTTTCATTCGTACAAATCTTTCTCAACTGAAAATATAATAGGACATCATGTCTCTACAGACTGCACAATTCTAAAATGTGGGATAGAGTAAAGATGAACAAAACAGAAAGCCAAATCACTTATACAAGTAAAGTTATTAAGTGGAATATAAATGTGAAAATAGCTAGATCGTAGATTCTTAAAGCTACTAAATGAATGATTGTGGTTTCTTTTATACTTTATTCATTTTAAGTAGATGATACATTGTTGATGATAGATAGATTAGATAGATGATAAATAGATAGACAGATAGATACATAGATAGATAGATAGAATATCATTCTGTTTTACAATTTTTATTTTGTTTAGTAACATTTTACTTCAGGAAATGAGGCCTGAAAAATTATGCAATGTTATACCCTTTAAGAGACTTAAAAAATTCAAATAAGCAAATGCATGTTTAAAAATAGGTCCTTTCTTTTTTCACCCATTTAATTAAAAAAACATAATTTGCATATCATAAAACTCACCATTTTAAAGTGTACAAATTAGTGGGGCTTTTTTTATTATTCACAATATTGTATAGATATCACCAACAACTTTTTGCAGAAAATTTTCATCAACCTTAAACAAAATCTATAGCTATTAGCAGTTACTTCTCTTTTACCTCTACCCCCATCTCCTGGCAACTGCTAATCAACTCTTTGTCTCTATGAAGTTGCCTATTCTGTACTCTCCATATAAAATGAAATTACACTTTGTGTCTGGCCTCTCTTTTTTTAAGATGGGGGCTCAGTCTGCATTCAGGCTGGAGAGCAGTGGTGAGATCATAGCTCACTGCAGCCTCAACCTTCAGGGCTCAAGCGATGTCTCTCACCTCAGTTTCCCAAGTGTCTGGGACTATAGGTGTGTGCCACCATCCCCAGCTATTTTTCCTTTTTTTAATTTGTGGAGATGAGGTCTTGCTATTTTGCCCAGGCTGGTCTTGAACTTCCTGGCTCAAATGATCCTCCTGCCTTGGCCTCTCACAGTGCTGGGATTACAGGTGTGAGCCACCATGCTCAGGCTGGCCTTTTACTAAGCACCATATTTTCAAAATGTGCACCATTTTTAGTGTATAGAAGTATTTATTTTCTTTTATTGGCTGAAAAATATTTTCTTACATGGATATATCATATTTTGTTTATTCTTTCATCAATTAATGAACATTTGTGTTATTTCCATTATTTGACTATTCTGAATAAATCTGTAGGTGCTTTCTTGAATGATTTAATAAACTTTTCTCATATTTTATTACTATCATAAAAATAGATGGTTTATTTATATTTGTTTTTATATATATAGTTTATTTGATGGCTAAAGCTTTTTATTCAATGTTAAATAATTCAGTTCCAGAGAAGAAAATATATTGTAGTTTTATACAGTCATCATATTTACATTTTCTAAAAACTACATTTTTTGAAAAAATACTACAATTATGACTACAATATTCATACAGTAATATAAATATGAGAATGTTATGATATGATCTTGATGTCTTATCCTAAAATAGAAATATATTAAATTATCCTTTTTCATTTTTATAATTCCATTCTCAAAATAGAAAAGCCTTATTACTTCATAGAAACAGAAGTCTTTGACTTGCACATAAGTTATTTTATTACATCAATTATGAAAGAAAAAAAATAAATTATTTGATTTATATAAGTCTACCTGAGAAAATGGCAATAAGGAAATAATGAGTATAACAGTAAAACTAATGAAACAGAAAATAGAAAAATAATATTAATAAATAAATTCTGAAACTGCTTTCTTAATTTTCATAACAAATATATATTCTATAAATAAGATCTATACATATAGATGTACAGATATATAAATATAGTGTCTATGTATACATCATCATCCCTCAGTATCTGTGGATGATTGGTTCCAGTACCCCTCACTGACACCAAATTCCATGGATGCTCAAGTCCCTTATGTGAAATGATGTAATTGCATATTACTTACACATATCTTTCTGTACGCTTTAAATCATCTCTATGTGTAATGCCTCCTACAATGTAAATGCTATGTGAATAGTTGTTATACTAAATTTTTCATTTTGTATTATTTTTTATTATTGTATTGTTATTTTTGTTGTTTTATTTTACTTTTTTCAAATATTTTCCATCTGTGGTTGCTTGAATCTGCAGATGTGGAACTCGTGATAATGAAAGGCTGACATATATACATTAAATATATGATGTCCTTCTCTTTCCTCTACCACTAACTACTCTAGACACTCTCAACTTTTTCGCCCACATCAGCATCTATACATGCTAAAGTAATTCCAGTTTGAGCCCCCACTTTAAGCCTGCCCTCCACACCCAAAGCACCTTTTACTTCTACCCATTATGCTCTTAAAGTTTCCAAACCTCTCACTTTTTTAGCATCACCAACCTATAGCTCACAGGAAAAATATGGCCTGCCTCCTGTTTTCATACAGACCATAAGCTAATTATCATTTTTACAATTTTAAAGAATTTGAAACAAAAATGGAAGAAGAGATAATGTAGACCATATGTGGCACTCATACAAAGTCTAAAATATGTATTATCTGGTCTCTTACAGAAAAAAAGTGTCAATGCCCAATTTAGACAAAAGCAAAACTGGTGGTTGATACTATTTCCCCATAAATCTTAGCACCTTAGGGTGGTTCTTACCTCAGGAAACTGGTGGAAGAAAACAATCAATTCAATAGCACATGGTTGCAGTAAGGAAACTCAACTGTTTTGCTTTCAACACATGTGCTTTAAATATCTTGGACATCAGGCCACAAAGGATAGCGATCAGTGATCAGTGATCATGTAGACATGATGTAAATTAAGTGGGCTCAACAATCGCCCTTTTTTAATTCCTGGAGAGGATTTTGGATCCCAGAACAGGAAAGGGAAACTCAGGCAGAAAGAGGAATTTTCATTCAGTGGAAGAGAGGGAGCTAGGGCTCTGAAGATAGGACAACAGATGGGAGAAGTGAGAGCTGCACAGAGAGAGAACAAGGGAGATCCACAGGGGTTCCCCTCAAGTTTTCAGCAGGGGGTACCTGTGAGGAATCCACCAGTGGCCAGAAAATATCACACAATACAAGCAAAGTAACAATCTTAGAAATTTATATAGGGCCCGGAACAGTTCTTAATTAATGAGGCACTTGTTAAAACACCGAAAATATTTTGCCTGAGTAGTGGGGAAAAAAATTATGCCTGGACAAAACACAGCTGAGGTCCTGTGTATCAGATTTTAACAGTAAAAACTGAAAGCATCAAAAAAAAAAAAAAATTCCAAGTAGCTTAACTGCATTCCAGAGCAAAGTTCAAGAATATTTATAGGAATAAAAACTAAAATGTCCAGTTTGTAATAAGGTAAAATTTACAATGTCTGGACTCTAATAGAATTCACCAGGCATGCAAAGATGCAGGAAAATATAGTCTGTGATGAAGAAAAAAAAATCAATCAATTAAAACTGATATATAAATAACATAAATGGTAGAATTATTAGAAAAGGATATTAAAGCAATTATCATAACTATATTCTATATGTTCAATATTCTGAAGGAGAAATTTAGCATGCTAGAGAGAAGTATGCTATATTAAATAATTAGCCAGATCAAAAATCTAGAGATGTCTAAATGTGTAAACACTATGTCTAAAATGAAAAATCTACTGAATATGATCAGCAGAAAGTTAAATACTTCAGAAGTAAACGTTAGTGAGCTTGATGCCATAGCAATAGAACCTAGCCAAAATACAACACTCACTAAAATATGAATGAAAACTAATATATTAAAGTGAAGACTTTTTCAGACAGACAAAAGCTGAAAAAATTGATCACTAAAAAACCTTTACTTCAAGTAATTTTAAAAGACACTAACAGGCAGAAGGGAAATGAAACTGCATAGAAATTTAATTCTACAAAAAAAAATAAAGAGCACAAGGAAAAATAATTTTTTCTTATTACTTAAAATTGTTTAAATTATAACAGGCTAAGACAAATACAAAAATGAATTGTGGAGTTAAACACATACGAAAGTAAAATGTACCCAGCCCAAACAGAAAGGCTAATAGAGAGATGAGAAACATACAGTTTGGCAGATAATGTTATACTCATTAAGTTTCTTTTGGAATTTTATTGCCCAAGAATCAATGAGAAATGATCATCCAAAAATTTTACGATTAAATCATTTTGCTAAATATAGTTCTACATTGCTGACTTAAGGGTTCAAAGCTGTAATATACATAAATATATCAAACTCTGAGAAGTTCTTATATAAAATAATTTAACATGCTTTAATCCATCATTCCCAGATCATTTGACCACTAAACCATTTTATCATCATGTTAGGAGCTATTAATAGCCTAAAGAATGCACTGAGGAAAACTTTAATCTATGATGTTTCACCACTTATGTAGCTATTGGAATTTTATTGATACCTCCTTCCATTAAATATGTGTCTGAAACATCACGGGCTTTAATGTCAAGTAGTTGTGGTTTGGAAATCTGCATACACTAGTTGCTGGCTGTGCAAGTTTGGACAAGGTAATTAATATCTCTGAAACTAATTCTCCTCTTCTGTAATCAGATAGAAAAATATATCTTCCAAGACTTACTATAAAGATTAAGTGTACCTTTCTGTGTAATGGTGTAATGAAAAAAAAATCCTACTAAAGTGTATTATTTATTAATAAATTTTACATACAGTAATAAAAATATGATAACTAAACTTATCAGCAAAATAATCTGACATTATTTAATTTTACATTTGTGTTTGTTTAAAATGAGTGGAATTTACTTACCAAAAGTTTAATTTGAAAAATGAATGTTACATGAGTTGTAAAGAAAGCCAATGTAAAATAACCCAGTTATCTTTTTAGCTGAGGGAGAATATATTTTTATTGGAGGATATATTTAGCTGAACTCAGGTAAAATGGAGCACTGTATCTATTTCTAAGTGAAATGGTAAGGTAATAACGAAGAAGGTATGCAGGTTTATAAATGTAAAGCCAAAATTTTTCAAAGTACGTACATTTGGCCCCAAATAAGCAAGATTGGTCCATGCATAATAAAACTTCATAGAAATCTGTAGTGCTGACATATAAAAAAATTAAAGTTATTATTAATCATTAAAATTATATCAGATTAAAAGAAATACATGAAATTTTTCCCAGTCTTTTTCTTTCATTTTTTTTCCACAGTAAGTTTTCTGAAAGTGTGGTGCTTTAAATTTGGTAGATAACTCTCAATCATAATCATCTATCTGGGTAAATATCAGGCAAAATTATGCGGTTAATTTGAAATGTGGTCATAGACTATTAAAATAATATTATTATTCTACCTAACATTTATTTCTCTCTTCTTCCTTAGTTTAGATGTAGAGAGTGAAAGTCTGCATTTTTCCTATATTTCTCCAAAGCTTGAAACCGCATCCCAAGCTCAGCAGGTTATGTTTAGGTAGTGAATTCTAATTATAGCAATCCTGTTTCCCTAGCTTATGACTCGTTGAGAAGGAGCTGACCCAAATCGGACTCGTTAAATATGTGAGTATTCTGCTTAGTGTTGGCAGGTGCAAGGAACACATGGTTTTCTTACTGCATTTTTTTTTTCCTCTAGATACAGTTGTATCCAGACAAGTTCTCTGTCAGCCATCGTGGAAGGCTTGAGAAGAGTAAGGCTCATGGCAAAAATGAGTAACTTAGGACAATAGACAGGGGAAATGCAAGGAACTTTGTGTTTAAAACCATCAAACCACTAAATCAAGCATTCCCGATACCTAACCTGGCTTTGGAGGTTCTATTATGTGAGAAATATAAAACTGGAAGTATGTGTGTGAGAGAGTATTTCTGTCTATATGAATTAAAATTATCTTCGTTCTCTCTCTCTCTCTTTCTTTTGACAGGGTCTCACTCTATTGCCCAGGCAGGGGTGCTGTGGTGCAATCACGGCTCACTGCAGCCTCTACCTCCCAGCCTAAAGCAATCCACCCACCTCAGCCTCCTGAGGAGCTGGGATCACAGGGATATGCCACCACATTGCTGATTTTTAAACTTTTTGTAGAGTCAGGGTCTCACCATGTTGCCCAGGCTGGTCTCGAATTCCTATGCTCAGGCTCTCAAAGTGCTAGAATTACAAGCGTGAACTACTGCACCTCACCTGTTTTTGCTCTTATAATGTCAAACTCTGTATTTTCCCTTTTCTTAAAAGATGTTTCCTTTGAAGTTCTACAAAAATCATAGAAAAATAAAGGTTGGGAAGCTGCACAGGGATAATTGAGTCTTATGTTTTTCTCTCTACATTTTATTTTTTAAAATGCTATGAAATATTCATTATAAGAAGAGGGTTATTCAGAAAACATTCAACTGGCAGATTTATATAAATTTTGATTAGTGCTGCTAGGACTTATTGTTGAGAGTAAAATTTTTGGTGAAAGAACATGAAAGAAATCTCTCTACAGAGTCTTATAAACAAAGTAACAAATTCATAGCATTCTCTCGGTGTGAAGGACCTTATGGTATCTTAATCCTGATTTGTATGTATGATCTCAGATAATGCAGTTCAAATAAAAATGATAACAGATAAAATAATAACAGGAATAATAATTCAAGAGTTGATATGTAGAAATACACTGCTTAAAAGATTTACATAGAGGATTCTTTACCGAAGAACAAAGAAAACAATATTCATGCATAATTACATGACTTAATATTTGAATTGCAATAACATTTATAAAATATTTTCAGATAATACATTTGATTTTGTAATTATAAGCCACATTCAAAGGACGTTATGAGATCATTTAAAAATCTGTCCCATATGAGAAAAGGAAATTTTGCTATCGGCAGGAATACTTCTGATTGTTGTAATATTCTTCTCTTAATATACAGTGTCTATTTTCGAAGTCAAAACCTTTGCTTGGGCAAAATTAAAAAAAAATAAATTTTAAGTTAGAAGTTATGGCTCACAGAATTATTTTATTTTAGCTCTGGACAGTCATTTCAAAAGAGAAAAGGAGTGACTTTTAATAAATTATGTACATTTTATATTATACAGCAAAATATATTTATTTTTCATATCAAAGAAGTTGAAAGAATAGCTATTAAAGCTCTGTCATAGTCAAATGCATATTAATTTTATTTAAATCAAAGATATGAGAACAAAATAATTATTTTGAAGGTACCCACTAAAAGGAAGGCTATCTGATAGTATGGAGTGATTGATTTGCCTTGGAGAATTTGCCATTAAAACAATGTCTGTAGACATAGAAGAATTAGTGTTTTTTTTTGCCATGTAACTTTTTATGTTCCTCCTGTTGATAAAGAAATATTATAAGTATGTTCAATAACTGGAGTTTTCACCAATGTGAGAGTCTTTCATCTCTGTAAGCTGCTTTTTGATTTAACTTGCTTTTGGAGATCTGATCTTATAAAAAACGAGGAACTCAGATATGTTAGCTTCATGTTTCAAGGAAAGCAAATATGCTGCTCCATGTATAAATATTTAGGAATGGTTGCTATGGTGGCATAATACCCACAATGATGCTAATAATAAAGTGAAAAGGAGATGAAATAATAATTGTTCCTGAATTTATTTTTTTGATTCTTCAACTACAGCTGAATTTATCCATGGTATATCTTCAAAATATACATATTAAACATTACCAACTAGTCAGAACAGGAAGGCACACATTTTTATACCTAATATAGTGTCTAAAAGCAACACTATCTTGTTTTTGTAACACGTTATCAGGAAGACCATTGTATTGTACATATCTTTTTCTTCCAAAAAAGGATTCAAATTCCGGTCACATCTAAGGACTGACGACAAAAAGCACTAATGGGGAAATTCATGGAGGCAACTTTTCTCCTCCATAGATGGGCATTTAAAAAACAATAATGCTTCTTTAAAAATCAAATACACTATTTAGTAAGAATAAATAATCGATTTTTATTAAATTAAAACTTTTTTAAAACTAGCAGCAAAGACTTTAAAACTGTTCAAAATTAAGATTATGAAATTCCTAGAAAATTATTTATTTATTTATTTATTTATTTATTTATTTTTTATTTTTTTTTTTAGAGACGGAGTCTCCCTCTTTCTCCCAGGATGGACTGCAGTGGCGCTATCTCGGCTCACTGCAAGCTCCGCCTCCCGGGTTCACGCCATTCTCCTGCCTCAGCCTCCCGAGTAGCTGGGACTACAGGCGCCCGCCACTGCGCCCGGCTAATTTTTTGTATTTTTAGTAGAGACGGGGTTTCACCGCTTTAGCCAAGATGGTCTTGATCTCCTGACCTCGTGATCCTCCCGCCTAGGCCTCCCAAAGTACTGGGATTACAGGAGTGAGCCACCGCGCCCGGCCGAAAATTATTTTAATTAATTTATTCCTCTTCTAGGATACAACTTTATGTGTTACTATCACTACTTAAACTACTCTTGGGTTTTCCCCAAGGTCTAAACAGCTAAAAGTTTTAAATCCCTCTTGTTTTTTTTTTTTTTTAGAATTGGAAGAATTTTGTGGCACATGGTAAAGTTGCAGCTATGGCTTCTGATCTATGAAGCTTTAAGTAATTTCGTAATGAAAATCTCTTATAGATAGATATGTTTTCTTCGGGTGTTTGGAAGAAGCCATTCACTTTATGTTTTTTGTTTACCTGAGAGAAAGCATTGTTGCTTTTAAAAAAATTCATCAAATTCCTCCTATGAAGCAGGTCTTAGGTGACGAAGGAATTGCACCTACAAGTCTCTCAGGTTCACATGCTTGCCTATGTTTTCTTTATCTTGCTGTGTCTCTTAACAATATTGAAGACTTACGTGGTTATCTCCTGTGAAGTCTAGAGAATTATTCCCAATGTTTAACCCAGTGTAAGTACTGCAATACTAATTTTAATGCAATACTGCTTAAGCCTAAACTCAAAGAAATAGTCGTGTTTCCTTCATCTGGAAAAAAAGTCTCAGGTGAATACATGTTATTTTTAACCCATATCTGATTCTCATTTTGGTGTGCTATAATATTTATTGATTATATTAATGCAAAGCATAGTCAATCACTAAGGTTACCTAGATAGAATGGTTTTAAGATCTATTAGTTCTATAAACTTTCTCTTGAGAGTGAAGTAGTAAATATTTTTGTTTTTTCAGGCCATATGTTAATAGTTACAGTATATTATAACTATTAAACTCTGCTGTTATAGTGAAAACAGCCAGAGACAATATATAAATAAATGGACAATACTACCTTCCAGTAAACTTTCTTTAAACAAACAGGCTGGATTTCATCAATGAGCAGCACTGTGCCCATCCTTGCCATAGAGTCAAATAATATTCAGAAGTAAAGTTTTAATCATTGGCTTCATAAACATTCTATTTATGTATATTCATGTTATTGAGAAAGTGAGCTCTGTTTTTTAAAAAACGTATTACATGCAATTTTAGTGTTGGCAAGATTTTCCAGTATCAAGTGTTTTAACTATGAAAATAAGGTAAATGGGTATAGAAGCGGCAAGTTCCAACTTGGACTTTAAAATTGACTCTATTCCCTGAAATATGAATGTTTTCATCTTCTGTACTCTTCTGTACTCTAATCTATAATCATATTTAATGTCAGTTTTTTCAAGATCTTCTTTAAAATTTGTCACAATAATGTAATATGTATACTTACATAGATTATATGTATCCATTTTCTTTAAATGTCTGATAGCTGCCAAAATGAAAATGCCATAAGGATTTGGAAGTTTTCTCTTTTCACATAAAATAAATCATAATATTTTCAACAATTACTCTAGCAGTAGTTATGGCAATCTTGGAAAAATGACACTGAATTTATTTTACTATCCAGATTGTATATACTACCTTCATGTAATGAAGACATTTCTAGTCTTTTCTCTTTTTTTAACCAAGCAAAGAAGACAAGAAAACTAGAGAAATGCATGTAGGAAATATTAGAACATATTATCTGTCTGAATTCATAGATGATGGGATTGTATGAAATAAAATTCAAAAAGTACATTAGCATGTGTTTCTATGCCTCTCATTTTTATACTACACACATTTTTGTGGAGAAATTTTTACACACATGAAAGTCTAGGAATCGATTAATATGTTGAAAATTATATGAAGTACTACTGGTAAGCAAGAAAGGGAGACTACCAAAATTATTCATACATTCATTAAAATAGCATAAAGTGCCAAGAGAAGATGTATCAATTGTAGGTATTGAGGACAAAGATTCAACTTTAATCCTAAATAGAAATCTAGTTGTAGACCATCTTAACCAACTGCATATGCACAAAGAATTTTGCTAGGTGTACCTCTATACGTTATCCATTTTACATTCTACAATAATGTAATTTTTATATCAATGTGAGTACATAAATACTAAAAATATAGGAATAAAATGAAATTGATTTTAAAATACAAGCACAATTAAACCAATTAGTAAATTGTAAAGTCATTCATCCTGCAGTTTAATCTCTCTTTATATTTGATAAATATTTCACATAAAGAGCTCCTTCCTCTATTTTTCAATTTTGTATTTCTTTTGAAGTAATTTATTTTGCTTCCAATTAAATGATCTCATTTACTTTGTCTCTGCCTCTTATATTGAGGAAAATTAATTTTTCACTTCTTCCCTAGGGGATCATTCTCTTCAGCCTACATCACACCTGATTCTTCCTTTTAACTGCTACACACAATTTATTTACATGAATTCAATGGTGTTGAATGACTGATGGCCTAACTTGAATGCAGTACTTATCCAGATCCTTGGGGTATCACTGACTGCAATACACTTTTATTGTTGGTTTGCTTTATGAGTGAAAAATGAAAATATCACTGCAGCAATTCACTGCAAACTGCCTTTGGCAGTAAAACTGCTCCATGTAGTTTTGCTTTGTTTTCCAACCTGGTGTGATAGTAAGCACAGATTTATTAACAAAAACCAGAATAAAATCTCAGTCCATTGAAATGCAATCAATTTGTTTGTTTTGTAGAACCTCCTTTATTTGAAAACCATGTTAGGAAAAATTTCTAAGATAATTGTGTAATATTGTTATAGATATCAAGAAAATGCCAATTCATTCTTGTAATACAATCTCACTCTTCCTACAATTACTCAGATTGGAAGTTGCATCCCAAAGTTCTTTATAAACTGAAAGACCTTCTAAAAATATATAATGAATTATGTTTATTATTACTATTATGATTATTTACTATTATTTTCCATAACACTAACTTTCCTGAATATGCATTTTTTTTCACCTAACAAGAAAACTTACTTCCATATATCTTTTGAATGTAGGACAAAAATTATTTAGAGTCTAGAACATACCAGGAAGCATATTTGTGGACTTGCTTATCTCTTGACACAGTCTGACACTTATTCTTTCAAATATTTTTAGTCATTTGTATTTTATAATATTTTCTGAAGAGAAAAAATAACACAATTTAAGCTGAAAATGTTGGCATTTATACTAAGCAGTGGCCATGCTATGCTAATAGGAGAATATCATATCTCTATGTGTGGAAATAGAGAAAAGTTCTAACAAGAAATTTTATTGTGTACACTTCTATAGTACCCCACAATACCTTCAGAGCTTAAAGAAGAAACTTTTTCTTAAAGACAAAAGAAAGGATAAATGCAAACAAAGCAACATGCAAGACATTTAACTAAAAGGAAAAGGCCTTAAAAGTAAACTCAGGATCCTACAATCATTCTTCCAGAAACATATTTATTTCAGAAATTCGTACCAAACATATTTCTAGAAGTTTGTAACATTTATTTGGATTTTTGGTGTTACAAACATTTCTAGATTTGGGAAAGACAAAAAATAATTTTTGAAATTATCAATGTAAGCATTTAAAAATGTCAAAAATATCTAGAGCAGTTTACTGATAACTGCTCACTTAGTTGCCTTAATTGGCCAAAGTAAGTTAAAAAAAGAAACCCTGGTTGCTTACAGTTGCATACATCTGTAATCCCAGCACTTTGGGAGGCCAAAGTGGGCAGATGGCTTGAGTCCAGGCGTTGGAGACCAGCTTGGGTGACATAATTAAACCCCATCTCTACAAATAAATACAAAAATTAAACTAGTATGGTGGTGCACACATGTAGTTCCAGTCACTCAGGAGGCTGAGGTGGGAGGATTGCTTGAACCCAGGAGGTTGAGGCTGCCGTAAGATAAAATCAGGCCACTGCACTCCAGCCTGGGCAATAGAGTGAGACTCTGTCTCAAAAAATAAAAAATAAAAATAATGAGAAAGGAAGAGAGAGACAAAAACCCTTATAGTAACATTTGGTTTTCATATAAGGCTCATAGAAAAACATATTTCCAAGATATAGTACCATGTAACAGGTCATTTCCATGGGCTGGAAATTATCTGGTAAGAAATTTAAAGATATGGAATAAAAATCAGAACGACAACAGCATGCACAATACAATACTAAGCAGAGTGAAGTAGTTAGCATATTCCATGTTAGCTTTTTACCAGAAAACTCATAACATGATTCAAAGGACATTAACTTTTTCAATTCAGGTGAAAAATATAGATGTTCAAAAGATTGATGGATTTGATAAACAATTAGCTAAGTGACTGGCTAGAACTTCATAACTTTGAGAATGCTTTTTTCTAACGAAATTTAAAGAGAAAACATAAAATTACCCCTAAAAACATCAAGCTACAAATAGCTGGTATTAGTTCCTCATGAGAGTCACAAAGTTTCTGGTTAAAAAACAATATGGATTGATTATTAACCATTCTGCTATTTAAATATATATATATATATATATATATATATATATATATATATAAATTATTTCAGTTGAACAGAGGTAGCCTTGCTCAATTACCATTTATGTTAATATTATAATGTTAAGTATAAGTCAACCCAGATTAGATACTTACTTCTAATAATGGTAAATTTTTAATTATTTATCATGCAAAAGGATTCAGAATGCATATACAAATTAAATTCCTCCACTTAGGAAGGAGGTTTAAGCCTTGCTTCTATAAAATCTTCCCCACAAGATGGTACAAATAAACTTGTAAAAAACAAAATTACACTGTTGTATTTATTTTTTACTTACATTTTAAATATTCTGACAGCAAGGAAAGAATCACAAAACTAGGAAGGGAGTGAATTAAGCACCTACATATTGCTCATAATATTTCTTGTTTAATTAATATTTACATAAGGTGAGCTTTCTTATTTCTGATTCTTGATGGGGAGAATAAAATTCAGACATTAGCTTTGAAAGATGGCAGTTAACAACTAGCACTTTGCATAGCGTAGTTTTCAGACTGGGCCTGTTTTCACACAAATAATATTTACTAATGTTTTACGTAATTCATATTATGGGCAGATTGGTAATCTAAATAACAGAGATTTAGCCATCAATGAATGCTCTGTTTTGTTGACTAAATGTGATCTAAGTATTGGTAATACGTTAAAAGAAAACCTAAAAATGGAGGTTATAAATTTTGAATTTTTTTCTCCATCACTCCATTAGATAATTGACATCCCTTCAGCAATTAGTTTAAATTCTGTTGTGTTCTTTTTTTAAATTATATGTGTTGTGTAATATTATTTTTTTAAATGATAAGTTTAAAATATTATAAAATCTAGAGTAGCCATACGTACATTTCAAACAAAGAATTATACTTAGTAAGTCAAGGGAGAAGATATGGTAGAATAGTAAGACATAATCAATTTATGAAAAAAAAAGGAAACAGAAGAGATAACAGACTAGAGCAGATAAATATAAATAGAACAGACAAAAACAAAATCATTTGTTTAAGGATTTAAAATCATTGTTTAAGGAACTTTAAAGATTTTGAAGAAAATCAGACACCAATAAAGATGTTTAATTTTAAATAACAGAGTCTTTCACGGAGGTGATACAGACGGGAAGCAGTCAAGGGCTCAGCGAAACCTTGCCTTCAAGCCTAAAACAGCCTAAAGGCTGAAAATCCAGACTGCTGGTCCTTGATGAAGCCCCCCATTTTCCCAACTGATTCTTTCTGAATAATGCCCACCTGTGCACTGGGAGTACCGGGAACTGAGTGGAGCTTTGGGAAGTTCGCGCCATTTGTAGCAGGGAGGAGCCTGGCCTCTCCAGTTCTCGTGTGGTGACGTAGGATTCAACCTGTGAGATGGGGCATGTTAACAGGAACCCTTCTCAGTGTGCTGAGATTTTTCCCTTTCGTCCAGTAAATTCTGTTTCCCTCACTTACCCTTCAAAGTGTCTGCGCGCCTAATCTCTCCTGGTTGTGTGACAAGAACTCGGTTTTCTTCTACAACAGAGGCAGTGGAATATACTGGAAAGAAGACTAATCTGTTTGGCTGTTGAAGGTGCTAATTCCAAATGAGTCCTCATTGGCATATTGGCTACTTTCATTGCGTTAAGGGAAAAGGAAGAGTTTGACATGGACTAAAGATGAGTAAAACACACATAACCTTAGCCAAAGTGCATGTTTTTGCAATGCTTTTTTTTTTTTTTTTTTTTTTTTTTTTTTTTTTTTTTGAGACGGAGTCTGGCTCTGTCGCCCAGGCTGGACTGCACTGGTGCCATCTCGGCTCACTGCAAGCTCCGCCTCCCGGGTTCACACCATTCTCCTGCCTCAGCCTCCCGAGTAGCTGGGACTACAGGCGCCCGCCACCACGCCCGGCTAATTTTTTGTATTTTTAGTAGAGACAGGGTTTTACTGTGTTAGCCAGGATGGTCTCGATATCCTGACCTTGTGATCCAGCCGCCTCAGCCTCCCAGAGTGCTGGGATTACAGGCGTGAGACACCGCGGCCGGCCGCTTTTTTTTTTTTTTGAGATGGAGTTTTACTCTATTGCCCAGGCTAGAGTGCAGTGGCGCAGTCTCAGCTCACTGCAACCTCCGCCTCCTGAGATCCAGCGATTCTTCTGCCTCAGCCTCCCAAGTAACTGGGATTACAGGCATGAGCCACCGTGCCCAGCTGCAATGCAATATTAGGAAAGACAAAATCAAGCCAAAGTATTGTCATCAAGGTGTTTGATTTGTTTAGCTCTTCTTGAGAAATACAGAACTAAGATTACAGTGTGAAAATGTAGGGTGGAGAAGTGGTGTTAAACTGAGTTAATCTGTGATTTGTTAGGCTCTATTGTGCTTTGACTTGGAGCTATCATGGGTGAGAGGTGAAAATTATACTTCCTTATGTTTTGTTTTCCTTTTTGTTTTAGAGACAGGGTCTAGGGTCTCTCTTTGACATCCAGGCTGGAGGGCAGTGGCACAATCACAGCTTACTGCAGCCTCAACTTCCTGGACTCAAGTGATCCTCCCACCTCAGCCTCCTGAGTAGCTGGGACTACAGGTGTGTGCCACTATGTCTGGCTAATTTTTAAAATTTTTTGTAGAGACAGGACCTGAATATTTTTTCTAGGCTGGTC
Source organism: Homo sapiens (assembly GCF_000001405.40). Taxonomy (NCBI): domain Eukaryota; kingdom Metazoa; phylum Chordata; class Mammalia; order Primates; family Hominidae; genus Homo; species Homo sapiens. The sequence continues at coordinate 59,458,212 of NC_000004.12, read as the reverse complement.
CTGAACTCCTGGCTACAAGCCATCCTCCTGCGTAGGCCTCCCAAACTGCTAGGACTACAAGTCTTCTTGAAGTGGTACTTTAGCAATGCTAAATTAAAAAGACTAGAAAAAATTACCAAATTTATTTCCTCAAAGGACTATCCAAGTTGTTTGAATCAGTCTACTTTTATACCTCCGCCAGGAATTTGGAGCTAATATTTTTATATACTAGTTCTAGGGGATCATCTGGCTGAAAGATTGAAAGAAAGCTGAACTGCCCAGTGTCAGAATAGCTTATTCGAAGAGTGAGCCAAAGATGCAAGCGTTAAGCCTTTAAGCATTTACTGTGATGGGATAATCATAGATTTTCCTTGTTCTGTTTTCTTCCATGAAACAGGACGATTTCAGGCTCAGGGAATCCTCTCACTTGAGGGAACCCTAAACAAAAGGCTCCAGCAGTTTTATGTACTTTGGGATGGGAGAGGGTCAGCGGGAAGGACTAGGAGTGGAAAAGTACTGGGTACTGAGTTAAAGTGGGGAAAGTGTCTTGAAAATCCACCCTCCCACCACCATAAGGAGGTAATGGCAGAGATAATCTGAAGAGGACAGTGGCCAAAGGCCTCAGAGACCTAGGAGTAACAGTGCCTGGCAAGGAATAAAAATATGCTAAAAGCATAACTGGCCAGTCCTAGCCTCACAGTCCTTGACTGCAACTTTCTTTAGATACAGCAGTGCATTGGCTATGCACAAGTCTGTTGTATGGGGAGCAGCTTTTCCCTTGAGACCTGCTAGGTAAAGCCTTTGCAATTTCTCATAGCCTGGCCTGAAAAATCATATGAAGTTGTTATCTAAGAGCCAGACTCCCTAACCCGTTTTATAATTTACAAAATTAGTGGAGTGATTACAATTGCTTAGCCCTATCTCACAAGACTATTGAAAGATTTCTGTGAGATATATATTTGATTGTAAGATCAAATAATGTCTAGTAACTATTATTGTTTTTGGAAAGACATAGTCATAATAAAAGTGTTCACAATAAAATAAAACGTTAGAACACTTTTTGTTTCACCTACTAATGGTTTATTTTAGTTTAAGAACTAAAGACCACAAGAAAGTCAAATATAAATTCATCAGCCATTATCGGACCAACCTCAGAAGTATTGAGCACTATAGAAATGAAAATGATTATCAGTGAAATAGAGAGCAATAGATTAGATCAATTTACCTTTTCAATTAGCACCCCAAAACCAGAGAAATATTTAAATTGTCTGACAAGTTTTTGCAGTGTCTATGACTGTAAGATGAATTTATTTTTTGAATATGTAGCAATTGAAAAAAGTGTGTATCACTGAAAATAGTATGTCAAGCTTTCAACAAAACAGAACAAATCATAACTGCCTATTGCCTACTTTTTCTCTACTCTTAGAAAGCTTCAAAAACAAATAAGAACACTTTTACACTGTTGGTGGGACTGTAAACTAGTTCAACCATTGTGGAAGTCACTGTGGCGATTCCTCAGGGATCTAGAACTAGAAATACCATTTGACCCAGCCATCCCATTACTGGGTATATACCCAAAGGATTATAAATCATGCTGCTATAAAGACACATGCACACGTATGTTTATTGTGGCACTATTCACAATAGCAAATACTTGGAACCAACCCAAATGTCCATCAATAATTAACTGGATTAAGAAAATGTGGCACATATGCATCATGGAATACTATGCAGCCATAAAAAATGATGAGTTCATGTCCTTTGTAGGGACATGGGTGAAGCTGGAAACCATCATTCTCAATAAACTATCGCAAGGACAAAAAACCAAACACTGCATATTCTCACTCATAGGTGGGAATTGAACAATGAGAACACATGGACACAGGAAGGGGAACATCACACAGTGGGGCCTGTTGAGGGGTGGGGAGAGGGGGGAGGGATAGCATTAGGAGATATACCTAATGTTAACGAGTTAATGGGTGCAGCACACCAACATGGCACATATATGCATACATAACAAACCTGCACATTGTGCATATGTACCCTAAAACTTAAAGTATAATAATAAAAAAAAATTAGAAAGAAAGCATATGGGAAAATAAATATGATTTATGTTTTTAAGTATATATATATATCCTAATATATAAGGGGGAGAATCATTTCTTTGCACATCTGGATTTCCCAGATATAACCTCTCTTATATTTACCTGCAGCCACAGAAAAAGACCTTTGATCTGTAGAAATGTGCCTTACTGAACAGCTTAAGCTTGAAATCAGAAAAAGAAAGTACCAGGGGAACATTCCCCATAGTATGACTAATGGACTATGTGTTCCTCTGGAAACAGACTCAGGCCAAAACCATTTTACAGAGAAAATAATTTACCTGAAATTTCTGAGAGTAAAAGTTAAATGAATGCAGTTCAACCAAAAACAAAGCCTTTTCTTCCTACCATAGCTTCATCTATGCTTCCTTGATGCTCTTTAAGTGATACTAAATTTTGAATATTACATACTACGATGTTAGTTTTTAGATTTTAATGAACTGAATAACATAACACTAGAAAAAGAAAATAGTATCAACAGAAATATTTTGGAACAAATATAGAGAAAATAAGAAAAAGAGGCAGAAGGAAAATAGTATTAAAGATCTGAGGTGATTATTGCTTAATCTAGGGTGGAAGAGAAATATTTTATGCTATTGCGATAAATGAGATGAGGATAGTTGGCAGTGCTTTGTATTTTGGTGAAAAAATGATCAAGTTCTGGAAGCAAAGATTTATACTAAATGTCATAGATAGAAACCAGATTTAATTTGTGTTAAATGAATAAAGTCAAAGTTTACTGTATATGATGAAACTATTGCTTGTTAGAAATGGAGATTTAGATAACATGATTCATTCAACTTTCATTTGTTAATTTAAATAATTAAAAAGATATGACTTATTTAGATGTATATGCTAAGACAATAAGATATGGTAAAAAAAATATGTTTTAAGGAAAACTACACTTTATTTATTGCTTCTAAGATGTTGCACTCAACTTTCTTTAAAAGACCTACCATACGTTAAAGTCTTTTGGTTATTGCAAATCAATTATTTGGTACATAAGCTATTTTTTTTTAAAATGTAGCCCAACTTTTCTATTCTTTTTGTCAGGAAGAAAAATAACTGGGCCTGTTATCTTTCACATCTAGATAAGTGATATAGTCAGGGATATAACTAAGCTGAAGGAGAAAATTTCCAGAGGTCAATGCAATAGTGGCAGAGTATAACTGGAAGACTTCCCATTATTAAAAATCTCCTATTTTTCACCAAATAAGAATTTCCCTAACAAGCATCATATTGTGTTATCTGCAGTATGGTCATGAAACTGACAATTCAATTCTACTTTGGGTGTTGAGTATTAAAAGTAATCAAATAGATTTTCATTTACCCCAGGCTATCTCTCTGTCTCTGTCCTCTCTCTCTCTCTCTACACACACACACACAGACAGACACATAGTCATCCCAGTCAGGCAAAGGGTAAATAAAAATATTTTTTATTTATAAAATATTTTGAAATTGATCCAAAGGCTAAATAAAAATATTCATATAAACCATATAAGGAAAGACCCCACAAGAGGGTCTTCTTAAAACTCCATGTACTCTTCAATAATATTTATTGTTAATTTGCCTAGTATACCAGACACCGAGATGACAGCATGCCCAAGATATACCTCCTACTATCTAAGAATATTAGTATTGTCTTTGAATTTATTTCTTGTATACCTCAGGCTCTTTCTTCTTAGTTCTCAAAACAACTTTTATTCTCTACCGAATGACTAAGTATTTGCCCAATATTTGTATTCTATCTTTTCTATAGTAAAATTTTCTTTCTATAACTACATTCTGTGCATTCTCATTCTCTTGCCTTCCGTTGTGATTAATAATGCTGATTGAGGAATCTCAGATATTAATCTCAAGGTTAGACCTCCTGTCTGCATTACCCAATCAAATCTTAAACACAAATGAATAAAACTAACATCTCCAGTCCAAGATACCACTGCAGATGTAATTTTCTTTAACAATTAGATGTGTATTTTGCTCAATATTTTCTGTGCATGAGTTTATATGTAAAGACAAAGAACATATTTAGAATATATAGAATATATCTTGAATAGTAATTTAGCACATGCTAATTCACTTAACGTTATACCTTACAGGTTGAAAATCCAAACTAAAATATTTTAAGAAAATTTGAAAGGTAAAGTAATTAATGTTACATAATTTTTGAAGTATTTATTGGTTAAAAAATTTGTCTTACTATATTGTTGGATGTATATAATAAATTTATTCAAAATGTATTTTCAAATATGTAGATATTTTATTAGAAATATAATGCATTATTACATAACTTAGAAGCAATACAATTAGTGTTCACATTAGTTTTGTGAACAAGAAAAAATACATAACCCAAGTAATTGTTCTTGATATATGGTAATGAAAATTCAACATTTTTTACCATATATTTCTGCATGCTATGTCACTGATATTTCTATTAAATGATTTTTGTAAAAACATTTTAAATATAGTATTATTTCAATTATTTTTGTAATATTGCCTATTCTCTTTGAAACAATCATGATTGTACCTTTTCTTCAAATATATATTTTATTAGAATAGAAATTGAGAAAAAATTGAAGTAGCTAAATTTTAAATTATTTTCATGTTTTTAATTCAATTAAGCTATGATAAATGGCCTTGGGCCAGTTTACAGTATCATTAGCAGAGTAAGACAATACCCTTTTTAGCACTGAAAATATCAGAGTGAATTTTTCCAATGTGGTGATGATAATAGCATCTCATGTTTGTTTTAATGTGAATTTTTCATCTCTTATTAGTGAAGTTGAATTTTTGCATTATCTGTGCAGTGACACATCTTCTCAATCTTGCTTTCTTATATTGCTTTATTGTTTTTTGAAAATAAAATTTCCTTTGTGAATAAACTAAAAAGAGATTTCTTAGATCTTTCACATATTTTTATTCACACAGGCAGTGAACATGTATAATCCAATTTAATATCTCTTTATCTCATTCCTTCTCTTTCAATATCAATAGAAATGTTCAGATTTGAGTTTCCAGGTTTCATTGACATTTTTTCTTCCTACTTTATATTCTCATGTTCTTTGTTCCTAACACAATCTGTCCTTTCTAGGGGTTGGTATTTTTTTGCTTGACCACTTGGGAATTTTCTATGGATTGTCTAAACTCATTTTCTGCTAGGCTGGGTCAAAGTGATCATTGGTCTATACTAGTAATATGAAAAAAGCCAGAGCAGACACCAGACCAGAAGACCTAGATCTGATACGTTGATTTTCAGGGAATGCAAGGAGGGTGTATTAGGGTTCTCTTAGAGGGACAGAACTAATAGGATATATATATATATATATATATGAAGGGGAGTTTATTAAGTATTAATTTATGATCACAAGGTCTCACAGTAGGCTGTCTGCAAGCTGAGGAGCAAGGAGACCCAGTTGGAGTCCCAAAACTGAAGAACTTGGAGTCCAGTGTTCCAGGGCAGGAAGCATCCATGTGGCAGAAAGATGTAGGCTGGGAGACTAGGCCTGTCTCTCCTTTTCATGTTTTTCTGCTTGCTTTATAGTCCCTGGAAACTGATTAGATTGTGCCCACCAGATTAAGGGTAGATCTGCCTTCCCCAGCCCACTGACTCAAATGTTAATCTCTTTTGGCAACACTCACACAGACACACCCAGGATTATTACTTTGTATCCCTCAATCCAATCAAGTTGACACTCAGTATTAACCAACACAGAGGGCTAAGATGAAACACTGGATAAATAAGAAAAAGCTTAGTAAGTGATTGACGGTTGCTAACTACTGGTAGGCCTTTGGTTGGGATGGATGGCTAGCTAGCTAGCTAGCTAGCTAGATAGATAGATAGATAGATAGATAGATATGAGAGAAAGAGAGAGAAAGAATGAGAGAGAGAGAGAGAGAGAGAGAGAGAGAGAGAGAGATGAGAGATTCAGATAGGACATGAAGAAAATACCAGAGGGAAAACAATCCTGAAGATTTGGGAAGTTATTCAATTAGTGGCCACTGGTAAGTGGAAGTTTGTAGAGAGTGAGATGGTTTAGAACTCTTCCTCATATTTATAAATAATAATACTAATCATCCACAGAGGAAATGGATTGTTTCTCAGTTGAAGTTATAAGTTTGTTGGCAATCTATACGAAGTATCTATGACCAAGGACTACATCTAAAACCATAGATTTACAAATAAAGAGAAAGTTATTAAAAGTTATATGATAAAAATGAATACTATAAAAATCAAATAAAACTCAATACAAGTTAAAACTACAAGATAACCCAGTAAGGAAGAGAGACTTAAAAATTCTAAGTATAAAAAAAGTTAAAATTAAACAAATATAAATAAAATTAGAATTTAAAATATGAGATGCAAAGTCTGATGACAGGAATCTCCAGCACCCCCTTGATGCTATTTCCCCAGACCTCATTCTAGTTCTGCCACTGACACCCAAATATTTGCCTATATAAAGAAGATTTGCCTCAGGAAGCAGGAAACAGTTGGGGCCAGCTGATATTCCTCAGTCATTATAGCTAAAGGCAGCTAAATATTTGAAGTCAATAAAAATACCATGCTTTGTACAACTTATAAAAGAAATCTATCAGTAGGTAACTTGAGGAAATCTTTGCAAATTTGTGTTAAGCCATTTAATCAAATCCTGATTTTCTAAGTAGTTCATAATAAAATGTTCACATTTAACTAAACTTAATAGTTAAGGGTATTATGGTTTCTAGCTTCATCCATGTCACAAGAACAGAAAACCAAACATGGCATGTTCTCACTCATAAGAGGGAGTTGAACAATGAGAACACATGGACACAGGGAGGGGAACACCACACACCAGAGCCTGCTGAGGGTATGGGGGCTAGAGAAGGGATAGCATTAGGAGAAATACCTAAGGTAGGTGATGGGTTGATGGGTGCAGCAAACCACCATGACACATGTGTACCTATGTAACAAGACTGCACGTTCTGCACAAGTACTCCAGAAATTAAAATAAAATAAAATAAAAAATTAAAAAATAGTTAAAGATAATTAACTATTCATTTTCTTTTACAGCTTTCCTAATGTTTTCTGGCACATGCTAGCTAGATATATTTTATTTTCTTGGGTGTATATAACAAGTCTACTTTCCAGAGTCCTTGATGTTACATGGACCATTTAGTTGAGTTTTCACCAGTAGAAAGAGGGCAAAAGTGATGATGCATACTGCTTCCAAATTTGCCCCATGTTTTTCCATGCTAATTTTTCCCTTTCCAAAGCAACCTTAGAATTCACTGGTTGAACATATCTGAGTTTTAGGAAGCAAGGAGACTGGAATTCCGAGAGTCATCACTTGCAGGAGGGTTGTTCTACCAGGGGAATCCACACTGAACTTGACTATCAACAACTATTTTGTTAAATCCCTGATATTTGTAATTCCTCTTTACAGCAGTTAGCCTTTGTTAACTTGCTTTGATTAATTGTGACCCAAATTCTGCCACCACCTCAGTCTTGCTACTTTCTCTGACACTGATGGTTTTAATTCCATTCTTGTCATATTAATATTATGTTTAAAAACTTTTTCTGGAAGACAAAAATTTACTTTTACCCAACTACATATGGAACTCCTGCTACTTTTTCCCTAAAAGTTAACACACGAAGAAATTAATTTTTCACTAGAGATACATCATCTATTCTTACAATCATAATTTGCTTTCCATTTTGTTCACTCTATTTTGTCTTGAAAATCATCTTTTCCCAGGTAAACATCGATGCTGATTTATATGCAATAGGAATTTACATAGCGATCTGCCAGTTGTCAGTAATGAGTTTCAAATAAAGATATTTTACTTTATAAGAAATCTCTCTCATAAAAAGGACAAGTATAACTTAAAACGGAACATGGTATAAAGATATCAAAATGTTTAATTAGTGTCATTTGTGAATTAAACACACTTTTATTGACTACATTCTTCGTTATATGCCCTATATTAAATATTGGAAATGTAACACTAAGAATAATGTAGTTAATGATTATAGTAGAGAATAAAATACCACTATATAGGAAAAATACAGCATGACCAGAGGGCATATAACAGGGGTCTTAATGAAGTCAGAAAATTTGAGGAGGCCTCCTCTGATATGAGGTTTAAGTTGAGTGCTAAGGTATGAATTATCTACATAGTCATAAGACAAGATAGTGGAAAAGTTCTAGAGGAGAGAGAAATCCTTTATGAAGTTTCTAAGACAGACAACAGTTTATTAACCATAAGAACAGATCATAATTAAAGGAAGAATAATGAGAAATAAGGCAAGTTCTACATTGTCAGGGACTTACCAGCCAAAATAAGAATTTTGGAATTTATCACAAAAGCAAAGGTAACCCATTGAGTGATTTTTTAACATGAGAATGGCATCATTAAATTTGCATTAAAAGTAGTGCATGCATTGATTTTAAAAAGTGACAGTAGAAATCAGAGAATCATTTAGGAGGTGGTTTCTACAGTCCAGGAAAAATACAACAATACCTTATGATCATTTTAGTTTCTTTTGTCTTTTAACATTGTATTTTTAAAAACCTTGACATTATCTTGTTTCATTCTTCTAATCTATCTACCTTCAGGAATTTCATCTTTTAGGTATTTACCTTGAGTAGACTTAAAATAAAAAGCTAACCATCAATTATTTCTTAATTTGTTTTAAGCCTCGTGTTGCCATCAATTTGAATTTAAGGGAAAAAACCTTTTAATTTCAACTCTGGTCTAGGAAAGTGAATGACTTAAAAGAATACATTAAAATAAAATGAAGACGTTAATTCATGTATAAGCTACTAGTGAACTTCTGCCAGCAGTACGAATTGAAAGAGAATGATTAATTCGTTTAACAGTCAATCCACTAACATCTATCTGAATTCAGCACCTGAAATGGAAAATAAGTATATGGGGAGTTAAGATGTTTTAGGGATAAAATAGAAATACCAGGGACATTATGTTTATTTTTGCATTTTTTCTCATATGTAATCTTTAAATTTCTATTTTCAAATTCCTATTTTATCTCTTCTGAATTCTGTCTTCCTCTTTTTCTTGACTCTCAAGCATAGTTATTATTTCATGCTATGTTTCACAAATTAATGGTAAGGAAATGAATAAATGTGTCAGAAATGCTCGTAAAACTGCCTAATGGATTATACACAAAAGCCAGTCTGAAAATATGTTTGTTATTATCAGTTTTTCAATAATTGCTCTACCAGAATGTAGAAATTTGTTTAAATCTTTTTGTAAATCAGGAAGACCCTTCAAGTTAAAACAAAATCTATTAGATCTAAACGTTTTCATTAACTTTTGGAATTTAAGTTTATTAATGCATGTTTATTAGGACAGTAGTAAATGGATTTCCGTTTTGCATTAGACAGGGATGTCTACTTTCTTACAGTTCTTTGCCTATAGATAATATCATATCTGGAAACAAATAGAGCAGCAATATAATACTTCAGATTCTTTGGCTTTAAAATTAATTTTGAAGTAATATCACTAACTCTACACTTTTTAAATAGTAAGATATAATACTCAAATTATTTTAAAAGAAGTATAGAAATTTAATATGTTTTTCTTCCAATATTATTTTTCTCATAATTTCAAGACCTTCACTCACTCTTCCCACTCCCAGACTCTGTTGGGGGACCTTTCCTATATGAATGATCACATTTTGTGTGTGTTTTTTTGGGGGGAGGGGTTTCTAGAGTAGAAAATGAATTTTTACCTGGAATATAATTTATGTATGTATTCATACTCAAAATAATTTGATTGACTTACACACTGTGTTTCTAATAGCACTACAGAAATAATTATAAAAGTTTTTTCCAGCTTTCAATCACATGTAGAAGACAAACAAACTACATAGTGTATACCTAAATCCCAAATAATTTAAATTGAATATTAGGTCTATTACATAGAATAATAAAGCAAATGCGGCTATAATAGTTTCAAGGAAGAGGTTGAAAGACGTTCTTTAAAAAAGCAAAGTGGATTCCTTTACATGGAGATGGAGGAGAATGACTTGGCTCTACGTAAAGAGACCAGGTTGAGCAGAGGTGTAAAGGCATGTTTGAATATGATGAATGTAGAGCTTTTGTAGCCTAACGTCACTGAAAGAGACCTCATTCCTTACTGGATAATGAACAATGCCTCAGTGCATCTTTAACTATCCAGAGAAACCGAACCACAAGGGTTTGACTGTAAGTAATTTGGGAGTTGGTGAAACAGTCTCCATGAGGCTGTTGTTTCTGAGTCCAGTTCTAGAACCTGTAGTCCTCAGGGGAGGCTGTGGGATGGGAAGACAAAAAGGAATCCGGGAGAGCAAGGATATGCCTTAGAAGGCTAAGTTAGAACACATGATGATGACCTGCAACCTGAAGGGGTCTTTCAATACCTCTAAATAGTGATGGGTGGCTTTGTGGGGGCAATTGGCATCCTTCGTTAAGGAGTTAAACATTGGCCTAGTTGTTGAGGAAGCTTAAGAGGGAACCTGGGGAACCGGAAAATGTGTGGTCCCTACTGTTGCCCACACCAACCAGAAAGGCAGCCGATAAGTAACAATATTCATGAACTGCAGCTTGACTGCAGTCTTGCAAATCATCCACAAAAGGTCTGTGACCCCAGCTAACCTGGAATTACCAAATGAAGAGAATTCTGGAGACATGTGTTTAGCTTATGTAAGTGACCAGTGTACACATTCATAAACAATTCATACTACAAAAGAATTGAAAAGCTAAGTGGAGGAATTTATCCTTAATACTATGGGCAATATTTAGCCCTTGTAAAATCCTGAATCTTGAGACAAAAATAGTAAATGACATACATATACATATAATTTCTTACTAGATATATATGTGTATATACATATTCTTTGCATATGTTTGTATATCATGTTATGTATTACATATATAGCATATTAGAGTATACAAAATGATAAAATGATAAAAATTTACAGGAGTGAAAATCTTACATTATTTAACAGTTTACATGAAGGTGAATATTATACTATTTCTGAATATATTCCAAAATATTAGCATACGGAGGTATATAATTTGATATCTTGAAATATGTATTTGCTCATGAAGCCATCACCACAATCAAGACAGAGAGCATGTTCAACATAGAGAATATACCCTAACGTTTTCTCATGCCTTTTTGTAATTTTTTAATCTTTCCTTTTCATCCTTCCTACCCAGGCAACCACTGACCTATTTTCCATCACAATACAATTGTTGCAATTCCTAGAATTTTACATAAATTTAATAATATAGTACATATACGTTTTTGTCTGACTTATTTCTCTCAATATAATTTTTTTGAAATTTATTCATCTTGTTGTATCTATCATGAATTCACTCAATTCTCTTAACAGTATTTCATCATATAAATGGGTCAAAATGCGTTTATTTATCCCCATGTCATTGGACCTCTGTGTTTCTAGTTTTTTGCTACTAAAAATGAAACATCTGTGAACATCATGTGTATTCCTTTGTATGAAAATGTGCCTTCATTCTTCTTTGGAAAATAAGTCAGAGTAAAATCGTTGGATCACATAATAGGTAAATGTTTAATGATTGAAAAAGCTTCTAACTTTTTTTTCAAAGTTATCATTTTGCATTTCTACTAGTTTATCAAAGTTCAATTTACCTTTCACTTTCACCAACACTTGCTTAGGTCAATCTTTTAAAATTTCAGCCACTCTAGTAAGAGTGTAGTGGTATCATGTTGTGATTTTATTTTGCATTTTTCTAATGATATGATGGTGTTAGGCGTCTTTACTGATGTTTATTTGCCATTCTTTGTTGAAATGTCTTCTAACATATTTTGGAAAAAGGATGTTTGCTTATTCTTTTATTTTGAGTGTTGTTATTTAAACTATAAGTACTGTTTCAGATAGCTGGTTTGAATATGTTCTCTTAGTTTGATTTTTGCATTTTATTAAAAATATCTTTTGAAAGTTCAACTTATCAATTATTCTTTTTTGGATTGTGCTTTTCTAAGAACTCTTACCTTAACCAAATATTACAACAAGTTATCTCTCTTTTAGTTTGACATTTTATATTTCAGTTCTATGATCCATTTTGAATTAATGTTTGCATATATTGCAAGTTATGAGTTCCCCTTCATTTTGATATTGCCTGGAAACTCATTCTAGGCAGTTTTTCAGCATTTTAGGTCATACCTTACTGTAACCCATCTTTCAGGGATCACTGTCTTTTGTTAGCTGATAAACAATATGTTGAAATTGTTTTTCCATATATTTTTATGTTTAATTTTTTCCAGTTTTTTTAGATGGAGTAAATCTTGCTACAGTTACTCCATTTTGGGCAGAAGAAATTTCCTGTAGCTCCATTTGAATACCACAGCATCATAGAATATTGAGAGTTGAAAAGAACCTTATAGAAGTCAAGAGGTACATATCCCAGTGAGTATATCAGAGACACTGGGGGAATTTTTTCAAAGTGTATGTATATCCTAATCCCACCCAGTCCAAATTAATTAACATAACCTCTATGACTTTTTGAGAAAGAAGGGAGGTGGGGTGGGCATGTTGAAAAATTTTATTAGTGATTTGGTTCTTATTCCTAGTTAAGTATAATCAACTTACTCCAAATCCCAATTTTCAGAAATACAAAATTTAAGATGCCCAAAGGTGAAATGTCATGATGTGTACAACGAGCAACATATTAATTCATGATTAAGCAAAGGCTAAAGACCTGACTGAAGTTCTTTCACTATAATCAAATTTTTGTATATGCTGATAGCATTTTATTAAATGTCCAGCTGATTTTTGATTTTGTTGTTGTTTCAGCTCTAGCAAAGCCTGGAACTGAGAGGAGTTAGAGACATGGGAAAATATAAACAGAGAAGCTACAGTTTGTCCAAGATTTTCAGGGATATAACTCAACCCCATACACTCCAATCTCCATATCCTTTCCACTAGACTGCCTCTTCTCACATTAAGGTCATTTATGAAAAAAGAAATAAATCAGCAACGAATGCTAAGCACTTTATCCAGAAATTTTGACTATTCAAACACTACATGAGCTAAATTGCAGTCACATTCAGAGCTGCCATTATGTCCAGCTGAGTTCCTTTCACTTATTAAAATTTCAATTTTCGTAGAACGATAGATTAATTTTTTAATTGAAAAACTTGCTTTCTTTGCCTTTTCTTGCATTGTTTTCTCCGTTTTTCAAACTGCCAGTGTGTGTGTGTGTGTGTGTGTGTGTGTGTGTGTGTGTGTGTGTGTGTGTTCTTCTCCATAACATGCTAAAGCCAAAGCATTATCGGTTTTTGGATATATTTCTTTTGAAAAATTTCCCCAGGTGTCTCTGATATACTCACCGGGATACAAACCTGTTGCTTTTTTCATCAAATTTACTTATAGTGTTCAAGTAGTGCGTCAAGAGTTTTTCTATCTTTGATTTTTTTTTCCACTAGACAAATAGCCAACATGATTTGAATTATGATTTCCACTGTGAACATGGTTTGTATTTTCTGGGAGAAACATGCAATTTTGTTGTGTGTGTGTGTGTATATGTGTGTGTGTGTGTGTGTGTGTGTGTGCGTGTGTTTAAAATGGTGAATCTACATTTTGCCAGATGATTTTTTACTAAAAAAAATCTGTCATAATTTTAGACTGCAAAGCAATTGGCATATAAAGATGAGTTATTAGCAATCAAAAGCTATATCCTCACACCCAAATAAGAACTGTTTTCACAAGAAACATTCAAACATTTGAATCACATTTTCAAGCATTCTTGGTAAAATATTTAAAAATATTTTTTCCTGTATTATAACTCAGTTTTGTTAAATAAGTAGGTAGAAAAATGTGTATGAAGGATAAATATTATATTGTAAGTCAAGGAAACCCATAATAATATTAACCTATCAAATGAAATAAGTTATTTTTAAGAGAATTACATTTGAAGTGAATTTCAAACTTTCTTATGAGCTCCACAATTTTTACTCTCTTCTTGAAGATCTTTAATTTCCAGAGATTAATAGGAGTGATTAATTTTATTTTCCTAGGAAGAGCCTTTTATGAAATTTGCACTTAAACTAAAACAAGATAATAGAATCATTACACTAGCAAAGCTTACATTTATTCTTTTGTGTTATTCAACCAGAAAAAAGAAACTCAAAAGTATTTATGAAAGGAAATAATGATAGTTTTCCCCAAGACAAAATATAAATAAAAGAAACATACATATGCTGAATAACCTAACAGACTTATTTAAACCTGAATTAACATCTAGGTCTTAGAATTTATTAATGTGAGTAAATAATTATTCATGTAGGTATTTTAAATTAATTGCTCTATGCAATTGAATATAAAACATGTAATTTCTATAATATCTTATCCAGTTGTACTTTTGGATTTCACACATGACATCTAAGTGTGAGGTCATGAACAGGATGTTTAAATCTATCCTGTATCCTGAAACAAGTATGAACTTTACAGTCAAAAGAGCGAGGCTGTAATTCTGCCTGTGGCATACAGCAGCTCAATTGTTAAGACCAGGAACAATGGAGTTAAATAACACCTGAGTTTATATTAACATTAATTGAGAAGTTGAGACAGTGAGAGTTAAAACACTTAGCATAATTCCAAAATTATATTAATTGTTCAAGTTATTATTAGTTTTTCATTAGTTACAGTAGAGTAACATTAGCTATATGACCATGGGAATCAAGTTGCTATGGATGCAGAAGTGCATGTGTTTGTATTTTACTCTATGAGTAAAGGGATACAGTGTCTATATTAGAGAATTTTGTGTTGCTAATGAGACAATATTACATACATGTAAAATGTCTGAGACATGTTTTGTGTTTTTATATGAGATATAGTGGCTATCTTAGTCCATTTTTGTTGATTATAATAGAAAACCTAGAACTGGATAATTTATAAAGAAAAGAGTGTATTTCATACAGTTATGAAGGCTGAGAAGTCCACGGTCACAGGGCCACATCTGGTGATAGTCTTCTTGCTTGCAGAGACTCTTACGGAGTCCCAAGGCAGCACAGGGCATCCCATGGCAAGGGGGCTGGGTGTGCTCATATATTGGTTAAGCACTCTCATTCTCTTCTTATAATGCTACCAGTTCATCTCCGTGATGACCCATTATTCTATGAACCAATTTTTCCATTAACCAATTGATGGATTAATTAGTTCATGAGGTCAGAACTGTATCAGGGATGCCAAGTTCATATGCTTGCTGTGTAGCAACAGATTAATACACTGATAGTGGAGTTTGCTGTAGAGAAAGAGTTTAATGATCACAAGGTGCCAAACAAGGAAATGGGAACAATTCTCAAGCCTCAAATCCATTTTGCTAACAGGTTCTGGACAAGAATTTTTTTAATTTAAAATTTCAACAGATTTTGGCATACAGGTGGTTTTTGGTTACATAGATGTTATTTAGTCATGATTCCTGAGATTTTGGTGCACCTGTCACCTGAGCAGTGTACACTGTACATAGTATATAGTCTTTTATTACTCACTTTCTTCCCACCATACCCCCTATCTCCAAAGTCCATTATATCATTCTTATGCTTTCTGAGCAAGAGTGTTTAAGGGGACCATTCAGGGCAAGGGGCTGGAAAATTGGGGTTGTCGATTGGTCATGGTAGAGGGGATGAAATCATCAGGATGTGGATGCTACATTCTTCCATGAGTCACTTTTCTTCTGGGCTCTTCAGATCAGCTGGCATGGGTAAATTTATAGGTATACAAAACCTAAAGAGAAACTCAATGGAAAACTATTCATCTCACAACATCTTAGATTTTATGTATGGAACAGAAAAAGAAGAAGGAATCTTGTGACAAGGGCTGTTTTCCTAGGGTAGTAAGCAACTACCAGCTACAAGAAACTGGTTCAAAGGGAGAGCTGGCTTAATGGTTACTGCTAATTATGCTGCAAGCCTGGTTAATCTTGTTTTTTTCCCCTTTATCAATTTTTTAAGGTTTTTTGGGGGGACAGTTTCAGAACCCTGTGTTTCAGTCACCTCTTAAAAGCCCCACCTCTCAATACTGTCACATTGGGGATTCAGTTTCAACATGAGTTTTGGAGGAATATTCAAACCATAGCAGTAGCTCATATTTAATTAATTGTATCAATTATTACTTATTTTGCCAGTCTTCAAAGTACATAATTTTGAAAGTTACTAGATATAAATGGAATTATCAAGGTATCTGAAAGTAGTTGAGATACAGTGCTTTAATAGTGAAAGCCAAGCGCTGTATCTATTTATTTGTATCTATATCTAAATCTTCATGCCAATTGTATTAGTCCATTCTCATGCTGCTAATAAAGACATACCAAAGATTGGGTCATTTATAAAGGAAAAAAGTTTAATGGACTCACAGTTCTATATAGCCGAGGAGGCCTTAAAATCATGGCAAAGGTGAAAGAGGAGCAAAGGCATATTTTACGTGACGGGAGGCAAGAACTCTTGTCCAGGGAAAACTCCCATTTATAAAACCAAAAGATCTCATAAGACTTAATCACTACCATGAGAACAGTATGGAGAAAACCACCCCCATGATTCAGTTATCTCCACCTTTCCCCACCCTTGACACATGGGGATTGTTACAATTCAAGGTGTGATTTAGGTGGGGACTAATTACTATATTGTAGAAAAGTCTAGGACTCCTGAGTAATGTAAGAAGATCATATCAAATTGTAAAGAAATTAAATCTGAATAACAGTTCTTACTATATCTAATGAATAAAAAGTAAATTTAAGATAATAAAATACATTAGGACTGCAATAAAATTTGTGTTTGGCTCAGTTCATTAATCTAAATTATTGACATGTAACAGGAAAACACTACAAAACCTACTACAGACTTTCTATAATGATATCATTGAAAATGTTCCTTAAAAATTCTTTCTAAATCCAGACATTCAATTTGATTTTCTATTCATTCAATCTTTTTATGAATGAGGATGTAGCTCATATTTATTTATAGATTCATTCATTGAACAAACAATTATGGGTCAGATGTCATACTAGGTAATGGGAGTGCAGCCATAGTGAAAAGAAAGAAAGCACTCTGACTTCATGGACCTTATATTCATTTTATTTGATTATTTTGTATGTGTCAGAAATTATTTTAGTCAATCAATTTATAATATATTCAAGTAGCTCTTATAATTTCATAAATTTTTAATTTACATATATTTATCCAATATTATCATGAAAATGAAAACTGATTATTTAAGCATTCTATTTTTGGCATATGAATTTTTTTCTGTATTAATGTGTAAGCATAACATTTTTTCCTATTTAAGTAAGAAAGATGTAATAACTGAGTGTTGGTCAAGTTGTTGGATTATATAGAAATTAATTCATGGCATATGTAAACCATACCAACTAGGGCCAAGTACATAATTATCATTAAATTGTATGATAACAAAAGGCCATTTCTATGCTGTATATGTTTCCAGCATTTCAAATTTGTAAACTCCAGTTCTTTATAATGTTACATAACAGCAAGACTAAAGACACAAAATAAACAACTACAATTACCATAGAAGTAAATTATGTCAGCATCATTCACTTATGTTTTTGTATTAATGAATAGTTTAAAATCACAATGCTCACCCAAAAAGCTCACTAATCATTCAAATAATTGATGTCACCAAAATTGAATTAACTAATCTAATAGTTATTGGGATAAAAAAGGGTTCACACTTTAAGAGTATATATTTTAAAATAACTTAATTGCAAAGGAATTGATAAAAAGCAAATACAACTAGAAATTTAACTGAATATTTTTAGCTGCATGTTTTCAAATAGTTTTCTGGAAACATAAATAAAATAATGTTTTAGGAAAAGTATTTGATAAAAATTCCAAAGACATAATTTTCTGGTTTAAAAAAGAGGAGCAAAAGAAATTAAGACTACACACACACACACACACACACACATTCATAGGTAACAGAAGTTTTGTAAATTTATATACTACAGAAAAATTTTACTAACCTTTATTGATTCTGTAAACTTTTGCATTCATACACATAAAATATTTTATTGTATAAAAATTAAGAGAGAAAACTTATAATCATGGTAGAAACTATAAAAATTGTTTAGAAAAATTCAACAGCCATTACTAATTTTAAACATGTAAAGATAAATGAAAACAAAAATATTTCTTAAATGTGATAAAAAGTATTTATGAAAAAGCAACAGAA
The DNA here is from genome assembly GCF_000001405.40 of Homo sapiens. NCBI lineage: Eukaryota > Metazoa > Chordata > Mammalia > Primates > Hominidae > Homo > Homo sapiens. Next base: position 59,439,924 of record NC_000004.12, on the reverse strand, counting down.
AATCTTACTCTAATATAGGAAAAACAAATATTTTTATTTTAAATCAGGAACACACAGGGATGTCTGCTATTAACATATGTTTCAACCATGTCCTTAAGAAAAAATCATGCTTTTTTTCTGATAATTTGATTTATAGAAAATTCAAAAAGTTCTAGATTAAAATGACAACAAAAAATTTGATAAGGTAGTTGAACGTAAGATAAATATACAAAACTAATGGATTTTTCCAATCATAATAATGAGCATCTCAAGAAGAAATAGTTAAAAAATCACAACAGTGATTACAAAATATTCAAAAATACATGTTATAAAAACTTATGGCACTTATGAATCAGAAAATAAAATCTTAGTAACAGAAATACACATAAACCTGAAACAACATCAACAACAGTGCATTACATACACAAGTAGTGATACAAAGCAAGTTGCAAACATGTGGCTTACAGTATGCTTACAATTAGATAAAAGTAGAAAAGTAAGCTGGTGTGTATCTATACAGACACTTGTACAAATACGCACAAATAAGTGGAAAGATATAGGAGTATATGGCAGGATACACAGTTTGCCAAACTGACTACCTCATATTGTGTGAGGCAAGTGGTAATCTTTAGGAAAATAATAGCTTTGCAAACTTTTAAGTGTACAATACATTATTGTTAACTATGGGGACAATGTATTACAGTAAATCTCTAGAATTTATGCATCTTAGATAAATGATACTTCATAGCCATCGATTAGCAATTTCTTATTTTCTTCTCTCCCAGACTCTGGTAACCACCATTCTACTCTCTGACTCTAAGTTTGACTATTTTATATACCTTATATAAGTGGACAAGCATGTTTTTCTGTTTTCGTTAAGCCGTTCTTGAATTCCTATAAAGAAATAAATACTTGAGATTAGGTCATTTATAAGTAAAGAGCTCTAATTGCCTTAAAGTTCTCTAGGCTGTACAGGAAGCATAGAGTTGGCATCTGCTTCTGGGGAGCAATCAGGAAGCTTTTACTCGGGATGGAAGATGAAGCAGGAGCAGAGATGGGAGCCAGGTAGACAGAGGTGCTACACACTTTAAAATAGGCAGATCTTGTGAGAACTCACTATGGCAAGGACAGCACCAAGGAGATGTTGCTAAACCATTTATGAGAAATCCACCTCTATGATCCAGTCACCTCTCATGAGGACTCATCTCGAATACTAGAGATTTACAATTCAACATGAGATTTGGGTGGGGAGAAATACACAAACTATATCATTGTTGTAATTTGAAAAGAAAACTGACAAGATTTACTTATTTAAGGTAAAATAATACTTAAAGAATCTTGCTGAGACTATAAACTGATATTTCACAAATCATATCTAAAGTAATCTTATGATAATTTTGTTAAGTATGTGTCTTATCGTTAAGAAAAAGACATTGATAACTAAAGAAGGCCTGTGATTTCCTTTACGCTTTTTTCTATTTGGTGCCCCGTGTTGTGAGAGAAAAGCAAATTTTGAGAGAACAGATTTTCTGTTATCTCAAACTAATGAATGCATACATCGCTGGATAAAAGTAAATACCTGCCAAGGATGAGAAAGCAAGAGAGGGAGAATTCTTTTGCCAGTTTTGATTGCTTAAGGATTACTTGATGCTCTAAATTCTCCAAGTTAAAGTAAAAAGATAACTACACAGATATTTTGAGATTAGGCCCTACCACTAAATTTAATTCTGACTGTAATCTTAACAACACACGCTAATACTAATACAAGGTACAATGCATTGTGGATCTATTTCTATACAGAATACTCATTTAATTTTAAAAACAGTCTTGCAAACTTGGTGCAATTGTTTGCAGTGACCAGTATATACAATAAATAACACTGACAGTTATTGGGATCAAATAAAGCACATATGTGGAAAATTACAAAGCTGGAATTTGAAGTTTTGTCCATCAGTCTCAATATTTGGTAATGTTTTGAAGTCCATGAAAGATTTGCTGAGACTATATAATTGCCAATACAGAACTAAGTTCTGTGTTTAGAATACAGAGCACTAGTGATTTTTCTGCTGATAACGTTTATTCAAATTAACACAAAGCTATCCTCATTACAAGGTCAAAGTTGGTATTTCTGAATGTCACAAACAAGCTTAACAGAGGGTATTCACAATTGTTCCGAAAGATGTTATTATAACCAGATGAGGTTCCCAAAAATGTAGACGTAAAACAATCACTGGATACCATAGAAAAAAGACACAATCTTTAGAATAAATACAAATTTAAAAATCAGATTAAAATGTTTAAAAGTATGTAGTTTAATTTTTAAATATGTAATATTAAATATGTAATATATACAATAACTATGAATTAACATAGAATAAAGAGAAATCACATTTTAGAATTTACACATATATATGTGTGTATGTGTGTGTGTATATATATACACATTATATATATATTATATATTACATATATTTTATATATATATATATATATATATACACATTACCATCATTAGGTTAGATGATTATTTCACTACTTGGACTTGTTTTCTCCAGAATTATAGATCCTACTTATTGCATTATTTTTAAAAATATTTGTGTTTAGTTTTATTTTTTAGCAATAAGAACTTTAATTTCCTGCTTTGTTTAAAATGTGAGTAATTGATTTGGAATGAAAAAGTAATCTAAACATATTTATCATACACATGTAAAAATATATTCACAAATACTGGCACTTTGAGATATGTGTAAAATATATATATTTTTTCCAAAATAAAATATGAGAATATAAAGGAATATAAAGAATATCTAGAATGCATTTATCATATTAAAATAATTCTATTTATCATCTCTCTCTCTCTTTCTATGTACATACACACATACACTACATTCATGAATACTACTTAAAATCATACTATTAACTGAGGCAAAAGGATTTGGAACACCCAGAAGATTTACATAGGTCAGGTACATTTATGCTTTTAAAAATTAAGTAACTAAATCATTACAGAAAAAATTATCATACTTCAGATGTAATTTTTGCAGTAATGAGTAATCAGTGTACAAGGTCTGAGGTAGCATTTGAGAATAAAATTTAATTATGAGCTGAATGAGAATCATATAAATTTTTAAAAAATGACTAACTAAAAATAGCATCAGTTTGATGATTTTTAAGGATTCTGCATTGGTTTTGTCATAAGCTGTCAAATGTATCTGAATGAGTAAAAAATAATTCAGTGAAAACCTGACAAAATACAATTGCTTCAGAAAAAAAATTCCACTTTGTGAACATTTTTCATAAAATAAACAATCTCAATTTTGTGTGTGCGGGTATACTTTAAGTCTGTCAAATCGATTAAGTAATTTAACCAGATAATTACAATCTTAATGAAGATAAATATGAACCAAATCACTCCAAACTTACTTTTTTAAGCTTAGAATCTTCCAAAATCCTTCTCCCCATACCAACTATAAATCTATCTATGAATCTATCTATCTATCTACCTATCTATTATCTATCTATCTACTATCTATCCATCCAGTTGTATTTCCAGTTGGATTGAAAAATTATTTGACATCTCAAAAATCAAGCTTAGAATGCACATCTTTTCTTTGCGTATATGGTAAACCTTTGAATTTCCTTCATGTTCTTCAGATAATAATTACATGTTGTCATATTCACCTTTTCTTAATTATATAACATAAACTGGATTTATTTAATACTAAATTCATGGTCTATATTTAGAAGACTAGTTAACAAAAGTGAAGAAAATCTGAATTTTCTTCCTAAACCCTAGACAATATATTATGAAAAAAATTTGCATGGTTTTTGATTTTTTCTCACTTCATCTTTATATTTGTCCTTAGTATTCTCTTGCTTATCTTACTTGGCACTCCATCTGAAAGAATTAAGTCACAACTGTCATCCCTAAACTTTTCAAAAACTGCAATGCATAATTTAGTTTATCTTTGTCTTTTTTGCTTAAAAACGCATATTGACATTAAACTACAGTTCTGAGATTTTCTAGACTTAAGAATGATAAATGTCTAAGAAAACTTTTTCATTCATGAGCTGCAAAGAGGATTGATCCTGTGTTTTAAAGGGTCTTCCTGAGTTGGATATATAAAATGATTGGTCATATACTTGTAGAATTCCTGAATTCTAACATGAATATAATACTGTCATATGTGTCAAGATTTAAAAAAATCTATTAAAAAAGGAAAATCAGGCCTTCACCTGAGTTCTCAAAGCAGCACTACCATCTGGAAAGTGAGACAAGAACAATAATAGCTTATTTTAAAAAGAGAGAAAAACATAAAAATAAACCCACTAAAGATTCACCAATAAAATGAAAGAAAAGGACGAAGAGATTCCAATATTAATGGCACATAAATTGAAATTTCATTTCAAAATTGTGAAGAAATATAAAAAGTAACATCATTAAATAACAAAAGGCTCACTTCTGTGAGACAACAAATATCATAGCAACAAAACATGCAAAATAAAACTAATAGAAATACCATGATAACCTGTTAAACGTGTAGTTATGGAAAGAGTTAAATATCACTCCTTTGAAAGTGAATGAATTCCACGGAAAAAACTTAAGAGTATCGAGAAATTGCATAACTATATACCTACTTACCTATGTGTCTACTGATCTGTCATCTATTTATGCCACATTTATTTGGATGTCTGTGGGGAAAAATCTACAGATAGTGTATCGGCACACACACAAAAAAACACTAAAATGTCCAAAACACAGTTATTTTGCAGACTGTTTTCCCTGATTCACATATAAATAGAAAGTGAAGAAAGCGTCAGCACAATTTGTAAATAAATACATTTCAGATAAAGTTTGTATACTGATAGGAAACAGATGTGATACTATAATATGTAGAAAACAATAATATGGATAAATATCATACAAACACCTATGAGATACAGTAGAAGCAGTTCTAAGAAGGAAGTTCGCAGCAATTAATGCCTACATCAAAAGACAAAAGATCTCAAATAAACAACCTAACATTACATATCTAGGAACAAGAAAAACAAAACAATCTGAATTTGAAATAACTATAAGGAACAAAAAAGAAACCCAGGAAGATCCGAGCAGAAATAAACAAAACAGAGAAAAAATATACAACAGTTGAACAAAACAAAAACTGTTTTTTTGAAAAGATAACACTGACAAACTTCTAGTTTAAAAAAACCCAGAAAATTGAAATAATGTCAGAGACACAAAAACAGACATTACAATTGATACCACAAAAATAAAAAGGATAATAAGACACCACTAGGAACAACCATACTCTAACAAATTGGAAAACCTGGAAGAAATGGATTAAATCCCAGGCACATGCAATTTACGAAGATTGAATCACAAAGAAGTGGAACGCCTGAACAGACCAGTAATAAGCAACTAGATCAAAGCAGTAATAAAGAGTCTGATATCAAAGAAAAGCCTAGAACCTCATGGCTTCACTGCTGAACTATACTAAACATTTAAAAACAACTAATATCAATTATATTCAAGCTATTATAAGAATATGAAGAGGAGGAAACACTTCCAGACTCTTTCTATGAAGCTAGCGTTACTCTGATACTAAAACCGGACAAAGATACAACAAAGAGAACCATAGGGCGATATCTCTGATTAACATAAAAGCAAAAATCCTCAATAAAATACTAGTAAATCAAATTCAACACACTTAAAAGATCATTCACCATGATTACGTGGAATTCCATCTCAGGGAAACAGAGTTCAGCATATGTAAATCAATAACTGATACATCACATTATCAGAATCAAGGACAAAATCCATGTGATTATTTCAATATATGCTGAAAAAGAATTCAATAAAATTCAGCATTCCTTCATGATAAAAACTCTCAACAAACTGGGTACAGAAGGAACAAACCTCAACACAGTAAAGGCTACATATGATCAGCCCACAGCTAAAAGTTGAAAGCTTTTCTTCTAAGATCTGGAACAAGTCAAGAATGTCCACTTTTATCACTTTCATTCAACATAATACTGGAAATTCTACCTACAGTGATTAAGCAAGAGAAAGAAATAAAGGACATCAAAACTGGAAAGAAAAAAGTCAGATTATCCCTATTTTCAGATGGCATGAATATATATACATATAAAATAAATATATATGTAAATATATACGTATATACATCCCTAAAGACTCCACAAAAAGCTGTTAGAATAAATGAATTTAGTCAAGTTGCAGGTTAAAAAATTAACATACAAACATTAGTAATATTTCTATATGCCAATAACAAACTATCTGAAAGACAAATTAAGAAAGTAATTTCATTTAGCATAGCTTCAAAAAATAAAGAAAAAATAAAGGACATCTAAACTGAAAAGAAGGAAGTCAAATTCTCCCTATTTTCACTGACATATATATATATATATATATATATATATAAAATATATATAAATATTTAAAATATATATATATATCCCTAAAGACTCCACCAAAAAAGCAGGTAGAATAAATGAATTTAGTATAGTTGCAGGTTAAAAAAATTAACATATAAACATCAGTAATATTTCTTTTTTTATTATACTTTAAGTTCTAGGGTACATGTGCACAATGTGCAGGTTTGTTACATATGTATACATGTGCCATGTTGGTGTGCTGCACCCATTAACTCGTCATTTACGTTAGGTATATCTCCTAATGTTATCCCTACCCTTCCCCACACCCCACAACAGGACCCAGTGTGTGATGTTCCCCACCCTGTGTCCATGTGTTCCCATTGTTCAATTCCCACCTATGAGTGAGAACATACAGTGTTTGCTTTTCTGACCTTGCGATAGTTTGCTGAGAATGATGCTTTCCAGCTTCATCCATGTCCCTACAAAGGATATTAACTCATTATTTTTTATGGCTGCATAGTGTTCCATGGTGTATATGTGCCACATTTTCTTAATCCAGTCAATCATTGGTGGACATTTGGGTTGGTTCCAAGTCTGCTATTGTGAACCGTGCTGCAATAAACATACGTGAGCATGTGTCTTTATAGCAGCATAATTTATAATCCTTTGGGTATATACCCAGTAATGGGATGGCTGGGTCCAATGATATTTCTGATTCTATATCCTTGAGGAATCACCACACTGTCTTCCACAATGGTTGAACTAGTTTACAGTCCCACCAACAGTGTAAAAGTGTTCCTATTTCTCCACATCCTCTCCAGCACCTGTTGTTTCCTGACTTTTTAATGATTGCCATTCTAATGGGTGTGAGATGGTATCTCATTGTGATTTTGATTTGCATTTCTCTGATGGCCAGTGATGATGAGCATTTTTTCATGTGTCTGTTGGCTCATGAATGTCTTCTTTTGAGAAGTGTCTGTTCATATCTTTTGCCCACTTTTTAATGAGGTTGTTTGATTTTTTCCTCTAAATGTGTTTTAAGTTCTTTGTAGATTCTGGATATTAGCCCTTTGTCAGATGGGTAGATTGTAAAAATTCTCTCCCATTCTGTAGGTTGTCTGTTCACTCTGATGGTAGTTTCTTTTGCTGTGCAGGAGCTCTTTAGTTTAATTAGATCCCATTTGTCAATTTTGGCTTTTGTTACCATTGCTTTTGGTGTTTTAGTCATGAAGTCCTTGCCCATGCCTATGGCTTGAATGGTATTGCCTAGGTTTTCTTTTGGGTTTTTATGGTTTTAGGTCTAAGATTTAAGTCTTTAATCCATCTTGAATTGACTTTTGTATAAGGTGTAAGGAAGGGATCCAGTTTCAGCTTTCAACATATGGCTAGCCAGTTTTCCCAGCACCATTTATTAAATAGGGAATCTTTCCCCATTTCGTGTTTTTATCAGTTTTGTCAAAGATCAGACGGTGGTAGATGTGTGGTATTATTTCTGAGGGCTCTGTTCTGTTCCATTGATCTATATATCTCTGTTTTGGTACCAGTACAATGCTGTTTTGGTTACTGTAGCCTTGTAGTAAAGTTTGAAGTCAGGTAGCGTGATGCCTCCAGCTTTGTTCTTTTGGCTTAGGATTGTCTTGGCAATGCGGGCTCTTTTTTGGTTCCATATGAACTTTAAAGTAGCTTTTCCAATTCTGTGAAGAAAGTCATTGGTAGCTTGATGGGGATGGCATTGAATCTATAAATTACCTTGGTCACTATGGCCATTTTCACGATATTGATTTTTCCCATCCATGAGCATGGAATGTTCTTCCATTTGTTTGTGTCCTCTTTTATTTCACTGAGCAGTGGGTTGTAGTTCTACTTGAAGAGATCCTTCACATGCCTTGTAAGTTGGATTCCTAAGTATTTTATTCTCTTTAAAGCAATTGTGAATTGGAGTTCACTCATGACTTGGCTCTCTGTTTGTCTGTTACTAGTGTGTAGGAATGCTTGTGATTTTTGCACATTAATTTTGTATCCTGAGACTTTGCTGAAGTTGCTTATCAGCTTAAGGAGATTTTGGGCTGAGACGATGGGGTGTTCTAAATATACAATCGTGTCATCTACAAATAGGAACAATTTGACTTCCTCTTTTCCTAATTGAATAGTCTTTATTTCTTTCTCCTGCCTGACTTCCCTGGCCAGAACTTCCAACACTATGTTGAATAGGAGTGGTGAGAGAGGCCATCCCTGTCTTGTGCCAGTTTTCCAAGGGAATGCATCCAGTTTTTGCCCATTCAGTATGATATTGGCTGTGGGTTTGTCATAAATAGCTCTTATTATTTGGAGATACATCCCATCAATACCCAGTTTATTGAGAGTTTTTAGCATGAAGGGCTTTTGAATTTTGTCGAAAGCCTTTTCTGCGTCTATTGAGATAATCATGTGGTTTTTGTCTATGCTTCTTTTTATATCATGGATTACATTTATTGATTTCTGTATGTTGATCCAGCTTTGCATCCCATGGATGAAGCCAACTTGATCATTATGGATAAGCTTTTTGATGTGCTGCTGGGTTCTGTTTGCCAGTATTTTATTGTGGATTTTTGCATTGATGTTCATCAGGGATATTGGTCTAAAATTATCTTTTTTGTTGTATCTCTGCCAGGCTTTGGTATCAGGATGATGCTGGTCTCACAAAATGAGTTAGGGAGGATTCCCTCTTTTTCTATTGATTGTAATAGTTTCAGAAGGAATGGTACCAGCTCCTCTTTGTGCCTCTGGTAGAATTTGGCTGGGAGTCCATCTGGTCCCGGACTTTTTTGGTTGTTAGACTACTAATTATTGCCTCAATTTCAGAGCCTGCTATTGGTCTATTCAGCTATCCCACTTCTTCCTGGTTTAGTCTTGGCAGGGTGTATGTGTCCAGGAATTTATCCATTTCTTCTAGATTTTCTAGTTTATTTGCTTAGAGATGTTTATAGTATTCTTTGATTGCAGTTTGTATTAATGTGGGATTGGTGGTGACAGTCTCTTTATCATTTTTTATTGTGTCTATTTGATTCTTCTCTCTTTTCTTCTGTATCAGTCTTGCTAGCGATCTAGGCCTGGTGGTGACAAAATCTCTCACCATTTGTTTCTATAAAGTATTTTATTTCTCCATCACTTATGAATCTTAGTATGGCTGGATATGAAATTCTGGGTTGAAAATTCTTTTCTTTAAGAATGTTGAATATTGGCCCCCACTCTCTTCTCGCTTGTAGAGTTTCTGCTGAGAAATCTGCTGTTAGTCTGATGGGCTTCTCTTTGTGAGTAACCTGACCTTTCTCTCTGGCTGCCCTTAACATTTTTTCCTTCATTTCAGCATTGGTGAATCTGACAATTATGTGTCTTGGAGTTGCTCTTTTCGAGGAGTATGTTTGTGGCATTCTCTGTATTTCCTGAATTTGAATGTTGGCCTGCCTTGCTAGGTTGGGGAAGTTCTCCTGGATGATATCCTGAAGAGTGTTTTCCAACTTGGATCCATTATCCCCATCACTTTCAGGTACACTAATCAGATGTAGATTTGGTCTTTTCACATAGCCCCATATATCTTGGAGGCTTTGTTTGTTTCTTTTTACTCTTTTTTCTCTAAACTTCTCTTCTTGCTTCATTTCATTCATTTGATCTTCATTCACTGATACCCTTTCTTCCACTTGATCAAATCAGCTACTGAAGCTTGTGCATGCATCATGTAGTTCTCATGCCATGGTTTTCAGCTTCATTAGGTCATTTAAGGTCTTCTCTATGCTGTTTATTCTAGTTGGCTATTCGTCTAATCTTTTTTCAAGGTTTTTAGCTCCTTTGAGATGGGTTCAAACATCCTCCTTTAGCTCGGAGAAGTTTGTTGTTACTGATCGTCTGAAGCCTTTTTCTCTCAACTTGTGAAAGTCATTCTCCACCCAGCTTCGTTCCGCTGCTGGTGAGGAGCTGTGTTCCTTTGGAGGAAAAGAGGCACTCTGATCTTCAGAATTTTTAGATTTTCTGCTCTGGTTTCTCCCCATTTTGTGGTTTTATCAACCTTTAGTCTTTGATGATGGTGATGTACAGATGGGGTTTTGGTGTGGATGTCCTTTCTGTTTGTTAGTTTTCCTTCTAACAGTCAGGACCCTCAGCTGCAGGTCTATTGGAGTTTGCTGGAAGTCCACTCCAGACCCTGTTCACTTGGTGATCATCAGCAGAGGTTGCAGAACAGCAAATATTGCAGAACGGAAAATGTTGCTGCCTGATCCTTCCTCTGAAAGCTTCATCTCTGAGGGGCACCCAGCCTTATGAGGTGTCAATCGGCCCCTACTGGGAGATGCCTCCAAGTTTGGCTCCTCAGGGGTCAGGAACCCACACTGAGGAGGCAGTCTGTCCGTTCTCAGATCTCAAACTCCATGGTAGGAGGACCACTACTCTCTTCAAAGCTGTAAGACAGGCATGTTTAAGTCTGCAGAAGTTTCTGCTGCCTTTTGTTCAGCTATTCCCTGACCCCAGAGGTGGAGTCTACAGATGCAGGCAGGCCTCCTTGAGCTGTGGTGGGCTCCACCCAGTTCGAGTTTCCTGGCAGCTTTGTTTACCTACTCAAGCCTCAACAATGGCAGATGCCCCACCCCCAGCCTCACTGCCATCTTGCAGTTTGATCTCAGACTGCTGTGCTAGCAGTGAGCAAGGCTCTGTGGGCATGGGACCCTCTGAGCCAGGCAAGGGATATAATCTCCTGGTGTGCCATTTCCTAAGACTGTTGGAAAAGCGCAGTATTAGGGTGGGAATCCGGGTTTTCCAGGTACCATCTGTCATGGCTTCCCTTGGCTAGGAAAGGGAATTCCCTGACCCCTTGCGCTTCCTGGGTGAAGGGATGCCCCACCCTACTTTGGCTCCCACTCCATGGGCTGCACCCACTGTCTGACAAGCCCCAGTGAGATGAACCTGATACCTCAGGTGGAAATGCAGAAATCACCCATCTTCTGAGTCACTCATGCTGGGAGCTTTAGACTGGAGCTATTCATATTTGGCCATCTTGGAACATCCTTCCTCCAAACATTAGTAATATTTCTATATGCCAATAACAAACTATTTGAAAGACAGATTAGGAAAGTAATTCCATTTTGCATAATTGCACAACATAAATAAATAAAATGCCTTGGAAAATGTAATCAAGGAGACAAATCTCTACAATTGAAAACTGTAAAACAATGATTGAAGAAATTGAAGAGGACACAAATAAATGAAAACATATCATATTCATAACTTGAAACAATCAGTATTGTCAAAAAGTCTGTACTACCCAAAGTGATACACAGATTCAATATAATCTCTATCAGAATACTCATGAAATCCTTTACAGAAATAGAAAAAGCATCCTTAAAATGTATAGGAAATGCAAAATATCCCAGATAGCCAAAGTAATCTTGAGCAATAAGAACAAAGCTGAAGGTATCACATTTCTTGACTTCAAAATATACTACAAAGCTCTAGTAAGCAAAATAGGATAATGCTGGCATAAAAACAGACATATAGACAAATGGAACAAAATACAGAAGCCAGAAATAAATCCATGTTTTTACACCCAATTGATTTTTGACAAAAGCGTCAAAAACACACTGAGGAAAAACAAAATGTCTTCAACAAATGGTGCTGGGATTACTGGATAGCCACATGCAGAAGAAGAAAAAACTATACCCTTATCTCTCACGATATATAAAATCAACTCTAAATAAATTAAAGATTTAAGTTTAAGACCTGAAACTATGAAACTACTATAATAAAATACAGGAGAAACACTCCATAAAATTGGACTGGGCAAAGATTTTTTTTTGAATAAGATTTCAAAAGCATAGGCAGAAAAAAGCAAAACCTTTTTAGGTTGATGAGATTGCATCAACCTGAAAAACTTCTGCACAGCAAAGGAAACAATCATTGAAGAGAAGAGACAACCTACAGAATGGGAGAAAGTATTTGCAAACTACACTACATATCTGACCAGAGTTTCATATCCAGAATATATAAGGAACTCAAACAATTCAATAGCCAAAATTAACTAATCCAATTAAAAATGGGCAAAAGATCTGATTTGACATTTTTTAAAAGACATACAAATAACCAATAGATATATGAAAAATCCTCAACATAACTAATTATCAGGGAATTGTAAATCAAAGCCACAATGAGAAATCACCTCATTGCAGTTAGAATAACTATTATCAGAAAAACAAAAATTAACAAATGCTGGTGAAGATGTAGAAAAAAAGGAACTTTTATAAACTGTTAATGTGTATGTAAATTAGTTCAGCCATTATGGAAAACAGTATGGATGTTCCTCCAAAAATTAAAAATAGAACTACCATATGATTCCACAATCCTGTTACTGGGTGTATATCCAAAAGAAAAGAAATCAGTATGTTGAAGAGACATCTGCACCCTCATTTTTATTTCAGCACTATTTACCATAGCCAAGATATGGAATCAACCTAAGTGCCGATCTACAGGTGAATGGATAAAAAATGTGGTATACATATACAATGGAATACTCTTTAGCCATAAAACAGAATGAAATCCCGTTATTAGCGGTGACATGAATTAACATGTGGAATATTATGCTATGTTAAATAAACCAGACACAGAAAAACAAACACTGTGTGATCTCACTCGTATGAGGAATCTAAAACTGTTGATTTTATAGAAAAAAAGAGTAGAATAGAGACTGAGGGGCTGTGGGAAGGAAATAAGGATACCAGGAGAGATTGATCAATGGGTACAAAGATGCAGTTAGACATAAAGAATAAGTTCTGGTATTCTGTTATACAGTAGTGTGACTGTAGCAATTAACAATATAGCATTTATTTTAAGATAGAAGATTTTGAATGTTTTCCCTGTAAAGAGATGATAAAATGCTTAAAGAGATAGATGACTTGTCAGTTATACACAAAAAAGAAATGATTCATTGAAAAATATAAATTAATGAGAAATTGAATTAAAGAAGAAATATTTATCTTTATATGACCTTACTATTTGACTTTAGGAAATTAGAAAAAAAAAAAAACAAGATAATAATAAATAGAAAAAAATGTGAAAAACTACTGCTATAGAAAGAAAACCCAAATTTGCAATTTTGAAAAGATATGTAAAATCAATAATTATGTATGTATTTTGAATAAGAAAAAAAGAGACAGAAAAAATTTACAAAAGTACGAAGAAAAAATTAGGAACACAACTAAACATAATGAAGCAATTATTATGTATAATATCATGAAAGATTATTGAAAGTCTGGAGATAACAGATGCTTTCCTCAGCAAAATCCAAAATATGAGTTTGGCCAAAGAATTAGTAGAAAATGCAAACAGTCCAATTCCTAGAAGAGATTAGAGGGTTATTTAACACCTGTCATTGTAAAGAGTACCCAAACTAGAATGTTACATCTGAGTTTCAGCACACTATAAAAAATATAATTTTATTTTTATTTATATTGGCTACACCAAATCCATATAATAAAATTCTTCAATCCAAATTAGCAAGCCAAAACAATGTTCATACTAAATGTCTAGAATGATGGAAATGACATTCTTATCTGAAAAAATATTCCACATAAAATACTAAGTAGATCAAGCAAAATCACAGGAGCCACAATAGTGGATGAAGAACACTTTATTTAAATTATGGAAAGGCAATTAACTTTAAAAAAATTATCAATACAACTCATTAAATCAATAATGTGAAGAAAATAATTGATGTTAACAAGACATTTCTTTATTTTTTTTATTTTTTTATTATTTTACTTTAAGTTCTAGGGTACATGTGCACAACATGCACTTTTGTTACATATGTATACAGGTGCCATGTTGGTGTGCTGCACCCAATAACTTGCCATTTACATTAGGTATATCTCTTAATGCTATCCCTGCCCCCTCCAAACCAACCCGGCAGGCCCCAGTGTGTGATGTTCCCCACCCTGTGTCCATGTGTTCCCATTGTTCAGTTCCCACCTATGAGTGAGAACATGCAGTGTTTGGTTTTCTGTCCTTGAGATAGTTTGCTCAGAATGACAGTTTCCAGCTTCATCCACGTCCCTACAAAGGACATGAACTCATCCTTTTTAATGGCTGCATAGTATTCCATGGTGTATATGTGCCACATTTTCTTAATCCAGTCTATCATTGATGGACTTTTGGGTTGGGTTCAAGTCTTTGCTGTTGTGAATAGTGCCATAATAAATACATGTGCATGTGTCTTTATAGCAGTATAATTTATAATCCTTTGGGTATATACCCAGTAATGGGATGGCTGGGTCAAATGACATTTCTAGTTCTAGATCCTTGAGGAATCCCCACACTGTCTTCCACAATGGTTGAACTAGTTTACAGTCCCACCAACAGTGTAAAAGTGCTCCTATTTCTCCACATCCACTCCAGCACCTGTTGTTTCCTGACTTTTTAATGATTGCCATTTTAACGGGTGTGAGATGGTATCTCATTGTGGTTTTGATTTGCATTTATCTGATGGCCAGTGATGATGAGCATTTTTTCAAGTGTCTTTTGGCTGCATAAATGTCTTCTTTTGAGAAGTGTCTGTTCATATCCTTCACGCAATTTTAATGTGGTTGTTTCAGTTTTTCTTGTAGATTTGTTTAAGTTCTTTGTAGGTTCTGGATATTAGCCCTTTGTCAGATGGGTAGATTGTAAAAATTTTCTCCCATTCTGTAGGTTGCCTGTTCACTCTGATGGTAGTTTCTTTTGCTGTGCAGAAGTTCTTTAGTTTAATTAGATCCCATTTGTCAATTTTGGCTTTTGTTGCCATTGCTTTTGGTGTTTTAGTCATGAAGTCCTTGCCCATGCCTATGGCTTGAATGGTATTGCCTAGGTTTTCTTCTAGGGTTTTTATGGTTTTAGGCCTAACATTTAGGTCTTTAATCCATCTTGAATTGACTTTTGTATAAGGTGTAAGGAAGGGATCCAGTTTCAGCTTTCAACATATGGCTAGCCAGTTTTCCCAGCACCATTTATTAAATAGGGAATCTTTCCCCATTTCGTGTTTTTGTCAGTTTTGTCAAAGATCAGATGGTAGTAGATGTGTGGTATTATTTCTGAGGGCTCTGTTCTGTTCCAATGGTCTACATGTCTCTTTTGGTACCAGTACAATGCTCTTCTGGTTACTGTAGACTTGTAGTATAGTTTGAAGTCAGGTAGCGTGATACCTCCAGCTTTGTTCTTTTGGCTTAGGATTGTCTTGGCAATGTGGGCTCTTTTTTGGTTCCATATGAACTTTAAAGTAGTTTTTCCCATTCTGTGAAGAAAGTCATTGGTAGCTTGATGGGGATGGCATTAAATCTATAAATTACCTTGGGCAGTATGGCCATTTTCACGATATTGATTCTTCTTATCCATGAGCATGGAATGTTCTTCCATTTGTTTGTATCCTCTTTTATTTCATTGAGCAGTGGTTTGTAGTTCTCCTTGAAGAGGTCCTTCACGTCCCTTGTAAGTTGGATTCCTAGGTATTTTATTCTCTTTAAAGCAATTGTGAATGGGAGTTCACTCATGATTTGGCTCTGTTTGTCTGTTATTGATGTGTAAGAATGCTTGTGATTTTTGCACATTGATTTTGTAACCTGAGACTTTGCTGAAGCTGCTTATCAGCTTAAGGAGATTTTGGGCTGAGATGATGGGGTTTTCTAAATATACAATCATGTCATCTGCAAACAGGGACAATTGGACTTCCTCTTTTCCTAATTGAATAGCCTTTATTTCTTTCTCCTGCCTGATTGCCTTGGCCAGAACTTCCAACACTATGTTGAATAGGAGTGGTGAGAGAGGCCATCCCTATCTTGTGCCAGTTTTCCAAGGGAATGCATCCAGCTTTTGCCCATTCAGTATGATATTGGCTGTGGGTTTGTCATAAATAGCTCTTATTATTTGGAGATACATCCCATCAATACCTAATTTATTGAGAGTTTTTAGCATGAAGCGTTGTTGAATTTTGTCAAAGGCCTTTTCTGCATCTATTGAGATAACCATGTGTTTTTTGTCTTTGGTTCTGTTTATATGGTGAATTACTTTTATTGATTTGCATATTTTGAACCAGCCTTACATCCCAGGGATGAAGCCCACTTGATCATGGTGGATAAGCTTTTTGATGTGCTGCTGGATTCGGTTTGCCAGTATTTTATTGAGGATTTTTGCATCAATGTTCATCAGGGATATTGGTCTAAAATTCTCTTTTTTTGTTTTGTCTCTGCCAGGCTTTGGTATCAGGATGATGCTGGCCTTATAAAATGAGTTAGGAAGGATTCCCTCTTTTTCTATTGATTGTAATAGTTTCAGAAGGAATGGTACAAGCTCCTCCTTGTACCTCTGGTAGAATTCAGCTGTTAATCCATCTGGTTCTGGACTTTTTTCATTGGTAAGCTGTTAATTATTGTCTCAATTTCAGAGCCTGTTATTGGTCTATTCAGGGATTCCACTTCTTCCTGGTTTAGTCTTGGGAGGGTGTATGTGTCCAGGAATTTATCCATTTCTTCTAGATTTTCTAGTTTATTTGCATAGAGGTGTTTATAGTATTATCTGACGGTAGTTTGTATTTCTGTGGGATCAGTGGTGATGGCTCCTTTATCATTTTTTATTGTGTCTATTTTATTCTTCTCTCTTTTCTTCTTTATTAGTCTTGCTAGTGGTCTATCAATTTTGTTGATCCTTTCAAAAAACCAGCTCCTCAATTCATTGATTTTTGAAGGGTTTTTTGTGTCTCTGTCTCCTTCAGTTCTGCTCTGATCTCAGTTATTTCTTGCCTTCTGCTAGCTTTTGAATGTGTTTGCTCTTGTTTCTCTAGTTCTTTTAATTGTGATGTTAGGGTGTCAATTTTAGATCTTTCCTGCTTTCTCTTGTGGGCATTTAATGCTATAAATTTACCTCTACACACTGCTTTAAATGTGTCCCAGAGATTCTGGTATGTTGTGTCTTTGTTCTCATTGGTTTCAAAGAACGTCTTTATTTCTGCCTTCATTTTGTTATGTACCCAGTAGTCATTCAGGAACAAGTTGTTCAGTTTCCATGTAGTTGAGCGGTTTTGAATGAGTTTCTTAATCCTGTGTTCTAGTTTGATTGCACTGTGGTCTGAGAGACAGTTTGTTATAATTTCTGTCCTTTTACATTTGCTGAGGAGTGCTTTACTTCCATCTATGTGGTCAGTTTTGGAATAAGTGTGATGTAGTGCTGAGATGAATGTATATTCTGTTGTTTTGGGTCAAGAGGTCTGTAGATGTCTATTAGGTCCACTTGGTGCAGAGTTGATTTCAATTCCTGGATATTCTTGTTAACTTTCTGTCTCATTGATCTGTCTAATGTTGACAGTAGGGTGTTAAAGTCTCCCATTATTATTGTGTGGGAGTCTAAGTCTCTTTGTAAGTCTCTAAGGACTTGCTTTACAAATCTGGGTGCTCCTATATTGGGTGCATATATATTTAGGATAGTTAGCTCTTCTTGTTAAATTGATCCCTTTACCATTATGTAATGACCTTCTTTGTCTCTTTTGATCTTTGTTGGTTTAAAGTCTGTTTTATCAGAGACTAGGATTGCAACCCCTGCTTTTTTTTTATTTTCCATTTGCTTGGTAGATCTTCCTGCATCCCTTTATTTTGAGCCTGTGTGTGTCTCTGCACATGAGATGGGTCTCCTGAATACAGCACACTGATGGTTCTTGACTCTGTAACCAATTTGCCAGTCTGTGTCTTTGTATTGGAGCATTTTGCCCATTTACCTTTAAGGTTAATATTGTTATGTGTGAATTCGTTCCTGTCATTATGATGGTAGCTGGTTATTTTGCTGTTTAGTTGATGCAGTTTCTTCCTAGTGTTGATGGTCTTTACAATTTGTCATGGTTTTGCAGTGACTGGTACTGGTTGTTCCTTTCCATGTTTAGTGCTTCCTTCAGGAGCTCTTTTAGTGCAGGCCTGGTGGTGACAAAGTCTCTCACCATTTGTTTCTGTAAAGTATTTTATTTCTCCATCACTTATGAATCTTAGTTTGTCTGGATATGAAATTCTGGGTTGAAAATTCTTTTCTTTAAGAATGTTGAATATTGGCCCCCACTCTCTTCTCACTTGTAGGATTTCTGCTGAGAGATCTGCTGTTAGTCTGATGGGCTTTCCTTTGTGGGTAACCTGACCTTTCTCTCTGGCTGCCCTTAACATTTTTTCCTTCATTTCAGCATTGGTGAATCTGACAATTATGTGTCTTGGAGTTGCTCTTTTCGAGGAGTATGTTTGTGGCATTCTCTGTATTTCCTGAATTTGAATGTTGGCCTGCCTTGCTAGGTTGGGGAAGCTCTCCTGGATGATATCCTGAAGAGTGTTTTCCAACTTGGATCCATTCTCCCCATCACTTTCAGGTACACCAGTCAGACGTAGATTTGATCTTTTCACATAGTCCCATATTTCTTGGAGGCTTTATTTGTTTCTTTTTACTCTTTTTTCTCTAAACTTCTCTTCTCACTTCATTTCATTCATTTGATCTTCAATCACTGATACCCTTTCTTCCACTTGATCAAATCAGCTACTGAAGCTTGTGCATGCGTCACATAGTTCTTCTGCCATGGTTTTCAGCCTCAACAGGTCATTTAAGGACTTCTTTAAACTGTTTATTCTAGTTAGCCATTCGTCTACTCTTTTTCAAGGTTTTTACCTTCTTTGCGATGGGTTCAAACATCCTCCTTTAGCTTAGAGAAGTTTGTTATTACTGATTGTCTGAAGCTTTCTTCTCTCAACTCGTCAAAGTCGTTCTCCATCCAGGTTTGTTCCATTGCTGGCGAGGAGCTGTGTTTCTTTGAAGGAGAAGAGGCACTCTGATTTTTAGAATTTTCAGCTGTTCTGCTCTGGTTTCTCCCCATCTTTGTGGTTTTATTTACCTTTGGTCTTTGATGATGGTGATATACAGATGGGGTTTTGGTGTGGATGTCCTTTCTGTTTGTTAGTTTTCCTTCTAACAGTCAGGACCCTCAGCTGCAGGTCTGTTGGAGTTTGCTGGAAGTCCACTCCAGACCCTGTTTGTCTTGGTATCACCAGTGGACACTGCAGAACAGAAATTTTTGCTGCCTGATCCTTCCTCTGGAAGCTTCGTCTCAGAGAGGCACCCAGCCTTATGAGGTATCAGTCACTCCCTTACTGGGAGGTGCCTCCCAGTTAGGCTACTGGGGTGTCAGGGACCCACTTGATGAGGCAATCTGTCCATTCTCAGATCTCAAACTCCTTGCTGGGAGAACAACTATCTCTTCAAAGCTGTCAGACAGGGACATTTAACTCTGCAGAAGTTTCTGCTGCCTTTTGTTCAGCTATGCCCTGCCCCTAGAGGTGGAGTCTACAGATGCAGGTAGGCCTCCTTGAGCTGTGGTGGACTCCACCAAGTTTGAGCTTCCTGGCAGCTTTTCTTACCTACTCAAGCCTCAGCCATAGTGGATGCCCCTCCCCCAGCCTCGCTGAAGCCTTGCAGTTTGATCTCAGACTGCTGTGTTAGCAGTGAGCAATGCTCCGTGGGCGTGGGACCCTCTGAGCCAGGGGCGGGATATAATCTCCTGGTGTGCCGTTTGCTAAGGCTGTTGCTAAAGCGCAGTATTAGATTGGGAGTCTCCCGATTTTCCAGGTGCTGTCTGTCATGGCTTCCCTTTGCTAGGAAAGGGAATTCCCCAACCCCTTGCACTTCCTGGGTGAGGAAATGCCCCACCCTCCTCCATGGGCTGCACCCACTTGTCTGGCAAGCCCCAGTTCGATGAACCTGGTACTTCAGTTGGAAATGCGGAAATCACCCATCTTCTGCATCATTCACACTGGGAGCTGCAGACTGAAGCTGTTCCTGTTTGGCCATCTGGGCACCACCCCCACAAGACATATCTTTAGATAGAAGGTATACACTGTTTATAAATAAATGTAAGGGGGAAAAAAAGGTTTTGTGTTTTTTTCCTAATCTAGCAATAAATGCCAGGAAGTGAGTTTAGATAAAATGGTACCTCTACCATAGGGATCATTGTAAAATAATTAAGAATAAATTATATAAGAAAGACTCTAAATGGATAAAGAAAACTGTAAAATCTTATTAAATAAAATGAGGCAATATCAAATAGAAAGATACGCCGCCTTATAACTGGAATATACAATACCATTAAAAAATTATCTTAAATTTGATACAATATTAATTTGAATTTAGAATCTCTATGAAAACTTTTTATTTTAATCAAATAAATTACCTCAGGCTAAAAAGGAAAAAAGAATTTTGTTCTTCACTTCTAGATTACTTCAGGTAGTAGCCTGTTATCTGCTACTACCTGAAGAATTACCAAAGCCACTGTAAACTCTACAAAGAAAAGTGGGCCGGGTGCAGTGGCTCATGCATGTAATCCCAGCACTTTGAGAGGCCGAAGTGGATGGATCACGAGGTCAGGAGTTCAAGGCCAGCCTGGCCAAGATGGTGAAACCCTGTCTCTACTAAAAATACAAAAAAAAAAAAAACTAGCCAGACGTGGTGGCGGGAGCTTGTAATTACAGCTACTCGGGAGGGTGAGGCAGAGAGTTGCTTGAACTTGGGAGGAACTTGGGAGGAACTTGCAGTGAGCTGATATCATGCCACTGCACTCCAGCCTGGCAACAGAGTCAGACTCCATTTCCCACCCATCCAAAAAAAAAAAAAAAAAAAAAAGAAGAGTGTAAAAAGGCATGTCACAAAAAAATATGGATGTATTACAAAGCTAGCATTCTAGAATTAGTATAGTGTTGTTATAGAAATTGGTATGTAGATCAATGACAAATAATTAAAGAATAGATCTCAGCATAAGTATAATATTAATATTTTAAATGGGAAAAGTAAAAATGAAAAAATATCGTTTAATAAATTGTGCTTGCACAAATAGCTATACACGCGGAAGAAAGCAAAATACAACTTCTATTTTGCATCATGTGGAAAAATATTTTCCTGATAGTCTAAATACACATATGTGAGCAAATAAGAGTTAATCTATTGCGAAAACATCTAGAAGAAGCTGTGTGTAATTTAGAAGCAGGGGAGAAATTCTTGATCAAGTCTAGTAACTTAGTAACTTAGATGATCTCTATGTATCTATATATATCTGTTTATCTTTACCTACCTATATTTCTGTATCTATCATCTATCTATTATGTATCTAAAGAGAGGGATCATTTAGAAAGACAGAGGGAACCTATGTGTACACACACACGCACACACACACACACACGAAAAGCTATCATAATTAAACTTATTCCAAAGCAAAAGGCCCCATAAATAACATCAATATGCAGTAAACAGATTTTGAAAAAAAAATAGCAATACACAAGATTAATAAACTATTTACAATATGTAGTGAGCTTTTACAAAATAATAAGAAAAAATCTAATACATATATGTAAATATTTTAGTAGGGGATTTTAAAAAAGATCAAATCCAAGTAACAAATTATGTTTAAAAACTGCCCATACTGACATTAGTCAACGAAATGTACCTCAGTTTAAAATAATTCCTTATCTTAAACTGTAAGGCAAAAAACACAAACAAAAAGCAGCAACAACAAAAAATCCACAACAACAACCAAACAAAAAAAAAAACACAAAATAAAAAATCTTTAGCATCTACTACTATATTAAAATGTGAGCAAAAACTAGTCCTACATCGCTGGTGAAAAGCAAATGAATACAGCAAATCTTTACAGACTGAAAAATCCCTATACATTTAAACCTAGTAATTCCACTCCTTGAAAATCTATCCCCTATGCATTAAAATTAAAAAAAAAATAGTAAGAGGCATTTATGGTAACATTAGTGCAGTGTTGTTTGAAAATGGTGGATCATATCATGGTCCTCCATACCATAAAATAGTGGCAGACATAAAAATACACTATCCTTGTACTTGTGGTTTTGCATGATTTTCAGAGATACTGTTGAGGGAAAATAAAAGAAGATACAGAAAGCAAAAAAAAAAAAAAATACATAGGTTTATTTGTATAGATATGTCTCCAAATTAATTTGAATGTGTAAGCATAATAAAAATATTAAAATATTTATAAAATATGCTGCCATTATAACTGGAATATACAATATCATAAAAAATTATTTCAAACTTGATGCAATATTAATTTGAATTTAGAATTTCTATGAAAACTCTTTATTCTAATTAAATAAATTTACTCAAAGCTAATAAGGATAAAAGAATATTTAAAAATTAGCATGGACAGCTTGTGTTGGAGCCAGGGCCTGATAAGGCTGGAAGGGAAAGAGAAGTAGAGAGAAAACCCAAACAAAATGACCAAAAATGAAAATAATTGTCTTACTATAAAGTATATATAAATATATACTTTATATATGTATACTTTATATATATACTTTATATATGTGTGTAAGTGTAGACAAATGAATAAAGTATCTAAATAGATGATATACTCACATATATATCCATTATATACATATTATGGCTTTGTTTTGTAAAATTATGGAAGTATGCCTATATATCATGAAATTATCAAATAAACATTAAGATAAAAAGAAAAATTTTTCGAGAAGTAAAAAGCCTTTTTCTGGATTTTCAAATTTAATTAAAGCCATTAAGAGAATACTCTTCCACCTTCGAAAATAAAACCATTATTTTGGCTTTATTATTTTTTCTTTTATTATAAAAATGCATTTAATTAGCTAATAGAAAATCAAACCCTCAACCTCTTCTAGTTTGGACAAGGTGATTTCAACTTTTCAGCCTTCACACAGTTCTGCCTCCATAATTCCTAAAGAGCTTTAACTGCGTTATTTATAGGTTGATACATAACACTGCACATATTGATGATTTGGCCAGAAAATCATTGCCTAGACTATGAAATAATTAGTTAATGCAGATCTGAAGGTTGTCCAAAAGACATGCATGAATACAACACATTCACTGGAATTAAAAAGCTTACTAAACACATGTATAAATTTATTTACAGTAAATAATGACTGCTTTAATGTGCTAGTAAAAATTGTCAAATTTTTAAAAAGTGTCTGGATTCAATCCAGAACCAATAGTTATATTTTTTCACTTCTAAAGATGAATATTTGACTTGTATTATTAATTAGGTTATTGTGTCTCCTTTCTTTTTACCATCATGATTGATATATTGGCTCCTTTATTAATTAATTCTTTCACTGAAATTCAATTAAATGTTCTGAGATGTACCTTTAAGGTTTTTTATTTAATGAGTGTAATAACTTTGGTAACCTTGAACTATTTCATTTTTGTATAAGACAAATTCAAATTTCACATAGATTATGCAGTTGCAAACTGAAGGACCTTTGAGATGCTTTACAAATAGTAATACTAATGTATGGCATGAGATGAAATAAAGATTATACTTACATTTCATGGTATCATTTTTATGAAAATATCTTTGAATCTTGGATGCTGTGATCTTTTTAGTGAATGGTTTTATAAATATAAGCAACAACTTTAAAATTATGTAAAAATTGTATTGTTCCATTTAAGTTAATTAACATACTTTTGTAATTGAAAAGAGGTTCAGGTATTTTTATAAATATGGAGATTAGTCTCCTAAGATTCTTATCATTCAACACATTCAGTTTAGTTGATCCCGCCATGAATTTAAGATAGTTTTCTGGTTTTTTTTTTCCCAAAATAGGATTATATCTAGCCATATTTTTCAGCTGAAATTTATTGCTGGAATTGCTTCATGTTCTTGGATATTTAATTTTAGCTTGTGACTCTACATATTTTTAAAATACATATAACTTTATACATGGTATGTAATCTAATATTAAAGAATATTTATGCAAATTAAACAGATAATATTGACTGAAGTGAGAGAAGAATAGCTGGTCAGCAAAATGGAAATAACTATTTTACTACCTTGTTGTAAAATTTTAATGAATGAAGGAGATGGCAAAAATAAATCAAATCTTTGAATTGGATTTACTTTAATTCAATGTGGACAGCAAGCTCTGGGATTGACTATAGTCCTTTCTGTATTGATTTCTAATTTATATTGTTTGAACATATCTCAAATAGGCCAACAATAGGTGTATGTATTAGACAGACAGGTAGAATTTTAATGCTTAATAACTCTGATGAGACAAGTCTCTCTTGATAAGTCATACTAATGAGATCTCTGGTTCTAAAAATAAAATCTGACAAAGAGTGTATGGAGAAGCTAGCTTTTCCCATCAGTTTTCAGGAAAGAAGAATAGTCTGTATATCTCAAAAATGCCAGTATGTTCTCTCTGAGCCCAGAAGGTGAGAGAGATAAAGCATTGTGAACTAATGGATTTGGGGCTTTCCCTATATGAGAAGTTTAGAGATGTTAGAAGGTAGAGGAAGGAAATTTTAAAAAGCTTATTTAGACAGCTTTATTTTCAAAAGGGTCAGATAATATTATTTGCCTACATTAAATATTGAAGTCCAGTGGAGGGTTGAAATACCTGCCTCCCTAACTCCCTCAAGTTACTCACTTGGTACTGCCATTAAGACAAGGCTATGGTTTTCAGATTTTCAGATTGAATTGTCACCTCTTTTAGTCTTTAAGAATGTATTCATTGTATTAGTCTATTCTCATGCTGCTAAAGAAGACATATCGAAGACTGGGTAATTTATAAAGAAAAAGAAGTTTAATGGACTCACAGTCCCACATGGCTGGGGAGGTCTCACAATCATGGTGGAAGGCGAAGGAGGAGCAAAGGCACATCTTACGTGGTGACAGGCAAGAGAGTGTGTGCAGGGGAATTGTCCTTTATAAACCATCAGATCTCTTGAGACTTATTCACTATCACAAGAACACCATGGTAAAACACTCCCAATGATTCAGTGACTTCCCACCAGGTCCCTCCCACACACGTGGGGATTATGGGAACTACAATTCAAGATGAGATTTGGGTGGAGACACAGCCAAATCATAACATTCATGTGATTCAGAATTACAATATTCTGATTTAAAAATGAAAATGTAAATTAGCACATTTATAACAAGGTCTATACATTTCGAATACTTTAAATATTAGCTTAAATGTATTAGCACACTCCCTTCTCAGTATTCAGATACTTGGAAAATAAGTTGCTATTAAAAGGCTGCTTAGTGAATGAGAAATCAAGAAAAAGAAATTGGGTTGTTTTGCAAACTCTTTCTGTGTGCCGAGTTTTATATAATGACTTCTTTTTATTCAAAAAAATAATACATTAAATACCTTATTATGTTTTCAACAAATTAGAAAATTATTTCATTTATTTAAGGTTAGTTTACTGTGAGATGTTGTTTTGTTTACCTTTGTTGCTATGCCTCAGTTTTTGTTTGTCAATTAATTACCATTGCTAGTTACTAAATACTCTAGGTACAAAATTTAGATGTAACTTTGTTGAGATGATATACTAGACTACTAAATTTATGCTTACACATACACATACACACACTTGGAAACACACATATGTAATGCTTTTAATTTGGTCAACATTAGATTACCTCAAAGTTACATTGCTTATCAAAAGTTTAATCGAACATATCAAAAAGTTAAGTTTAAAATAGTAACAGAGTCCATTGGGAAGGGATTTGAGTGAGTGAAGAAAAACTACAAGAAAGAATGTGCCCAATTGCAAGACTGCCTCAAGTCTGAATACAAATAGACTTATTCATGATCCATTCCGTGTGGACTTTCTAATTGACAATCAGAATGTCTACTGCAGAAGTAAAGTGGAAACCTAATTTCATATACTAATAATATTAATAACAGGCCAGGCACGGTGGCTCACGCCTGTAATCCCAGCACTTTGGGAGGCAGAGGAGGGTGAATCACCTGAGGTCAGGAGTTCCAGCCCAGCCTAACCAACATGGTGAAACCCTGTCTCTACTAAAAATGAAAAAATCTGTTGGGTGTGGTGGTGGGTGCCTGTAATCCCAGCTATGTGGGAGGCTGAGGAAGGAGACTCGCTTGAGCATGGGAGGTGGAGGTTGCAGTGAGCAGAGATTGCACAATTGCACTCCAATCTGGCCAACAGAGCAAGACTCCATCTCAAAATAATAATAATAAAAATAATAATATGAATAACAACAGTTGCTATTATTTAGTATCTACTATCTCTTCTTACTAGCTTTTTATAGTATTATAAATAATTTTAGTATCAGACTTACAAAGCAAATAATAATATTGCCATTTAAAGGTCTGCGTGGTTATATGGTTCTCAAGTTTGTTTTTCAGGTAAATATTGGGAGCAGTTTTTACGTTTAAACCTGTCTGACTCCAAAGTCTGTAGAATTCCGTTTTAAACATAGTATATTTGAGAAGATTCCTAACTAAGAACATTATAAATACAAGCAAGTTTATGAAGAAAACCTTAAAACTTCATTAAATAGATGACATGTATAAAGTTTATGCAGGCAAGATACAACTATAACTCAGGGGCAGTATTAATGTTGATAATGAAAGCGTTTTCAGCATGGCATAGGGAGGCATTTAGTAGTGTCCAAGGAGGAGCTGAATGGAGATATCCACAAACTCCTAGCTGCTATCTGAGGAGACAGGATGTGGATTGTGCTGCCAGCTTACGAGGGACTTTCACTATTGTTTTGACTTACTGCTGAGGTCAAAGTGACTCGGGTGCTGAAGGCTATAGGACAGAAACCACACCATGGGTTTCCAGTGACGTTATTGGTGATGCCTTCAGGAATTGGCAGTTTTGCTGAGGGGCGAGACAGATCTGAGTAAATAGAAAAAACAATTGATTTCTAACACTCAAAAAGAAAATGCTTAACAGTTTACAAGCCAAAATCTCTGTGAGCTGAAAAGTGATACTGTGGAAAGTGACACCATGAGAGAACGGAGAAGTCAACAATAGCCATAGAGGAGCAAGAGTTTCTGAGGCAGATCTGCAAGCTCCCTGGCTGCCATCATTAATCATACTCATGTAAGTCTCCTACTCTCAGCTACAACTCTGGGCAGGGCAGTTGGCAAGTGGGGATGGAAAGATTTTAGAAAGATGGAAATTAACTAAAAAGCACATTTAGGTATATACCCAGTAATGGGATGGTTGGGTCAAATGGTATTTCTAGTTCTAGATCCCTGAGGAATCGCCACACTGACTTCCACAATGGTTGAACTAGTTTACAGTCCCACCAACAGTGTAAAAGTGTTCCTATTTCTCCACATCCTCTCCAGCACCTGTTGTTTCCTGACTTTTTAATGATTGCCATTCTAACTGTTATGAGATGATATCTCATTGTGGTTTCAATTTGCATTTCTCTGATGGCCAGTGATGGTGAGCATTTTTTCATGTGTTTTTTGGCAGCATAAATGTCTTCTTTTGAGAAGTGTCTGTTCATGTCCTTTGCCCACTTTTTGATGGGGTTGTTTAAGACACATGCACACGTATGTTTTTTGCGGCACTATTCACAATAGCAAAGACTTGGAACCAACCCAAATATCCAACAATGATAGACTGGATTAAGAAAATGTGGCACATATACACCATGGAATACTACACAGCCATAAAAAATGATGAGTTCATGTCCTTTGTAGGGACATGGATGAAATTGGAAATCATCATTCTCAGTAAACTATCGCAAGAACAAAAAACCAAACACCGCATATTCTCACTCATAGGTGGGAATTGAACAATGGGAACACATGGACACAGGAGGGGGAACATCACACTCTGGGGACTGTTGTGGGGTGTGGGGAGGGGGGAGGGATAGCATTGGGAGATATACCTAATGCTAGATGACGAGTAAGTGGGTGCAGCGCACCAGCATGTCACATGTATACATATGTAACTAACCTGCATATTGTGCACATGTACCCTAAAACTTAAAGTACAATAATAAAAAACAAAAATAAAAAAATAAAAAGCACATTTAAAATGCAACAGAAGAATCTCAACCATGAAGAGATTGGTATATGGTTTATTGGCAAATTGAATTTCCCTATTATAAAACAGATAAATAATTTATTATCTGTTATAGAAAAATTAAAGAGCTACATTTTCTTGGTTGATTAAAGTGTATAACTGCAGTGTAACTCTATACATACTATTCAAATCAGAAAAAATGTTTAAAATATTACTCCTATTTGAGTCTACACTGATATGGAAAAGTATAAGATGTGTGCTTCCTAATGAAAAGAATAAGTGAGGGGAAGAAAAGTTTCTTTTTTCTTTTGCTATAGACTTTCCACTGGGTGCTTTGTATGTGCTTTTCATGTGTTATAGGACTACACTGTCCCTTAAACATTTTTTCTTTCGTATTTTGTGCTCTCAAAAATCTTGTTAGGTTTTTGGAGGCCAAGACACTAAAGTTCAAATAAATTAAGAAATTTTATTACATTTTTATGTTATTATCTGTAAGTAACCCTCACATACGCACATACGAAATATCTTTCATAAACATTGCTGAGTTCTCATTGTTTTAGTAACCTTATTTTTAACTATTACATGTATTTGGATCAGTAGAAAGATTCTTGATTTTTTTTATAGTCCCACTTTAACATTCTATATAATTTGAAGATAATGTCAGAATATAATACCAGAATGATGATCATCACAATATTATTTATACTGCATTGTAGTCTAGTTGTCTTTAATCGGTTTCCAAAAATCAGGTGAATGAGTTAAAAGCTATGAACACATTTTCACCTTATAGTGCTACCTCTTTTAAAAGTAACAGTTTCAAAAGATCTTCACTAACATTGGTTATTTAGATTTTTCAAATGTGAGTAATTTAGTAGGCAATGAAATAGTATAAGTCAGGTGTTTATTTTTTCTTATGAATTTATATTTTTCTTATCTCCCTATTATAGGATTATTGAATTTTTAAGAAAATATGCTTGGACAGTTTATATGAACAATAAATTAAATATTCTTTATGTTGTATTATATTTATTATGTATAATATTTATATTTATGTTTATGTTTTTTCAAATATTTTCTCTATGACTTGTAATTTTAATATTCCAAGATAAAAATTTTACATAATTCAGATTATGAGTATTTTCTACATAATTATGATAATTTTTATCTGAGACTATTAACTCTGTCTACACAATTAAGCATACATATTTTTATATGTAATATTTTGCAGCTTATTCATATGTTGTGGTCTATTCTTTAGATAAAGTTATAGTAATAGAAACACATATACATACACATACATGTGCAGTATATGGCAAGGTGTTTATCTAATCACTTATTTCCAAAGTTGCTACACCTATTCAAACACTCCATTGTGAGTTGTTACTGTAAACATACATTTTATGTTTTCTTAAGTTAAATTCCTAAATTAACAGTGCAAATTTTGTGTGTGTTGTTCTGTTTATTCACGTCTTAATACTGCATTTTTATCTCAGTTAAACTTAATATTTAATATATCATACAAATTTTCCAAAAATCATTCTTATTGTTCAAATTAAATAGCTGTTCTACCTTCTTTTCTACATGAACTATGGAAAGATTTTGGAGAATTTTAGGAATAAAATCCTCTGTGGTTTAGATTAGAGTATATTGAACCCCAGTTAGCCATCTTCATATTATGTGGCCTCCTCATTCAAGGATATGATATATCTCTCCATTAATTCAAATCTTCTTTTATATCACTTATAAACTTTTACAGCATGTTTATAGAGGTCATATTTCTTGGTCATGTTCCTTGTTAAATTTATCCTGAGACACTTTATATTTCCTGTAGCCAACTGTTTTTTTATCACTTAGTGTTGGGATTATCTCTGCTAGATGGCATTAACTCAGAACTGGCATTCCCTATCATTGGTCTTGTGGCCTGCCACACCACTGGATGAATTCTAACATTAAGTAACTTCACTAGACTTGAGATCTTCATTTCTAAATATCTATAATTCTAGGAATTGTATTAGTTCATTGTCACACTGCTATAAAGATACTACCTGAGACTGGGTAATTTAAACAAAAGTTTAATTAACTCACAGTTCTGCATGGCTAGAGGGGCCTCAGGAAACTACAATCATGGCAGAAGGTGAAAGAGAAAGGGCACCTTCTTCACAACGTGGCAGAAGAGAGGAACAAAATAAATCAAAACAAAACAAATCTAATGATCAATAGACTATAAAAGAAACATGAAATAAAATACAGCCAAACTTATTTAAAAAGAAAAATCATTTTAATATTATTGTAGTTTGGAGAATCACATTCTCAGCTAGATACTTCTGTTTGTGGAAAACAATCTAATGTGGCGTGATTTTCAATTCCATCTCAATTTATGAAAACCCTGCACTTCAAGACACACCTTAAATATCTTCTCCGTTAAGTCTTCTCTACTTAGCCTTCTCAAGATCTTTCACAAAACATCTTTAACTTTGCTTTGGTGAAATTAATACATAGAGAATCTATATACAGTATCTTTTATTTTAGGTATTTCTGATATGGTTTGGCTCTGTGTCCCCACCCAAATCTCATCTTAAATTGTAATCCCCATGTGTTAAGGGAGAAACCTGGTGGAAGGTGATTGGATCATGGGGACTGTTTCCCCCATGCTGTTCTCATATAGAGAGTGAGTTCTTTCAAGATCTGGTTGTTTGATAAGTGTCTGCTACTTCCTCCTTCTCTCTCTCTCTCTCTCTCCTGCCACCTTGTGAAGAAGGCACCTTCTTCCCTTTCACCTTCCATCATGATTATGAGTTTCCTGAGGCCTTCCCAGTCATGCAGAGCTGTGAGTTAATTAAACCTCTTTTGTTTAAATTATGCAGTCCTAGGAAGTATCTTTATAGCAATGTGAAAATGAACTAATACAATTTTTATATAAAAATCTTCTTTTTTAGATGGCAAGATAATGGATCACTCAATAAATGAACAAACAGTTGAATGACTTTATTGATAATGAAAATATTACTTTCATATAATATCTCTGACCATATTGCAACTATCTTCTTGGTAGAGAATGCTACAAAGAGAGACACTTTACTATGGTAGAGGTTGTAGGTAAGTTCTATAAAACATCTTTTGAAGAAAATATTCACTATATAAATTTTCCTTTAAGGGAATATTCAAGTTGGGCTGGTCATGGTGGCTCACACCTTTAATCCCAGCCCTTTGGGCATCCGAGGTGGGCAGATTACCTGAGATCAGGAGTTCAAGACGAGCCTGACCAACACAGTGAAACACTGTCTCTACTAAAAATACAGAAAAAAAAAAAAAAGATAGCTAGGTATGGTGATGGGCACCTGTAATCCCAACTACTCGGGAGGCTCAGGCCGGAGAATCACTTGAACTCGGCAAGTGAAGGTTAACAGTGAGCTGAGCCGAGGTCACGCCATTGCACTCTAGCCTGGGTGACAAGAGTGAGACTCTGTTTGAAAAAAAAGAAAATATTCAAGTTTTACAAGTTTAATAATAACTACTACTGTTTGTACTACATATTTTTCTAAATATTTTACGTATTTATTTACTTAACTCTCATAACAAAAAAAAACTAGATTTTTTTTATTGCTCTAATTTTACAGATTTAGGGACTGAAAGAACTTTTCCATAATTTGTATAGGTACGCAGCTTCTAAAAATCAAAACATGAATTAGAACACAGATAGTCTAGTTCCACAATAGTCTAGTTCCACAGTTTGTGTTTTTAAACACCAACTTTTAATATATTGCTTCAAAGTATCTTAATGCAAGCACAAGATGGTGTGTATTTCCCCATCTGTATAGTCTCATTTGTTATAAACTGACCTTCAAAATGTCAATTATATTGTTAACACTTCTTCAAAAGTCTTCACCTGTTTTTTGCAAATAAATCTTTGACTTCTGAATCTGTGATATTAGTAGTATTTGTGTTTCTCTTCATCTCTGACTAGATTTTTAAACGTTTTTGGGAGACATTATTTCAAACATAAAGAAAAATCTATAAATACACTACTACATAGTATACTACAAGAAACTGCTCTGAACCCTTTTCCCAGATCCAAACACTGTTTGCTTTTTATTCCAAATGGTTTGCTCTGTCAAACATTCTGCTTTTAAGAAATTTGATAGCAAAATTATAAATTTTTGTTTATTTGTACCTAAATATTTCAGTTAGCATTTCTTAAGAACAAAAACCTCCTTTTTTAAAACGACCAAAATAAAATTATCAAAATCAGGAAATTTATCATTGATTATAATACTTTTTCTGATTTCCTATCTCTATTCAAATTTAATTATTTTCATTAACCAACCTTTGTAAGAAATAAATTTACAGCAACACTGATCTATAAGTATGTTTTTGATCAATACTAGTCTAAGTTACATAAAAAAATATGAAACTGAAATAAGACATTGTATATTAACTCATAGCTTCTAGCAATAGCTCTTAAACTATTGCCTAATTAGATGTATGTTACATCGCTTTTCATATTTTTTCAAATTGTATTCTAATTTTTGTACAATTTATTCTACTAGGAACGTTGACAAAAGTAACAAGGTATTAAAAATCAATCTGCTTATGAGCTATATTTTATTTTTGATAATAATTTTAGCCAGTAATATTTAGGTGCTACTTACTAGGAAAAATAACATTATTTAAAAGAATTTTGAAACTATTTGTAAGTGATGTTTTATTTTTAATTTAAAGTTAATAATTCTAGCCAAATTTCTTATTTTTCTTAGTCATAAGAAACCAATCTGATAAGCATGTATATAAAAATAAATCTGAAAAATATGTTTGGTTACAGAAGCAAATATATTATTTGTAATCAAAATTTGAAAAACATAATTAAAATAATTTTATTATGTAATTTTAATATAAATGTTACATTATATAAATTATATATTAGATATGCTATTTATAATATAATTTTATAAATAAATATATATTATGGTCTATTATATTACTTTATCTTGGAGGCTTTGATGAATCTGTTTACTATAAAATAGTGTTTTCTATTTTTCTCATAATAGCTTTCATATTCTACGTCTTTGTATAGGCCCAAACGTTGTTTGCTGAATGCAAATTTAACTAGGATGACAAAGATCCTAGAGTTATTTCATGTACATAACTATTTGTCAGGCTAAGACCTGGGAAAAAAGGATTAAGGACTTAAAGTAGTTCAATTAGGTACATTTGTATTTATAAATATTCATTAATATCAAATAAAGTCAAGTATACTTTTAATCCAAAAGAAAATATAAATAAGTTAATGAGCATCAAAATCATTATATGAAATAATTTATAGTTTTATAATATTTCAGTTACATTAAAAAATTACTAAGTAAAATTGATGATAATTTTGTAATTTTATGGTCTTCATTCTTAAATTCATGTTTGGACAAATTAAAGTACAAAATACTAATACTCTGAAAGTATAACACAATGCTTTTCCAAAAATGTTACATGAAAGATTTGTAAAAGATTCTTGAAAAATATTTATTCTTGCATACAAATGACTCATAATTGGGCAGATAGACTGATATATATATTTGCATAATTTTTTTTGGCTTTTGAAACTTGATTATTTCTAATATCTCTAAAAAATTCAAAATGTTTAAAATGGTTTCATTACAGTGACACAGGGATTCTTTAATTTAGAATGTCTTTAGTTAGTGAAACCTTTAACTTCTCATGTTTGGTAATCTTTGAAAAAAAGTTTTTATTTTACAACACAAAGATTTCAATTCAATAAAATCTTAGCATGAATTCCAACAGTGTTTGAAATGATCGAGTTCTGGATATGTTTTACAAAAGGACAACCTCAAAAATTTTTACTCACATGCCTTAAAAATTACAATATATTTATTATAGTTCACTGTAATGCAATATCAAACACTTCTAATTTCGTGTGATGTTGTGAAAATTATTTATTAAAAAAAGGGGCCGGGCGCGGTGGCTCACGCCTGTAATCTCAGCTCTTTGGGAAGCCAAGGGGGGCAGATCACGAGGTCAGGAGATCAAGACAATCCTGGCTAATACGGTGAAACCCCGTCTCTACTAAAAAATCAGCAGGGCGAGGTGGTGGGCGCCTGTAGTCCCAGTTACTGGGGACCCTGATGTAGGGGAATGGCGTAAATCCGGGAGGCGGAGCTTGCAGTGAGCCTAGATGGTGCCACTGCACTCCAGCCTGGGCGACAGAGTGAGACTCCGTCTCAAAAAAAAAAAAATAGAGAGAGGGTGTTCCACATACTCTACATACCTTGCCAGAGGTGTGCAGAGGTGTGTGGTTTTGTAACCTCTTTTCTGGAAGTGTGTTTAGCAATATAAATACAGGGATAATAACTCAATGACATTAAGTGATTTTCAACTTACACTTTCAAAAAGCTGCCCAAGTTACA
This sequence comes from Homo sapiens, assembly GCF_000001405.40. Lineage (NCBI taxonomy): Eukaryota > Metazoa > Chordata > Mammalia > Primates > Hominidae > Homo > Homo sapiens. The sequence continues at coordinate 59,405,278 of NC_000004.12, read as the reverse complement.
TACAATAAGCGTACATAAATTGTAATGAGAATCATTAGAAATTAATTTATTAAGTAAGAATAAATCTTCTCTTTTCTTCCATTTCAATGATTCAGGAAATTCTGATATTGTATAAAGAAGATCACAAAAATAAGAAAGTAGAGAAGCAAAACTTTTCATGATTGTCTATACAAAACAACTGACAGATAACTAATGCCAATCCGTTTCCTAGAACCCAAGGCCCTCAATAATGTATTTATTGTGTCAACTGTATGCTTAAATTTAATAATATATTGCTTAAAAATACTTAAAACCATACAAATCTACACAGAAGTATTAGCTTGGAAGCGTACTATTTTTCTGATATTTGAAAAGTTATTTGTTTTTCTATACCTCAATTTTCTGCTCTGTGAATAGAGAAATAATTGATACCTTCAATTGTTGTTCTTAAGGTTAAATAAGAAACTTTTAGACAGATGATAGAAATAATAATAAAAATAGATTTTTAAAAGTGTTAGATAATGCCTTGGATATAGAAGGTGTTCAATAAATTTTAGATAAAATAATGAAGTTAGGCCAGGCAGATGGCTCACACCTGCTGTAATCTCAGCACTTTGGGAGGCTGAGGCCGACAAATCACTTGAGGCCAGGAGTGGCAGATCAGCCTGGCCAACATGGTGAAACCCTGACTCTGCTAAACATTAGCCTCGTGTGATAGTGCACGCCTGTAACCCCAGCTACTCCCGTGGCTGAGGCGGAAGAATCTCTTGAACCCCGGAGGCGGAGGTTGCAGTGAGCCGAGATTCCACCACTGCCCTACAGCGTGGGCGACAGAGCAAGAGTCTGTCAAAAAAAAAATATATGAAGATGCCTCATATTCTTTTTGATTAATAATTTAGAAGTCTTCTTTTAAGACTTCTTATACCCGTAATCCCAGCACTTTGGGAGGCCGAGGCGTGAGGATCACCTGAAGTCAGGAGTTCAAGACCATTCTGGCCAACATGGTGAAACCCCGTCTTTACTAAAAATATAAAAATTAGCCGGGCGTGGTAGCAGGTGCCTGTAGTCCCAGCTACTCAGGAGGCTGAGGCAGGAGAATCGCTTGAACCCAGGAGGCAGAGGTTGCAGTGAGCCAAGATCACACCATTGCACTCCAGCCTGAAGACAGTGAGACTCCGTCTTGAAAAAAAAAAAAAAAAAAAAAGACTTCTTACATGCTCCCATAGATAAGACAATACTATTCTGAAACATTGTAAAATATAAACCCATTATTTTCCTGAGGAATCAAAAGTCTATAGATTTTCTGCTTAATCAAAGATGCATTCGGGTGTCTAAAGCTAATGATATGTTTATGATAAAGTCAAGTTGTATGTTCTTTTACTAATACTAATTTCACTGTTTTACATAATAAAAATGATTCTAATTAATACTAATAAATTATGTGGAATTTTGAATAAATGGTTTTGTCAATTATTTTAATTCTCTTTCAACCTATTTGTATCCCAAACTGATTTGCCAAAACGTTAATAGTATAAAAGAAGAAAAAAAAATAGTAATTTCTCAAATAACCCAGCATTTATAAGAGAGAAAAGAAAGAAGATTATTAAGATTTATTTTGCTAAAGGAATAAAACCAAACCAAACACAACAAAATTCTGCATTTCAACTTAGCCCTCATGTACCCACATTTTTATGATTATGTTTTAGAATAAAAAAAAATTTATCTAAAAGTTTAATTTGTCAAATTTACTTGTCAATATTCCCTCACATGTCTCAGAAATTCTTCCTCTTAATTTTAGTGACATTATTTCCTTGTAAGTGGATTCTCATGGAAAAGCAACTTTGGTTTTTACCTGTTATTTCATAGGTTTCCAGTTCGAAGCAAGATTTTCAAATTTGAGTAAGAAGAGTACAAATCCAAGCAGACAGCATATTTGTGTGTTGCAAAATATAGTAGTTACTTTTATAATATTTTATTGCAAATATTATCTCTAGGATCTGTTAGCAATATATGGATTTTGAAGCATGTGTAGGAAGAGGGCTTGGTCTTGTAATTTCGTTTGTGCTTAGATGCAGTGGTTTCTTTCTTTCTTTTTTAACTTTTATTTTAAATTCAGGGGTACATGTGCAGGCTTATTACATAGACAATTTGTGTCATGGGGTTGGTTGTACAGATTATTTTATCATCCTATTAAGCCCAGTACCCATTAATTATTTTTCCTGATCCTCTCCTTTCCCCCACCCTCCACCCTCTGGTAGCCTCAGTGTGTGTTGTTCCCTTCTAGGCATCCATGTGTTCTCATTGTTTATCTCTAACTTGTAAGTGAGAACATGCAGTATTTATTTTTCGTCCCTGCTTTAGTTTGCTGAGAATAATGGCTTCTAGCCCCATCCATGTCTCTGCAAAGGATATTATCTGTTTTTTTTAAAGGTGGCATAGTATTCCATGGTGCATATGTACCACATTATTTTTTCATCTTGTCTACCATTGATGGGCATTTAGGTTGATTCCATGTACTTGCTATTGGGAATAGTGATGCAATGAACATATTCATGTGTGTGTTTTTAAAAATAGAATTATTTGTATTTCTTTGACTAGAGACCCAGTAATGAGATTGCTGGGACGAATGGTATTTCTGTCTTTAGGTCTTTGAGAAATTGCCACACTGTCTTCTACAATGGTTGAACTACTTTACACTCCCAGTAATAGTGTGTAAATGTCTTTTTTTTCCACAACCTCAGCAGAATCTGATATTTTTTGATTTTTTAAAACAGCCATTCTGACTGGTGTGAGATGGTATCTCATTGTGGTCTTGATTTGGATTTCTCTAATGATTAGTGATGTTGAGCTTTTTTATATGATTATTATGATTATTGGCTGCATGTATGTCTTTTGAGAAATATCTGTTCATGTCTTTTGCTTGTTTTTTGACAGGGTTATTTGTTTTTTCTTATAAATTTGTTTAAGTTCTTTGTAGACTCTGGATATTAAACCTTTATCAGATGCATAGTTTGCAAAAATTTTCTCCCATTCTGTAGATTATCTGCTTACTCTTGCTGATAGTTTATTTTGTTCTTTAATTAGATTTCATTGGTCAATTTTTGCTTTTGTTGATTGCCTTGGCTGTTTGGGCTGTATGAATTTTAAAACTGTTTTTTCTAGTTCTGTGAAGAATCTTAATGGTAATTTAATGGGAATAGCATTGAGTCTATAAATTGCTTTGGGCAGTCTGGCCGTTTTCACAGTATTGATTCTTCCTATCCATGATCATAAAATGTTTTTCCATTTTTTTGTGTGTGTGTAATCTCTGATTTCTTTCAGCAGTGATTTGTAATTCTCATAGTAGAAATATTTCACCTCCCTGGTTAGCTGTATTCTTAGGTATTTTATTCTTTTTGTGAAAATTGTGAATGGGATTGCCTTCCTGATTTGGTCCTTGGTTTGGCTATTGTTGGTGTATAGGAATTGTAGTAATTTTTGCACATTGATTTTATATCCTGCAAGTTTGCTGAAGTTTATCAGCTGGAGGGACTCTTGCACCAAGAGTATGGGGTTTTCTATAGAATTATGTCATCTACAAATAGAGATAATTTGACTTCCTCTCTTTCTCTTTGGACTGTCCTGGCAAGGACTTCTAATACTATTTTGAATAAGAGTGGTGAGAGAGGGCATCCTGGTCTTGTGCTGGTTTTCAAAGGGAATGTTTCTAGCTTTTTTCCATTCAGTATGATGTTGGCTGTGGGTTTGTCATACATGACTCATTATTTTCAGGTATGTTTCTTCACTACCTTGTTTATTGAGAGTTTTTAACATGAATTGATGTTGAACGTTAACAAAAGCCTTTTCAGATGCAGTGATTTCAAGCAATGATGGCATCATTCTCCTGAAGGTCATATAGAAAAAAAATGGAAACCTATTTTAGATGTTTTAATTACACAGGTATGCTAATAAAATGTCAGGGTAAGTGTTTGGAAAAATAGTCCTTTTACAACAAAAGGGATATTTCTATATAAAGAATTGTCTCACTTAAAATGCCAAACCCTCTCCTATTGAGAAACACCAATACACAATAGACGTTTTTAAGTTCATCAGTATTGAATCAAGCAAATGACTTTGGCTAGAAGAAAACATAACACCTCCACAGAGCTATAATACATGAAAACCTGTCATACTATTATAAATAACGGGAAAAAATTGTAAGTTCTATGTGAACGTAGATACAATATGTTGTGGAACTGCTTGGAAAGTAAAACAAAAGAAAACTGAAGGCCCATGACTTGTTTTATAATGCAATTTTTCCCCTGTAGAATAGGGATATGAAGTGACTCTGTAGACTGTAAAACTTTACAAACAATGATTCCTTAATAATGTGCATTAGAGAAAAGAATGATTATATTTAGAACAGAAAAACTTTATTATTTGAAAGGTAATCTGAAGTAATGTAGTTTACATTTAGAAGTATTACATGAAAATATGGGTTTTTGACACTGTTTTGGATGATGACCTAAGCAGTCTATTTAAGGCCTTGCTGCTTCCCTCCGACTCATAGAATTTTACTATTGAAATTTCCCAGAAAGAAAACAACGTCTTAGTTCTCTTACACCTAAAGCAAGAAGAAATTTATTAGCTTTAGCAGCTATCGTAGAGAATACAAGTAGAGTGGGAACACAGATGTAATTAATCAAGGGCTTTTAGGTTGGTTATCTCGGAGTTTCCTACATTTTCCTTATCTGTCACTACTGCATAGTCACTTATGGGTTCAGATTTGTGCGGTCTTCCAGAGAACAAACTGATAAGAATCTTAAACCAAATCTCTGCTTGTTAGAAAACATGATGATCTATTTACTAACTTAGTGAAGCTTTTTTTTTTTCTTTAATCAGGACCTTTTTAAAGTTTTGCAAAACTTGAAACTGACATTCAAGTAAACCAGTCTCAGCCACCAAAATAGTTTAACACTGTAATGGGTTTGCTTTTCTAATCACTGAATAACATATCACGGCTGACTAGGTTTGCTAATAACTTACACCTTAGAAAATATCAGAAAAGGACAACATTCCTTATAACCCTGGAGATTAAGAAGAAATAGAAGTTGGGCTTGTTTGCATCAAAATCAAGCCAGGGAATGTTCAACTAGTTAGGAAGGTTCAGAGATAAAAGACGATAGGTAACATTTATCTTCCATTTATTTTACAAGACAAAATCCAATTATCTATGAAGCTTCGTCTCTGAAGAAGGTATGTTAACTAGTGATAATGTTTAAGAAGGGTAACATATAAAGCTCTCCTTTAAGGACAAATTGAGAAATAAAGAACATTTTGATTACTCCTACTTCAATATTAAGAGAGAAATGTATTTTTATAAACCAATATGGTTGATTTTATGGGCAAAATTTATTTCTAAAAAAGGAACATTAGCTTTTAATTTATAGCGCTGACTTAAATTTTGCACTTAAAACAATTTATTTGATTTTTCAATCTTAACTCATAAGGACAGCATATACTTTTTATAATATGATACATCATTCATTTTAATGACTGAATAAAGAAATTTAATGACCTTTCTAATGGAGAAGTCACTCTGATTTTCTGATGCCATAATGGTTGCAAGTGGGATTTAGTGTGTTAAAGACAAGCACATGATTCCAATAATTAATACTTCCACCGTTTTTCCCTAATTATGGATTAAAATATCATATATTGGAACAGAATTTCAAACAGTTATTCTAACACTGCTTACCTTTGCACAGCACAAAACACACAACTGAATGCTGTGTAGGCTCATGGAATTTAACTGCCTTTGCAGGTTAAAATCACATACTAAAGATATGGATGAGGGAAAGAAGGCATCAAAAAATTAAAAATAAAAACAAAAATTTTTTTCTCTTCTATTGCTTCCTAGAAATCTTGTATATACAATTCCTTCATATTTTGAGGTGAATTTTACTAAGTAATAACATGTTTTTTTCCTTATTGATAATCTTTGTCTCAACCATAATTGTTTATTGAAAGGACATATATCTACAGTAAGTTCTGGTTAAGTCAGAGGGTCTTACAAAGAATGTTGTTTGTACCCCACAGATTACATCTACAGTAATAAAAATTCACTCTCAATATAAATCTCAAAAAACTACTGAGGTACAAATACAACAAAAGTCAAATTTACAAGAGCACTAAAAATCAAAGCTGTATACTTGGTGGTGTACGACATGCTATTTTGCTCAGGAAATGCCAGTCCATATCTGTTTCCAGTATTTGTCAATGGATTTTAAACTTCAAGTGTCAACATTAAGCGCTGATCTTCCACTTGAAAATTCTAGACTTATTGAGAGACAAAAGTATAGAACAAGTATTGATAAAAGTAATAGCTTTAGAATTGATAAAGGAGGACTGGAGGATTTGGCTTACATATAATTATGATCACAATATATTATTTAATAACCCTCTCAAAATTAAAATTATTCCTTCTATATTTAGGCTTGCCCCTTGCAAGAAGTAGAGTCTGCCACTCTTAACTTTCACTGTGGTGGAAGAGCACACATCATGCCTGATTTCTACAGCAACACAAAGAGGAAGGGAAAAGTGCCCACCATAAACAACTAAGTAGAAAGACATTTGTTATGGTTATGAAGGAGACCCTAATTGTAAAAAATTGACAATGCCATATTGGGTCATAGAGTAAAATACACTAATTCGTATAAAATATTTATTGGATTTCAATTATAGATCAGCCTCTGTTTTATGTGCTAGAGAAACAGCAATAAACTAGATAAACAAATTCCTACACTCATCCAGTTTTCTAATGATGCAATGATTACCAAATAAGGTAAATAGAAAATCTGAGCATAGCAACTGGCAAACAGAAACACTTGAGATTTCATATGGATACATGATATCATCAAGTAGAGGCTGAAATTTTTGCTGGCTGACCATAAAAGCTTTTTTTGAGAAAATAATCTTTGAGTTAAAGTATTTAAGAAAGAGATTAAGCACTGTTGATATTTGAGAGTATCAAGTACAAAGGCTCTGAAGACGGAGCAAGTATGGTTGCAGAAATTAGGAGGAGGCAACTCTCCATGGAATAATGTGAAAGAATAGAGTAGCAGAAGATGAGGTCAGATAAACAATGGAAACTAAAGTATGCAGGAGCTAGAGGATAACAATAACTTTAATTTGCTTTTCTCAGTAAGAAAGAGAGCAACTAAAGAGTTGTGAGCATGACAGCAATATGATCTAGCTTACATTTTAATAAAATCAGTATAACTGCTTTCATGACAATAGACTAAGGAAGATTAAGGGTGGAATCAGGAAGACAATGAGAAGCCAATAGAAAAATTATGACCAATATATTGATGACTTTGAACAGAATGGTAGCAATAGAAATAGTGAAAAGTTAATGTATTCTGCTTTCAAGTCCAACAGAACTAATTGAAATATATTTGTTACTGAAAGAAAAAAGAAAGTTTTATATGTATATTAGAATATATACTAGAATATGTAATAGAATATATACATATATATTTAAAATGAATGAGGAAATTGCCATAGAGCAGGATGCAGGAAGAGCAGACATAGTTGGAGCTTACTGGAGGATAAAATAACTTTATCAGACACTGTTGTATGTTTTACCTACACTGTTGTGTGTTTTTAAGTATAGTAGAAAATTAAATTTTAGAAGCATACTAGACACTCATTGAAAAATATCAAGTAGTCAGTTGAATATGTAAGTCTAGATTCCAAGACAGATGCCTGACTTAGAAATATAAATTTAGGGATTATCAGTACATACATGCTTATAAGTTATTAACTGACATAATTTAAGGAATAACTTAAGGAATTTATGCAATTTCTACAGATTTAAAGGTTGAGAGATCAAGAGCAGAATTCTCGGACACGCTAGTGTTAATAGAATTTACAGATGAAAACCACCCTCCAAAGGAGACTGAGAAAAAGCAACCAGGAAAAAAATAAAACAAAGATGCAAATGTAAAGTCTTGGAAACCAAGCATAGAACGCATCTTGTAAGAGAGTATTATGTTATGTTTGGTGCAGCTGATATTTTAAGCAGGATTTGAACTTCACTACTAGATTTTGCAAATGAAAGTATTTGTTATGTGCAGTTTGGGAGAGTGTTGATGGTTACAAAAGCCTGATTTAGGTAAGTTAAAAGTAAACAGGAACAAGGTAAATATCTAAGTCTGGTGCATACTCAAAACAACAGATACTTCCCCTTACAATTTCCACCGCCACACTAACTAATAAAGTGTTAGTAAAAATTAAAGAAATAATAAAGGAAAGATACTACTGAGATAGAAGCGGCAATCAAATGTACAGAGACTTTACTGGAAGCAGATATACTTAGTGAATTTGAACACACGTCAATAGAAAATATACAGATTAAATATTATACTTCTCCAAAGAGAAAAAAAGTATGAAATAGTAGTATGTAATATAAAAGAAAAGTGAGCTTGTGGTAATTTGTTATTCACCAGAATAATATAAGTGAAGTATACAAGATTATTAATTTAAGTGTGTTCTTTTGTAAGTTCTCATGAAAATAAAATATTAATATCAGATATGCTGTGAAAGATGAAGTTTTATGAAAAATCTCAGTTCATCAATTTGGCTTATTACTCACATTTGAAAGTTTATTTTATTTTATTTTATTTTTTTCTTTTGCAACTTAACTTCACCATACCATAGTGGTGTAAAAAAACACCTGTTTATGGACATATTACCATATGCAGTATTTATAATGGACATCTTACCATATGCAGCTATTTATAATAGTCAACAACTTATATGAGATGGACATGCATAAAATCTTTTTGTAATAGACAAAATTAATTCAGTGAGTTGTAGTCTTACAAAATAAGCTTTGGTGAGTTTGAGTAACAATTAAATGAAATAAATGGGCAGTTGCAGAGAACACAAAATGATAAAAATATCAAATAGAAACAACACTAGAATCCACGAGAAAGCAGAAGACTTGTATTAGAAAAGGGCCGAGAGAGTAAGTAAAGAACAGGATAGGAAGATAAAATATGGATAAAGTGCTAAATAATGAAAGCATTAGGTCATGAGTAGATGAATCTACTACAGATACTATTGAGGCATCAGATCTGCTTTTTGTATAACTAGAGCCTCTATAATACCTTGAACATTGTTCAAAATTCAAGGTTTCAAAAATTATAAAGTTTCTTAAACATTTCTCATGCAGTCATTCAATAAATCCTTGGTATGTATAGGGAATTTGCTACTTGTAATCTGATATAATCCAACTATAATAAACAAAAAATAGGACTGCAGGGAAAAAGGGCAAAGTATATGGTCAAACGATACAAGAAGAAACACAATCAATATTAATACATAAAAATTTAATCTTCCTTGTTATAAATACAAATTTAACCAAGCATGCAAGCATTTAAAAATTTTCAAATTAACAAAGATGTAAAACAATATAAAATTATATTTGAGTAGGTATATGATTAGGTGGGCATTTTCATAGTATTTTGGATAATAAATTAACAGGTTAATAATTCCACATTTTACAAAAATTAGCCAGGCATGGTGGTGCACACCTGTAGTCCCAGCTACTCGGGAGGCAGAGGCAGGAGAATTGCTTGAACCTGGGAGGAAGAGGTTGGCAGTGAGCCGAGATCGTGCCCCATTGCACTCCAGCCTGGGCAACAGAGCAAGACTCCATCTCAAAAAGAAAAATAAATTCCACATTTTGACCTAGAAATTGTGCATTCATAAATAGACACAATGTTTATACAGTTAAAATCTTCACAAGCAGGTCAGGTATTAATATGGGTAAGTAAAGTGATCATTGCATTTATATAACCTGTCTAAATTATTTAAGCTCAATTATAATAATATTTTGGAAATACTATCAGTAAATATAGCAAAGTAAAGGACTGACAAATTCTTGTTATCTGTAAAGGCAACAAAAACACTGGAAACACTTGTTAGAATCAATAAACTTTTTCAGATATCTGGGAATTAACCAAAGGCTTACAGCAATTCAAGGATTATTTATTCAAGGAAAATTACTGAATCTTACTTTTCATAGAAGATCACAAATTATATAAAAAAAAATGTCTAATACACAGAAAGAAGGAGTAAATAGAAACTGTCTCTGAAGAAGCCCGGATGTTGAACTTAATAGACAAGGATTTAAATCAGTCACCTTGATTATGTCCAAAGAAGAGAAGGGAACTTTGTCTAAAAATCTAAGGGAACCTATGAGAATGATGCTTTACCAATTAGAAAATACCATGAGATACAGACATTATAAAAAAGAACCAGAATGAAATTCTGTGGTTGAAATCTACAATAGGGGCAAGATGGCTGAATAGCAACAGCTCCTGTCTGCAGCTCCCAGCAAGACCAACGCACAAGCTGGGTGATTTCTGCATTTTCAACTGTGGTACACGGTTCATCTCGTTGGGACTGGTTAGACAGTGGATACAGCCCACAGAGGGCCAGCAGAAGCAGGTTGGGCGTCGCCTCACCAGGGAAGTGCAAGGGGTCAGGGAACTCTCTTCCCTAGCCAAGGGAAGCCCTGAGGGACCATGCCATGGGAGATTGTGCTATTCGGCCCAGATACTATACCTCAGCAATGATCTGTGCAACCCGCCGACCAGGAGATTCCCTCAGGTGCCTACACCACCAGGGCCCTGGGTTTCAAGCACAAAATGGGGCAGCTGTTTGGGCAGATACTGCGCTAGCTTGAAGAGTTTTTTTTCGTACCTCAGTGGCATCTGGAATGCCAGTGAGACAGAACCATACATTCCCCTGGAAAGGGGGCTGAATCCAGGGAGTTTAGTGATCTTGCTCAGCGGATCCCAACCCCACGGAGACAGCAAGCTAAAATCCACTGGCTTGAAATTGTCGCTGCCAGCACAGCAGTCTGAAGTTGATCTGGGATGCTCAAGCTTGGTAGGGGGAGGGGCATCCGCCATTACTGGGACTTGTAGGTGGTTTCCCCCTCACAGTGTGAAAAAAGCCTCTGGGAAGTTCGGACTGGGCAGAGCCCATGGCAGCTCAGCAAGCCCCTCTAGATTTCTCCTCTCTGGGCAGGGAATCTCTGAAAGAAAGGCAGCTGCCCCACTCAGGGGCTTTTAGATAAAACTCCCATCTCCCAGGGACAGAGCTCCTAGGGAATGGGGTGGCTGTGGGTGCAGCTTCAGCAGACTTAAACGTTCCTGCCTGCTGGCTCTAAAAAGAGCAGCGGATCTCCCAGCAGCGGATCTCCCAGCTCGAGCTGTGCTAAGGGACAGACTACCTCCTCAAGTGGGTCCCTGACCCCCGTGCCTCCTGACAGGGAGACACCTCTAAGCAGGGGTTGAAAGACACCTCCTATAGGAGAGCTCCAGCTGGCATCTGGCAAGTGCCCCTCTGGGAGGAAGAATCCAAAGGAAGGAGCAGGCAGCAATCTTCACTGTTCTGCAGGCTCCACTGGTGATAACCAGGCAAACAGGTTCTGTAGTTGATCTCCAGCAAACCCCAGCAGACCTGTAGAAGATGGGCCTTACTGTTAGAAAGAAAACTAACAAACAGAAAGCTATAGCACCAACATAAACAAAAAGGACAACCACCCGAAAACTCCATCCGAAGATCCCCAACATCAAAAACCAAAGGTAGAAAAATCCGTGAAGATGAAGAAAAACCAGCGCAAAAAGGCTGAACATTCCAAAACCCGGAATGCCTCTTCTCCTCCAAAGCATTACAACTCTATCCCCAGCAAGGGAACAAAACTGGATGGAGAATGAGTTTGACAAACTGACAGAAGCAGGCTTCAGAAAGTGGGTAATAACAAACTTCTCCCAGCTAAAGGAGCATGTCCTAACACAATGCAAGAAAGCTAAGAGCATTGAAATAAGTTTACAGGAACTGCTAACTAGAATAACAAGTTTAAAGAAGAACATAAATGACCTGATGGAGCTGAAAAACACAGTACGAGAACTACCTGAAGCATACACAGGTATCAATAGCTGAATCAATCAAGTAGAAGAAAGAATACTAGAAATTAAAGATCACCTTAATGTAATAAAGTATAAAGACAAGATTAGAGAAAAAAAAAATGAAAAGGAATGAACAAAGCCTCCAGGAAATATGGGACTATGTGAAAAGACCAAACATACGTTTGATTGGTGTACCTGAAAGTGATGGGGAGAATGGAACCAAGTTGGAAAACACACTTCAGTATATTATCCAGGAGAACTTCCGCAACCTAGCAAGAGAGGCCAACATACAAATTCAGGAAATAGGGAGAACATCACAAAGATATTCCTCAAAAAATCACTAAAAATGTCCAAAATCTGGTGAAAAATATTATTCTGCATATATAAAAAGCTCAACGTACTAGTGGTTGGATAAACCCAAAGAGATTCACACCTAGACACATTATAATCAATCTCTCCAATGATAGGACATAGGGAGAATATTGAAAGCATGAAAAAAGACATGACACAGTACACTTACAGAATTCTCCATAAAATTAACAGTTGATTTCTCACCACAAATTAGAGAAGCTAGAGAAATTTGGGTGATATATTAAAAATGTGGAAATAAAGAAGAAATTCTGTAAGCCAAGAATTCTATATCCAGTAAAATGATTCTTTAAAAATTGGCGAGAAGTTTATATATTCAGATAAACAATAACTGAGGAAATTAGCAATTGTTAAACCTACTACAAAAGGATTCTACACGATATTTCCCAATAACTTGAATAAATACACTTATAAATGTAACTATAGATACAAAGGATAACTAAATAACTGTTATCTGTAATTTTTTCTACTTCTGATTTAAAAGACAGTTGTGTGAATAATCATTAGAAATGTGTTTATGAGAAGACAGTGCATAAATATGTAATATATATTAAAATAAAACCACAAAGGAGACGAGCAGTAATTGAGTTTTATTGGAATAAAGTTGTTTTTGTACTGTTGAAATTTAGTTGCTATTAATTCGGAAAAGATTTTAATAATATAAATAATCTCTGAGAAGAAAATGCAGAAACATACTGTATAAGAAATGACAGTGGTAAAACAATATGTTAGAAAATATTTATTTAACAAAACAAAAGACAGTAATGGATGATAGAGAAAAAACATAAAAGATATTAAAAGTAAATGAAATTGCAGACTTAAAAATATATAAGACATTAAAAGTAAATGAAATTGCAGACTTAAGTTTTACCTTAGTCTGGTAAATATTAATACATAAAACAATGCAATTAAAAAGCAGAAATTGGAGGCCAAGGTGAGTGAACCACTTGAGGCCAGGAGTTCAAAACCAGCCAGGCCAACCTAGCAAAACCCTGTCTCTACTAAAAATTAAAAAACAAAAAAATAGCAGTTTGTGGTGGCCTGTAGTCCTAGCTACTCCGGGGATTGACGCACGAGAATCACTTGAACATGGGAAGTGGAGGTTGCAGTGACCCTGAGACTGCACCACTGCACTCCAGCCTGGGTGACAGAGCAAGACTGTATCAAAAAAGGAAAAAAAGGTAGGGATTGGCATATCACCCAACAACAGAATAGATACTTCTCATAAACCCCTATGGAACACTTTGGGATGCACTGTTAGACTGTAAAACAAATCTCAATACAATTTAAAGTATTTAAGTTATGCAAATTGTGTTCTCTGAACACATTGGTATGAAAATGTGAATTAATGACCAAAGAAATTTTGGGAAATTCAACACAGTGTGAACATTAAGCAACAGATTCATAAATGACCAATGAGACAAGGAAAGAAAGCTATCCGGAAATTTCAGATAAGAAGAAAAATTTAAATATACTTGAAAATGAATGAAAACAAAAGCAAAATTTATCAAAATTTATAAGATTCAGTTAAACCAGAGCCTACAGAATAATTTATAGTTGTAAATTTTCACATTAAGAAAACGAATTATCTGAAATGGATAACCTATCTTTCACATTAAGGAACTAAACAATTAAAAGAGCAAATTAAATTGAGTAAGCAAAAGGAAAATGTTAGAGCAAAACTTTACATTAATTAGAGAACAGAAATAACAATGAAGAATAGCAACTAAAACAAATGTTATTTCTGAGAATAAACCAACATATTGATATAACTGACAAGCCAGCAAAAAAAGAGAAAAGGCATAATTTCTTAAATTCAACAATAAACGACATTACAGAAATAAAATATTACTGACCATACAGAAATTAAAAATAATTCTTAGTCAATACTTTTGTCATTAGTTTTCACTTTTTTATTATTAAGATCAGGGAACAAACTTTGTACGGACAATTCTACATAAACCAATTAGATAACTTAGATGAAGTGACAAATTATTACAAAAACACAAACTATCAAAAGCGAAGAAAAAAACAGAATAAGTAGAAAATATGAGAAGAATCACAGAAAGTACAAAGATTGAGCTAGTAATTAAAATATTTCCCTAAAAATCCCAAGACCAGATAGCTTCTCTGGTGAAGTCCACCCAATATTTAATAATATATAATACCAATGCTTATCAAACTCTTTCAAAAATAATGAGAAGTAACTCATCCCAATCGCAATACTATCCTGTTACTAAAATCTGATAAAAATTATACAAAAATGGCCGGGCGCAGTGGCTCACGCCTGTAATCCCAGCACTTTGGGAGGCCGAGGCGGGTGGATCACGAGGTCAGGAGATCAAGACCATCCTGGCTAACATGCTGAAACCCATCTCTACTAAAAATACAAAAAATTAGCTGGGCGTGGTGGTGGGTGCCTGTAGTCACAGCTACTCGGGAGGCTGAGGCAGGAGAATGGCGTGAACCTGGGAGGCAGAGCTTGCAGTGAGCCGAGATCATGCCACTGCACTCCAGCTTGGGCAACAGAGCGAGATTCCTTCTCAAAAAAAAAAAAATTATACAAAAAAATATATAGCCCATTATTACTGTAAATAGAAACCCTCAAATCCTCAAACTTGAAAAAGAATTACAACAACCCATTAAAGAGTTATTTAACATGACTGAGAAGACCCATTTCTGGATTTCCAGATTGGCTCAACATACTTTAAAAAATCAGTGTAGTATATCATATTAATAGATTAAATGACAGAAACCATAATATCATTTCCATAGGTAAGGAAAAAGCATTTGACAAAATCTACCAATTTATGATAAAAAAAACATGCATCACATTTAGTGTATAAGAGAGTATCCTTAACCTGTTACAGGTCATCTGCAAAACACAATCCTTACCTAACATCCTAATTAATGATAACTTGACTGTCCCTATGGAAAAGAAAGTGAGAGAGAGGTCAGGGATCAAAATTTATGCATTACATTTTTTATACCACTACTTTCAATAGTGAAAATTAGGAGCAAACTGAATATCACTGAAGTTATAAAATGTTAAGTTAGTGCATATCCACGTGAAGGAACAGTAAAACAGATTTTAATCATATTTTGGTGAAAATATTTTTATTTTTATAATGTTTACAATATGATACTAAATTGAAAACAATTTATATATGATTCAACAATATTGTGTTATATTCACATTTTCATAAAGAACAAGGTGAATATCTTCTTTTTAATCTAACAGCCAAATGTTAACTGGCATAATCCCCTCTGCTCTTCTTATCTCCCTATAAAAAACCTCAGAGAATCAATTCCCTTTTTACTAATTCAACCCATCCTATACCTGAGTTTTCACTCCCCCATAAGATAGATTTACATATAGCCTCATCAATTTCCCGTCTCTTCTTCCCTTAAGTTCCTAAAATAGAATATTAGCAATCACTATGAAGAATTAAGAAGAAATATAAAGGTAACAACAGAATCTACCATTCTAGAAACTATTGGAGATTTCCATCACTCTAATGAACTCTGTAGTCCTGATATCACTCTGTAATGAACATCTTTTGTCCTGTTTGCCTGTACCCTTAGTTTTATTCCTCAGGGAGAGACTTGGCAACACCCTTCCGTGCTTCAGTTTCTGACTACATGAAGAGGTTATCACACCCAGCTCTTCCTGGGTGAAAGCTTTATTAGGGGCCTGAAGAGACTTTAGTGTGGGCCAGTAAGAGATCACTCATCTCTGATGTGTAATGGTCCTGGAAAGAAGCCTCAGCCGATACCTGGACACCTTCTAATACTGTACCACACAACACACTTTACAGTGTTAAACCATGCTAAAATTAATGTTAAATGTAATTTGTTGGACTTAGGATCTAATTTACAGGTGATAATACAAATAAGCACTTCCAAGCCTTATTTTTCAAATGATTACTCTCCTGTGTTAGTTACTTAATACATATTCTGTGGGAGCAAAAGCAGTGTTTTTAAAATACATTCTGTAACGTTTCTTGCATAGTGGATAAATTGTAAATTTTAAGTAATAGCAATAACAAGTATAGTTAACATTTACAAGTTTAAAAATGAAATAAAATTATCCTGATGAATGTATTTCCAATTGTCTCTTTTACAAAAATCTGTGAATCTCTGCAATTCAACAGACTGAATAAAATAAGCAATATGATGTTGCTCTCTATACAACACACTTTCTCTATTGGATCTTCAATTTTATGTTCCACGTGAATGGCGTTAATAGGGGTTTTCAAACATTTTTGACAATTACAATTGGTCCTTAAACTCTTCTCATCAAAGTGTCACTAATACTCAAATTTGCATATAAATTTCTGTTCTCCATTATATACCATGGAATGAAGAAAATAACTGTTTGCTTTTCCAGTCAGGCAAAAAGCACTTCAGGCAAACTGGATGTGTTATGTTGATAGGAAGATATAGAAGACAGCTGCTGGAGATGATGATCACTGTAAAAGCACCTCTGGGAAGGATTTGAAGATGTGTTTTCAAGGGTGACTGTTCCCCATAGCTGAGACACCACCAACCATGGTAAGATCCACACATTGCAGTAAGCAGATTTTCTAAATTACCTTTTTACTGCATGCCTCTCCCATTAGCACAGCCACCTCTTTGTCGTTCACACCGATGTAACGATAACTTGTGAGGCATTTAAACCCTGGGCTTGGCTGGCTGGTTGCTTCTTACTCTGTGGCAAGATTATTGATTGCAAATGCTTATTAAGCAAGTACAAGGCAATAAGCCATAAGAGCTGTTGATAATTCAAGAGGCAAAGCAAGTAATTATAGATGGATCAAGAGGATTATTACATACGTGGCCGTGGTAAATATGACTGATTGCTAGTGCAGTGCTGTGATGACTGTTTGAATTTAAATGTATTATTATTGATTTTTTTGTTTTTATTGCATTTTTAACTTGACAGATTTTTAATGCAAATAGTTCATTCTACCCCCCTGCCAGATCCTGTTACTGTAACTTGATGATTTACAGGCATGTGCAGTAGTTAGGGTTCCTACTGCTCAGTACAAAGCAAAGCTACTATCATACTCCTCCAAATATGCTTTTTCTTTCATTACTTTCAAAGTGTAACACATACAGTACATCAGAATTTCAGGGCATTTGGTTTTTGATCTATTGGCACTGTGGTGCAGCTTATAAAGGTGCCAGCTAAAATCATTAAATAACATTAAGGTCTCTTAAACTCAGATACAATAATGCCTTCTTGTATTATTCTTTTGTAAATTAAATCTGTTAAGGAGACAAAATTTTCAAAGGGGAAAATATAATAAAATTTCAAAGAAAACTGGATAATGTCAATAGTCTGAAATTTCAAATCATTAAAGTGAAAATATGCAATAACTTATTACTTAAATGGTCAATATTGTAATTCTTTGAGGCATTTTAGACTGGAGAAACAAAGGAATATTGATTTTCTAAAATAGTAATCAAAGATACTGAATAGAGAGGGATATATATGTGTTTTATTAGTGTTCATTTAGAGCACAGTTTTAATTCATTTAAAATATGCACTAGAGATTGAACTTATATTCAGAATCATGGAGATTGCTAGTTCTAAAAACAGAGATCCAAACTTCCAACTGCTCCATGGAGCAGATGAAGAAACAGATGCCAGAAAATCTAAGAATCTTGGCTAAGGACATCTATCACATCTAAGTTAAAACTGAAATAACAATAGTTACTATTATTATTACTATTCTTACTATGGCCAACATTTATTGACTAAATGCCATTAATAAGCTTCATATTATTCCAGACTAAAATAACTCTATAAAGTATTTTTATAGTCTATTTATACATAGAAGAAAGTTGATACTAAATCAGTCATTTGCCTGAGGACACATTACTCATAAAAGGCAGATCTAATACAATTAATACCTAGGTACAAACTTATCACCTTTAATCTCAGCACTGTTGGTCTATGGTTATAGCACTGTCATTCATTTTTTAACAATACACTTATTTATCCATTCATTCAAGAAATATTGAGTGATGACTATATAACACTATTCTAGGTTCTGTGGATAGAGTGGTAAAAAAAAAAAAAGATGGATGAGATCTTTTTTTTCCCATTTCTTGTACTATAATCAGCAAACAGACTTAAATAATCCCATAATACAATAAATGGAGTATAAAACAATAGAATGATAATGCTGTCAAGTTGTAATACTATAGAGTAAGCAAATAAAAAAAAACAAGAGTAAATTATATAGAAAAGTGAGAGGAACCAATTTGGTAAGAAAAACCAAAAGCCCCAAGTTCAGTGGATATTAAATTTGAGATTCTTATAATATATTCAAGAGAATATATAAATTTGGTAGTTGGTTATATAGGTCTAGAAATGCACTATCCAATATGGCAACTACTAACCATATGTGGCTATTTCAATTTAAATAAATTTAAATTAAAAAATATTAAAAAATTTAGTTTCTCATTTACAGTAGCTGCATTTCAAGTGCTTAATAGGCACACAGGGCTATTGGCTCTCATATTGAACAGTGCAGAGATTGAACAGTCCACCATTGGAAAAGTGTCAATCAGAGAACACTGCTTGAGTATTCAGAGAAAAGGTCACTTTTGGATATAAGAATCTGGTGCTCAAAAGTTGACTCAATTATAAGTGTTTTACTTGAGCAAGTGGTTAGAGAGTGGGACCAATTTCTGAAATGAGTAAATTAGAAAAAGGAAAAAGTTAGTATGTAGATTGGTGATTGAAAGTTTCCTAAGTAGTTTAAAATTGATAATATATTGAAATATTAAAAATAGAATAAAATACCTTATAATGAAAAGTATGTCGAAATTTGTAGTTAATGATATTAATACAAAATTTTCAATGTTATTTATTCTCCTTTACAAGAAAAACAAAATTGCTTCAGCTCTGAAGTAGTGCAGATGTAAATATATAAATACACAAACACACAACTATATATGCCTATTATATCTATCTATATTTCATATGTGTATATTTATATCTCATGATTTTGAAAGCCTATTGTGGATTTTTTTCAATGACATCATCTCTGATTCATATAATTCTATTCCTGGGTATGCAAAATAACCTGGATACTAAAGATATAAATAAGCTTAAGCAACTTAATTATATTCCAAGGGTGTTGGTAGAATCAACTCATCCCTCTTTTACACATTTACCAGAACCTAAATTTCTCCTGATAATTATGATTACATAAAAGTTGAGTTTTAGCACCTTAATCATTCTGATAACTCCATTTTAGAATACAGTGTACTGCATAAGCAAAATCCACATGTACCATATATGCAGATTCATTCTTCGATTTTATGCATATTTCAAGATGTGTCTCACTTCTTCCTCCCAAATCACACATCTCTGCTATTAGCAAGCGCCAGCGTGAGATTCCAAGACTTTAGCATGCTTTATATATGCTTCCATATTTCTTCTAAACTGTACTATTAAAAATATAAAAAGCAAATGAATGGAAAATAATCTACTTCTAGCATAAAATAAGCTTTAGCTCTCTTTTCTCTGTTCTGTTACCTCTTACTTCTAATTTTT
Organism: Homo sapiens; assembly: GCF_000001405.40. Lineage (NCBI taxonomy): Eukaryota > Metazoa > Chordata > Mammalia > Primates > Hominidae > Homo > Homo sapiens. Next base: position 59,385,391 of record NC_000004.12, on the reverse strand, counting down.
CCTACTTAATTTTATTTCAAATAGTGCATCTACTACTATTATTATAATAATGAAAATTACCTGAAATAGGGATGACTTATTTTCTAAAAGATTTTTTTCTGAAGATGACAGCTATCCCTTTTGCGTATGTGTGTGTATGTAACCAATAAAACTCTAAAGACAGTGCAAATAATACATGGCAAGGAAGCAAAGGTTATCTAAACAAATGAAGACAAGTTAGAAAAGGACATGACAAATTTATACAGAATATGAAAGAAGCATGAGCAAATTCTATTTGTAAATCAAATATTTGGTAATTTTGTTTTATTAATATGATGTTTCCAGCTGATAAATGTATTTTAACATAGGGATTTTCTTATCCAGAATTCTTTTCATTACTTGTAAATATTGGTACATTTTAATTCATTGTTGAGAATTATATAGTAAGCCCCACAGCCTTTCCATGTAGGATATCTAAGAAGTCCAATTCAGTTTAAAGATAGATTCATATAATTTATAATTCCTCTATTGTATGTTCTTTAGGCATATAAAATTCAAGTCAGTCTGCAATTCAACACTGAATACAGATATTTGTCTTTAAAGTACATCAGCAATGTTAATTATTAATAAATTCTATAATAACTCTTCCTAAAATTAGTAAGACATAAAGCAAATCTAACCTTAATTGTTCTCAGAGGTATTCCTGAAAAATCACTTTGATCTAAACAATCCAAGATGCTTTTCAAGGTCACTTGATATATACTTCATAATTTTTAAGTGATAGAACAGTTATGCATGTTCTTAAGTCTTTTGTACCTTTGAAAGCAATCAGGGTGCTAATGCATACTCCACTTCACCTTTGGTTTAAGATCTGCGAGACACTCATATCTTTCCTTGGTGAGTTCTGGGTATGTTGCCATATTTTTCAATTAAGCACTGAAGGATTCAGGTTTTTCTAGAAATTTTTATGTTCAAGTAATTTTCTCTTTTCTGCTATGAATAAATCAGCCTGATAACAAAAAATTACTTAGATCTATATATAAACTTGTGAGAGGTGTATTAATTTAAGACAAAAAATTTCAGATTTTAATAAAATATCTCTGCCTACGCAGAGGTGTGCCTAATACATATTGTAGTAAAATGCTGTGTTTGGAGGTTAATGCCAATGATTCATCATTGACGTTATATCAATGGTGTTGATTTAATTAATGGGAAACCAGAATAAATTTAACTTTTTATTTGAGATGAATATTTGAACATTTTTATTACTAATGTTTTGGCGTTATTTTTTAAAATTTGAACGTTTTGCACAAGAACAATAGTTTTCCAACACAAGTGTGTGCTAAATTCTTTCAACAGTCACTATACTGCACGTTTTTGCTACTAAATAGTTTTTTGTACTAATTTTCTGTTGATAAAAGAGCAAGGCATTGTTTGGCTCAACTTATCACCTAAAGGATACTGTTGAAAGTGATGCCGATTATAAGTTATTATGCTTATGATTTTCAGTAATAGAATCTGTAAGACAAGGACTGCTGTCCTCTTCACTTCCTAGATCTGAAGATTTGGACATGATGATGATGATGAAGATGATGGTGAAAGTTGATTAAAGCACAAATTGAAGAGTTATGGGATGCTTTAAGAATGTATAATTGTCTCTTTCCAAAGCAGACCAAGATTTTTACTTACACTCAAGTTTTTGTTATATTTTTTGCATATATTCTTATTTATTTACATAAAGAGTTGAGGAAAAATATAGCCTTTACTTTGGATCTAGAAATGCAGCAATAAAAGAATGTAATTAGTATTAAAAATTGCAAAATTATTTCTGAAAGTTTATCTGCATCTTTGATTTTGCTGCATGCATACCAATTTCTGCATCTTCCAGTAGAAGAATGACAATAACAGGTGGCAACCAAAAACTATTTTACTCACAAAGCACAGTAGTTCAACTATTTCTTTACAGGGTTTCTGGAAAACCAACTATTTGGGTAAATCTCAAAAGTTCCCCCTTTTTAACTACTAAAAAATGTTCATACTCTTTAGCATTAATTTAAAGAGTTGTATAGATTGTAAAGATTTTCTCCCACTCTGTAGGTTGTCTGTTTACCCATATCAATATACAATTGATATGCATACATATTAATTATATATATATACACACACACAATTGAATACTATTCAGTCATAAAAAGGAATGAATTAATGGCATTCACAGTAACCCAGTTGAAACTGGAGACTATTATTCTAAGTGAAGTAACTGAGGAATGGAAAACCTAACATCGTATTGTTCTCAGTCATAAGTGGGAGCTAAGCTATGAGGAGGCAAAGGCATAAGAATAACACAATGGACTTTGGGGACTCCAGGAGAAAAGGTGGGAAGGGGGTGATATATAAAAGGCTACTAATTGTGTTCAGTGTTTACCATTTGGATGAAGGGTGCACCAAAAAATCTCACAAATTACCACTAAAGAAATTACTCACGTAACCAAATAACACCTGTTTCCCAAAAAGCTATGGAAATTTAAAAAAAAAATCATAAAATCATTAATTAATTTTTAAAAGGAGTTCTTGTTGGTAAATCTTGCCATTTGAAATTAATATATCACACCATAAAGACATTCACTGGTTCAAGCATCCTTTTACATGTTTATTTGCTGCTGCTCCATCATCTTTGAATAACTTGTATTTGCCAAGGAACTTCAAAATTAGTTGACAAAAAATGATGTAAATGGCTCACTATTTTTTTGCTTACAGTACACAATTCTGTTATATTGTACCATGCTATAATTTTATTCTGAATATTTAAAGTAAAAAGTGGAATTACTTACGGATGGAAAGTATCTTAGTTACAGGCAGTTCAATCCATATGGATCTGCAGCAACCTCACGACTTGCCTCCTCAGAAGAAAGAATTCGACTGAGGTGCATAAGGCAGAAAAGAGACTGAGGCAAGTTTCAAAGCAGGAGTGGAAGTTTACTAAAAAGATTTAGAGCAGGAAAGAAAGGGAAATACATTCGGAAGAGACCCAAGTGGGCATCGAAAAAGTAAAATGTGGTGTTTAACCTTGATCCGAGGACTTTACAGGCTGATCCACCTCTGGCATGTTGCGCCCGTTTCCTATAATTCTTCCCTGAGGGTGGGCTGCCCACATGTGTAGTGTCCTTATACTTGGGAAGTGAGCACACACAGTGTGTTCAGGAAGTTGTACTCATGCCCATCTGAGGCTTTCTTCCCTTTTTTGGTGGAGTGCCCCTGGAAGGTCACACTCAGCCATTTTGTCTTTTAATGCACATACCCGGGAAGCGGCCTCTTCTGGTGTCTGCATTCAATTAACACTTAGCGTGACAGGTGTGGATCATCAGGAAATGGCCTCTCCCTGGCACTGGCATTCCTTGTGGGTGAGGGAGAGCCCTCTCCTGCCCCACTCATGTCTGTTTAACTACAAGTAACAATATGGTTCTTAAATAATTTTTGACCACCACCATGTTTATTTCATTGCTATTGACACTTGCATAAACATTTTCTTCACTGATTTTTCTTTCTATATTTCTTCAGTCATATTCAGCATGATTTTGTTGTTATACCCAGACATATTATGGCAAGCAAGTAAAATAGAAGCGATGACTCAACATACTGTCAGACTTCAGGTAGAATTTTAATGGTTTTTGTGTGTCCAGACATTTGATGAAGAAAGTAAAAAATAATATATTTAATCATATCCCTAACTCTTTGGGGCATAACAACATGCAAAATAATGCTCTAGTAACATGTTTCTAAGAGGAACTTCCTCAGGGGCCGTAGCTTTAGTGAATCTCAAAAATTTTCCTTTTTCAACTACTGAAAATGATTGGCAAATTACTTAACACTTTTTATTTAAATTTTAAGCTGGCAAAATCTCAAAATAATTTAAAAAATTTAAAAATTTTATTTTAAATGTGTTTTACTTTACCTTTTATATAGTTTTGGGGGGGTTATTTTAGGTTTGGATGTTTGTTGTATAGGTAAGCACGCATCACAGGGGTTTGCAGTTCATATTATTTCATCACCCAGGTATTAAGCACAGTACCAATAGTTATCTGTTCTGCTCTTCTCCCTTCTCCCACCCTCCCACTTTAAGTAGATCCAATGTCTGTTGTTTCCTTCTTTGTGTTCATAAGTTCTTATCTTTCAGCTCCCACTTATAAGTGAGAACATTCCTGGGTTAGTTTGCTAAGGATAATAGCCTCAAGCTCCATCCGTGTTCCCGCAGAAGATATAATCTCATTCTTTGGTATGACTTTATAGCATTCCATGGGGCATATGTATCACATTTTCTCTGTTCAATCTGTCATTGTTGGGCATTTAGGTTGATTCCATGTCTTTGCTATTGTGAATAGTGTTGCAACTAACATTTGCATGTTTGTGTCTTTATGGTAGAATGATTTATAGTCCTCCCAATAATGGGATTGCTGGGTCAAATGGTAATTCTGTTCTTATGGAATGGTCAACTGCATTCCATAATGGTTGAACTAATTTACACTCCCACTAACAGACTATAAGTGTTCCCTTTTCTCTACAAACTCACCAACATCTGTTTTTTTTTAACTTTTTAATAGTCAAATTACTTTTAATAGCAAAACTTTAATAGCTGCAATTACTTTTGTACCAACCATTTTAACTGATTTGAGACAGTATCTCACTGTGGTTTTGATTTGCATTTCTCTAATAATCAGTGATATTTGACCTTTTTTCATATATTTGTTGGCTTGATATTGAATCTTTTTTCATATATTTTTTGGCTGCATGTATGCCTTCTTTTGAGAAGTATCTGTTCATGTCCTTTGACCACTTTTTAATGGGATTGTTTTTCTCTTATAAATTTGTTTAAATTTTTTATAGATGCTGGATATTAGACCTTTGTCAGATGCATAGTTTGCAAATATTTTCTCACATTCTGTAATTTGTTGATTTACTCTGTTGACAGTTTCTTTTGCTGTACAGAAGCTCTTTAGTTTAATTAGGTCCCACTTGTCAATTTTTACTTTTGTTGCAATTGCTTTTGATGTCTTCATCATAAAGTCTTTGTCCATTCCTAGATCCAAGATAGTATTGCTTAGGTTGTTTTCTAGGTTTTTTATAGTTTTGAGGTTTATGTTTAAGCCCTTAATCTATCTTGAGTTGATTTTTTTACGTGGTATAAGGAAGGGATCCAGCTTCAATCTTCTGCATGTGGCTAGCCTGTGACCCCAGCACCATTTATTGAATAGTGAATCCTTTCCCCATTGCTTGTTTTTGTCACCTTGTCAAATATCGGATGGTTGTAGATGCATAGCCTTTTTTCTGGGCTCTCTATTCTTTTCAATTGGTCTATATGCCTGTTGTGGTACAAACACCATGCTGTTTTGGTAGCTGTACCCCTGCAGCATAGTTTGAAGTTGGATAGCATGATGGCTTCAGTTTTGTTATTTTTGCTTAGGATTTCCTTGGCTATTTAGGCTCTTTTTTGGTTTCATGTGAATTTTAGGACAGATTTTTCTAGTTCTGTGAAAAATGTCATTGGTAATTTGATAGGAATATCCTTGAATTTGTAAATTGCTTTGGGCATTATGGCCATTTTACTGGTATTGATTTTTTCCTGTACATAAGCATGGGATGTTTTTCCTTGTTTTTGTGTGTCATCTCTGATTTCTTTGGGCAGTATTTTGTAATTCTCATTGTAGAAATTTTTCACTTCCCTGATTAGCTGTATTCCTAGGTATTTTACGCTTTTTGTGAAAATTGTAAATGGAATTACCTTTCTGATTTCACTCTTGGTTTGGCTGTTGCTGATTTATAGAAATGCTAGTAATTTTTGCACATTGATTTGGTACCCTACAACTTTGCTAAAGTCATTTATCAGCTGGAAGAGCTTTTGGATGGAGACTGCGGGGTTTTACAGAATTATGCCATCTGCAAACAGAGATAGTTTGACTTCTTCTCTTCCAATTTGGATGCCCTTTATTTCATTCTCTTGTTGAATTTCTCTGGCTACGATTTCCAGTACTGTGTTGAATAAGAGTGGTGAGAAAGGGATCCTTGTCTTCTTCCAGTTTTCAAAGGGAATGCTTCCATCTTTTGCTCTTTCAATATAATGTTGGCTGTTTGGTTTGAAGGCTCCTGTTATTTTGACGTTTAAATTAGTGATAATAAAATGTACCTTGAAAAACTCATGTTTTCTTCGTATTAATCTTCTTCATTATTTTTATATATGCATAATTGATATTATAGGTTGTATTAATATGGGAGGGGGGCATGGTAGTGCTGGGAAGAGGGGGGCATGGTAGTGCTGGGAAGAGAAGGGCATTGTCCCTGGCTAAGACTCCACCCCCAGGCCTCTGCCCAGGGACTTAGGTGAGGACAGGCATTTCTGTTTTTGTGCCCAAATGCTCCATTTCCCAAGACCACTCTGGTTTGCCATCTCCCCATCCTGTGCCTTTAAAAACCCTGAGACCCTAGCGGGCATGCACACAAGTGGCTGGACTTTGAGAGTAGCACACTAGCAGAAGAAGACACAAGCAATTGGAAGCTGAGAGGAACGCACCAGCGTAAGAGCATACCGACAGTCATCAGCAGATGCCAGCAGGCCGTCGAACAATGGAATGATGTGGTTTGGCCAGGGTGGTCAGAGGAGAGCCTGGTTGCTGAACAGCCCAACTTCAGAGGGAAAAAACCACCTTTTCACTCCATCTCCCTTCTGGCTCTTCCATCTGCTGAGAGATAATTCCACACAATAAAACCTTGCACTAATTCTCCAAGCCCACGTGTGATCTGATTCTTCCGGTATACCAAGGCAAGAAACCCTGGGATACAGAAAGCCCTCTGTCCTTGTGATAAGGCAGGAGTCTAATTGAGCTGACTAACACAAGCTGCCTATGGACAGCTAAAGTGAAACAGCATACTGTAATACATGCCCACTGGGGCTTGAGCTGTAAACATTCACCCCTAGACACTGCTGTGGGGTTGGAGCCCCACAACCTGCCCATCTGCATGTTTCCCCTAGAGGTTTGAGCAGCAGGACACTGAAGTAGCGAGCCACACCCCCATCCATCACATGCCCTGCAAGGGTGATAAAGAAACTTTTCCTGTTTCAACTGGGGGATCGTCCAGGATCATGGAAGGTGAGTACAAATGTGAAACTATTGAGTCTGCCTCTCTTCCAAAACCCTGCCACCTCTTTCTCTTTTTTGTGGGTAAGAGGCTCTGTTTCCTTTCATGGGGTTTTAAACTGCCCTAACTGGGCCAATAAAACCCCCAAACTCCATCTCTTTTCTCTCTCACAGTTTGAAACAACTCTTATCTTTTTCTTTATAATGTTAAGAGCTTTGCAACTGGCTGTGGCAATGTTACTAAATAAAATGAGCATCTGGCTCAGCCGCCAAAGGTGCAAATCAAACCAGCTCTTCCTAGAGATGCCATCTATGCCTCCATCTTGACAGCCACAGGCACTTAGAGCTCAGGGCACCTCCTGTTACCCATTTTCCTTCCAGCTTGGGCGCCTTAGTGTGCCCGCAGCTTGCAAATGCTACACCTAAAACCCACGGGTTGGGGATGGGGTGGGAGAAAGCCATGATGGTAGCCATAACCCCACAGGACCAACAGATGGGTGCTTCTCGCCACCCATGCCAACAGAACATTTCTCACCTGGCCAAGGAATTCAACCCAGTCTGAACCAGGGAAAATATATAAGGATTAGAAGGACACACTTGCATTGAGCAATGGTTTCTTCCCCTAGGATCTCTCCTTTTTGCCCCTTGACTGTTTCTCTCTCTCTCTCTCTTTTTTTTTCCTTTTCTAAGTGAAAGGCTCCCCCACCCAGCACTGTTTCTGATAGGAATTTAACAGAGGAATGGCCCCTGCAGGCTGATAACTGCAAATTCAGCAGGGCTTATTTGAGATGCTCTAAACAGATATAAACAACCACTAAAATACTTTTTCAGTCCCAAACTTAATTCCAAGCTTCAGGCTGAGGCCCTAGAAAGAAAAAACCGGTCTGAGGGATCCAAAGCCAGGCAACAGGAACAATGTAAACGGGCAGGACGAATTCCTGCTGACTAAACCCCCACCCCACAGAAAGAGGCCGTGCTCTGTGGCATAAACAGGTTCAGGGAACTCAAAGGTTTCCGACAGCAGAGAGAAAGGCAGGCATAGGTGTGGGCGATTAATTCCTATTCTCCAGGTTTTTCCTGCTTCATGGGTACATGCCACTTTGGTACCTATGGCTGACACCTGCTAAGTTTGCCGGGGCTCAGGGATAAGAGGTGGAAGGTGAAGGGGAGATGCTTTCTTTCTCTCTCCATCACACCCTAAGTTTTTACTGAAATAAAAAAGGGAAATGAGGGACATCTCTATTTCTTGTCTTTCAGAACTGGCAACCAGTTCGCTTCACCACCCCCAGCTTATACTCCTCTGGTGTGTATCCTGAACCATTGGGACTGCTTTGACCTTAGAATCTGGAGGAAAAAATGCCTCATAGCCCTCTGCACAAAGGTTTGGCCAAATTATGATTTACAACAAGGACTGTCCTGGCCTCAGGAAGAAACCATTCATTTTGATATCATCCAGCAGTTGAAACATTTCCGTATACTTGAGGACAGATGATCTGAGTCCCCTTATGTGCAGGCTTTCTATACATTGCAAGGCAATCCAGACCTTTGCCAATAGTGTATGATTTATCCACCTCTCCTATTTGCCATCTCAGGGAAGGCTGTAAGAGGCAAACCTGAGGAATTAAAGATACAAGTCCCAGAGGCACCCTGGCAGAGAGGCCATCTCCTTCCAGGCCTGCTCCTCTAGGTCCACCCTGACCTCCCTATCCAGCTTCAGCCTCTCACTTGCCCGCTTCTAAAAACCCCACTGTAAGCAAGCCCCAGTATCGCTCTTGTCCCTCCAACAAATGCCCATTGCATTTGTGCCCAGTAAGGTTCAGGTCTTTGGCTCCCTACAGGACTTAAAGTAAATTAAGGGGGATCTTGACAAGTTTTCAGATGACCCTGATAGATATTTAGAGGCTTTCCAGAATTTCACCCAAATATTTGAACTCTCCTGGAGAGATGTTTTGTTACTTTTGAATCAGATCCTGACAACACTAAGAAGCAGGCTGCTCTGCAAGCAGCAGAAAGATTTGGGGATGAACTTTGCATCACATACAGCATCAGGGAAGGAAGTGAAAATTATCCAATTGGAAGATAAACAGTACCAGTGAATGACTCTAAATGGGATCCCAGTGATGAGATGGGAGACTGGAAGAGGACACACTTTCAGGTGTGCGTAATGGTGGGCTTACGCAGGACTAAGACCAAGCCTCTCAATTATACTAAGTTGTAAATGATTTATCAGGGATTTGATGAAAATCAACTGCCTTCCTGGAGAGGCTAAGAGTGGCCTTGGTAAAGCACACCTCTCTATCTCCTGACTCAGTCGAGGGACAGCTAATCCTAAAGAATAAATTATTCAGGCAGCCCCTGATATCAGAAGGAACATGCAGAAATGGGCCTTGGGACCAGATAGTACATTAGAGGGCCTCCTGAAAGTGGTCACCTTGGTCTTTTACAATAGAGAAATGGAGACACAAGACAGAGGCAAAAGCTTTAATGGCCACCAGGCAAGCCTACAAACCCCAGAATTCCCAGGGTGCACCTGTTAACTGCTGAAGATATGGCAAGAATTGTTATCTCCCTTCTAAAAGTGTATCGGCTCCTATACAAGATTTAATTTCTTTCACCAGGGTGAAATAGCTTGGGGTACAATGTTGTTGTTAGTATATGTCATTTCTTATCGTTGTAATCTTTGGTACAAAATTCTTTCCTTATATAATACACGTGTTTAACCCATGCATACTTAACTTTATAAAACTTGTTTTTTTCCCTCATGCCTAGAAGCCATCAAACTCCAAACGGTCAGGCAACTGGAGCCTCGGACAATGACTCCCTTTTGCCAGGAACCTTTAGATAGACCTCTGGGAAGAATTTGACTGCTGTTTTCCCCAAAACAACACTCTCTGTGAGCAGGAATCAGCTAAGACTGGTCATTATCCATAGTCTAATAGCAGTTAGATGTACCCATTCAGAGGGGGCATGTAATACAGGAGAGGTCAGGGAAGTGCTTGGAAGGGAAGGGTGTGGCCCCTGGCTAGGGCTCCACCCCCAGGCCTGTGCCTATGGACCTAGGTGAGGACAGACATTTCTGTTTCGTACCCAATTGCTGCAATTCTCAAACCACCCTGGCCTGTCACAAGACACCAGCAGGCAGGCACACAAGTGACTGTATGTCAAGAGGGACACATTGATGTAAGGAGACACAAGCAATTGGATGCGGAGAGGAATGCACTGGCTTAAGAGCACACCAACAGGTACCAGCAGACACCAGGAGGTCATCAACGGCAGAATGATGTGGAGTTAGGCCAGGGTGGTCAGAGGAGAGCCTGGCACTGAACAACCCAATTTCAGAAGGAAAAACCACCTTTTCTCTCCATCTCCCTTCTGGCTCCCCCATCTGTTGAGAGCTACTTCCACTCAAGAAAACCTTGCACTCATACTCCAAGCCCACGTGTGATCTGATTCTTCCGGTACACCAAGGAAAGAAACTCTGGGATACAGAAAGCCCTCTGTCCTTGTGATAAGGCAGGGGGTCTAATTGAGCTAACACAAGCTGCCTATGGACCCCTAAACTAAAAGAGCACCCTGTGACACATGCCGGCTGGGAGTTCAGCTGCAAACATCACCCCTAGACACTGCCATGGGGTCAGAGCCCACAGCCTGCCCATCTGCATGCTCCCCCTAGAGGTTTGAGCAGTGGGGCACCAAAGAAGCAAGTCACACCCTCATTACAAGACCTGCGAGGGGGATAAGCGAGTTTTTCCTGTTTCAGTATTAGATATTTTAAAATTATGAATGTGTAGAAACTCAACATTCTTATAGAGTTCATACATAGAATTTTCCATGAAATAGCTATAGCTACATGGAAATACATAACTTAAATAATTGTTTCTGAGTTATTTTGAAGTCATGAATGCTGACATACCACACAACTATACAAAAATAGAGTTATACTAAATTATAATTGCTACTCTTTCTTGATATTCATAGTTAAAAATTAAATAATCTTATAGACATATTTTTATTTTAGACATATATAAATAGTATACTGTTTAATAATGTTTTACAATATATTTCCCTTTTTTAAAAATATTTGAAATTTCTGTATTAGTTTGGTTATAAAATAAATAATTTTCACATTTAATGTTTATCTATACTCAATGTTCTATGTATATAGGTATTTGTGTGTACATGTCAACTAATTACAGAAGTTAAATATATAAAGAATATGAAGAGATTTTTCAAACTGTTATATATAATGTTAATATATATTTTAAGATGAATACTCAGATATTTAGTCTAAATCTAAATGAAAATCTTCTTCATAGTATTGAGATTACACTGATTAAACAGGATTTACCATATATGACCCCATGATTATTTTCCACACACGACATTATCACAAGTGAGATTGATATACACATTTGTCTATTTATAATTCCAAAGGACAAAAATTAATCAGATACTGAGTGATAAATTTTGTCTGAATACCAAAGATGAAACTCAGCTCTGTGGTACCAGTAAATAATCAAGTACAGGATGCAAACCCTTACCTTGCTTAATCCTAAAGAAGGGTGATGCTTAAGTCAGAAGCCCAGTTTACTATCTCAGTTTTGATATGTAAACACACACACACACACACACACACACACACATACACACACTCACAGATATAAGCACATACATATGCGTATAAGAAATACAAAGTTTATGGAATTCATTTTACTGGTTATCCTGATTACACATTGCCTTATTCAGTTTGGGCTGCTGTAAACAAAAAACATAAACAGGGTAGCTTATAAAAACAGAAATTGGCCAGGCGTGGTGGCTCATGCCTGTAATTCTAGCACTTTGGGAGGCCAAGGCGGGTAGATCGCCTGAGGTCAGGAGGTCGCGACCAACTTGACCAACATGGTGAAGCCACATCCCTAGAAAAAATACAAAATTAGCCAGGCGTGGTGTTGCATGCCTGTAATCCTAGCTAATTGGGAGGCTGAGGCAGAACAATCATTTTAACCCGGGAGGTGGAGGTTGCAGTGAGCCAAAATATTGCCATTGCACTCCAGCCTGGGCAACAAGAGTGAAACTCCATCTTAAACAAAACAAAACAAAACAAACAAACAACAACAACAACAAAAAGAGAAATTGTTCTATAGGCTGGGAAGTTCAAGACAGAGGCAATTTTTTGTTTAGGATGAGAGCTTGTCTTCTATGTAATCTCACAAGGTGAGAGAGACAAGGGGTTTTTCTACGACCTCTTTCATAAGTTCACTAATCCCACACATGTGAACTCTTCCCTAAAGACTTAATTGCCACCCAGAGGTCCCACTTCCTAATAACATCAATTTGAGGGTTAAAATGTTAACATAATAATTAGAGGTAAATAGGAACATTCAGATTATAGCAGACACTAAACTAGAAATTGTATAAGCATTAATTGTGTTACTTTCTATAACAGTCTTAAAAATTGAGCATTATTATGCTAATTTTAGATATGAAAAAAATTGATGCTTTGATGGGGTTAACTAATTTTTTCATGATAACCACCAGGCTAAACAGCAGCCAAACCAGGACTGTCACACAAATAGATATTTATGTGATAATATCTCTGTTATTATCTATGATAATATGATGTTCTGTTTTATTATTTATATAATGAATACATATATGAACATTTAAATATATGTATATGATAAACGCACAAGAGGGATAATCTCTGCATTCATGGTCTAAATGTGATTACTAATTAAGAGAAGATTGAAGAAGCAGATGGATCAAACAACATATAACTTTTTCATGAGTGATTAAAATTCCATTCCACTTAAGAGAAAACAGCATCCAGAATGAGAGATATGACTTGGTCTCCTGTTTATGAATTGTCAATTACTGAATTATTTTCATGTGCTTAAAAATTGCCTGTGTGTATAATTGAAAGACAATTTGAGAGGAGACATAGATTACTATATCCAAACAAACAAAGCCCAAGAACAGAAAACATATGACAATTTTAAATACAGATTACGATTGTAGTGAAATGATAATTTACCAAATATAGATAAATTTGCAAATCAGCAGGCCAAGAACTTTGTGTTTGGCATAAGGTATTGCTGATAAAACCTGCTTTGACTTCTAAGTTCTACTAAAAGCTCTGCTACCATCCTGAAGATTGGTATGCTTAGCAGAAGTTTACAAGGGCATTCTCTGGAGCAAAGCTTCTTTGTGGGAAACATAAACCCTGTGGGGGTTAAGACCAAAGTATTCATGATTCATGTCTCTTCTTGTTTTTGTTTTTTAGATGGAGTCTCACTCTGTTGCCCAGGCTGAAGAGCAGTGGCATGATCTCAGCTTACTGCAACCTCTGCTTCCGGATTCAAAGGAGTCTCCTGACTCAGTCTCCCGAGCAGCTAAGATTACAGGTGCACACCACCGTGCCCAGCTAATTTTTACATTTTTAGTAGAGACAAGGTTTCACCAGGTTGGCCAGGCTGCTCTCAAACTCCTGACCTCAAGTGATTCTCCCGTCTTGGTCCCCTAAAGATCTGGGATTACAGGCTTGTACCACCGTGCTGGCCTATTCATGTCTCTTTATGGTCTTGCTCCTTTTTTTGAGTTTATGATTTGACTGAATCTCTACTACTGAGGTTATCATTAGCCACAGCTAGTGTTTGCTACATCTTTTCAAAAAGTAATTTAGAAAAGTCTAGTGGGATATGTATATATCTTGATGTTTAGGTGAGTCAGACCTAGTCAAAAATTAATGATATTTATAGGTATAATATCTTAGACCAACTGTAACATATGGATGTCAGTCCTGTTATTGTGACCAAGATTCCTACCTTCTACCATAAAAGCTGGGACCTTTTATTGGTTTGAACCTAAATCATTGTAGTGATAATCTGTCCAGTATTCAGTTCCATTATCACCAACTTCCTTCTTGGCTATTTTACGAGGATACAAAACAAGATTTCAAATCTATTCAATATCTGTATACATATATGACTCTAATCCAGTTTAGTTTCTATTGTTACCACCTCTTGTGCAGTTAACATTTAGAGACAAGAGTTGCATCTGATTAAGTTCACTATATATATGGACCCAAACAGTCTTTTATTTATTCATACAGGCTGCAAAATAGAAAACACAGTGCTCTAAATCAATAAAATGTCTATATTAATCTGTTCTCACATTGCTGAGAAGAAATAACTGAGACTGGGCAATATTTTAAAGAAAAGAGGTTTAATTGGCTCATGGTTGTGCGGGCTGTACAGGAAGCACAATGCTGGCATCTGCTTGGTTTCTCTGCAGTTCTCAAAAGGAAGCTGTCAAAATTGAGGTTTTTTTTCCGGCACAGGGTGTAGCTATATATGATCCTGTAAACTAAAGCATTCCTGACTAAGCACATGAAACTCAGAGTATTAATTAATCTTACCTAAGTTATCAGGATGGTTCACTACAGGGTTGTCCCATAGACTACAAGACTTTGAGAGAAGAAATAATGTGCTGTTTTCTGTGACCAAGAGCATGGTACACAGGTTAGTCTATAGCAGAAACATCGCTTCCTACCTAACAGGGCTTCCATGCAAGCTTCATATTTCTGTGGGGAAAGTTTACTACTTCTTCAGGTTTGAGATTTAGGCTCTCGATAAATTTCTGGATACAACCTTCTGGTACTTCTTCATTTGGCATTTCAACATCGCTTTGGATTTACAGCCCTATTTTGTAATAAAAATAAACAAAATATTATAGAGCTTTATTGACCAGCAGGCTTCTCATTTTATTACTGTCAGTGCCAACTATCCCTTTACTCTGATACTTTATTTCTGTGCTACCTTTTCAGGAATCATCTGCTAACAAATTAGACTTTATAAGACATTAAGGGACACAATGTTGATTTTGGAAACGTTAAAGAGGTAAGTGGAAAACGGAATATTAAAGAGCCCATAAAAATTATAATATTTATGCATATTCCTTTAGACTCACACTAATTTACTAGATTTTAAAGGTACAGGGATCTGATTCTTATAACCTATAACATTTAGGATCTACTAAGATCTACTAAGACAATAGAAAATCTACAACAAGAACATAGATCAGCATTTGAAACCTAATGCACTTACTTTTACCACACCTCTGAAAACTTTGTGTATGTTGCAATTCAAAGAAATCAAAATATGTCCAGAGATTTTTTGATGTCCTCCTTCCATATACTTGTTGTGATACATTGAGTTACCTCAAATTTAAATAGAAATGTGCTTGCTAAAGCTAAAAATATCTGGAAATTTATTAGTTTTGTGGAATTTTATATTTTGTTTCTGGTAGTTTAACTTGATATTCTTTTCCTTACATTATTAAAGAAAAGCAATTTCTTGCACTCTATACTCAGGGAAAATCTATTTTAGGAATCCAAGCACTGTTTGTCTATTGTCTTCATATTTAGTCTACCTTAATTTCTGGCACGTAAAACCAATACAATTCATTATAGCATACGTGATCTTGTTCCCACTTGACCAAAATCTAGTCATCTCCTTTTCTGTACTTCTTCATGCAGAAATTGATCTCAACTGATTTCAACTTCATCATCAGTAACTAAATATATACTATAGATACTACAATCCCTGCCCTTGGAGATCAGAATAAAAGACTATCTGGAGTATTTATAATAGCATACATGTTTATAAAAAGTTAGCTAAAAATTATTTTTTATTGTTATTTATGCATTCAGGACTCCAAAACAAGTAGATTGAATTTCTGTCTTAGAAGCACAAATTTTCTGCTTACTGAAAATCCTACTTTCCAAGAACTTCCAACAAACTAAAACATATCAAAACCCACAATCACCCCACCAGAAAATGAATCCAATTCCCTTACTCAGCAATTTTAGATTAACTTCAATATTGTACATAATCACCATTATATAAACCACTGCTTCCTTCCATTTAGGGAATGAAGGTAGAATACTTACTTCATAACTAAATGTGTAGTATTTGAAAATCTACAACCAAGTAATATATTTCTACCTCCTAATGATAGGTCTCTCTGGTCAAACTACAGAGTTACCTTAATAAGCCTTAGACTTTTCTAGCCACAGTTCTGCCATAAGATGATGCATGTGTGACATGTAATTAATAGATACATAACAAGGAGGTGGTAAGTTCTCATTAAATCCTACAACAAAATAATAAGAGGATATCGTGCTAAATGGCACGCTAACGCATAACCAAGACACATACAACTACTTTAACGAAAGAGAGGCCGTTCTGAGGACTGATTCTCTTTGCCTGGAGTGTACTTTTTGCTCTACTACTTCTTATCAGAAATAATTGGCCTCATATCTTCTTACTGATGCATGATTCACCTCATTCCTCAAAGCATCTTACTTTTTCCTGGTTCACATATTTTGCCCTTTGCAACTCCAATCCCCTAATGACCATGCTATGCTTCATTTCTACTTTCTTGGTATTTTTCTTCACATGAATGTAAACATGCATCTTTGAACTATTTGCTTGGCCAAATATTATCATATAGCTCTTATGAATTATATTTCTAGGTGTAGCTTTTATTCTAAATAACAAGATATCCCAAGCATCAATTCTTTTGGGTAATAGCACTACCAGCAAATGCTTTATTTCTTTCAAAAATGCCAGATTTGTATTTAGCTTAAAACTAAACAAAATAAGCTGTTTTGCTTTATTTTTACAAATTTAACTATTACTAGGGAAAACGTATTTCAATTTTTAGCTGTTAAATATTTAATAACACACATTCGTGGTGGCATTTACCTATTGTCGCAGTTACTCAGGAGGCTGAACCGAGAGGATCCCTTCACCCCAGGAGTTCACAGCTGCATTGAGCTATGACGGCACAACTGCATTCTAGCATAGTGACAAAGACCCGTCGCTAAAACACACACACACATGCACACACACTTACCTTCTTAGTACAGCAGAGTACCACTAAACCACATACATTCTGTCATTCTGTGATGAGCAATTACAATAGTTTGGATACAGTGTGAGTTTGTCTTCACCAAAACTCGTTTTGAAATTTGATCCCCAATGTGGCAGTGTTGAGAGGTGAGGCCAATGGAAGGTGTTTGAATTATGGGGGCAGATCTCTCTTGAATGGCTTGGTGCCCTTCTTGCAGTAATAAGCCAGGAGTTCTCATTCTGGTGACATGGGTTCATTTCTCAGGGAAATGGATTGGTTCCCATAGAGGGTTGTTAGGAAGCCAGGATGCCCTTCAGGTTTTGACTTTTGCACATATCTTCTTCCCCTTTGACCTTCTTTAATATATTTTTACCCAGCACATGGCCCTCACAAGAAGCCAAGCAGATGCCCACATCATGCTTTTACAACCACATCCCAGCCTGCAGAACCATGAACCAAATAAACCTCTTTTCTTTATAAGTTACCTAGCTTTAGGTATCCTATTACAGCAACACAAAATGCACTAAAATTGCAATTGTTGACAAAAGTCCAGATTCAAATAATAATACAAGTTTGATTTAGTTTGGCTAGATAGTTCCTAAGATCTGCAACAGAAGATCTTATAACTGACTTTCTATATAAAGTAAATTATGAGGATTAGTGTTCAAAAATCATTACATATGTATTTATTTTGCCAGAATAAATTAAATCAAAGATACTCAGTGGAAATAATTTTAAATAATTATTAATTTATGCCTTTAAACAAAAAATAAATTTATCAGAAAGATATCATTTGTTAATAATTCAGTTTTATTTCGTCAAAAATTTATTTATCAAAATTGCTCAACATTTTTTAGAAGGGCTAATCACCAGTCAGTTGCCAAAACTGTTCCTATCTGTTTTAATTCATGGGGTTACATTTGTAGAACTATATTTATGTGATGGGTTTTGAATTGTAAACATGCTATAGAAATGCATTATTTGGCAGCCGTTTTTCTTTTTATAAACATATTTGTCTTTTATTTAATTTTAAGCTTTTCTGAGATTTTTCCTGATGCTAAATATACTAGTGGTTTCTACAAAATAATAAAATAAATGAACTGTCTCTTTTGAATCTCTAATTAAGATCCTGAAAGTTAGCAGTTTAAGGTGCTCCGAGATGACATATAAATATGAACTACTGTTTTGACACTTTATGCAACAGTGAAATGTGTATTATATGTTTATTTTATTTCATGCACTCAAAATGCCTGGTTCTAGTGGATGTTCCACTGAGAGAATATCTGTGAGGGTTCAATTATAATTTAACACATGAATATTTGTCAAAATCTATTGTTACTTGAGACTTTTTAAATTTAGAAGATAATACAAATTTCCATTTAAAGAAATCATGTTTAACTCATTATCTTTTAAGAGACTGCAGTTAGTGAAAAAAAAAAGGTGAAGAACTATCCAGAAAGAAACCTTTTCTATGCAGTCATATTATTTCTGATATGGAGAAATAGCTGCAAATACAGGAAACTCATTAGATTGTCTTGGCCATCCATCTGTCTTAATAGAATATATTTTGCCTTATTTTACAGATACACAGACACTATTACATGAATAAGTAGTGAGATTAAGTACATGAGAGTACAGGACCAAATTTCCATTAACAAGAACAATTTTATTTTTTATCTATTTGATAGAGGCATAATGATACAGATGTATTCAATGGAAAATGATGTGTCCAGTTCTAAGCCAGTAAATTTCCAGTCTATCCTAAATACTAAAAATGAAGTATTTGATTACATGACATATACCATTCAATCCTCATTATGGAAATGCCACATAACAGGCAACACATGATTAAAAAAAGTTTCATAATGTTATTTTTCGTTATTTCTCTTTGATTGATTTTCTATCACCTTAAACTTACGCTGTCTAAAATCAATTTCACACACACCCACTCCACCGAAACCTACCATTCATTCATTCTTCTATTTAGTACTTTAATATTTTCTAAGACTGGCAGACATGATTCAATATCAGCTTTTGTATTATTTTTTAGTTACCTTCTAAATGAATACCTCTTGAAAGTACTGTTTCATTTCTGGTACCTACAATTCATATTGAGCTTACAAACTTTGATGATGAGGTGGCATTTCTATTTCTTAAATTATATAATAAAACTTTAGTACACTATTTTATATACAGCCTGTGCTCAATACATAGTTGTTAAATGGATGAACACTACAATTAGAAAAACAACAGAGAATTCAAGCATTCATTGAGACCTGAGCATTACTGGAAATGAACTTTTGAAACTTCTTAGCAATTAATTCAAAAAGTTTAACAAATCTAGGTTGGGACATTTAAAAATATTCTGAATTGTGTTATTGTTTCAATATTATGACATTATTACTGTAATTTTGTCATGTATTCTATGTTTTTCATTTTCTTCTTTTTGGATAATTAAGAGTGGCTATTACCTTATATTGAAATGTATATATGTTGTCTTACATTCTACATTTCATATATCAATCCATCTTGATCCTAGACGAATTTATAAGTTAAATAAGTCAATCACCAAAAAATTAACTATACTGTAATTAGTGACCAAGCCTGAACAGAAAAAATACAAATCAACTTTTATTAAACAAATGAATTCTGTGAAGCAATTTGATTAATTTATTCATTTGCACACTTTGGGTTGCTTAATATAAATATTGCCAGTAAAATTTATAGGATTTTTATCCTATTCATAATGATTTATTAAAGATGATGTAATTAGTACATGTCTTTTATAATATGAATTTAATGCCAAGAGATGAAATGGGAAATTTTTAGTTAGCATTCAACTAGTTATGCAAATATGTATTTATAAAAACATGAAACATAACCCATGTAAATTTGGCTTCATTTCTTGATTATTTGTTACATAACTATGTTTTCTTTTCCTGGGATACTTATAAAACATGAAGCAAGATTGTTTATGTGAAAAACTACCTCTAAACAGCTAATCTTAATGGTATGACTATGTATCATAGTCCTGGCTTCTATAAAGCTTTACCTCTTTATCAATGAAGAGGTCATAGTTCAAATATTAAATAAATATTTGCTTCTAAGTTCCACAAACATAAATGTGACTATAGTACTAAATCTTTGTAGTATATCTGTCCAGAAGTCTTTAGTTTTTATTTGATAATGTATAAACTAAAGTGCTAGAGTGAAAATTATTGATTGGCAAAGAAATCCCAAATAAAAACAAGTCAAAGTAAAATGCTGGAAGGCAGACAAGTTCCATACAAATCATTTATCAAGTTGACACATAACTATCAGTAGCAGTACATATTAAAAAAATACATCTATCCAGGCACTATATTGGTATAATATGAAATGCAACTATATACCTTCAATCAAACTTGGCAATTACTTTTGTTTGTTTGCTTTTATCTTCAAGTTATGGAGGTTTTATTTTGAAAGTGAAATTTGTTGGAAGGAAATTTAAGGTTAAAAAGAAAAAGGATGTAGATTGAGATACCCTTGGAATAACATAAGCACATTTTTAAGACTTTGAAAACCATGATGTATATGCATATGAAAACCAAATGGATTAAAACCCTAACTCTGACACTGTACTTATTAACGTTTTAACATTAAAATTAAAAACATTTAACATTAAAGATGCCAAGCTGTTCATGAAGTATATCAAAACATAAACTTCAGTATCTCTTCATCAATTTAACCATCACATTTAGGAGGCCAAGGCGGTGGATCATTTGAGGTCAGGAGTTCGAGACCAGCCTGGCCAACATGGCAAAACCCCGTCTCTACTAAAAATAAAAAACATTAGCTGGACGGTAGTGACACATGACTGTAATCCCAGATACTTAGGAGGCTGAGGCAGGAGAATCGCTTGAGCCTGGAAGGCAGAGGTTGCGGTGAGCTAAGATCGTGCCACTGCACTGCAGTCTGGGCGACAGAGTGAGACCCTGTGTAAAAAAAAAAAAAAAAAAAAAAAATTAACCATCACAAACGGAATTTTGACTAATGCGCATGTGCATTTATTTTATTTACTCAGAAAGACTTCATTTTGTTCATTAAACGATGATCTTCTATCATTCATATTGCAAACAGCACCGCACAAACACACGTATACATGTGTACCTACATTTCTTTTAATTTCTTTTAACTATTTTCTTTCAGTTTTACTATTTTAGGAACTGACAGAAGTATTGCTGTTTTATTTCATTCATTGCTTCATAGCATCATTCTTGATATTTTGACTAATGATAAGTTAAACCCTTAAGTAAGTCTCTCAAATGTAAGACTGTCAGAAATTTTAAAGTAGAGTAAAAGATTCATCTATACCAATCTTTCTCTATGTTTTTAATGTTTATTATTCCCTTTATTCTCCTGGAAATAAACTTTCTGACTTACGTCCAAAAATCTCACTATTTTAAAGTTTATATAAGTTGCAAGTATTTATTTGTCTCTGTTGCACTGTTTATGCTCCTAAAATTCATCTTATGACTTGTTAATATTTATCTGTGGTGGTTGGGCCAAGAGGACTGCCTAGAAGCAGCTACCTTGCATGGCTCTCATGGAGAGAAATGAAAGGGGTGTGGAAATACAGCACCTTTAACTGAAACATGCAGGTACTTGTATTGGGACCCATCAGGGAAACAGCATGACCCAAGGAGAATGGAGAAAAACAGGGCAGGGTGACAGCCCACCCAGAAGCAACAGAAAGCCAGGGGAACCTCCCCCACTGGGAAGCGGTGAGTGAATGTGCAACCCTGAGAGACCACGCTTCTCCCATGGACCTTCAAAACCCTTAGGTCAGGAGATCTCCTCGTGAACCCACTCCACCAGGGCCTTCCCTCGGACACACAGAGCTATGTGAAGTCTTGACAGAGTGGCCACTCAGGAATGCACAGAAATCCAAGAGCTTTATATGCACAGGCTCCAGTATTCCTGGCAAAGGTGAGCAACACAGGCAAGGTAGGAGGTTGGACCTCCGTACATACCCCTGGGAAGAGGGCTCATCCCAGGGGGATGGGAAGCATTGTCCTGAGGGCCCCACTTCCGTGGCGTTCACAGGATAAGACCCACTGGCTTGGTATACTAGCCAGCCCTCAGCAACAGTGTTGCACCTTCCTGGGATGGGACAGGGGTGGGCTGCCATCTTTGCTCTTTGGACTACTCAACTTGCAGGGTTGCAGGCTTCAGAGATTCCAGCTTGCAGGCTTCAGAGATTCCAAATAGACAAGGGACAGAAAGGATCCCCCAGCACAGTACAGCTGCTCTACCAAAATGTGACCAGACTGCTTCTTTAAGTGGGATTCTGATCCATTCCTCATCTTTGAGTGGGACCTCCAAACCAGCGCCTCCAGCCACCCCTTTCCATATTGTCTGGCCAACAGTTTTTATTTCTCCCTGGGATGGAGTGCCCAATGGGAGGGGTACACCATCATCTTTGCTGTTTCGGTGACAATTGTTCCAGCCTGTGAGCTTTAGAGAGCCCAAGATGACTGAAGAAGTGGTAACCCAGCATGACACAGCTGCTCTATGAAAGTGTGGACAGACCGCTCCCTTAAGTGGATCCCACTTACCAGGTGAGATTTCCCCTGGGGCCTGCCAATGTTCTCTAGCTGACAGAGGTTTGTAAACTTCCTTGGACAGAGCTCCTAGAGGAAGAGGTAGGCTGCCATTTTTGTTGTTTTGGCAACTTAGTCATTCTAGCCTCCAGGCTTTGGAGAGCCCAAGCCAACAGGGGCAGAAGCAGTACCCCAACACAGGACAGCTGCTCTACAAAAGCATAGCTAGACAGCTTCTTTAAGTAGGTCTCCAATCCTATTCCTCCCGACTGCATGAGACTTCCCTAGAGGAGTTTCAAGCCTGGAATGGACCTTCCAGCAGATATGGTAGGCTGCAATGTTGCTGTTTTGCTAATGATACCTCCAGGTCCTGAAAAATCCATGGTGACTAGGGACTGGAGCAGACAGCCAGAAAACCCCTGCAACCCTAAGGAAAAGTGATCAAACTGTTAAAAGAAACAAAACAAAACACAAAAACAAAAACCTTAGCCAAAGGTCAGCAACCTCAAAGAATGAAGGTAGATAATTCCACAAAGATGAGAAACAGTTAGCACAAAAATATTAAAAATTCAAATAGCCAGAGTGCCCTCTCCTCCAAATGACCACATCACCTCTCCAGCAGGGGTTTGGAACTGGGCTGAGACTGAGATGGCTGAAATGACAGAAGTAGACTTCAGAATGTAGATTAAAAAGATCTTCACTGAGCAAAAAAAGCACATTCTAACTCAATGCAAGGAAGCTGAAAATCATGATAAATCATTGCAGGAGATGAAAACCATAATAGCCAGGATAGAAAAGAGCATAACTGACCTGACAGAGCTGAAAAACACAATACAAGAATTTCATAATGCAATCACAGGTATTACTACCAGAATAGACCAAGCAGAGGAAAGACTCTGAGAGCTTGAAGACTGTCTTTCTTAGATAAGACAGAGAGTCAAGAATAGAGGAAAAAGAATGAAAAGGAATTAAAAAAATCTTTACAAAATATTGGAATATGTAGAGACTGAATCTATGATTGATTGGTGTACCTGAAAGAGATGGAAAGAATGAAACCAATTTGAAAAACATAGTTCAGGATATCATTCACAAGAACTTCTCCAACCTAACTAGATAAGCCAACATTCAAATTCAGGACATGCAGATAACCCCAGTAAGATACTCCATGAGAAGATCAAACCCAAGATATGTAATCATCAGATTCTCCAAGGTTGAAATGAAAGAAAACATGTTAAGGGCAGCCAGAGAGAAAGGCCAAGTCACCTACGAAAGGAAGCCCATTAGACTAACAACAGAATTCTCAGTGGAAACTGTACATGCCAGAAGAAATTGAGGGCCAGTAGTCAACATTCCTAAGAAAAGAAATTCCAGCCCAGAATTTTATATCTGGCCAAACTAAGCTTCATAAGCAAAGGAGAAAGAAGGTCTTTTTCAGATAAACAAATGCTAAAGAAATTAGTAACTATCAGACATGGCTTACATGAGTTCCTGAAGAAAGCACT
The DNA here is from genome assembly GCF_000001405.40 of Homo sapiens. Taxonomy (NCBI): domain Eukaryota; kingdom Metazoa; phylum Chordata; class Mammalia; order Primates; family Hominidae; genus Homo; species Homo sapiens. Next base: position 59,361,286 of record NC_000004.12, on the reverse strand, counting down.
AAATATAGGAAGGAAAATGTGTTACCAGCCACTGCAAAACACACTGAATTACACAAACCAGTGACACTATAAATTAACCACATAAACAAGTCTACAAAATAACCAGCTAGCATCATGATGACAGGATCAAATCCACACATACCAATACTAACTTTAAATGTAAATGGGCTAAATGCCACAATTAAAAGACATAGAGTGGCAGACTGGATAAAGAACCAAGACCTATTGGTGTCCTCTCTTCAAGAGATCTGTCTCACATGCCACGTCACACATAGCCTCAAACTAAACACATGAAGAAAAATTTACCAAGCAAATGGGAAAGGAAAAATTGAGGAATTGTGTATTAGTACATTTTCACACTGCCATAAAGATACTACTTGAGACTGGGTAATTTATAAGCAAAAGAGGTTCAATTGACTCAAAATTCTTCATGCTGGGGAGGCCTCAGAAAACTTACAATTATGGTGGAAGAAAAATGGGTAGAAGACACATTTTACATGGCAGCAGGAGAGAGAGCACAGGAAAAAACTGCCACTTTTAAAATCATATCTCTTGAGAACTCCCTCACTATCATGAGAATATCATGGGGGACACTGCTTCCATGATCCATTCACCTCCCACCAGGTCTCTGCCTCTACACATGGGGAATACAATTTGAGATGAGACTTTAGTGGGGACATGGAGCCAAACCATATTATTCTGCCCTTAACCCCTACCAAATCTCATGTCTTTTTCACATTTCAAAACCAATTATGCCTTCCCAATAGTCTCCCAAAGTCTTAACTTATTCCACTATTAACCCAAAGTCCAAGTCAAAAGTGTCATCTGAGACAGGGAAATTTCCTTCTGCCTATGAGCCTGCAAAATCAAAAACAAGTTAATTATTTCCAAATAACTAGCTTGGGGTTACAGGCATTGGGTAAACATCCCCACTTCAAATGGAAGAAATTGCCCAAAACAAAGGGGTCGAATGCCCCATACAAGTCCGAAACCCAGCAGGGTTGGCATTAAATCTTAAAGCTCTTGAAATGATCTTATTTGACAGCATGTCTCACATCCAGGGCATGGTGATACAAGAGGTTGACTCCCAAGGACTTGGGCTGCTTCACCCTGTGTCTCTGCAGGGTGCAGCCCCTGTGGCTGCTTTTGTATGCTGGTGTTAAGAGCCTGTGACTTTTCTAGGCACACTATGCAAGCTGGTGGTGGATCTTACTTTCTGTGGTCTGGAAGATGGTGGCCCTCTTCTCACAGCTCCATAGGCAGTTCCCCAGTGATGACTCTGTTTGGCAGTTCCAACACTATATTTTCTTTCCATACTGACCTAGCAGAGGTTCTCCATGAGGGCTCCAGCCCTGCAGCAGACTGATGCCTGGACATCCATGCATTTCCATACAGTCTCTGAAGTCTAGGTTGGGGTTCCCAAAACTCAACTATTATCTTCTACACACCCGTAGACCCAACATCACATAGGAATCACCAAGGTTTGGGGCTTGCACCCTCTGAAGCAATGGCCCAAGCTACACTTTGGGCCCTTTTGGCCATGGCTGGGTCTGGAACAGCTAGGAAATAGGGCACCAAGTTCCAAGGCTGAACAGAGAAGCTAGGCCCTGGGCCTGGCCCATGAAATTATTTCTCTCTCCTAGGCCTGCAGGCCTGTGATTGCAGGGCTGCCATGAAGGCCTCTGATAGGCCCTGGAGACATTTTTTCTATTGTCTTGGCAATTAACATTCAGCTGCTCATTACTTATGCAAATTTCTGCAGCTTTCTTGAATTTCTCCATAGTAGATGGATTTTTCTTTTATACCACATGACCAGGCTGCAAATTTTCCAAACCTTTATGGTCTGCTTTCATTTTAAACATAAATTTAAATTCCAAATAATCTCTTTGTAAACACATGTTACTATGCCTTCAGGAAAAGCCAAGTCACTTCTTGAATGCTTTGTTGTGTAGAAATTTCTTTTTCAAGGTACCCTAAACCTTCTCTTTCAAGTTGGAAGTTCCATAGAACTTTAGGGCAGGTGCAAAAGGCCACCAGTCTCTTCTCTAAAACATAGCAAGAGTGACCTTTGCTCCAATTTCCAAGAAGTTCCTCATGTCCATCTGAGAGTACCTCAGCCTAGACTTCATTGTCCATATCACTATCAACATTTTGGTTAAAACCATTCAACAAGTCTCTAGGAAGTTTCAAACTTTCTCACACCTTTCTATCTTCTTCTGAGCCATCCAAACTGTTTCAACCACTGCCTGTTACCCAGTTCCAAAGTTGTGTCCACGTCTTCAGGTTATCTTTATAGCAATACCCCACCACCTTGGTACCAATTATCTGTATTATTCCATTTCACACTGCTATAAAGATACTACTTGAGACTGGATAATTTATATACAAAAGAGGTTTGACTCACAGTTCCACATGGCTAAGGAGGCCTCCAGAAACTTAACAATCATGGCAGAAGGTGAAGGGAAGCAAGGCACAGAGCAAGGAACACAGCAACAGCAGGAGAGAGAGAAAGAGTGCAGGAAAAAATAAACCTGCCGCTTTTAAAGCCATCAGATTTTGTCAGAACTCCTTTACCATCATGAGAACAGCAGGGGGCAAACCATCCACTGAATCCAGTCATCTCCCATCCGGTCTTTTCCTAGATACATGGGGGATAGAATTTATGACGAGATTTGGGGTGGGGACAGAAAGCCAGACCATATCATTGTTGCAATCCTAGTTTCTGACAAAACAAACTTTAATCCAACAAAGATCAAAAAAGACAAAGAAGGGCATTACCTAATGGTAAAGGGTTCAATTCAACAAGAAGATCTAACCATCCTAAATATACATGCACCCAACACAGGAGCACCCAAATTCATAAAGCAAGTTATGGTAGACCTTAAAGGAGACTTATACTCCCTCACAATAATAGTGGGAGACTTTGAAACCCCACTGACGATGTTAGACAGATAATTGAGAAAGAAAATTAACAAAGATCTTCAGGACCAGAACTCAACTCTGGATCAAATGGACCTGACAGATATCTAGAGAACTCTACATCCAAAAGCAATAGAATATACAGTCTTCTCATTGTCAATGCACTTAGTGTAAAATCACTCACATAATCAGAAATAAAACACTCCTCAGAAAATGCAAAAGAACTGAAATTATAACAAAGTCTCCCAGACCACAGCACAATCACATTAGAACTCAAGACTAAGAAATTCTCTCAAAACCTTACAATTACATGGAAATTGAAAAGCCTACTCCTGAATGACTTTTGAGTAAATAATGAAATTAAGACAGAAATCAAGAAGTTTGTTGAAATGATTGAGAACAAAGATACAACACACTAGAATCTCTGGGACACAACTAAGGTAGTGTTAAGAGTGAAATTTATAGCACTAAATGCCCACATCAAAAAAGTAGAAAGAACTCTATTAACAAACCAACATTACAACTAAAAGAACTAGAGAACCAAGATAAACTGAACTTCAAAGGTAGCAGAAGACAATAAATAACCAATATCTGAGCTGAACTGAAGGAGACTGAGACACAAAATAATTTAAAAGATCAACATAACCAAGAGTTCTTTTTTTTTTAATGGCTAAGATAGACTGCTATCTAGACTAATAAGAAAAGAGAGAATAAATACAATTAGAAACAACAAAGTACATATTACCACTGACCCCACAGAAATACAGATAACCATCAGGGAATAATATGAATAGCTCTGTGCACATAAACTAGAAAATCTAAAAGAAATAAATAAATTCCTAGAAACATAAACTATCTCAAGATTGAACCAGTGAGAAACTGAGTGTCTGAACAGACCAATAAAGAGTTCTGAAGTTGAGGCAGTAATAAATAGCCTTGCAACAAAAAAGAGACCAGGACCAGATGTATTCACAGCTGAATTCTATCAGATGCAAAAAGAAGAGCTGGTACCATTCCTACTGAAACTATTCCAAAAAATTGAAAAGAAGAGACTCTTCCCTAACTCATTCTATGAGGCCAGCATCATTCTAATACAAAAATCTGGCAGAGATACAACAAAAAAAGAAAACGTTAGGCCAATACTCTTGATGAGCATCAGTGCAAAAGTCCTCAACAAAATACTGGCAATCTGAATCCAGCAGCACATCAAAAACTTATCCACCACGTTCAAGTAGGCTTCACTCCAGGAGTGCAAGGTTGGTTCAACATACACAAATTAATAAATGTGATTCATCACACAGAGCTATAGACAAAAATCATACGATTATCACAATAGATGTAGAAAAGGTTTTTAGTGAAATTCTACATTATCTCATGTTAAAAACTCTCAATACACTAAATATTGAAGGAACATACCTCAAAATAATAAGAGCTATCTATGACATACCCAAAGCCTTATCACACTGAATGGGCAAAAGCTGGAAGCATTTTTTTTTTTTTTTTTTTTTTTTGGAAAACCAGCACTAGACAATGATGCTCTCTCTTACCATTGCTATTCAACATAGTATTGGAAGTTCAGGCCAGAGCAATCAAGCAAGGAAAAGAAATAAAGGCATTCAAATAGAAAGAGAGGAAGTCAAAATATCCCTTTTTGAAGATGGCATGATCCTATATCTAGAAAACTCCATCATCTCAGCTCAAAAAATTCTTAACGTGATAAGCAACTTCAGCAAAGTCTCAGGATACAAAATCAATGTGCAAAATAGCTAACATTCCTATACACAAAAAAACAGTCCAGCCAAGAGACAAATCACAAATGAACTCCCATTCACAATTGCCACAAAAAGAATAAAATATCAGGAATACAGCTAACAAGGGAAGTGGAATATCTCGACAAGGAGAACAACAAACCACTGCTCAAAGAAATCAGAGATGACATAAACAAATGAAAAAACATTCCATGCTCATGAATAGGAAGAATCAATATCATTAAAATTGCCACACTGCCCAAAGCAATCTGTAGATTCAATGCTATTCCCATTAAATTACCACTGGCATTCTTCACAGAATTAGAAAAAAAACTATTTTAGAACTCATTTGGAAGCAAAAAAGAACCTGAATAGCTAAAGCAATCCTGTGCAAGAAGAGCAACTCTGGAGGCATTATTCTACCAGACTTCATGCTATACTACAAGGCTACAGTAGCCAACACAGCATGGTACTGGTACAAAACCAGACACATATACCAAAGGAACAAAAATAGAGAATGCAAAAATAGGCTGCACACTTACAATTATCTGATCTTCAACAAACCTGACAAATACAAACAATGGGTAACAATTCACTATTCAATAAATGGTGCTGAGACAACTGGCTAGCCATATGCAGAAGATTGAAGCTGGAGCCTTTCCTTACACCATGTACAAAAATCAACTCACGATGGATTAAGGACTTAAATGTAAAACCCAAAACTCTAAAAATCCTGGAAGACAACCTAGGCAATACCATCCTGGACATTGGACAGGCAAAGATTTCATGATGAAGATGCCAAAAGCAATTGCAACACAAGCAAAAATTGACAAATGAGATCTAATTCAACTAAAGAGTTTCTGTACAGCAAAAGACACTATCAAGAGAGTAAACCAACAGCTTACAGAATGGGAGAAAAAATTTGCAAAATATGAATCTGGGAAAAAGCTAATATTCAGTATCTATAAGGAACTTAACAAATTCAAAGAAAAACAACTCCATTAAAAAGTGGGCAAAATACATGAACAGACACTTCTTAAAAGAAGATGTACATGTGGCCAACGATCATATGAAAAAACAGCTCAACATCACTGATCATTAGAGAAATGCAAATCAAAACACAGTGATTTACCATCTCACAACAGTCAGAATGGTTAAAAAGAGAAAAAATAACATATGCTGGTGAGGTTGTGGAGAAAAAGGAATGCTTATACACTGTTGGTGGTAGTGTAAATTAATTCAACCACTGTGGAAGACAGTGTAGCAATTCCTCAAGTCCCAAAGACAGAAATACCATTCAACCCAGCAATCCCATTACTGGGCATATATCCAAAGGAATATAAATCATTTTATTATAAAGGCACATAGACACATATGTTTATTGTAACACTATTCACAATAGCCAAGACGTGGAATCAACCCAACTGCCCATCAATAAAAGACTGGATAAAAAAATGTGGTACATATACACCATGGAATACTACACAGCCTTAAAAAGAACAAGATCATGTTCTTTATAGGGACAAAAATGGAGCTGGAAGCCATTATCCTTAGCAAACTAATGCAGGAACAGAAAACTAATACCACATGTACTCACTTATAAGTGGGAGCTCAATGATGAGAACACATGGATACATAGAGAAACAAAACACACACCTGGGACTATTGGAGGGTGGAGGGTGGAAAGTGGAAGGAAGGAGAGGATTAGAAACAATAACTAATGAATACTAGGCTTAATACCTGGGTGAGGGAACAATCTGTACAACAAACCCCCATGACACAAGTTTATCTATGTAACAAATCTGCACGTGTGCCCCTGAATTTAAAATATAAATGAAAAAAATTATCTGATTGATGATTAACACATTACCAAGAAGACAAAAATATGAAAAATAAGATTATTTTATTTGTTTATAAATTGGTGCAAAAGTAATTGTGGTTTTGGACTATGAATTTTAAATTATTATAACAAGGCTCAAACACATCTTTATTACTTGAAATAGGAACCATTACAATCAACACATTTTTTTCCAATGAGAAAGAAGTTTGTTTATTTCTGTAGCATAAAAATCCATGATTCAGGATTCAAGGAACTCTTAGAAAGCATTTTCTGCATCCTGGTGGTTGTGGAAGCATTTTCCCTGTAAAAAGTTGTCGAGATGCTTGAAGAAGTGATAGTCGGTTGGTGAGAGGTCAGGTGAATACTGCAGATGAGGTGTTGTGTGACATGTGGTCAGGCATTGTGATGGAGAAGAACTGGGCCCTTTCTGTTGAACAATGCCAGCTGCGGTGTTTCAGTTTTTGGTGCATCTCACTGATTTGCTGAGCATGCTTCTCAGAAACCATTAATTCTCAGATGTAATGGTTTCACTGGGATTCAGATAGCTGTAGTGGATCAAACCTGCAGCAGACCACCAAACAGTGAGCATGACCTTTTTTTGGTGCAAATTTGGCTCAAGAAGTGCTTTAGAGCTTCTTCTCTGTCCAACCACTGAGCTGGTTGTCACTGTCGCATGTGACATTCCAATTGAGAAATGGTTTGTTGTTGTTGCATAGAATAAGAGAAGATGGCACTTCGAAATGACCATCTTTTTGATTTTTCACTCAGTTCAGGAGGCACTCATTTATCAAGCTTTTTCACCTTTCTGATTTGCTTCAAATGCTAAATGACTATAGAATGGTTGACATTCAGTTCTTCAGCAACTTCTCATGTAGTTCTAAGAGGATCAGCTTCAATGATTGCTTTCAATTGTTCCTTAATTGTCGGCCACTACATTCTTCATCTTCAAGACTCTAGTCTCCTTTGCAAAACATCTTGAACCACCACTGCACTGTATGTTTATTAGAAGTTCCTGGGCCAAATGCATTGTTGATGTTGTGAGTTGTCTCTGCTGCTTTACAACCCATTTTGTACTCAAATAAGAAAATCGCTCAAATTTGCTTTTTTTATAACGTCATGTCCATAGTTCAAAATAAATATTAGATAAACAGAAAGTAATAAATCAATAGCCAAAAAATAAAGTGAGAAACGCACATTAAAATGATGTATAACATAACCGCATTTACTTAAGAATGTATTCCAATATCAAGTGGTAAATTATAAGAATGCAAAAACCTCAATTACTTTCTATGTTTTGTTTTGTTTTCTCCTGTGTAAGAAGAACAAAGCTGGAGTCATCATGCTACCCAACTTGATACCATATTACAGGGCTACAGTAACCCAAACAGCAGTAAATTGTATATAAGATTACCATATTAAAATGATGTATAACATAACCACATTTAAGAATGTGTTCCAATGTCAAACGGCAAATTTCAACAATGCAAAAAAAACTGCAATTATATTTGCACCAACCTAATGTATCTATGCACTAGACTTCATGTATGTAGAGATGTAGTTGTTTGCTATTTTCTTACATATTACATAAGATACCTCACATTACCTCTTTTACTTTTACCGACAATGAGGACATATTAAATAAAATAAATATTCCTTATGCTAAGCATATATTACAGTATAAATAATTACTAGAATTAGAAAAATTTTAAAAATCAAAACATGTATATGGGTATGTTCCTGTATGTCTGATTTATGTTGTGGTCAGCTTATGTGGCGCTATACCAAATAATATGATCCAATGTCTCAAAATTTTTCTCATCAAATAGTCATTAAACTATTATTTGGGTAAGTTGACTTTTTCTCCTTTTTAGCAAGATCCAGGCTTAAATTTGCTAGTTGGAGGCCTAATCAATACTGTGCTAACTGCTTTGTTAATCTTTTCTTACTGCTGTTCTCTCTCATATTTCCAGAAAATTGTTCACTGTTGTTACCTCACAGCAGATAATTGACTTTCTAAGGTAATAACTTTAGCAGCTTATCACTGATTTTTTTCCTTTCCCTCAACTGCAGGACCCAATCAAGTTTTGACACATAGCATTCATTTCTGATGATCCAAAAATGGATCATTCTGTAGTCTAACTTAGTTAACAAAGACACACACACACAAATAAGTAAAAAGCCTTGGCCACCACAAATTCCACATATACGGTTTGCAACATTTGGCACCATGAGCTGAAACAATTCCTAAACACAGAAGCCCTCTGTAGAAATTTAAATAATTTCCTTGTATGTTTAACAACATGGAGCATGATAAAAATGCATGCAGATACCAAATATACTCACAATTACAGTTACAGACAAAAATATAAAAAGCTGAAGTTTGTGGGTTCTGACATAAAGATTTCCAAAGTTTAAAATTCCAGCTATTGTTTAGGAGTCTAAATTTTACCTTTATTTGTGACTTGAAATTCACATGTAGAAAACTACAACTGATTTTGAATTCTTTCCACATAAGTATAAAGGGCATGCTATTGATTGGCTTGTTTCATTCATATCTAATTTCTAATGAGATTAAGCAAATTAGTTCTTTAAGAATTATGAGTTTCATTGCACTTACATATTTTGTTTTATTTTATTTTATTTTATTTTATAAACTAATATTCCTCACATTACCTGCTCTACATTGAAATAATGACAATTGCAACTTATGGGTATAACAGTTCTCAGTTATTTGACATTAAAAAAATACCAATTCTGTACATTGGTAGGATAATTCAAATTATGTTTAAAATAAGAGGGCTTAAAAAGTCTAAATTCTACACATAATTTACTTGCTCAACCTTTGTCTTCATACAGCTCAGAGACTTGGAAGGTACATTTGGACTTACAAACAAGGACATAGGAAGAAGAGTGAAAAACAACATTTCCCAGTTTTATTTAAGACCACTAAAAATTAGCTCTTTTTTCACCTTTAGTTAGTGGCACAGAGACTTTTTCAATTAGTAGACACTAGGTACCTGGTTGTTCAACCAGTGTGGCAAAAGAAGGGAATCTGCCGTGGGGCCCTACTAAGGCAACACACGGGGATAAAAGTTGAAAAGTCTCAATATATAGAGGTTGCTGATTTCTGTGATGTAAATCACCCCACCATGGACAATTTCAAGGTACCATAAGTTTAACAACTGCCTCAAAAATTCTTGAAAATTTATCAGTCAGGTATTATGAGCCAGGTAAAGCCAATTCCAACACACCATTAAATAGGGAATCACACATTGTCAACATCCTTTGAAATGTATGCTTTAATCAGATATTTTACTGCAATTTAAACCTCATGTGTTAGGAATTTAATTCTCCACAGAAATTTGTGGTGTCTACACACACACACACACACAAACACACACATGAAAAAAGGTTGCCCTGATTGATTCTCCAGCAATATTGCTAAACCAGTGTCACCTATAGTCTTCTTGTATACTCTTTCTCTGTCCTAAGCAAAGATCAAATAGATAATAACTACCTTTACTAGTCCTTCACCAAGCTATCAGCAAATTAATAAAGATATATTTCCTGGTTTGTTTTTCTTGCTCCTATGTGTATATTAGATTGCTTATTAGTGGCATTTAAGTTTCTAATAATTCTTTTTACAGATTTAATAATTAGTAATCATTAATGAAGTAGTATTACATGTTTTAACATATTTATGAGGTTGAGTACATTAGTGATTATACACGTTGTTATCCATCATTGATCCACATGATAATTAAATCCTTAACGAAAACCATCTGGATACATTTTAAAGATACATTTGGCATTTCTCAATTAATTTCAGTTCTGGCCTTTTATTTTATGTGAATAGGTAACTGTTCTTTTATTGAAGATGTAGTCATTAGCCATTTTCAGAAATGCTCAAATCACAGTGATTTGAGCTTTGAAGGTGTTCATATTCTTGGCTAGGAAATCACAGGTGCAAGAAAACTCAGTGTGTTCCCCAATACACATGTGGATCTCTCTGGCATCAAAATTCAGAGAAAAATTGAAAGAATGGCTGTCTAATCCAATAAGAACTTTAAAAAATGGTAGAGCCCTCTTTCAGTCCACACCACAACACTGTCACCTCTGATTCTCCACACTGGGGGTATGGATGCATATGTAAATCCTCCCTTCTATCTTAAGCTACACTTTCAAGTAGAATTAACTAAGTGATGTTAACATTTAATGCTTCCAGAGGTGAAAGAAATAATAGGTCAAAATCTAACTTTTAAAAATCCACTTTCACACATTTATATTCTAAACAATATAATTGCAGTCAGTTGATCTTTGAAGAACTTAGTAGCTAAATGGCAACAATCTGTTCCAGACATTGAAATTAGGCAGGCGGCTATTTCCTGATTTGAATTTTCTGACTAGGCTTTCTTTAATCTGCCAATCTTTAAAAATTAGTGAAAAATAAGAATTATTCCATTTTCCATGTTGTGTATCCCTTTTTCTTTCAGTTCACCAACATTTATAATTCTCCTTTCACCACTTGTATCTACCTAAAACTCCAGGTAAGCTATCTTCTGTTTTTCTGGGACTGACACTGTAATTATTCTCTAAGAAATAAGTGAATAGATTTCTGGTTTTGGTTTCAGCACATAAAGATCTTAGAAGTTGTTCCTCCTGTACTTAAGAGAAAGATGGAATAACTAAAAACTAGTGATATTTTTGATCCCATCACAAAGCTGAGGTTTTAGGACAAACTGATTCCACAAAACGTTGGATTGCCAATTTTTTAATCTCTTAATATCCAAAGAGATTAAAAAATTACAAGGCATTCCAAAAAGCAAAGAACAAAAAGACACAGTTTCAAAAGACAAAGTAGTCATTAGAGCCAGACTAGGGTATCACTCAGATATTGGAATTATCAGGCAAGTAATTTAAAATGACTATAAACAATATGTTCAAAACCCTGTGTTAAAAATAATAATAATAACCCATGAGGCCTAGGTTGCACAAATCTGCAGATTCCCAAAAATGGTCTCTCTTTAGGACTGGCTCTTAACAGGATCCTGGCTCTGTGTAACTTGGAATGAATATATATATATATTTCTGATAAGAGTATTCTTGTATGCCTGAGGTCTTGGGCCAGGCTGTATCAATTTGATAAGACAGCTTACACCAACAATGTAATCTATGGTGAATGCCTGTTTATGTTCTGGAAGTTTGGACTCTGAGACGCTGAGATCAGTTACACAGGTACTGAATACCTAAGTGACTAACCTGCAATAAAAACCCTGAATGCCGAAAAAGGAGTAAGCTCCCTGGTTAGCAATACTTGCTATGTTTTGTTACACATAATTACAAAAGAATTGAGCGTGTCTGTGCAACTCTACTTGAAGAAGGCACCTGCAAGCTTGTGCCTGGTTTCTTCTGTACTTTTCCTGATGTGCCCTTCCCCTTTGCTAATTTTAATTTACATGATTTCATTTTATGGGGTGAAAAATGTTTTGTGTCAACTTGACTGTGCCATGGGGTGCACAGATTAAACATTTCTGGGTATGTCTGTGAGGCAAGGGTGTTCCTGGATGACATTAACATTTGAATGGGTAGACTGAAGAAAGTACATTTCCCTCACCAGTGTGCATGGGCACCATCCAATTCATTGAGGGTCTGAATAGAACAAAGAGGCAGAAGAAGGAAGAATTTGCCCCTTTTGTTTTCTGTTTGCCTGCTTGAGCTGAGAAATTAGTCTTCCCCTGACCTTGAACTGAACTGGGAATTTTACTATTGGTTCCTCCTGGTTCCAAGGCCTTCAAATTTAGACTAAAATTATGGCATCAGCTTTCCTGGATATATCCTAGGATATATTACATATACCCTATTTGGTCTGTTTGTTTCTCTGGAGAACCCTGGTTAATACACTATAATAAAAAGTAACCATGAATATAAGAGTTTTTCTAGGTCCTGTGAGTACTTCTAGTAAATCATCAAATCTAGTACATCATCAATTCTGAGATGTTCTTAGGAATTCTGGCATAGATTGTAATGGAAAAAGGTAGCCAACATGAAAAATCAAATGGGTAATATCAGCCTAGAGATGAAAACTGTAAGAGCAGATCAAAATAATTTCTAGAATTAAAATAAGGTAACAGAAATAAAGGATGTCTTTGACAGGTCCATCAGTGGACCTGATACAAATGAGAAAAGCATCTGGGAACTTGAATATAGGCCAGCAAAAACTTTCCAAACAGAAACACAAGGACAAAAGAAAAAAAGAACTCAAATATTGAAAAATACATCCAAGATATTTGGAAAAATATAACAAGTTTTGAAATTTGTATAATCAGGATACCAGAAGTAGAAGTAAGAGAAAAGTATCGCCTTGAAGGAATGAATGAACAGAGTGCAAATGAGCTTTCAAAGGTGGAACAGACATGAAATGTTCCGTATTTCTTAAAGTTTCGAAGTAATATAAAAAAAAAAGAAAAGAAGCTAGTAACAATCCCTTAATTTCTAGAAAAGAGTGTAAAGGATATGCTTATAACTGGGTATAACTACCTTCATATGTGTTTGCATATATTAAACTAACTTTAACATGAAAAAAATGTGTTGTTTTAAGGCTTATAGACTCTCTTTCACACGTTCCCATATAAAACCACTTTCATGCAAATTATCCTACAATTTGAAAATGCAGTAAATTTAATTTACATTAATATTAGGACACAGACTGTCATGGAAATACAAAAAAAAAAAAAAAAAAAAAAAACAGAGACTAAGTTTTTCACAACCTAACACTGGTATCTTGATTCTAAGACCTAAAACTTAAATATTTTTGCATCATTAGTACTTGGTTCAGAGTTCACAGAGTGGTTTAAAAATTCAAAAATATTAGAGAAGATAAATAGTGAAATATCTTTCTAAGCCACAGTTTAAATAAAATAAAAGTTTTGGGTTTTAGGAGCCTACTTCCAGTTCCACTATTTTCAAGTCATTTATCTTATCTATAAATGTGTAGATAGATTTTAGGTGTGAGTATAATGATATATTGTGCCTGAGTTGTTTCATATAAGAATTTGGTGACACAGCAAAAATGTGATAGGTATTGGTAAACTATTTCAAACAAAAATCTACTTCTCAAGTAATATTGTTTCACTGTAGATTACTTCAATAGAACACAAAAATCAAAATTTAAAAAAAGCAACATAACCTTGGTGTTAAATAATCCTTCTTTACTAAAAGTATAATATTTTAGGTTCAAATACCAACTTATATGTCACTAAAAAAAGAATGACAATCTTTCCTTCTAGTATTTTGATATTATATTACTTGGATAGATAAGATTTCTTCATAATTCTAAACTCTAAAGAAATTGATTTTCTAGATGAATGTACTGGGTGAGTATGAGTAAATAGTAGGCATAGAAAGATGACTTGTTAGAAACGGCAAGGAAGAAAAGATATTCATAAGAGAGAATAATGGCATGCATAGAGCAGAAAAGAGAGAATATGGAAAATGGTAAAGTTTTAGGAAATATTGACCTATTAAGCATGGAAGGTACAATTAAATATATTTTACACTTTTGAAAAAATATCAATGCAGTGTAAAGCTTGAAAAGCCTATGATAACTTTCTAGATACTGCATTCTACATTATAATGTGGAAACACTAGTAATACAGACTGAGAACAGTTTTGGCTTAATTTGCACAGCTAAAAAATCATTAGGAGTTTAATAGATTAGTACTCAAATTCAATGAGCATCTGTGTGTGCATGCATGTTATTCTAATATCTAAGTGTGTGTGTGTGTAAAGGTGTATGGAACTTTTAAAATAATATAAACACATAAATATAGTGTCGTATGTATAATATGTATATGTTTTGTCTTGCTTTTTCACGTGACACTATATTTTATTTCATAAAATTATTTTAAATCTTCATTTCCCAATCCTTTTTTTATAGTTCATCATATAGATATATACTACTATATTTAACCATTTCTTCCTTTGAAATATTTACTTCATTTTTCCTTGTATTTTGTTAATTACTATGCAACAAACATCATTGCATATACTGATAAAATATATTTTTTCCTCCCTTTTAGGAGAGAAACTCCTAGAAATGAAAATACTGGGTCAAGTGTATAACTATTATGAAGACTCATCACAGGAAAGTTGCTTTCCAAATGCATTGTTATTTTATGGGATGGTGTTTTAACAGAAATGATCTGTGCTTCAAAGAAAAAGCATAGTGCAATGTTTTCTAGAATAGTAGATTCTGGGGCTAGATAAAGGTAATGTCATGTGGGAAAGTCAGTGATTCTTTTCAGTCCATCTCACATGTGCATAAAGGCAGGAGAATTATAGATCCTGCTGTTTGGATAGCAAGACAAGATAATAATTCTCCCCATTTTAGCCAATTCTGAGGTCTTGAGTTTTCTGCATAAAACGTTCCTTGACTTTTACACACATCATTACAAATGTGCATTGAATCATTTCTTGATGCCTTGCAGTGATTATAGTTTATCAGTTTTATCTTTTTTTTTTCTATGTATTCTGCATTTTTCAGTTACTTCCTGGTAAATGCTGGTGGAATGTGAATTTCTTACTGAATATTATAAGAGAATAATTTCACCTGTTTAAAAGAATGCAAAAGAAATCTACTTTTTGAAAATTGAATATCTATGTATACCAAATATATATAGTAATCTCACAAATTCCACATTAAAAAGATGTTTCTGAATATTCCAATTATCCTTCATTTATTTATTTGTACTATCTAGTCTTGAAGAGAATTTGGCAAGTTAAAGCTTCTGCAAACAAAAGCAAATAGCCTGATTGAAAAATGGCAAAGGACATGAACAGACACTTCTCAAAAGAAGACATACAAGTGACCAAAAAACATGAAATAATTCTCAGCATTACTAATCATCAAAGAAATGCAAACCAAAACCACAATGAGATACATCCTACACCAGTCAGAATGACTTTCAAAAAGTCAAGAAAAACAAGATGTTGATGAGGCTGCAGAGAAAAGGGAATGCTTGTACATTGTTCGTGGTAATGTAAATAAGTTCATCCATTATGGAAAACAGTCTGAAAATTTCTCAATAAACTTAAAATAGAGCTACCATTCAACCTAGTAATCCCATTACTGGGTATATACCCAAAGGAAAAGAAATCATTTCCCAAAAATGCATGCACTCGTGTTCCTTACAATGCTATTCACAATAGCAAAAACATAGAATTAAGCCAGGTTCCCATCAATGGTAGAGAGGATAAAGAAAATGTGGTACCTATATACCATGGAATACTATACAGCAATACAAAGAATAAAACCATGACTTTTGTGGAGACATGGATGCAACTGGAGGCAATAATTCTAAGTGAAGTAATACAGGAACAGAAAATCAAACACTGCATGTTCTTACTTATAAGTGGGAGCTAAACATTGAATACACATGGACTTAAAGATGGAAACGTTAGACATTGTGGACTATTACAGTGGGGAGGGAGAGAAGAAAAGGGAGTGTGCACTGAAAAACTACCTAGTAGGTAGTATGCTTACTAACTGAGTGATGGGATCTGTTCCCCAAACCTCAGCATCATGCAATGTACTCATATAACAAAACTGCATATGTATCCCCTGTATCTAAGAGAAAAGTTGAAATTTAAAAATTAAAATGTAAAACAAACAAACAAACAAATGAAATGAAGGTAGTGATTATCCATTTGTGGGGAAAAAAAACCTTCTACCAACATTTAATATGGCGTATACATAGAAAGAAGTCCCAACAGATATATGCTTTATTCAAGTTATTTATTTTATTGAGTGCTGCAGTATTTATTTGCATGTATCATCTCTTATTGGATTACATGCAACTGGAATAATAAAAAAGAGATTATTGTACCCAAATTTCTATTCTCTTTGTCCCTGCTTTACTATTCTTCAATAAATTATCCACATTACAGCCAGAATAATTGTTTAAAAATTGTGTTTGATTATATGATGTTTTTTTTTTAAAACCCTTACATGGCTTTCCAAAGCACTAAGGTAAAGGAAAAACATGTGAATATTGCTTACAAGACCTGAGCAATGAGACTCTTCCTATTGTCCATCCCTCTTTTCTCATTGTCACGTACTTTTTTTACCCCTACCCACGCAACCCACTCTACCAGCATGCTACTTCTTATCCAGACACATATTCATTACATTTAATTTCTAATTTCTTCAAGTTATTTGTTTATAGTGCAGTTTTCTGTCAAATAATTTATGCCAATGGTCCTTAACACTTTTTCTTCATTTGGCTACAATCTACTCAACTTTCGGGGTTTACCATAGATATCAGTTTTGCTGGGAAGAATATAAGCTGATTTTACAAATCTGGAGTGAAACGCTTTTCTGTTAGGGCAAAACTATTTATATTCTGTCATAATATTGATCACACTATATTGAAATTGCATGTTACAGTGTATAAGCCATTAGAGTGTAAATTCTATTAATGGCAGAGACAGCATCTGCAACAATTCACTACTTCACCCCATGTCCTAACACTGTTTGGCATTATTAGGATTCTACAAATATTTGCTTAATGAACAAACAAATTAGCGAAGGCATATTTTAGGTTCTTTAATTTGGAAATTTATGAGAATAAATTGTTGAAATTGTCAAATACAAAACATGATATGAGAAAAAATACTTATCTTCCTATATAGTTCACATTGGCATAAAATGTAAGAAATGGAATTCTGACATAAATGATCTTTTATTCTTTCTTACTGGGGAAACAAAACCCTTAGTCACTTTGTGCAAACAGAATTGAATCTGTTCTTCTTAGCTCACACTCTTTTTCTGCTTTTATTTTCCAAATCATACTGATTCTCTTATGTTTGTCCCAACTGATTATTGATGTCTCTGTATGCACACAGGTTTCTTGTATTTGGGCACTACCAGATTGTGACTTGAGATAAAAATTGACATCAAAGTTGAGCAGAAACATGAAGACTGTGCCTTTTACTGGCTAAAGACTGTTCTTATTTACTCACTTTTACCTGGTATTATTTTGGCAATGCTATTATTTGTGTAGCTATTTTAAGAGAATGCTTTATAATAGCAACAATAAAGCTTACTGGAAGTACTTCCTGGTCAGCTGATGGTTTCTGTTCTTTTCCTGGGTCTACCTTTAAGTTACTGTAAAATTCTCAATGTGGAGTATGTATAAAACACTTGAGTGATATTGACAAAGTAATAAGATGAAAATGTAGCTAGAGCATTGCTTCGGTGGAAGCTCAATGCTCTATCTCAATCCATTATTATGTCAATTCATTTATTTATAAACATATTTATTCATTGAAAAAGTATATATTGAGCCACTTTTTAGTGTTAAATGCAATGAATGATAATCCTCTTGATATACAAAATAAGAACCCAGTAACATAATTCATCAACTCACTCTTACCCCTGCCTCTATAATCAATTCCCCATGTAGAGTTAATCTTTTAAAATTAATTTTTCTACTTACTCCGTTGCCTAAAGTTAATCAGTGGCTTCCCATTGTTTTTGGAAAAAGAGGCAAAATATGTATGGCATAATACCCTTAATTCTCTGATGTTAACAAATCTCTGACTTGATCACTCACTAGTCTCATACCCAGTGTACTGTTTATAGCAACATTGCTGTCTCTGAATGGGTGGTCACTTTTTATCCTTCTCATTTTTTTCCCTAAAATTGTACCTTGAAAGCAAAGCCATTATTGACCACCTAAACTAGTAATTTCCACCTCAATTTATTATCTATTTAATTGCCTGTGCATTTTCTTCATAGCACTTATCCATGCCTCCAATTATTTTGCTTCTTTGCTGTTTACTTATAGTCTTTCTTCCCCTAAGCTATGTAAATTCTATAATGGCAGGATACTTGTCTCTTTATATCTTCAGGTACTGGAACAGTGATTTAAAAAAGAAAAACTAAAAATGAATAAGTAGATAATGAATGGAAAGATTCTATCCATAAGTAATACTCTTTTTCTTCAGGAATCTCACTAGAAATTTTATTTGTATGGACTTGCATTAGGACTCTTCCAAACTAAAATAGATTACTTCCCCACTCTATTTTAAGATTACAGTGCAGACCAACAAGAATGGTAGCCTCCAGAATTATGTGACTAAAGTCAAGGTCTGAATATTTATTTTAATGAATATAAAGTGCCTAGACATTGCTAAGCATAATTGTGCAAACTTATTTATTCATTTACCCTTCCTTCCTACATGCCTTTAAACATTATGAGAAAAGTAAAGATCTCAAAAACAAATGTACAAACAGAAGTTTAACATTGTTTTAATATTTGTGTTTTCTTTAGTTCAGTCTTTAACTTCATAGTATATTGAATGATTACTCTCCTATTTTTATGGAATTATTTTGTACATTCTCTCTGGAAAACCAGCTGAGAAATAGGCATTGAAAATGAGAATTTTTACTCACCAACAAATTTCCCCCTAAGAAAACCCAAATCCCCAGTATCAAAGTTTATAGAGAAATCTATTCTGCTTGTGACAGGGCTAGCTTTTGAGTATTTCATTCATCAAATCTTTAACACAAAACTTCTTAGCACTGGCACCTTTTTTCTTCCGCAGTGACAAGATAGATGTTGCTGGAATCTATGGAAAATTGGGTCAGTAAATCAGGAAACAATGATCCATTTTGAACAAAAATTAAGTTTTGAGTTCTTTTCGTTCTTTTCACTCCTCAGGCCAAAATATGTGAATCATACTTGATGAGAAATCTGACTTCTTTCCTCACATTTGATACTATTGTGCACTCCTAGCTTTTTATCAAATCTATCCCCTAATGGACTGCACATTAAGTCCAAAAAGGTGAACTTTTCATCAAATATCATTACTCACTAACTGAAATACACTGTTTTAGTAAAGGTTCTATTAGTCAAGCTTCTTCAGAGAAACAGAATGTGTGTGTGTGTGTGTGTGTGTGTCTGTGTGTGCATGTGTGTTTAGAAATAGAGAGGAATTTATTATAAGGACTTGGCTCAGGAAGTTATGGAGGCTGAGAAATCCCAAGATCTGCAGTTGGCAAGCTGGAGATCCAGGAAAGTCAACAGTATAGTTTTGGTCCTAGTCCAAAGGCCTGAGAAGTAAAATAACTGATGATGTAAGTTCCATTGTGAAGGCAGGAGAATACCAATGTCCAGCCCTGAAGACATTTTATCAGAGAATGAATTAGTTTTTACTCAACACCTTCATTCTATTCAGACCTCCAATGGATCAGATATGGTCCCTCCACATTAAGAAAGGCAATCTGCTCTACTCGGTGACCAAGTCAAATGTTAATCTCATTCAGACACACCCTCACAGACACACCCATAATAATGATGAATAAAATATCTGGGTACTTCATGGCCCAATCAAGTTGACACATAAATTAATCACCAGACAGTGACCTATTATATGTGATATTCAATAGTCTATGTTAATAGAAAATTTGTAAAGAGAAGCAACAGGAATGGAACTCTCTAGGAGGGAACTTCCTGATGTCAACTAATTATTTTGAATATAAACATAAGGCTATTGGGATTAAAATGGACAAATGTAGGGAAAAAATGAAAATTATAGACAAAAGAATGATGGTTAATTATTCTGCCAAGGCTTTATTTTCCACTAGCCACAGAAAGAAATAACATTTTCTCAGACTTAGCAAGTTTTCTAATTTTTCCTGTTGAAAGTTGTAATCTTGATTTTCTAAGTGAAGCAAGAATTGAATTAAATACTTAACTGAGACTTCAGGAAAAATAAACTTGAGTAAATAAACACAAATATATATAAAATGGGTTTATAGAGTGACCTATTGTCTACGATACATAACAGTCTATGTTAATAGGAAGTTTGTAGAGAGAAGCAACAGAGATGGAACCTTCTATTCCTTTTCTCTACACACAATCAATGGTCTAGTTAAGTTCCAAATTCAAACATTTTTTTTCTTCTTAATGTTTTAAAACATGTGGATCCATCTTTCTTGCTTGCTTGCTTCCTCCCTTCCTCCCTCCCTTCTCCCTTACGTTCCTCCCTTTCTTCTTTCCTTCCATTGTTCCTTCCTTCCTTCGTTCCTTCCTTCCTTCATTCCTTCCTTCGTTCCTTCGTTCCTTCCTTCCTTCCATTTCTTTCTGCTAGTTAACTGAGAGAAGAGTTAGAGTGCAAATAGTTTTTTTGAAAAGCTCATATTTCAAATAATTTTGCCTGGAGTCAAATACAGATTTTCCTGCATTCTCATAGAAAACATTCTTTATTATTATTATTTTTCTGCTTCTCCTTCATATTATCATTATTGTTATTTTGTAGAGACAGTGTCTTACTATTTTGCCTAGACTGGTCTTGAATTCTTGGGCTTAAGTAATCTTCCCGCCTTGGACTCCCAAGGTGCTGGGATCACAGGTGTGAGCCATGGCACCTGGCAGAAAGCATTCTTACAAGACATCTATGCCACAGTTACAGGCAAACCTAGACAGAGAATTTTGTGGAGGTGCTTAAATACAAACAATTCAGACAGTTTATTCAATTTAACCTAAAGAGTTTTTAGAAGAGTCACACATTAGAAAATATTTAGAAAAACTTGATATCACACTGAGAAATTTGACTCAATATGCTACCCATTTACATGTGTCTTCTAGGTCAAAAGTTCATAACATTTTTTCAACCACAAACCCTTTGGCAGTTGTCGGGGGAACAGCTTATGAGAATCTCAAAATAAAACAACAAGATGCAATACCAAGGCCCTATAAATCCAACAAATTTTGTTTAAATGAGGTAACCAAAATATGAGGGGGGAAATCTGTGATGTATTTTGTTTAGAAGTCATTGTAGTAGTGCATCACTCAGACCTTACAATTCAGTAGTGATCCTGCTAGAGGAGCACAATGGGCTCACAGTCTCCAGATGTCTCACTTTAAGAACCCATTAAGCATTCACACCAAGAGCATGCTCTGCCTGGGCTGCTCTCAGGCAGTGACTAAACACAGAGGAGATATAAAGCCAGGGCAATTCCCCCAACACAGGATTCCTCTAACAACAATCTTTACACTGTGGCTTCTTGTGGGTCTGGTCAAAATTTTGATGAAAGTCCATTGTAGTCTGAGGCTTTTCTTGTCATTCCTTCTTCTTTCCTAATCTCCTTTCACAGTCTCACAATGTCTACCCTCCCTTCTCTCTTCTTTATCCTCTGCATGAATTTCCCCATATAATTACTTTTTACTTTGAATTCACTTTTGGTATGCCTTCTGGAGAACCCAAATTGACACACTAATGAACTCATCACTAACTAGTCAATAATTTTATAGATATGCTGTATACATACCAGCCAGGAGTGTTTAAGGGCCTCAAAAAAGAAACTCTCTGATAAGCAAGGGGGTCTAGAATATTGGTAAGAAGTATGGTCAGTCTCATATCAAGTTTCTTTGTCCTGAATTGTTCGAAACAAAATATTGCACTGTGGAAATGCTGGAAAAAATGTTTGACATTTTCTTATTTTACCTTTTTATATCACTTTCTTATTTTTTTGTGGCAAAATAGAGGGACATTTACTTAGAGCCATTTATAACTGCTAGCATAAATACTATTGTATTTGTTTTGGAATTAATAAATATCATTATAAATACATAGATTAAGTTTCTAAAATATTTTATCAGTCTAATCCTTCATTTAAATTTAACCCTGCTGCTTTATTTTCTAAGTAATATACATATGCATACCTATATGCACACAGTACGTTCTTTGTTAGTTTCTTAACCTCAGGGATTATAGACACTGTTATCACATTTTAGACAGGATCCTGAAGATTAGTATATATTTATCAATTTCCCAGAGGAAAGTCATAACTATAGCCTTTTCCTTTTTACAAAAAGAATCTGTGAAGAGATTGAAAGCAGCTACTATTTGCTTTTTGTAGAGATGAATAATTAAGGTGTATGATTTCTAATGTTTTCATATTTGACAAAGTACAACTTGAGAATTGATTGAGATGTGGTCTCAGACAAATGCAACTACACACTCAGATAAGAAGGCAAAATTAGACTTCATGGGGCTCTTATTTTTTACTTGTGACTGATTTCTTCTATGAATTTAGCACAAAGGGTTTTAGTCTAATTATTCACATTTAACTTACTAAATTTGAATCCTCTCTCCAAATTAGTAGAATCTATATTTTGTTTTCTTTGAGGATCAGTACAACATCTGCACTTCACAATAACTTGACAGTTTAAAATCTAATAAGCTTTATCTTCATTTCCATTTAACCATTCTCAAAGTTTACTGTGAGGATGGAGGGAAATCTGTGAAAGCTGCTGATTTCAGCATAAGCCAGTTACTTTCTGGTGATAGAATACCAGCAAGAGACTGGCGTATGCTGAAATCATCAGCTCTGACCCCAGAATGTTTTTGATCTTAATCCATCTTTTTCTCATGTTGAAACCAGTCCATTCTCATATTCAGTTTAGTTTCTGGACTTTCTCATAACCTTCTAGTCAATCTTCTTTTGATTTATTTTACCATTCCAAATGCTCATGTTTTAATGATTTCCTCCCTAGAATTCTTGACACTTTTGAAAATCTGATTAAAACCTCCTTTTTGATGTTCAATTAGGTACTACTGAATTGGTCCATATCATTGGATACAAACTCGCTGCTGTGTAGATTGTGTAAAAATCAGGTTATCTGATATTCACAATATCACACTGTTTTAGGTACCCTGATTGATAAATAAGCACTTTTAAATATACTTGACAAGCGATGGAGATCAATAATACCTTTGAGCAGGATAAAGGTGTGGCAGAAGCAATGTCTCTGCCAATATGTATATTGAAGTTCACAACTTATAGAAGAAGTGTTATAATACTTAAGAAAATCAATTTTGCATCTGCTATAATCATCCAGAAATTATCATTTATTTTACTACAGTCCAGGTGACAACAGTACAATTTTTTTTATACTTACATCTTCTAGAGAAGATGTCATTAATTGCCCCAGAAGTTTAAGATTCTGGAATGTTGAGTCCTTAAATCTCAGAGGAGAAATGTTTACCAAGTTATATTTATAGGGACAATATATCTGTTGGAGTGAAGTCAAGAAATAATTGAATATTCCAGTCAATGCTTAACTGGAATAGGAAAAACAAAAACAAACAAGCAAAAACTAGCCCCTACTCTAAGAGGGCTGGCTTAATCTAGCAAAGATGCAGATATTATATTTTTTTCTGTTTATTTCCACCTCAACTAGCAAATGGAGAAATATTTGCCTACAATTTTAATGAATTATGTCAGGTAGTATGAAACAAGCAGTCACTTCTGCCTCGCAGAAAATCTATTCCATATTAGAGATATTGACTCATACAGTTATTCCTGATGAAAATACATCCAATTAATACTAAAACACAGATTTTGCCCCAAAAAGGAGGAAGAAAGAAATCAAACTCTTTCTGGTGTAGCAGACAATGGAAACGTTTGGTTGAAGAGACATAAATGTCTTAGTATCACAGCCTGACACCGATTTTTGGTACTTCAGGAAAAAAATGTTTCTAGAGATTTTTGATATACAGATAATAGAGTTTATATTTAAAACTTAAACTTGGGAAACTTACGGATTCAACACTATCTATAATTATTACAAAAACTGAAACGATCCCTTCCAACTTAAGTGGACTAGAAATATGGGACAGTGTGTTTCCCTCACAAGAGTAAGCACATAACAAAAATGCCATAACACATAAAGATTCAAATATGGAAATGAGAAAAGCATTTTCTTTTAACTATTGAGTAGCTGAATGAAGCGATTGTATTATGAGAAATATTAGAATTCTTTCTCTCTCTCTGACTCTTATTATCTGTCATCTCTCTCCCTTTCTCTGTCTCTCTCTCGCTCTCTCTCTCCCTGTCTTCTCAGTTTGCTATATAACCGAAAACATTAGGTTTAATTTTTGTGTTTTTTTTTTTTTTTTTTTGCAAATCATATATAGTTAGTATCCTATGGTGTGTTTATTATATTTCACTAGCATTTAATTAAAGTATTATTACATCAATTTCTAAAAACAGATATTCAAAAGGGCTGAAATTAAAAGATAGAGAGTCGAGTACATTCTTTGAGTTTAAAAACACTCTATACCATTACAAATGCACATAATAGATGATTTTCTCAAGTAAGCTGTAACTTTACTACAGCTTACTTAAGGAAATCATCTATTATGTGCATTTCTGTTTTTATTTCTACTACCCTTTAAAACAAAATAAAATTTAGGATTATAAATTTGATCATTGTAGTGCTTGAACTAATGATTACTTCTGTTTGGGATGCCATGTTTAAAATATTTTTTGCATATCTATTGAAAAGTCACTTTAAGAAACATGTTATGGCCCGGCGCGGTGGCTCACGCCTGTAATCCCAGCACTTTGGGAGGCGTAGGTGGGCGGATCACGAGGTCAGGAGATCGAGACCATCCTGGCTGACATGGTGTAACCCCGTCTCTCCTAAAAATACAAAAAAAATTAGCCGGGAGCGGTGGCAGGCGCCTGTAGTCCCAGCTACTCGGGAGGCTGAGGCAGGAGAATGGCGTGAAACCAGGAGGCAGAGCTTGCAGTGAACCGAGATCGCGCCGCCACCGCCCTCCAGCCTGGGCGATAGAGCGAGACTCCGTCCCACTCCAAAAAAAAAAAAAAAAAAAGAAACATGTTATGATAAGTGTGATAAACAGAACAATACTAAACTTCAACTAAAACAAAAACAATGTATGTGTGACATTTTACGTATTAAGTAATGCAGAATTTCTATTCATCAGTAGAATGTAAATTTCTTGAGTAGACCACCTTTATTTGGATAGAGTCATGCTAATCACTTGGACAAAAAACTTTTCAATGGTTAAAGACAGAGGAAGAATAATACTTTCATGTGAAGTCTTTTGTTTCAGGGACACATTTAACACTTACTCATTACATGACTTTCTCTAATAAACAGTATCATTAGTTTGAGATGTTCAGCACTTGACTGTAAATAGTTATAATTACATGGAGAGAAATTCATAAACAAGAAGGTTTAAGAAACTTCTGACAGTCCCGTTTCTAGCAATTAAAAATAAATATTTCATTGTTCATCAACAAAGCTTTCCTTAATTAGGGGTCAAATTATCATCCTACTTAACTCACTAGATAATTTTCAGTTACATAATAATGCATCCATTCATTAAGGTACCTGTAAAACAGCAACAAAAATTAATTTAACTAATTATCAGAAGCAAATGGGATTCATGATTTAAGAGCCGAAATTATATATATATACTATATATGTATATAGTATATATATATATAGAGAGAGAGAGAGAGAGTCCAAGAAATTCTCCAAAGACAATATAAATCATCAACATGGCCTGAAACAAAATAAGACTTTATCCTCCCATTACGTATGGCTGGATGAGAAGAAACAACTTTTATGACTTTAGTGATTCTATCATAGTATATCTTGGCTTGTCATTCTATATTTATTTCTTGTGCTCCTGGAAAATTTTATTCATTGTAAAAACTGGAAATCTCTGTCTTTAATTTAATTTTTGCTTTCATTCTTTTTTGTTTTGTTTTGAGACAGAGTGTCGCTCTCTCGCCCAGGCTGGAGTGCAGTGGTGTGATCTTGGCTCACTGCAAGCTCTGCTTCCTGGGTTCATGCCATTCTCCTGCCTCAGCCTCCCAAGTAGCTGGGACTACAGGCGCCTGCCACCGCGCCCGGCTAATTTTTTTTTTTTTTTTTTTTTTTTTTTGTATTTTTAGTAGAGACAGGGTTTCACTGTGTTAGCCAGGATGGTCTGGATCTCCTGACCTCATGATCCACCCGCCTCAGCCTCCCAAAGTGCTGGGATTACAGGCATGAGCCACCATGATCGGCCTAATTTTTGCTTTCTAAGGTGTTTGGAGATATGATTACTTTGAGGTTTTAGTTTCTTCTTCTGTGGATTAAAGAAATGAACTGGATACCCTGTAAGAATTTTTTATTTAATTTAATTGTTTTGGGAGTGTGGACAAAGCCTAGACACTATCCCATTTGAAGAGGAGATGCCTCAGTTTTACAACAATTTGGGCTGAAAGACAATCCTTAAGTTGAATGCTTAGACTTGAAGGAAGAACTACAGTTCAAATAAACTCATTCCAAAGAAATGAACACATACACATATTTACATGTTCATATTTCTAAAGATCTGATTGGAAGACAAAGCTTAAGAAGACCTGAGAGACACAGGATACTTCTCTCTACTCTTTGTGGGCTACATTGGCTTCATATGGTATGAAACTGCAGTTTATATTTATTTACTTCACTCCTCTGTCCCTGGCCATTTTCCCATTTGCTACTGTGTTTTCCGTAAGTCCCAGTGGTTCATAAACATCCCTTTTGTATAGGATGTTCAGTTTTTAGTAGATATAAGGAAGTTGTATAGTGGTGGCATGGCTTACAGTCTTGGCTCATGCATAGTAAACCCTTGCCTATTCTTTCAGCTATATCTGGTGTCACCCACCCTAGTCTTTCAACACTTCACCTGCACTGAATTTTCAGCCATTCCTCAGAAGTTCCAAGCTTTTTTCCATCCCAGGATCCCATCTATTCATTACAAGGTTAACCCCCTCCCACAAATATGCCCTTTCTGTTTGGATAATTTATGTTAGACTTCAGTACGAATGCACATTTCCTAGAGAGTTCTTCCTTGATTTCTCATCTAAATTAAATATCCTCTATGATTATTTCTCAATACAGTGTTAGTACATTTTCTGTCATTATAAATGAATGCTTCAGACTGGGTAATTCATAAAGAACAGATATTTATTTAGAACATGGTTCTGGATGCAGGAAAGTCCAACACTGAGGGGCTAGAATTTGGTGAGGGCCTCAGGCCATGCCATTCCATGGTGGAAGAGCAGAAGGAAGGAGGAGCAAGCAAGTGCCTGTGAAAGAAAAGGGCACCAGGGGCCCAGCTAGCTTTATAACAATCCACTTTCTTTTTCTTATTATTATTTTTATACTTTAAGTTTTAGGGTACATGTGCACAATGTGCAGGTTGGTTACATATGTATACATGTGCAATGCTGGTGTGCTGCACCCATTAACTTGTCATTTAGCATTAGGTATATCTCCTAATGCTATCACTCCCCCCTCCCCCCACCCCACAACAGTCCCCAGAGTGTGATGTTCCCCTTCCTGTGTCCATGTGTTCTCATTGTTCAATTCCCATCTATGAGTGAGAACATGCGGTGTTTGGTTTTTTGCCCTTGCGATAGTTTACTGAAAATGATGATTTCCAATTTCATCCATGTCCCTACAAAGGACATGAACTCATCATTTTTTATGGCTGCATAGTATTCCATGGTGTATATATATGCCACATTTTCTTAATCCAGTCTATTATTCTTGGACATTTGGGTTGGTTCCAATTCTTAGCTATTGTGAATAGTGCCACAATAAACATATGTGTGCATGTGTCTTTATAGCAGCATGATTTATAGTCCTTTGGGTATATACCCAGTAATGGGATGGCTGGGTCAAATGGTATTTCTAGTTCTAGATGCCTGAGGAATCGCTGCAATGACTTCCACAATGGTTGAACTAGTTGACAGTCCCACCAACAGTACAAAAGTGTTCCTATTTCTCCACATCCTCTCCAGAACCTGTTGTTTCCTGACTTTTTAATGATTGCCATTCTAACTGGTGTGAGATGGTATCTCATTGTGGTTTTGATTTGCATTTCTCTGATAGCCAGCGATAATGAGCATTTTTTCGTGTGTCTTTTGGCTGCATAAATGTCTTCTTTTGAGAAGTGTCTGTTCATATCCTTTGCCCACTTTTTGATGGGGTTGTTTTTTTCTTGTAAATTTGTTTGAGTTCATTGTAGATTCTGGATGTTAGCCCTTTGTCAGATGAGTAGGTTGCGAAAATTTTCTCCCATTTTGTAGGTTGCCTGTTCACTCTGATGGTAGTTTCTTTTGCTGTGCAGAAGCTCTTTAGTTTAATGAGATCCCTTTTGTCAATTTTGGCTTTTGTTGCCATTGCTTTTGGTGTTTTACACATGAAGTCCTTGCCCATGCCTATGTCCTGTATGGTAATGCCTAGCTTTTCTTCTAGGGTTTTTATGGTTTTAGGTCTAATGTTTAAGTCTTTAATCCATCTTGAATTAATTTTTGTATAATGTGTAAGGAAGGGATTCAGTTTCAGCTTTCTACATTTGGCTAGCCAGTTTTCCCAACACCATTTATTAAATAGGGAATCCTTTCCCCATTGCTTGTTTTTCTCAGGTTTGTCAAAGATCAGATAGTTGTAGATATGCGGCGTTATTTCTGAGGGCTCTGTTCTGTTCCATTGATCTATATCTCTGTTTTGGTACCAGTACCATGCTGTTTTGGTTACTGTAGCCTTGTAGTATAGTTTGAAGTCAGGTAGTGTGATGCCTCCAGCTTTGTCCTTTTGGCTTAGGATTGACCTGGTGATGCGGGCTCTTTTTTGGTTCCATATGAACTTTAAAGTAGTTTTTTCCAATTCTGTGAAGAAAGTCATTGATAGCTTGATGGGGATGGCATTGAATCTATAAATTACCTTGGGTAGTATGGCCATTTTCACGATACTGATTCTTCTTATCCATGAGCATGGAATGTTCTTCCATTTGTTTGTATCCTCTTTTATTTTGTTGAGCAGTGGTTTGTAGTTCTCCTTGAACAGGTCCTTCACGTCCCTTGTAAGTTGGATTCCTAAGTATTTTATTCTCTTTGAAGCAATTGTGAATGGGAGTTCACTCATTATTTGGCTCTCTGTTTGTCTGTTATTGCTGTATAAGAATGCTTGTGATTTTTGTACATTGATTTTGTATCCTGAGACTTTGCTGAAGTTGCTTATCAGCTTAAGGAGATTTTGGGCTGAGACAATGGGGTTTTCTAGATATACAATCACGTCATCTGCTAACAGGGACAATTTGACTTCCTCTTTTCCTAATTGAATACCCTTTATTTCCTTCTCCTGCCTAATTGCCCTGGCCAGAACTTCCAACTCTATGTTGAATAGGAGTGGTGAGAGAGGGCATCCCTCTCTTGTGCCAGTTTTCAAAGGGAATGTTTCCAGTTTTTGCCTATTCAGTATGATATTGGCTGTGGGTTTGTCCTAGATAGCTCTTATTATTTTGAGATATGTCCCATCAATACCTAATTTATTGAGAGTTTTTAGCATGAAGGGTTGTTGAATTTTGTCAAAGGCCTTTTCTGCATCTATTGAGATAATCATGTGGTTTTTGTCTTTGTTTCTGTTTATATGCTGGATTACATTTATTGATTTGCCTATATTGAACCAGCCTTGCATCCCAGGGATGAAGCCCACTTGATCATGGTGGATAAGTTTTTGATGTGCTGCTGGATTCGTTTTGCCAGTATTTTATTGAGGATTTTTGCATCAATGTTCATCAAGGATATTGATCTAAAATTCTCTTTTTTGGTTGTGTCTCTGCCCGACTTTGGTATCAGGATGATGCTGGCTTCATAAAATGAGTTAGGGAGGATTCTCTCTTTTTCTATTGATTGGAATAGTTTCAGAAGGAATGGTACCAGTTCCTCCTTGTACCTCTGGTAGAATTCGGCTGTGAATCCATCTGGTCCTGGACTCTTTTTGGTTGGTAAGCTATTGATTATTGCCACAATTTCAGAGCCTGTTATTGGTTTATTCAGATATTCAACTTCTTCCTGGTTTAGTCTTGGGAGAGTGTATGTGTCGAGGAATTTATCCATTTCTTCTAGATATTCTAGTTTATTTGCATAGAGGTGTTTGTAGTATTCTCTGATGGTAGTTTGTATTTCTGTGGGATTGGTGGTGATATCCCCTTTATCATTTTTTATTGCATCTATTTGATTCTTCTCTCTTTTTTTCTTCATTAGTCTTGCTAGCAGTCCATCAATTTTGTTGATCCTTTCAAAAAACCAGCTCCTGGATTCATTAATTTTTTGAAGGGTTTTTTTGTGTCTATATTTCCTTCAGTTCTGCTCTGATTTTAGTTATTTCTTGCCTTCTGCTAGCTTTTGAATATGTTTGCTCTTGCTTTTCTAGTTCTTTTAATTGTGATGTTAGTGTGTCAGTTTTGGATCTTTCATGCTTTCTCTTGTGGGCATTTAGTGCTATAAATTTCCCTCTACACACTGCTTTGAATGTGTCCCATTGATTCTGGTATGTTGTGTCTTTGCTCTCGTTCGTTTCAAAGAACATCTTTATTTCTGCCTTCATTTCGTTACGTACCCAGTAGTCATTCAGGAGGAGAACAATCCACTTTCAAACAGCTCCTGCAATAGCCACATTCATTTATGTTCGATGAGGGCTCTGCTCTCATGATCTCATCACCTCTTATTAGTCCCTTACCTTCCAATGCTGTTGTAAGATTAAGTTTCCAACACATGAACTTTTAGAGAACACATGAAAACCATACAAAGCAGTATATTGCAGTCTTTAATTATATCATTATTTAGAATTAAAACTATACCCATGTATATTAATGTATTATTGACTGTCTCTTCCAACTTGAAAGAAAGTGTACAGGTAAGGGAATATGATAATCTTTTTTCTGATTAATATCCAGTGCCCAGCAAAGTATCTTACCAATTGGAAAGGCCAGGAATGAGAACTGCATATGTATGCAATCTAAATTTAAATAAATTTTACTCTTTTTTAGAACACATACACACCTTTTGTTTTCCTGATCCTGTGCTGATAGGTCTTCCGTCAATTTCATCTACCTATATGGATGTTTGATAATAGTTTGGTTTGATCAACTATAGCTAGAGAATTTAACATTCAGCTGCAGGCTAGTCAGGCTGAACACGAACAGGAGGATTCAGTCTCTCTTCTGGACATTTTTGTGATTTCCCATATTAGACTTTTTCCCCCATTCTATCCCACACTAACCTACTAGGTATAACTTCCAGAAAATTGTCTTAGTTTATTTTTCCTGATGAGAGCTTTGCAAAATGTATGAAGCATTTTCAGAGCTGTTTTACAATTGATTCAGCTGCTCCAGTGTCTGGGGTTTGTCTTAACCCCAATCCAAGTTACTCTTTTACCTATAGCCTTTATCTGTACTGCCTTGTAGTCTAGGCAATAGTCTACATAGTCACTTGTTGTCATCAATTGATTAGTAAATTAATTCAATACATAGAAAATAAATAACTTCTGTATTGCCAAATGCTTTTGCTAAATATTTGGCATAGAAATAAAGTGCAAACAAATGAGTTCCATGGAAAATAAAATCTAACCAAAAAGATATAGATGAACTCAGACTGTAATGCATGCTTAAACTAAGAATTAAGAAATAAATTAGAATTTTTCAGGAGTCAAGGTTCATAGTAAATTTATGCAAAGTAGAGGTTAAAGCCATGAGTAAAGGCATAGATAAAAAGTCAACAGATGCAATCAAGAAACTCATGTGTTACCATCAATTAAAAACCATGGGTGAACCATGGGCAGTTGAAAATAAATCTTAAACAGGTGACAGAGTGTTATTGAAGAATCTGCACAGGGGATAATATGAAAAGATCTCTATATAGAAATATTAAATTAACAAACATACTGTGAGAAGTGTAAGTTGGTCTGGAAAAAATGACTTCAACAAAAGAGATGAGGACAATGAATTATAATAGCACAAGTAGAAATGTGGAGGTTCTGTGATATGGCAGTGGGTGTGGAAACAAACTAGAGGGTATTGTATTAGTCCATTCTCATGCTACTATAAAAGACTGCCCGAGACCGGGTAACCTAAAAATGAAAGAAGATTAATTGACTCACAGTTCTGCATGGCTTGGAAGGCCTCAGGAAACTTACAATCATGGCAGAAGGGGAAGTAAACATGTCCTTCTTCACATGATGACAGGATGGAGACGTGCCTAGCAAAAGGGGGAAAAGCTCCTTATAAAACCACCAGATCTCATGAGAACTTACTATCACGTGAATAGCTTGGGGGAAACTGACCCCATGATTCAATTATCTCCCACTGGGTCCCTCCCATGACGCATAGGGATTATGGGAACTACAATTCAAGATAAGATTTGAGTGGGAAGAGACAAACCATATCAGGTGTATATTCAGAAATACAAATAACATTTAACCAGGAAAACTTGATAATCAATCATATTTAAAGAACATGGGGGAGAATTAAACAGAGCAAAATCTCAGTTATCTCACTTGGGGAAAAAAAGGTGGATGATAGTAATACTAAAAACAAAACATTTAAAAGATCATATTTTACTTATACTAATAAATACTGCAGTTTTATTCTTTATGTTGAATTTTAGAACGTGTGACCTAATCAGGTAGATAGCTTGGATAGACAGACTTATCCATCTGTGTTCTGAACATGAATGTGAATGTGAAGTCACTGGCTTTCAGGAATAAGGCTTAAACAGCTCAAAAGCTCATTGAGAGAAAGGCTACAAGTGAAATATGAAAATGTTGATAAAAACCAAACATTCAGTAAACCTATGTGTTAAGGGCCCAACATAGGAAGATGAGCACTTACTTGAATTGAAGCAGACTACAGTATAGGAGGACACCCAGGCAGAAGTACTAGGAACCCACTGGAGAAGCTATGTCCTAAGAGGGAATCTTTAATTCGGGCCTAAAACACAGTAGCAGCCCAGATCCTCCCCATTATAAAAATGTCAGGTTTAAATTCAATTTTTCTATAGAAAAAACCTTCACTGAAGATAAAAAAGTAAAATGTTTCTGTTCTACAAGCTCCAAGTCTCCAACTATGTCATTTTAGGCTTTACTTAAATAAAAAGGGTAAGAATTTAAAGACTTATTTTATATTTCCCAAATTAGGTTATAAGAGCAGTGGAAGTAGGTGTCATGTTTCTTTTATATGTACAATATTATCAGATATATATGTCTTGTCATAATTAGTATTTCATAAATGTTAATTTATATATATGATTTTAGAACTTTGTTATTATTGGAAGAGTGGAAACAAAATTAATTGCTTAACAGTCCTTTTTGGCTACAATAAATTTGGTCTAAATATATATATATGTATGTATAGTGGGGTGTTCCCTTTCAATGATATCTCTGACATTTTATTTAGTAATTACCTTATTTAATCAAAGCACATTAGGGGTTGTCATTTAATTTAGAATTCTGCAACTGTGCAATACCTTAAGGAAGATAATCTCTATATCATGGGTACTTTTCCATAAACAGTTGAATTTCTTTGAGAAGAAAAAAAATCCTAGTATGTGAAAGATTTTTAATTTTTTCATGTGAATCCAACACCAGTACCAAATCTGTTTTACTACCCAAACTCATACGGAATAAAAAGTAGTGTAATGGGCAACTAGAGAATATCTAGAACCATGTTAATAATTGTTGTGGTTTCATTATTCCAATGATAATTTCCTAGATCTGCTTAGAAATAATGTTGTTGATTTGGTAGGAATACTTTTTCCTTCAAAATTTGATTAGTCATTAGACTAGGATTTCCGAATCTTGCTTGAAGAATCCTTATAACATAGGCATGTTGTCCATATTGAAATTAAACTACCATTATTCTCGATCTAAATATGAGAAATTGTATTTGTAATATTCCACTAAAAGAATAAGAAAATGATTTTGACACTGACTAAAGACAGAAATTAGAATGAAAATCATAGCAGAGGAAAGGAGAAAGAAGAGGGACCCAAAACTATGCAGATCAAGTTTATTTAAATTAACCATTACATGAATTTAAGAGACATCCCTTAATTGTAAGATTATTTGAGATTAAAACTTTAATTAGTTTTTATCTTTAATAAAGATAGTACTTAAACCTTTAATCCTAGGAACTCAAAGCCAATTAACAAATAAATCCCCAATTTTCCTATGAAAGAATGCACACACATTTGATTCCTCCTTTACAGTTAGAACCACTGTGGTTCAGAGAGATTTATTGTAAATCATATTCTAAAACGTAAGGATCTGTCATCAGGACACATGGTCCTCAATTCTTATATCAGCACTCAAAAATATCTTATTAAACTAATAATAAAATAGCATATCATTATTAAAAATCAGATATATCATGCTTACTTATTTGACTTTTGGTGGAAAATACGCGGAGTTCAACTTTAAGCTTTGAAAATTAGATGATATGGAATCTTTGGCAGGTTATGTAACCTAAAACTTCAGTTACTTCACATATAAATAGACATCATAAAATATCTTCAAGGAGGTATTTTAAGTATTGAATGAGATAATGACATTAAATACTTAGCATTAAGTTAGAATATCACTGCATATTAGGTGTCATAATATTAGTAATAAATATTAAAAGACAGAGAAGAGATATAAGAACTGAAAATGACAATGAAGTTTTGAATATGGAGGTCCACAAATTCCAGTGGTTCAAGTTAATAATTTTTCAACTTTACAATGGTGCAAAAGTGATACAAATTAAGTAAAAATCTTACTTTGAGTATCTGCACAAGCATTTTGTCTTAGTACAGTATTCAATAAATTCCATCAGATATTCAATACTATATTGAGTACAGGATTCAATAAATTCCATCAGATATTCAATACTATATTGTAAAATAGGCTCTGTGCAAGATTATTTTGCCCAGCTGTAAAGTGTTCTGAGCACTTTTAAGGTAGGATAGGCTAGGCTATGATGTTCAATAAGTTAGATGTATTAAATGCATCTTCAATTTATGATATTTTCAAATTACGATGGGTTTAATGGAACGAGACCTCACTGAAAGTGAATGAGCGGCCGGGCGCGGTGGTTTACGCCTGTAATCCCAGCACTTTGGGAGGCCGAGGCAGGCGGATCACGAGGTCAGGAGATGGAGACCATCCTAGCTAACACGGTGAAATCCCGTCTCTACTAAAAAAACAAAACAAAAAAAAACCCGAAAAACTTAGCCGGGCGTGGTGGCGGGCTCCTCTAGTCCCAGCTACTCAGGAGAATGGCGTGAACTCGGGAGGCGGAGCTTGCAGTGAGCCGAGATCCCGCCACTGCACTCTGGCCTCGGCGACAGAGCGCCGCCACTTGGTCTCAAAAAAAAAAAAAAAAAAAAAAAAAAGAAAGAAAGAAAGTGAATGAGCATTTGTATAAAAAGAAATCTATATTCTTCTATCTATGAACACATATCTATATATGTATATTTCTATATATTGATCTGTATTGATTTGTCTATATATAGAGAGGTCAGTGCAAATTTAGAGATAGGTATTCATACAGTTATAACCATTGTTAGGCAATTGTAAAATGTTTTGAAGCAATAGATAAAGCTAAGACCTACTACAGCCAGGGACTCTAATAGAACCTCCACATAACAATGAGACCTCATAGCATTACATAGCTTACCAAAGAGGGTATAAGAAATAAACTCCACTATTCCTAGAAATACAACAAATACAATTACCTATCTAAAACCTATTACTGTGTTAAGGCAAGGAAAAAGTCCCTTTCAGGATTTATAACCACAACTATGCCCTATCACATTCACATTTTCAATTGATGTTTTCCATATAATTTTTTAAAATCTCAGATAATTCAATTTAGAATGATGTGAATCAAGGTAATCTTTAGGTTACTTTTAGAAGTTTCGTTAAACAACCCTGGCAGAACTTTACTTCAAAACATGCTTCAAAGTATTAGACAAAATTTCAAGAAAAACAAAAAGCTTAGAGTCAACAATCAGAAAATAAACAGGCTTTTGCAATTCAGATTATGGAATTATAGAAAATAGAATTGAAAAATATGCACATAACATTATCAAAGATAAAGCAAAAATGTCAAATATGAGCTTGTGACATGTAGACATAATAAAGAAGCAAACGTATGTTCTGAATGTAAAAATTATAATTGTAATGAATATAAACCCAACAAATGGCTTAGCTAGCAGATTATACACAGCTGAAGAGAAGATTAGGGAACTGCAGGGGTATGTCAGAAATATTTATTTGGGGCATGACATCAGCAAGATGGTGAAATAGGAGTTTCCAATGTTTGTCCCTTGACAAAAGCATCAGCTTGAACCACCAACCACACTCTAATATACCTTCACAAAAGCTGTGCAATGCAAGTAAGAGATTGCAGCTCCTGGTGGAGTACAGAAATAAAGAAAAAACATATTGAAGAGGGTGGGAAAAACAGTTTCACATTACCTATATCAACCCATCCCAAGCATGAAGAGAGATACCCTCTGGGTTGGTAAAGGGGAGTAAAATGAGCACCTGATTTTGTCGCTCACCCCAGCATAAGGCCCACCCTTGTAAACATTATCACCAGGCCAACACCCATGGCTCTAGGCTCCAGCCTGGCCCCTGAAACCGAAGTCTTCAGGCCTGCCCTAGTGCCACAATAGCCAAGATAAGTAATAAACCTAAGTGTCAATTTAAGGGTGGATAAATAAAATAAAGTCTATATAAAAATTGAAATATTATTTAGCCCTGAAAAGAAGGAAATTCTGCCATCTGTGATAATATGGATGAACCTGCACATTATGTTAATATGAAAAAAAACAGTCACAGAAAGACAAATACTGCATTGTCTCACTAATACATGAAATCTTAAAAAGTCAAACTCAGAAACAGAATAGAATAGTGGTTGCCACAGGTTGAGGGGTGGGAAAAATGGGGAGATGTTGGTCAAAGTGTACAAAGTGTACAAAGTATCAGTTATGCAGGATGAATAAATTCTGCAAATCCAATGTACAGCATGATGATTATAGTTCATGATATTGTGTAGTATTCTTGACATTTACTACTAGTAGATTTTAAATGTTATACATACACACACACACACGTAACTATATGATAGATATGTTAATTAGCATGATTGTGGTAATTATTTCACAATGTGTATGTATACCAAATCATTACATTGTACAGCTTAAATATATACAATTTTTATTTGTCAAACCTAAATAGAGCTGAAAATAAAATTAAATGGAAGTAACTACCCAAAAGATATCCTTTCAAAGGAAAATTACTCTCAACGCCTAATTGTATAAAGTAAATCTCTTATTACTTAAAGACATGATGTTTAATTCCATGGGAAGATATAATAATTATTATATTTTTATTAATACAATATACAGTCTCAAAATATTTAAAGTAAGTATTAATTGGCTGACCAAGAGAAATTTTTAAAACACTACCATTGCATGAGATTTTAAAACTACTCTTTTAGTAATTGATAGAGCAAGCAGATAGCTTTATAACTATTTTATACTATTTCAATTTCATGCAATAAGTAATGAACAACTACAAAGCATAAACTTGTTTTTAGGGCTGAGATGTAGTATAAAATACATTCCATTTAAAAAGTAGTTTTTCTTCTGCATTTCTGTGTTCCTTTTTCATAAATATTTCCCAAAAAAATCAATATTGCTTTACACATCAGTGGTCCTACAATGAACAGAACATCCAGTCATGGTCACGTGTGCTTTTCACATCTGATTATGACACAAAGTGAAACAATAACCAAAAATATCATATCACAAAGTTTTAAATAAGATAGAAGGAAAACCATACCTAAACTAAAATTGGGATACCTGTAGCTCTATCTTAGTTTGTAAAATGTAATGCTTTAAAGAAGGATGGGATCATCTTTATTAACAATTCTTTATACACAAACACACACATTCATATATGTGTGAATATATATATCTGTGTGCATGTATACACACACATGTGTATACATGTATATGTGTGTATATAAAATAATAATAAAGATGATTAGCTGTTTGTAATTTGAGTATAAATTAACAATGCAATGTGACAACCAAAATTCTAATGAAATCATATCCTATATCAAGAAAAATATCTTTTTCAGTGTACAGAGGTACATACTAGTCTCATACAATTTCATGCAAGGAAAAATGTAACAACAATAGGTTGTTCATCATGCTGTATTATGAGAAGGCAGTAGATAAACTGGAGTATTTTAGCCCTTTCAAAAATATGAGTGAAGCATTAACCAGAAGGCAGAGTGCATAGTATGTGATGGGTGTGTTACACACATAATTAATGCATGAAATGAAGCATATTTTTTGTCTGTTAAGAGAATACAGCATAGACTGGATACAGGGACTGATAAGCAGACTGATGTGGAATGTTAACTCCATTAATGAATTATATTACTGACTCATTGAATTAATACTATACCTGTCTGCCTGTTATACATACTTTCTATTGTGGAGAAGTAAAACTTGAACCAGTTTGTTGACATGGGAATAGTGTCATATGCACAAATGAGTTATAGCCACATTAAAAGTGATCAATAATGGCGAAGCACAGATGAAATAGATGAGTACATTGAATAGAGAAATAGATAAATGTATTAAATAGTTCCTGAGGAGGATAGCATTTGGAAATAGATCTGGAAAGATGCATATGGTTTGGTTATAATAAAAGTAAAGGTAAAAAAAAAACCTAGGAAAAAAAATTTTAGAAGTAAACAAAAGGAATTTGGGGATGCACTATACATATGGTAAACGGGAGAGTGGAAAATATTAGAAAAGTCAAACTGAATTTTGGCTGCAAGGATATTTTATATTTGTCTAATGAATCAGCATGTTTTTCAAGGAGAAGAGTAAAGTATCAGAATTTTGCTTCAATAAAATCAATGTAATTATGGATATATTTATCTGAACATGACGGAATTTTTCAAAAGACGAATTTAGAAACCAGATGGGTAGGATATTGGGCAGAGAAAATGGCAAACAGGATAGACGGGCTGATTTGAGGATTGGAATAAGAAGATTCAGAAATTACTTCATTGAGAAATATAATGAGGAAGAGGAATCAAATTAGGGTTTGGGACCAACTGGGAAGTTATTGGTAGAAAAAAACAGCTTGTGGAAGAAGGCAGTCATCGGGAAATAGATTGGATAATACCGGGAACATAGGGTGGTTATGTCAAAGAGGATATACTATGCAGTGATTTGGGCATGTAGTCCTACAGTAATAGAGTTACCCCAAGCTGAAGCTATTAATTTTTACATCTTAAATTTGTCAAAAGGGAATGCAGTGAAATGGATTTGTGATCATAACCTTGGACCAAACCAATAGTTTATTGTAATCCAGAAAAAAACAAAATTGTTGGGTCAGAATCAGAGATTATGGAAATAGGATCTAGAAGAAAACATTTCTTTTATAGGCAGGGAACATATTTAAAAATTTCTGGAAATTTGGCATAAATCTGAGTTTGGAAACAGTAGCTTGCAATAGGATGTTTTCTCAAATTTGGCAGAACAGTTCCTACTCAGAGACTGTAACCAGTAGCTATATACCCTTTAAAAACTATTAGTGGGTAAATAAACAGATACGTCACGTCATGCTTCATCTGCTTCTATTCTATATACACACCTAGCTTTTGTGAAGTTTATGTGTCCATATCAAAATAAAGCGGGATATGTGGCTTTTTTGTGGTCTTTTTTGTGAAACTGTAAGTAATTTGAAATGCTGCAGGGGAAGGGTGAAATAACTAGTGGCAAAACATCACAGCAAAACTTTGTTATAAAAACTCTTGAGTTAAATAGAAAAAATAATCAGAAGAGAAGTTAGAAAGAGCTGGTTGCACTCTCAATAGTGGCTGATAGATCACACATATTTATATTTTCTCCACAGTTATATTACCAGGAACAGTAAACTTTACAGAATTTTAAGAGAAAAACAAATCATTGGAGAGTTAACTAAAATTCTAGGAAAGTTATGAAAATGATAATAAGTGTTTTGCTGATGAGCAGAGTAGAAGCAGTGTCTTACCATACACACATAGGTGAATTTACCTGAGGAAACATTTTCCCAGATCTTGCATCTGCTATTGAGAGTCACTTTTTCTGGTAAATAAGAAACAATTTATTGCTGCTTGGTAGATTAAAAATAACCACAGTAATTTCCAGCTTGCTTACTATTGAGAATCGAATCTACTTTTCTACACCTTTAGTCTGGGCTGACCTTGGAAATTGCTTTGTGATTTTGTGCATGTTTCAATTCAATACCTCAAGAGAACTTCCAAAATCCTATCTTCCTACTATTTGAACCTGGGGACTACCATATGGAGAAGTTGGCTGGATGATGAGAGACGAGAGCAAAGTCATTCCTGTTGCTGTAGCCAACAGTCTACTAACCATCAGAGTAGTGACTGACACTGCATGAATGATTCTAACAGAGATTTGCTAAGTTGCCTAGATCAAATGAACCAGGCAGCCAACCAACTGGACAGGGAACTAAATAAAAGGTTATTGTCTTAAGCTATTCATGTTGGGCTGATTTACTGTGCAGCAGATCCTAACAGAAACATAAATGACTTCCTATATTTACACAATATGTTTTTGTACCCATCAGTCTGTGTCTTCATTTCTGAATATCTATAACTAATCTTTATTTTACATGATCTTCTTTCACATGTTTGATGATAGTGATTGTACATCTAAATTCTTCTTATTCAGATAAACTTAATTCAAACTGGGTTGAATAATAGGGATACCTATAACAATTAAAATAGTCAAACAATGAAAAAAATGGCATTCTGAGGAAATCAATCATTTTTCACTGAAATTTTCCTTAAGATACTCCAGAAGGAGTCCTAAAGAAAAAAGAGGATGAAATAACCTGGATCTCAAATGGAAATATTCACGCAGGTCAGAAAAGTAATAGAAATTTATGTATATAATCAAAAATGACAAGTCAACCAGAAGATTAGTCAACATTCAGCAAGAGAAAACTAATACCTTGCTAAATTGTGAGTCTTGAGTGGCCAGGTTTTCTGATGTTTTGTAACAAAATAAAATATAAATTTTATTCACAATCAATTGAATTTTAAATGTTATCATGTAGTCCAGTTTAAAGTATTCATTGATAGTTTCAATAATAGAATTTTGAACTATCAAACCAAAAGTTTGAATGTTAAGTGTATGTGTGTATAGAAACAATATAGTCCGCTTTGTGATTTAAAAATGCTTGGCTTCTATAAAGTACTGCAAAAATACATAGGGTTCTTTGGTAAACATGTTCTAAAATGGAATGCAATAGGTATTATGAGCCTAGTAGATCATGCATTTAACTGCATTTGTGAAATTAACAATGTTTTATAACCACCTTTTCTTTTCCTTCAGGAAGGAGAAAAATAGGAGTAATAATGAGGGCTTATAAAATAATGAAGCCTAGGGAACAGGCTGCTTGTTCTGTTTACGATCTGCTAAAATAACTAAGCAAAAGACAACTGAAAAACTACTACATGTTTAATGCAGATAGTATAAAATTTAATTTTACTCAAGGACATATAATTTTACTGTTTTATGTATTTCAGATAATACACACACACACACACGCACACATGCTCTTTATACCTAAGCTGAAGGATTATAAGATTTGCAAGTGGTCATTGTAGTGGTCTCATAATTTCAAGTAAGAGCCTCAAATTATGTGACTTGGGAAGAAAGTGTATGAGATGATTTCTAATCAATTTTAACATTTTCCTCAAGATAAAATTCAAGGTGGTGACAAGGTCCTCTATTATCTGGTTTCTGCTTATCTCTCCAGTCTCATATCTTGCCAAAGTAACAGTCAAAATATTATCTTTAATCAATTAATTGCTGCCTCCTTTGAAAAATTGCCACCACGTGTTCTTATTTCTGGAACTTTGTACTTGAAGGTTTTTCAGTTAGATATCTATGTAGAAAGTGTGTATTATTTTTCACAACTGTTCTGTCCCTGTGTGGGAAAAGAATATATACATCTATACTCCAATACTTCCACAAAAGTAAGCCTTGTGACTTACTTTAGCCAATGAAATATGAATAAAAGTGACTATATGAGTAAAACTAGTGTCTGACATTTCCAGGTTTTCTTTACACTGTGTCTCTGACTGTAGAAGAACATGTCAAGCTGGAGCCTTGATCTGCTTTGGTCTCTGAGTGATGATCATAATTATAAGTCCTTTGGAAGTGCTCTTATGAAAATACAGTGTAAACAATAAATCAATTTTGTTGTTTAAACCACTGAGATTTTTAGGGTATATATTCATTTGTTATTTACTACAATAAAACACAACCTATTCTGACTGACATTCTGTCTCTCCCCACACATTATGCCCACCATTTTTCTGACTAATTATTGCTTATTCTTCAAGTCTATATATATGCATCTTCTTGAGGAAGACTACTGGATCCCTGCTTCCTGGGTTAGTTGTCTGTCTTATATCCTCCCAATATATATTTTATTTAACTAATATATCTCATTTATAATTAGATCTATAATGTCTGAGAGTGCCTGTTAATACATAGACTTTAATTGATAAATATTAATTGAAGCATTACTAATAGCAATTTAAATGAGGGGAAAAATGAACATTTTCTATGATCAAATTCACCGTGGCCCCAAGCCTATAG
This sequence comes from Homo sapiens, assembly GCF_000001405.40. Classification (NCBI taxonomy): domain Eukaryota; kingdom Metazoa; phylum Chordata; class Mammalia; order Primates; family Hominidae; genus Homo; species Homo sapiens. Next base: position 59,318,388 of record NC_000004.12, on the reverse strand, counting down.
TATAATTGGTCAGCTGGGAGAATAAATAATGATAAATAAATTTCTGACAAAGGAGAATTATCTACAATTATTGCAAATCCTAGGCATTTGCTATCAAGTTAATACAATAACTCTGTAAATGTATTTTAAATCCTATGGATTCTCATAAACAGCAAATATGCCTCAAATTGTTGACTTTTGCCTTTACTTGAATACATGTTGCGTGATTCATAAAATGAAGAAAGAGGAAGATAAAATAGAAAAAGTTTTTACTGAAGGAAGCTGGTAACAGAAAGACAGGATATGCACATTGTGGAAGCACAAAGGAGTCAAATGCTTTATAAGTACATGCAACCTCACTTCAGATTCTACTTCTGAATTCTTTTTTTCTTTTCAAATGTGTAAATGGAAAAGGATTTGCAGTAATGTTTTGCTGCATTCAAAACTGATCTCTTTGTAATCTGTGACAAGGTGAGGGACTACTTGGTGAGTAACCCTAGGTTATTGGTACTTGGGAATTCTTGATGCAACATAAAGATTAAGGTGAACTGAATAATAAAAGGACTTGGGGAGCATGCTCTCAGATTGGAAGAGACAGGTAGTCATGAGGTATATGAATATTTGTCATATTTATAACTCTACTTACCTATCACATACAATTCAAATATTAGCCAATGAACTATTAAACTAACCAATAACAAAACACCACATGTACACATCTCTTTCAGTTATTGATGGCAAAATATTGCCTCAGAAGCCACCTAGAAAACTAAGCCCAATAAATATAAATTTTCATGAAACTAATTTGAATTTTAGAAAAACTCTACCAAAATGCCCCGAATGTATCCGTAATTTGTTTTCCTTAAGAATAGTGTATAAATCATAATGAACAAAATCAAATTAATAAAAACAAACATGGGTTTAACTTTTGGAGTAAAAAATAACATGTTTTGTTCTACAGTTAGAATTTTAGAAGTAGGAAAATTTTCAGCAGCTGATGTCTCTTGAGTTTTGACTGAATAGAAGGTGAGAAACTTCTATTAATTTTGGCTATCTCAAAAATCAATAATTGGAGTTTTAATCTTCTTTGAGGGAATCTGAATTCTTTTTCTGTCCAAAGAAATAAGCTTCCCATGGTCTCTGTCATATGATTTACAGGTTGTTGGCTTGAGACATTGGGGCAGTAAGTCAATAATCTCTTTTGAAAATCCTGCTGAGACTGGGGATCATCTAATACAAGGCATGCAATCAGGATCAGTCCACTATTTAGGAGCAATGCTCCTTTCCCTTGCCAGAGCCACCACCTGCAATAATTTCCCTAGAGCTTCTCATGGCTTGTCATCAGCACTCAATAGAGGATAAGAAATAAAAGATTTTAAGACTATGAGGAATTGTTAGTATGTGATGTTTCAATTGCCTTGTTTCGGCATAAGAAAAATGGGAAGAAAGAGCTTGTTCTGGTTGGATGCTAAAGAGAAATGAGATGAATCAAAAATAAATAACCACTTATACTCTACAAGCACACTCTTATCTTAACAAAGGCTCCCTTTCTTAAGGTTGCTAATGTATTCCTATTATTCTTATATTTCACCTCTTTATCTACTCATCAACTAAATATAGAAAAGGATTGAAGAATAACAAAAAAAAGCTAGGAAAAATTAGAGTCCCTAAGCAATTGTACAGGCTGGATTAATTAATGTAATTTGCAAAAGTCCTTGCTCTAAGCTTTTAAACTGTTATTTTAGATACAGTTACAAAGAAGTTGGTTTTGATTTCTCTATCTGTAAAAGTGTAAAAGAAACAAATTACATGGGGCATTGAGGTTGTCCTGTTCACTGCAAAGGCTCCAGGAAATTGCTGTGTCACATTGTTGACACCAATGTAATTGTTGAGTTATCAAAATGACCATGAATCAAAAAGAAAGCAAAAAGTTCATTTAAAAATATTATCAACATGATTCTTTAAAAAACGGAGATAGTGGCTGGGCGTGGTGGCTCACGCCTGTAATCCCAGCACTCTGGGAGGCCGAGGCGGGGGGATCACAAGGTCAGGAGATTGAGACCATCCTGGCTAACACGGTGAAACCTCATCTCTACTAAAAATAATAATAAAAAAAATTAGCCAGGCGTGGTGGCGGGCGCCTGTAGTCCCAGCTACTCAGGAGGCCGAGGCAGGAGAATGGCGTGAACCTGGGAGGGGGAGCTTGCAGTGAGCCGAGATTGCGCCACTGAACTCTAGCCTGGGCGACAGAGCGAGACTCCGTCTCAAAAAAAAAAAAAAAAAAAAAAAAAAAAAAAAAAGGAGATAATATGCTTAAATTTAAAAGCTCATATTAAATGGAAAATTTATCAAAAATAAATTTTGGGGCAAAAATTAAATATAATCAAATATAATTTTTATTACTTTACACCAACCATATCTGATTGCAAAAGCTTGGATCAACTTCTGAACATTAAATATTCACTGTTTGTAAACTTATGAACATTCATAATCCATCTGTTGTTTAAACAAGTGAGACATTTTGGAGAGTATCCTTGAAAATATACAACAATTTAGGTATTCTAAAAGTACATGATTCCTGTGGATGAAACAAATACAAATTATTTTTAACATGTAAAAGATCGAAAAAATCACAAATTCCCTAAATTAAATTCCTTGAGCATCAATCACCCAAACACCATGATATTCATGTTAAAATATAATATTTTGTATTATTATAAATATTAAGAGTGCCAGATTTCAGATTTACTGAAAAAAATTTGGGCTAAAATTCTATCTCTTGAACTTGCTGACTGGTTCTCAAACTTTAGGAGGCATTAGTATTACTTGGGGAATTTGCAGAAAATTCAGACTTTTTCATCCCACAACCTCAGAGAATCTTGGACAGCAGGTCAGGGATGAGCACTAATAAATCAGCATTTCAAACTATATTCACAGGGATTCTGATGTAGAAGCCAGTAGCTTGAAAAAAGTAGTTCCAGCTGTGTCACTTTTTATTGTTTATAAAATACAAATGAAACTAGAGGCTATCCCAAAGACTGCCTTTAGCATTAAGTAAGGTATATATGAGATGATTATAGAGCAGTGCCTAGCACAAATGAAGTAAGTATTCCCTTAAAATTACCTTGGTATTCTTGTCATGGTAATTTTGATTGATATGTGGTGGTACACATTATACAGGGTGTCTCTCCCCACCTTTCTCTTTAGAAAATGGTTAACATACCAGTGAAAGGGCTTTACGAAAAGCTGTATCTGCAGGGCAGGACCAGGTTGTTGTTGGACCAAGGAGATGGAGAAAACATTAAGAACATGCTTGAAGGGGAAAAAAGATAGTTTATTAATACTACTGTAGAAATGCTCCATAGCTGAATAATAAAATTTTGGAAATATGGAAGAAAGAGATGTATAAATTACTACAGAGGAATTACTGAAAAATATGTGATCCACTGCAGTCCTTTATTCCTTTGCTAATTCCTGTAGCTCAATTTCATGACATTCGTTTACTCTAATCCCCACCTGACAAAATTCCAGTATAGGTCAATCCAAATATTTGCCATCAAAATGCCTATGTAAGCACTTCTAGAAGGAAGTAATACATTTGTATAATATTGCCACTGCTGTAAAAGTAACTATGTAGACAGGATTCTTAGTAGATATTGACCCCAAACTATAAATAAGTTTGATGGTGAAGCATGATTTATTTCAAGTTTTCCAAATCAAAAAGAGAAGAATCACAGATGCTGTGGCAAACTTTTGAACTGTCTCTCTGGATTTTTTTCATTCGTTCTTGTGACGAACATAGCCACTGACAGATCTGGAGAAAATATTTAAACTATATGAGCAATGAAGCAAAAACTAATTTCCCTCAAAGTAAGTCTGATTAGAAATATTACAGGAAAGAGATCCAATTGCTTTAACTTGTGTCATATACCATATATACTGCGGTTCAATAAAATGGTTGGTCTTTCTAAAACTGTATTATACTCACCTCTTTTTTTATATCGACAACACTGTAAACTCTACCAGGAACAGTCTTGTTCACCATTGTATCTCCCAAGCCTACAATACTGTCTGACAAAGAGTAAGTGTCCCATAACAATATGGTGAATTAATGGATTAAGAATACCAAAACTTTCTGTGTCATGATTTTTGATAACTTTATAGTTCTGATAAATTTCTGTGACTTTGTGAAAACTTATCTCAAAAATGACTAGTTATACTTTCATTCTTCCTCACATGACTAACAATTTATTTAAATGTTAAAATTACAGTATTTTTAAATCTGTAACCTCATTATCCATTTAAATTCTTCTAAAAACTAAGCATAGGCATTGTTATCGTAAAAAGCTGGCTATGGGTCTAAGCAAGCATTTGTTAAGTAAAAGGTTATATGCACATGGAATAAAATGATTCAAGCATAAAGCTAAAGTGGGAGCGAAACATACTTTGACCTATGTTGTTTTAAAGTTCACCAAAGCCAGATGAGATCAAGATGTTCCACTTGACATTTCTCGTCTATTTTCCATCAGGATTTCTTTACAAGAATCCTAGAGGAAAGTAGCATATGGAAGAAAATGCAAGAATGTAATAAGAATGTGTCACTTGCCAGTTGAAATTATGCTTTCTCTTTGATTTCTTATTGGAGTAAAAAGTGGTCTCTGAGACAAGAATATCTAATAACTTTAGAAAAGAATAAACAAATTGGAATATAATATGTAAAGAAAATAGTCAATTTCTAAAGTAAAATAGTGAATTATAATTCAAGGAAAAATGAAAGTTATTTTTTGGTACTATGGGAAAATAAACAGATTTTTCTTTTATAGAGAATTATCAACACTACCATTACTAAGTTACATCCATATATCAAAACAAAACAAAAAAAAAAACCATTGAATCCATATGCAGACACGATTTTCTCCTAAATATGTGTTTATATATATGAAAATTCATATTTACTTATAAATATTTTCTATTAAAAATAACATTGTAAACTATTAGTCAATTTACAGAATTAGATTTACAGAAATAGAACACATGGATTAATATGTTACAAACATACCTTTTGGAATAGTAGTGGTGCTGGCTCTAGACTAAATTTTATCCATCCATTCATTTGTTAACATTTTTATCAAAAATGAAAGTAAAATTTTTAGAGGTTATATGAGAAGCATTTAATTATTCTTTGTATCTTTTTTTACAGCAAAGTTTAAGTTGTAATTTCCCTCTTGAAGCAATAGTGTACTACACGAATCCATAATTATGGAATTCATTCTGCTGTAATTGTCAGCACTGATTGAGTGGCTATTGAAATAACTGATCTATGATAAATCAGAATGATTATGAGTCAGCTAACTTAGAAATGTAAAATCTAAAATGTCTAGCTTTAATACAGATAAGCTATTTCTTCTTAAGGCTTTAGAAAAACCACCCTAAATATATTGAACAGCATCCTACTTCTCTCTATACTCATCAGTTTAATTCATTCAAAGTTAGTCTATCCCTAATAGTTCAGGAAAATCATTAGTTTTCTGACCATCTTTGTGGGTTTGCAGAATTTGATTAATCTCTTGATGTTGATATTCCAGAGTTAGCAATGATTTTGATTCCTCCTAATCAATGATATATGGCAGCTACAAAGGTGAGTGATTACATCTCCAATGAGGGAGCCAAAAGGAATTTAACCTGTCATTCATTCAATGTCTAGCAAAGTTACATTTTAGTCAATGATTTCAAAAGACTGAGAAGTTGAACTTGTGCTATAGGAATTCCATATAGTACAATTTTTCAATTCTGGATTATTATAGTAGTATATTTTTATTTAAAGTGTAAGGAATTTGATTAATACTGTATGTATATGTAAATATAAATATATATACAACAATAGTATTAGAATTTTTTAACATGATTTGGTGATGTTAAGAATGATGTGGGATGATGTGAGAAGATAATGAAAATCTAAAATTATCCAGCTTATTTTTCTCCATATGTTACTCTTTTTGACCCACATGTTTTAAAGTCGTTTGGCTTGGTATGGTGAATGGCCATCAGGATGGAGAGAATTGGTCAGAATCAGGAGAAAGATGTCATGGTACCTTCACTTTAGATTGAAGGTAGGGTGAGGCAAGAAAGAGGTCATGGTATCTCCTGAGTTTGGTTTTGGCATAACTCTGTACTTGGTGGTACCATTTAGTAGGACACTGAAAGCTTTAAAATAAGTAGGTTTAAAGACAGATTATGAGCTCATTATTAGATATATTAACTTGCCATTGAGAAATGTTAAATAAACAAGTAGAGGTTAAGTTCCTCAACTCCATGTACTACATGGTCTAGATTTGGACCTTTAACTAAATTTGGTATAGATTTTTGCTCATATAAGGCACAAAAATGAATTGTTCATGTAACAAGGCTGTGGGGAAAGAATGGCAAAATATGTTTTGGATCTGCCCTGCTAATAACTGTATTATCTTATGACATTGAACATTGCATTTTGTCATATTTCTTTACTTAAGGAAACCAATAAGATCTCTAGAACTATGGAAAACCTAAAATGCTGTCAAATAAGTCAACTTTTTGAAGTTAGTACACATGATTAAAACACACTTTCTGTTTTAAATATTTATATGTTTAACTGTAAATTTCAGTTAAAAATATTTAAGAGCTTCTACTTTATCAAAGTCAAATCTTTAAAGCTTTTCAAGAGAAAGGATATATATATATCTCCTATATATTATATTATATTATATATGTATATATATATATATTTTGAAAACTTGAGTTTTAATCTTCCCTCCATACTTCTACTCCTTCTTACAAATAAGCAACTAATCTACTGTTCACAACCTTAAAAACTAACATACATATTCTTTCAAATTATTCAAAAGAAATACAATAGGCAGAATCACCCAAATAGGACACCTTTTATTCACCTAAACCTGAAACATTTATTAACACATTTACCATATCAAAGCACTTTCAAAAATTTTAGAATAAGTCAGTGTTATGCACAATATGAACCATTAAACATTCTTTATCAAGGTCTGGCTAAGTGCTAATAAATGGCTCTGCCAATTTCCTTTGCTTTTCCTGAGAGTTTATTCTTTCATTAAAATAACGTCAGCTAGATATCATAAAATATTCACTGTTTAGTATTTTTCTTCTTTCAGGTTGAGAACATTTTTATCTAAGTTTGAAAAGAAAAATTAAATCAAAAGTATGTGCTATCACATTGTATCAGAGGTTAAATTCTAAAATCACAATGACAAACTTTTAGTAACTTTCTCAAAATACCAGTGGATTGTTTAAACTAAAAATAATTCGTGAAACTATAAATCTCTAAAATAATTTCCACTAAGTGGGTATGGTTTATATATTAAACAAATAAGTGAAACGAATGCTATTTCTGTTGCATTAATGCAACATATGAATATTACTTAATGACATTTTTAATGTAGGCTCTTAATATATATTTCATTTTAAAAACACTGACCTATATTTCTTTTAGAATGGCATTGCAAAATACATTTAGCACTTATTGACTCACTCATTCACCATATATTTACAAGGAACCTACTACGTGGTAGGCACTGTTAATTACTGGGATAGGACATTGAGCAAGTTTCATTCTCTCCCTTTACTTATGGAGCTTATTTTCTACAGAAGAATGTAGACAATTATACGAAGTTAAAATAAATAAAATAAAAATAAAGTTTGGTAAATGGTGGTTGAGGAGAATAAAATGTTGTGAGAGTTCACAGAATCACAGAATGAATACTTGATATGTCTAGGAGACAAAGGGAAGGTAAGAATAATGATAACTTCTGAATTATTTGCAGGACAGTCCACTTACGTATCACGCATATTAGTAGCTTTATTAGTTTTTGTTGCTGTCATTTCTACCATTTTATCTATTTGGCTGATGATTTCATTACATCTTGATATTAGATATTTTAAGTATCTTACCTATGTTCCATGACCTTACCACTTCAGTGTATGTTGGGCAGATACCCAATTGCTAGCACCTACATTTATTTGCCTGAGTTCCTCTAGGCTTTGTAGCCCTCTTTATCAACTATTGCAGCAAGCCAGAAGTACCAGGGAGTTAGCAACTCTGGCAAAGCAGCTCTCAACCAAGGACAAATGGAAGTCTTTATAGCCTCAGCAGCCTTGCCCTTCAGGTGTGATAACTCTGAGTCAGATGTTCCACACTGAATTCCAGAGTTCCTCAGCAAGATAAAGGATTTTTTTTTTTTTTTCATTCATGGTGGCAACTTGCTGGACAGTGAACATTTTATTGTCTGCCTTCTTCCTGTCTCATTTCCACATTCCCCTACAGGTATTTCCCGATTTCCCTCCCAAATAAATAATTTGCAATATAATGTTCATCTCAGGTCATGCTGCTTGGTAAATCTCAAATGAAAAAGAATGTAAGCCAGTGATTGTATGATTTTGCCAGTTATGCCATTTCTAATATGATCATTGGGGGAATAAATTGGTTAATTCATTCTAATTCTGGTCTGACATAGTTTCTGTATTATCAGTTTGGGTATTAAATGTTAATCTGGGGCAGTTTGTACATATTGAGTGTATAAGTCATTTTGCAATAAAGTAGCAGTATGAAGTTTCTAGGAAGAAAGACTTACATGAATGGATGGTTTTTCTATTGGTTCAGAAATAATAAATATATGTAAACTATATATGTAATAGAATACATAAAATACATGAATAAGTTATTTTACTGCATAGAGAAAATGAATAACTACATTGATAGGTCAATGAAGACACAGTTATATGTTTCTTGCTTACTACTCAATGACTAGCACTTAACATGAGACTAGTACTTAATAAGAATTAATAAGTATTTTATGAATGAATGACTTAAGGTTAGAGATTAGATAGTCATTGAGACTGTTTCCAAAGAAAATAGCATTGCAGAATGTCAGATAATGTTAGTGGCCATTTTGTTTCTTTAAGAAAACGTGTTGTTTATCAATGCTAGGGAGTACACAACTTTAAAAACATTAGGTGTCTCAAACAAGTACAAGAACTTACTCGAATGCAGCACAGAGACTTAATGTTGAACGATTATCAGATTAAAGGGGATTGTGATTTATATCACCTGTAAGACACCATGAGCTGAAAGAGAGGAGATACAAGCGGAGCCCATGCTGTTTCCTGTGGTGCAGTAGTAGTTAGTATAGCAAAAAGGTGACTGCCATTCATTTAAACAAAATGGGTGTTTTATGTACCTTCACTGTCAGACAAGATACAGTTGAGCAATGCTTTTGTCGAACATTATAAAGGGCATGGGAAACGGGGGTGTGGATGAGGCAAGGAAAGAGAAAAAAAGCTATTTCATCTATTGATAGCCAACCCAAGAGAAAAGCTATTCTCTCTCTAGCATAGTATCAAGTGACTTTTTAAATGACCCCAGCACTTTCTCCTCAAAGAAAATCTTTCTAGGTGAGCAATTCAAACATTTATTATCATCTCAATAGGGAACGAAAAAAATATTAGGGCTTCCTTGCAGCATGTTGTTTTGTTATCTTCAGTGCAGAGGGAATTGGAATTTCTGTGTTTACTAAGGAGGGTCCTCTGTTTTGGAAATAGAGCTATTTCCAGTAATATAAAAATAACTAATATTTTGGATCTGGCCTCTTAGAGTAATCTAAAGATGTAAATAGATCTTGAGCTTCTTCTCTAATATTTTTTATTTATAACTCTAAAGAAATATTCTATTGGAAGTAATTCATTAGTTTATATTTTGGAACAATAAAATAATGAAAAGTTAGAATAGATTTTGGGTAATTATCTTATATTAGAATGAAAGATTTATTAAACGGTTTGCATTTGTTATCTCATTGTATCCTCGCATCTGCTTAAAAATATTATTATTACTATTTCTATTTTAAAGACAAGGAATGGGGTCTAAGACTTGGAGTGGTTAAGTATATTTCCAAAGGCCAGACAATTAGAGAATATAATTATTATTCAATTCTAATAAGAATAAGGAGAAGAACAACAAAATGTCATTTCTTGGGTTCATAAAGATATTTGAAAAATTTTTGACTCATATACAATGTAAGAAAAAAATGTGGATAAGGTTTAATCATATTATGTACAAAATTACTTCTGTTCATTCACCCTTGAAACAGAAGGAATTTGAATAACATAGAGACTGTCCTCTGCTGTCTGGAAAGGCATAAAACTTTTATTTGTAAACAGCAGATAGAAGTGGGTGAAATGTTAATTTCTCTACCGACATCTAACTAGAAGAACTATGGGCTCTAGTAAAATAAATGGCTTCATTGTACGCTTCTTTAATTATTGTAAGACAATGGAAATCTATTTTTATAATATTACACCTAAACCTTCTTTATTGGGCTCATTTCAGGAAATAAAGCAATGATAATATAACACCTGTCATCATCAAGTTTTAAATAACAAAAAAGGGTATTTTTTTTATATTTGGTTAACTTTATTTTACACATAAGACTATTTCAGAATATTTGGTTAAAAGTTCCTGTAAGTATAAGAAAAATGAATTCTGCAACACTAATATTGTCTCTTGGGGAATCAAAGGTGACAAGACAGTTGCTCCCTTTTCTGAATCTGATTATCAATGACAATAATGTCCTGATTGGTAATGTCATGATCCTGCCTACACTAAAATTTATTTCTGAGTGAGATAGAATTTCAAGAGGATTTCATTGGTGGAAGATCTTCAGGTCCTGATAAACCTGGGAGTATAATGACAAATGCATTTAACAATCATGTTATAAAACAAGTGATTATGTGAATCATTTATTATAATATCTGACACATAAGATCAATAAATTTGATGTTATTATTATAATTAACACATGAATCACAGTCTTGAAAAATCAATATTACTTGGAAATGGTCAGCATGATGGAAGAATGAGAATAGTAGAAAAATTGAGAGGATGTGAAACCAGCAGACAGAAAAAGAGAGAGAGAGAATGACGTTTAGTAGGAATGGACTAAGAAACTTTACACCTAATTTGGAAAGGATACCCATTATGTAGATTGACGTCAAGTATATCCTATGGGCCTAAGCATGATTCCTTAATGTACTAAGCTGGGCTGCATGTAAAAGAAAAACATGGTAGTGCCATGAGAAGCATGTGATCATTGTTTCTATATCTAACATGGATACCGTGGAGTAGGATGATTAGTACCATCTGTGTCACATACATTTAAAAGAAAGATTTTTTAGAAATCATGTACAACCTCTGGGTTTGTTAATCTCAAGATAAATGATCAAATAATACTATCAAATATTATCCTCAGTGATGATTAAATGGATGTGTCTCAAGAGATCAAGGCAACTATTTATGAAGCTCTCAAATAAGCTTGTATTTTAAAGGGACATTAACAAGATGAAAGAGAGTAATATAAAGAAAAGCAAACATGAAAGTGTGCCATGAGACTTTAAGAAAAGTACCAACTATATGAACTTCACAAATGATTGGGTTTAGGAAAAATATTCAGAAAAGTGAAATAGTTGAATGCAGAACAATACTAAAACAAATAGTGGTTTGAGAAAATCAAAGTGGAAAAAAAAGAGGTGATAATACAGATGTGTCTACTGTAAGTTAAGAAGGACTTCCTGTCTTAATTAATTATAATTTAGTTATTCAGAAAACTTGTATAGACCATAGAGGGGTAAATAAAGTTTCATTTTTATATGAGAGTTTTAACTTATATGGCTCAAATTATAAACTGAAGATTGTAGAACAGAACTAATGAATAAATATTATAGATGTACATCCCACTATAGACTTTGGTTATTTACTATAAAAACAGCTCAAAAATTAAGAAAAATATACAGTATTTGATTGACAGTTGAACACAATGAGGGTGTTATGCACTTATGTGAGACACATAAGAAGTACATGTAAAAAATAATAAGGTCAGAGGATGAAAAGCACTGAACGAAAGTAGAAGAAAGAAGCATTGTTATGGCATAGGAGAATATTGGTAGTGATCTACAAATTTAATTTCAATGAAGCCAGAGCCAGTTGAATTTTGATGAAGCCAAGGTAGCTTAAAAGGAGTCTTTTATAAAATTATTATTTTCAAAAGTGAATGCTGACACTAGTATTGAATTCCCTACAGCTGGAGATGTTCAAGATAGATGACTAATGATTCTTTAGGAAATACATTATGACACAGATTCATAACTATGATAGGATTTAATTTGGTCATCAGTGATCTATCATTAATTGCTCATAAATCTTATTTATTTACTGCTATTATTTGAACTTTTATATATTTTTTATATTTAGAACTACTGTTTCATCAGGCCTCAAATGGTATCCAGATTTATTTCTTTGTTTTCATTTTTATTTATTTAATATTTTAGTGACAGTTTTATTGAGATATAATTTATATACCATGAAATTCACCCATTTAAGGTGTACAATTTAATGGTTTTTAGTATATTTTCAGAGTTATACAACAGTCATAGCAATCAATTTTAGTACATCTTCACTAATCCAAAGAGAAAATCTTTAGTATTTAGCTATCATCTCCAAACACTGCCATGCTCCCTGGCATAAGGAAATCAATTTTGTGCCTTTTGTCTCTAAGGATTTGGTTAGCATGGACATTTTACATAAATGGAATTATATGATTCATGACCTTTGCATCTGGCTTCTTTCACTTAGCACAGTATTTTCAAGGTTCATCCATAGGTTGGTATATGTGAGTACTTTATTCATTTTTATGGTGGAATAATATTCCATTTTATGGACATGCCAGTTTTGTTTACCTGTTTATCAGTTGATGGCCACTTGGGTTGGTTCGGCATTTTGGCTTTTCTGAATAATGCTGCCACAATCATTTGTGTAAGGCTTGTGTATGAACATATGTTTATTTATTTTGGGTATATTCCTAGGAGTGGAAATGCTAGGTCAAATAGTAATTACATTTAAGAAACTTCCAGTGTGTTTTTCAAAGTAGCTGTGCCAATTTACATTTCTACCAGCAGTGTATGTGGGTTCCAGTTTCACTCTATTCTTGCCAATACTAGTTATTATTTGTTTTTGATTATACTCATCCTAGTGGATATGAGGTGGTTTCTTATAGTTGTTTTTGGATTTTCTGATGACTAATGATATTGACCATCTTTTTATGTATTTGATGGCTATTCGTGTATCTTCTTTGAAGAAATGTCTATTCAGACTTTTTTACTAATTTTTAACTGGATTATATAACTTTTATTATTTGGTTGCAAGATATTTTTATGTACTTAGATGCAAGTCTTTTCTTATATATTTTATTTGCAAATATTTTCTCCAATTCTGAAAATTATTTTTTCATTTTCTTTATGGTGTCTGTTGAAGCAATAAACTGTTAAACTGGTCTGAAGTTTGATTTTTTTTTTATCTTTGTTTTATTATACTTTAAGTTTTAGGATATATGTGCACATTGTGCAGGTTAGTTACATATGTATACATGTGCCATGCTGGTGCGCTGAACCCACTAACTCGTCATCTAGCATTAGGTATATCTCCCGATGCTATCCCTTCCCCCTCCCCCTACCCCACAAAGGTCCCCAGAGTGTGATATTCCCCTTCCTGTGTCCATGTGATCTCATTGTTCAATTCCCACCTATGAGTGAGAATATGCAGTGTTTGGTTTTTTGTTCTTGCGATAGTTTACTGAGAATGATGATTTCCAATTTCATCCATGTCCCAACAAAGGACATGAACTCATCATTTTTTATGGCTGCATAGTATTCCATGGTGTATATATGCCACATTTTCTTAATCCAGTCTATCATTGTTGGACATTTGGGTTGGTTCCAAGTCTTTGCTATTGTGAATAATGCCGCAGTAAACATACGTGTGCATGTGTCTTTATAGCAGCATGATTTATAGTCCTTTGGGTATATACCCAGTAATGGGATGGCTGGGTCAAATGGTATTTCCAGTTCTAGATCCCTGAGGAATCGCCACACTGACTTCCACAATGGTTGAACTAGTTTACAGTCCCACCAACAGTGTAAAAGTGTTCCTATTTCTCCACATCCTCTCCAGCACCTGTTGTTTCCTGACTTTTTAATGATTGCCATTCTAACTGGTGTGAGATGGTATCTCATAGTGGTTTTGATTTGCATTTCTCTGATGGCCAGTGATGATGAGCATTTTTTCATGTGTTTTTTGGCTGCATAGATGTCTTCTTTTGAGAAGTGTCTGTTCATATCCTTCGCCCACTTTTTGGTGGGGTTGTTTGTTTTTTTCTCGTAAATTTGTTTGAGTTCATTGTAGATTCTGGATATTAGCCCTTTGTCAGATGAGTAGGTTGTGAAAATTTTCTCCCATTTTGTAGGTTGCCTGTTGACTCTGATGGTAGTTTCTTTTGCTGTGCAGAAGCTCTTGAGTTTAATTAGATCCCATTTGTCAATTTTGGCTTTTGTTGCCATTGCTTTTGGTGCTTTAGACATGAAGTCCTTGCCCATGCCTATGTCCTGAATGGTAATGCCTAGGTTTTCTTCTAGGGTTTTTATGGTTTTAGGTCTAACGTTTAAGTCTTTAATCCATCTTGAATTGATTTTTGTATAAGGTGTAAGGAAGGGATCCAGTTTCAGCTTTCTACATATGGCTAGCCAGTTTTCCCAGCACCATTTATTAAATAGGGAATCCTTTCCCCATTGCTTGTTTTTCTCAGGTTTGTCAAAGATCAGATAGTTGTAGATCTGTGGCGTTATTTCTGAGGGCTCTGTTCTGTTCCATTGATCTCTATCTCTGTTTTGGTACCAGTACCATGCTGTTTTGGTTACTGTAGCCTTGTAGTATAGTTTGAAGTCAGGTAGTGTGATGCCTCCAGCTTTGTCCTTTTGGCTTAGGATTGACTTGGCGATGCGGGCTCTTTTTTGGTTCCATATGAACTTTAAAGTAGTTTTTTCCAATTGTGTGAAGAAAGTCATTGGTAGCTTGATGGGGATGGCATTGAATCTGTAAATTACCTTGGGCAGTATGGCCATTTTCACGATATTGATTCTTCCTACCCAGAAGCATGGAATGTTCTTCCATTTGTTTGTATCCTCTTTTATTTCCTTGAGCAGTGGTTTGTAGTTCTCCTTGAAGAGGTCCTCCACATCCCTTGTAAGTTGGATTCCTAGGTATTTTATTCTCTTTAAATGTAAATGGACTAAATGCTCCAATTAAAAGACACAGACTGGCAAATTGGATAAAGAGTCAAGACCCATCAGTGTGCTGTATTCAGGAAACCCATCTCACATGCAGAGACACACATAGGCTCAAAAGAAAAGGAGGGAGGAAGATCTACCAAGCCAATGGAAAACAAAAAATGGCAGGGGTTGCAATCCTAGTCTCTGATAAAACAGACTTTAAACCAACAAAGATCAAAAGAGACAAAGAAGGCCATTACATAATGGTAAAGGGATCAATTCAACAAGAAGAGCTAACTATCCTGAATATATATGCACCCAATACAGGAGCACCAAGATTCATAAAGCAAGTCCTGAGTGACCTACAAAGAGACTTAGACTCCCACACATTAATAATGGGAGACTTTAACACCCCACTGTCAACATTAGACAGATCAACGAGACAGAAAGTCAACAAGGATACCCAGGAATTGAACTCAGCTCTGCACCAAGTGGACCTAATAGACATCTACAGAACTCTCCACCCCAAATCAACAGAATATACATTTTTTTCAGCACCACACCACACCTATTACAAAATTGACCACATAGTTGGAAGTAAAGCTCTCCTCAGCAAATGTAAAAGAACAGAAATTATAACAAACTATCTCTCAGACCACAGTGCAGTCAAACTAGAACTCAGGATTAAGAATCTCACTCAAAACCGCTCAATTACATGGCAACTGAACAACCTGCTCCTGAATGACTACTGGGTACATAATGAAATGAAGGCAGAAATAAAGATGTTCTTTGAAACCAACGAGAACAAAGACACAACATACCAGAATCTCTGGGACGCATTCAAAGCAGTGTGTAGAGGGAAATTTATAGCACTAAATGCCCACAAGAGAAAGCAGGAAAGATAAAAAATTGACACCCTAACATCGCAATTAAAAGAACTAGAAAAGCAAGAGCAAACACATTCAAAAAATAGCAGGAGGCAAGAAATAACTAAAATCAGAGCAGAACTGAAGGAAATAGAGACACAAAAAACCCTTCAAAAAATTAATGAATCCAGGAGCTGGTTTTTTGAAAGGATCAACAAAATTGATAGACCGCTAGCAAGACTAATAAAGAAAAAAAAAGAGCAGAATCAAATAGATGCAATAAAAAATGATAAAGGGGATGTCACCACCGATCCCACAGAAATACAAACTACCATCAGAGAATACTACAAACACCTCTATGCAAATAAACTAGAATATCTAGAAGAAATGGATAAATTCCTCGACACATACACTCTCCCAAGACTAAACCAGGAAGAAGTTGAATCTCTGAATAGACCAATAACAGGCTCTGAAATTGTGGCAATAATCAATAGCTTACCAACCAAAAAGAGTCCAGGACCAGATGGATTCACAGCCGAATTCTACCAGAGGTACAAGGAGGAACTGGTACCATTCCTTCTGAAATTATTCCAATCAATAGAAAAAGAGGGAATCCTCCCTAACTCATTTTATGAGGCCAGCATCATCCTGATACCAAAGCCAGGCAGAGACACAACCAAAAAAGAGAATTTTAGACCAATATCCTTGATGAACATTGATGCAAAAATCCTCAATAAAATACTGGCAAACCGAATCCAGCAGCACATCAAAAAGCTTATCCACCATGATCAAGTGGGCTTCATCCCTGGGATGCAAGGCTGGTTCAATATATGCAAATCAATAAATGTAATCCAGCATATAAACAGAGCCAAAGACAAAAATCACATGATTATCTCAATAGATGCAGAAAAGGCCTTTGACAAAATTCAACCACCCTTCATGCTAAAAGCTCTCAATAAATTAGGCATTGATGGGACGTATTTCAAAATAATAAGAGCTATCTATGACAAACCCACAGCCAATATCATACTGAATGGGCAAAAACTGGAAGCATTCCCTTTGAAAACTGGCACAAGACAGGGATGCCCTCTCTCACCACTCCTATTCAACATAGTGTTGGAAGTTCTGGCCAGGGCAATTAGGCAGGAGAAGGAAATAAAGGGTATTCAATTAGGAAAAGAGGAAGTCAAATTGTCCCTGTTTGCAGACGACATGATTGTATATCTAGAAAACCCCATTGTCTCAGCCCAAAATCTTCTTAAGCTGATAAGCAACTTCAGCAAAGTCTCAGGATACAAAATCAATGTACAAAAATCACAAGCATTCTTATACACCAACAACAGACAAACAGAGAGCCAAATCATGAGTGAACTCCCATTCACAATTCACAATTGAAGTTTGATTTATTTAGTTTTCTTTTGTTGCTTATGCTTATGGCGTCATATCTAAAAGTCCATTGCTAAATCCGAGGTCAAAAAACTCATTTTCTTGTAAGTGTCTTAGCTCTAACGTTTATGTTTATGGCCCTATTTGAGTTAAATATATATTTTATATTTTTTACTGATATGTTTAGTTGTACATATTTTGGGGGTATATATGATATTTTGATATATGTATAAAATGTGTAATTATCAAATTAGACTCGTTTAGATATCCATCATTTCAAACACTTTTCTTTGTGTTGGAAACATTATATTTCTTCTTTTCCAGCTATTTTGAAATTTACAATAAATTATCAACTATAATTCCTTTACTGTACCATCAAATAATGGAACATATTTTCTCTATCTAACAGTAGTTTTATACCCACTAGCCAACTTCTCTTCTTCCTCCTCCCTTTTGTTTTTAGCCTCTGGTAACCACCATTCTACTCTCTACCTCTATGAAATTTATTTTGTTATCTTCCAATTATGAGTGAGAACATGTGATATTTCTTTTTCTGTGCCTGGCCTTTCTCACTTAACATCATTACATCACATTCCATTCATGTTGCTGTTGCTGCAAATGACAGGATTTCATTCTATATATATATTGTTTCCCAGGCTGGAGTGCAGTGGCACTATCTCAACTCACTGCAACCTCCGCCTCCCTGGTTCAAGCTATTCTCCTGCTCAACCTCCGGAGTAGCTGGGATTACAGGCTCCTGCCACCACAAAAAGCCAATTTTTGTATTTTTAGTAGACAGGGGTTTCACCATGTTGGCCAGGCTGGCCTCAAACTCCTGACCTCAGGTGATCCACCCACCTCAGCCTCCAAAAGTGCTGGGATTACTGGTGTGAGCCACTGTACCCAGCCCTTTTTGATATATTTTGAAGAATATTTCCAATTTACTATACTGAATGCGATGGTCAGCAGTCTGACCAACATTTGCAAAAAGATGCTTTTAATGGCTTTTCATTATATATATTTCGTGTTATTTTCTTAGTGGTTGCTTTAAACCTTTCAGAAGCTGCTTCATGTTTATACTATTTCCAGTGAGACATATAAATGTTAATCCTATATAACTCTATTCTCTTTCCCTTTTTTTGTGATATTATTGTTATATATATTATACCCATATAAGTTACAAACCCAATAATACATTGCTATAAGTATTACTTTATAAAATTTTATGCTTTTAATGAACCTTGGGGAAAAAATTAAAGCAAGTGTGTATTTCTAGCTTTTATTATATTTTTTATTCCCCCCTAATCATATTAACTTATTTTTTATCAATTGTTTCTATTTTTTGTCTCTGTCTTTTAAGTTATCCTATTGTGTAACTTTCTGATCCCAGAATAGCCTTTCACCCACCTACTTTCCTGTTACTGGCAAGTACATTTTATTCAATAAGTTATAGGCTGAACAATGAATGTAATTGTACTCATAACAATCGATGTAATTGTAGAATGGATTTTAAGACAATTTAAAATGAAAGAATGAATTATACTATATTTTATAATTGGATAATTACCTTAAGCAGTGTTATTTGCTTTTTTGTTCTTTCAGTGGATTAAAATTGCTGTCTGCTTTTACTTGCTTTTACCCTGAAGAAATTTCTTTAGTGTTCTCTATAACTTGGGTCTGATGGCAACAAATTGTTCCAGTTATTATTTATCAGGAAGTATCTTTATTTTACCTTCATTTTTGAGAGATGGCTTTATGGGATATAGAATTCTTGTTTAATTATATATTTTTTTCTTTCAGCACTTTGAATTTTGTAGTCTACTGCCTTGTGAACTCCGTTATTATGCGTGAGAAGTCAGGTGTTACTCTTATTAGGGTTCCTTGTAAGTAGAAAATCATTTTTCTCTTGCTGTCTTCAAAATTTCTCCTTGTCTTTGGCTTTCAGCATTTTTACTCACCTCTAAGCTGCACTCACCCTGAAACCTAGCCTCTGCTACAGGTAGCCATGGGCAGGATGAAACCTGCTATTTGCTTTGTTTGTTTTCTTTTATTTGTTCATCTGCTTTCCCCTCCTGGACAGATACTGTAGCACACCAATTGGGAGCTGGGGGAAGAAGTGGATGCTCTCATCTAGAGTGGCATTTTCATAATTCTGAGCTAGGGTGGAGGGTGAAGGTAGCATGGGGAGAAACTGAGATGTGGTCCAAATGCCTCACACTCGTTTTTCTAATAAAGCTTTTAGTAGATTTGTTGAACAAATCTTTCTTCATTTACTGTATGCCCTTAGTAATATTTTGGCAAATGTCAGAATTTTTTTTTCAGTAATTTTTACTTTTTGGCTAGGGAACAAATCTGTGAAGCTCTTCATGCTGCCATGCTAACAGTGAAATTATTCAATTGAGAATTATTTCTTTACAACCAAAGTGTGACCTTCTTTAAATCCCTCAGTAGCTCCCATAATTTTAAGTCTTACTTCTTTAACTTGCCAGATCAGGACTTCCTTGATCCTCAGTAAAATTCTGTGTTTACTTCCTGGCATCTGATGCTATGGTAATACGAGTTTATCATTAGTTTCCTGAATGTGCCATGTAGTTTTCTAATCCATGACATTGCTCAAAATGTTTAACTTGCCTTTCTCTTATTTATAATTTACTTAAAATTCCTGAATATCTATAATCATCCCTTTACTCTTAGCCTAAATATTAACCATTCCTTGAAATTTTCTTGAACACTTTCTGATGGAAACTTTTTTGTTTGTCCATAAATTCTGAGCATATATTTATTGAGAGCATATTATAATTATTATAGTTATCTACAAATATATTTGTCTTTCTGTCTTGCAAACAAGATCGCAATAACTTTGAAATAAGGCACACATTCATTCACATATATCATAGTTATATATGTAGATATATTTAAAATTGTTAATGTGTGTATTATACACACACACACACACACACAAAGATTACTATATTATAGCCACTGAATAATTTATTGTAAAAGTACTAAGTTTAAGATGATTTTCAATAGATTCATTTATACTTGTTTCTTTGTATGCCTATGATTTTGCAGTCTTTGAATTTTAAACTTTATTTTCCATAGTCTTTACCCATTTATGAACATACATTTCTCTTTTCCTTGATGAATTTCTATGACTCCTCTTTCAAGTACTCCATAAATTTTCTCTCTCATGCCTAAGTAGTATTTTATTGCTATGACTAGAATAGCACTATACTTATCATATACATATAACATGTTATATAAATGCATATTATATAACATATATGTTTATGTATTATAAATATACTATGTATATATTATAAATTACTTGTGACCTATGTGAAAAAAAATAAGACAATAAGATCATATGCTTTGGAAGAATAGACCGTGTTGGCAATAGCAAAGAAAAACATGCTTAAAATAGAGGGTAAACTTTACTTTGAATAAAATAGTCATCAATCAGAAGGACTTTAATAGCAAGCATGTTAGTATATTTGTCTTCCTGTATTGAACATATAGATTTAGGTTTAGGGACATTTTGCAGAAAAATGAAACAATGTCAAATATATAACAAAATACCTTTGATTATGTGGTGACCGACAAAAGAGGTATCTGTAGCTATTACATTGTTTCTATAAACTCAGAAGACATTTTAAGTATCTCCACATTAGTAGTCAAAGCTAACACCCTATCACATTTTATAAAGTCGAAATATATGTGGAAATCTTACTTAAATCTTTTAGACCTGGCTACTCATCTTTAAATTTGGAATAATACTAACCATTCCTTTATAAGTATGGTCAATGTGTGTTCATGTGTATGTATGTGGAATGTGTGATATAATTTGAAACACATATTCTTAATAAGTGTTTGTCTTAGTGTTATTATTGACTATTGTACAACCCCCAGTCTCAGAGTTTAGTGGGAAATAGTGAACATGTCATTTATACAAGAAGTGTCACTGATTTTTCTTTCAAAATTCATTTATATAATATATGGGAAATGCATTTAAAATGTTTAAGGGGAACACCTCTCTGGCCATCTGATCTTTGACAAACCTGACAAAAAAAAGAAATGGGGAAAGGATTGCCTACTTAACAAATCATGCTGGAAAAACTGGCTAGCCATATGTAGAAAGCTGAAACTGGATTCCTTCCTTACATCTTATATAAAAAATAATTCAAGATGGATTAAAGACTTAAATGTTAGACCTAAAACCATAAAAAACCTAGAAGAAAACCTAGGCAATACCATGCAGGTCATAGGCATGGGCAAGGACTTCATGATTAAAACACCAAAAGCAATGGCAACTAAAGCCAACATAGACAAATAGGATCTAATTAAATTAAAGAGCTTCTGCATGGCAAAATAAACTACCATCAGAGTGAACATGCAACCTACAGAATGGGAGAAGATTTTTGCAATCTACCCATCTGACAAACGGCTAATATCCAGAATATACAAAGAACTTAAATAAATTTACAAGAAAAAATCAAACAACCCCATCAAAAAGTGGGCAAAGGACATGAACAAACACTTCTCAAAAGAAGACATTTATAGAGCTAGCAGACACATGAAAAAATGCTCATCATCACTGGTCATCAGAGAAATGCAAATCATAACCACAATGAGATACCATCTCATGCCAGTTAGAATGGCAATCATTAAAAAATCAGGAAACAACAGATGCTGGAGAAGATGTGGAGAAATAGGAACACTTTTACACTGTTGGTGGGAGTGTAAATTAGTTCAACCATTGTGGAAGACAGTGTGGCGATTCCTGAAGGATCTAGAACTAGAAATACCATTTGACCCAGTGATCCCATTACTGGGTGTATACCCGAAGGATTATGTATCATGCTGCTATGAAAACACATGCACACATATGTTTATTGTGGCAGTATTCACAATAGCAAAGACTCGGAACCAACCCATATGTCCATCAATAATAGACTTGATTAAGAAAATGTGGCACATATACACCATGGAATACTATGAAGCCATAAAAAATAATGAGTTCATGTCCTTTGTAGGGACATGGCTGAAGCTGGAAACCATCATTCTCAGCAAACTATCACAAGGACAGAAAACCAAACACTGCATGTTCTCACTCATAGGTGGGAATTGAACAATGAGAACACTTGGGCATAGGGTGGGGAACATCTCACACCAGGGTCTTTCGTGGGGTGAGGAGCTGGGGGAAGTATAGCATTAGGAGAAATACCTAATGTAAATGACGAGTTGATGGGTGCAGCAAACCAACATGGCACATGTATACATATGTAACAAACCTGCACGTTGTACACATGTACCCTAGAACTTAAAGTATAATTAAAAAAATGTTTAAGGGGAAATAAATTATTACTAAGTATTTTACTCTAGACCAGCATGGAGCTTCATCATTGAAATGTGATTTCTTAGCTAACTTTTGCAATTTACTGATAGACTATTATTTTTCACTAGCACACTCATTTTTTTCATTTACTTTTTATTGTGTAAAATATTCATACCATAGAATTTATCATTTTAATCATGTTTCAGTTTGCAATTCAGTGCCACTATGTATATTTGTAATGTTTTGCAACTATCATTGATAGCCATTTCTGAAGCCTTTTTATCATTCCAAGAAAAGTTCTATACATATTCAACAATAACTCTATATTTTCCATTCTCCCAAGCTCCGGATATTTCCTTGTATTTTCTGTCTCTATGAATTTACCCACTCTAGGTGCTTCATATAAGTGGAATCATACAATATTTGTCTGTTCTTGTCTGGCTCATCTCAGCGTAGCGTTTTCAAGGTTCATTCATTGTAGCGTGTATCACAATTTCCTTCTTTTCTAAGGCTGAGTAACAGTCCATAGTATGTACATACTACACTTGTTTTATTCATTCATCTGTTAATGACATTGAATAGTCTCCAATAGTACTTGCCTCTTTTTACATTTGTATTCCTGCTTATGCAAGACAGAGATGAATAAGTCCTCCAGACAGGTTAGAGGAGACATACACAATGATTTGCAAACCACGTCTGCTCTACTCTGTCTGGTTTAGAGAGGGAAACTGGGAAGTGATTGCTACCATTTAAGACCAAGAATATTGCTCACCCTGGGTAGGAGGGGAGGATAAAAGTGAGTAAAAATACCAGAAAACTTTCCGACTGTTTTGAAGATGGCTTTTTATTGATTACTTTTGTGTTCGCTACAAACTTTTGATTGTTGTCTAGAATTTCTACAGTATTCATTCAGACAGCTTCTGGTTGTTTTTCAGTGTGTCAATGGGAGAATGAGTGATTATCTGCCTTTTGCCAATATCATCCCTCACAAACATACACAAAATATGTAGCCAGGAAAATGTTGCCAAAATCTAGTAAATACTGTTTAATACTTAAATGAATTTGATGGATTTTATAGGATATTTAATTTTTATGTTTGCATCTACATGACACAAACCATCTGGTTGAAAAAACAAAAAATTAGCCAATTACTGGGGAATTTCATTTAAGTACCAACTGAATTAACTGAATTAAGCACTGTATCACCAATAAATCAAATCAAATAAAAATAAGACTCTGTGTTATAAGCACATGAAAAAAAAGAAGGTGGCAATGGCATAATTTCCCCTACATCACCTCTTCCTGACTTTGTGTCTCTTGCCCCAGGATAGAAGACTACCATGGGCTTGATCACATTCTCTCTTTGGGTGTTTATGGCTTTTGGTAGGATACCATGTTGATTACTTTTACTTTAGGGAGAATCATCTCTAAAAATTCTTGCTGAAAAAGGAACTGAAAAAGTTTTCAGTATCAGGGTCTTACTAAAGAGAATGGGTATAGGACAGGCATAGTAAGAAAATCCCATAATAGAAACGCTAACATTTTATGCACTCACACCTTCCCAGTTCCATCTGATTCCTCATTATTGTAATTGGTTCTGGGAGTATGAAATGAATCAGGGGAGAAAAGGAGTTGCCTAACTACTATTAGCTCAATTAGTTGATTTTTCACTGAGATATGTACTTCAAACTAAAATATTTCTAAACCGGGGAATTTTTGACAAACATAGTTATCATTTATTTATAATACGTTTTTTTCATCAAAAAATGTAAGATGCTAAACCCTATTTATTTGTGAATATTAGGAAAGATTTTTGTTTTAAATTTTAAGCAAATAATAATAATAAATAAGAGCATCTTGTGAAATAGCCCTACATTATGGTCTAGTTCCCTCTTTAACTCCAAAATTAAGATTACATAATTCTATGTCTGCATTATATATACATTATGCATTTAATGACACTTGTCATTATTTTAAAGGCAAATAATAATTTAAACCAATACAACATTAATATATTATGCTGTTAGGATTTCCAAAACAAAATGATATTATCATAAAGAATATAATGGTTAATTCCATCCCCGGATACTAAATTAAATAATGACCTTTTACACCCAAGGTAAAATTATTTAGTGTGTCCCAAGACTTGGCCATAATCTTAATCAAGTACTCATCAAAATTATACTACTTACCAGTCTGCCACATTCTTTCTCTCAAGGAAATTTATTTCCAATTTAAAATGAAAAGAAGATTTAGAAATATAATATGCATGCCATATATATGCTAGAAAGTGAACTCTGTCTTCAGAAATATTTTAGCTTTTAGTTATTTTAATTGTCTATATTAAAATAGAATTATGGCTTTTTTTTTTTTGTCTCACTCTGTCACCCAGACTGGAGTGCAGTGTCACAATCTCAGGTCACTGCAAACTCTGCCTTCTGAGTTCATGTGATTCTCCTGCCTCAGCCTCTCAAGTAGCGGCACCACAGCCGATTAAATTTTGTATCCTTAGTAGAGACAGGGTTTCACCATTTTGGCTAGGCTGGTCTCAAACGCCTGATCTCAGGTGATCTGCCCACCTTGGTCTCCCAAAATTCTGGGATTTTAGGCACAGGCCACTGCACACGACCATTTATATGTCTTGATGCATCACTGAACTCATGTTCTAACAATGTTTTTATATGTTTATAAAAAGGTTGTAGTTTAGGATGAAAATTCAATTATTTGGTTTCCTGGTTTAAACATAAGACAGGATACCTGCATTGTTTTACAATTGTCAGCTACAAAATATGTACCCAGGAAAATGTTGCCAAAATCTAGTAAACACTATTTAATGATTTAAATGAATTTGATGGGTTTTATAGGATATTTAATCCTTATGTTTGCCTCTACGTGACACAAACCATCTGGTTTAAAAATCGAAAAATTAGCCAATTACTTGGGAATTTCATTTAAGTACTAACTATATCTGAAATCATAAGAGAGTCATACTTCCCTTTTTAGCTGAGATGTGTATAAAAAAGATATTGAAAAATATATTGAATAATCTAATGAAAAATATATCTCAAAAACTAACACTTTCTGCATGCTATTGTTTGTAACACAGCCCTACATTTCTGTGTGTTATTCTTTAGTAAATGGTGATTGATTGAATTTTTAAAAATGTCCTTAGTATTTGAGAACCTTAGGAATGTTACAGAAATGTAACCTCCTTTTCAGGTGGACTCTAATATTTATAACATCATATATCTTCTGTGACATGTTCTATTTTCTCCTAATATTTTAATATTTTTCCAGAGGTTGACATAATCAATGGCATTTAAGACCATTGTATTTTGAATATTAAAATGAAGTGGTTAATAATTAGCTCAATATTAAATGATCATTCTCCTATGAATTATTTGAACAGTTAGCATCTCATCTTCAAAAAGATGGCCCCTTAATTTACAAATAGGCACTCCAAGAATGCAACAAATAAACTGAAATGTGTCTATTTTAAACAAGAATATTAAAAGAGAAAAGAAATATATGTAGTAAGCTGTAATTTGCATTTTAAGGGTTCAGGCAATGGAGGTGGCTATAATCTAAGGCAGAGAAAAGAAATTGGTCAACTAAGTTATAAAGGAAATACAGATGTTAGTGGAGATTACAATGAGAAGTAACAATGTATTCATCTTCAAAAGTACAAAGTAAATAAATAAAGATTGATTGGGAGGTTAAGCCTAACAAATAACAAAAATAGATGAGACAATAAAAGAAATAGGTGAGGAAGAAGAACCAATTTTCCTTTCTCTTTCATTCTCTTAAATCCATCAAGAAACCCCACTGTTTCAGCTATAAATTTCCACGTGGTGGTGCAAAGGGAATGACCCAGACTTGGGTTTGCAAGCAAATTCATAAATTAATAAGCTCTGGAATTTTTAGGCAAGTGACTTAACCTACCTGAGCCCATCTCATCAGAGGCATGTAAACAGTATCAATCATTTCACCAGTTGTTAATTTATGACACTAAATAAATACACTTTAATTTCTTTCTCTTTCCTTGCTGTTGTCTCGTAGAAAATAATACAATTAATATGTTTGTACTGTCTATACTTTTTTTGGATAAAATTTAATAATTTTTTGACATTTGTGAACTTTTCTGAAGCGATTCTCTGGGAATACTGTATGTGTATTTATATGAGGTACTACACATAAATTCATCAATTCATTTATTCATGCAATTATTCTTTCAAAGACATAAATGGAGTATGATTCTGTTGCAGGCACTTCGGGTCCAGGAGTATTCACCAACAGACAACTCAGACAAGGTCTTGCTCTTTTTTTTTTTGAGATGGAGTCTTGCTCTGTTGCCCAGGCTGGAGTGCAGTGGTGCGATCTCAGCTCACTGCAACCTCCATCTCCTGGGTTCACACCATTCTCCTGCCTCAGCCTCCCGAGTAGCTGGGACCACAGGCACCCGCCACCACGCCTGGCTAAGTTTTTGTATTTTTAGTAGAGATGGGGTTTCACCGTGTCAGCCAGGATGGTCTCCATCTCCTGACCTCGTGATCCGCCCTCCTTGGCCTCCCAAAGTGCTGGGATTACAGGTGTGAGCCACCGCGCCCAGCCAGGTCTTGCTCTTAATGAGAAGCATAGTACCATCAGGAAAGAGATACAGGAGCAGACCATTGATTTTAATCAGAAAATATTTAGACATGTCTAAATGTAAATATAAGTAATAGTAATAAAAGGGATACATTTAGGAGACAGGAGCAGGGTGAAATACTGGTGCAACAGCTATAGAAGGCAACAAATGTCAGACATCAGAATAGCACCAAGAACTTGACATGAGAGAGACACCAGAGCATTTTTTCCACCAGAAGAGAAAATAGCAAGAAAGTAGAAAAACAGGTTGGTGGGTGGATTTGGTGGTAGAATAACCAGGTATTTCCCAACTTATCCCTTAAATTTTCCCAGGTATGACCCAAAGACACAGTTTGTAGGCAAGGGGGTATAGGAGGTTTGTGGAGAGAAGGACTGTGGAGTGCTTGCCTTGGAGGGTGAGAAAGCATATTTGTCTGGGAACACAATAATACAGCCAATAGGTATAAAGTAAATCCATATGAAGTCTACTGAAAAAAAGATTTCAATAAATCATGACAACAAAGTTGTGTGATTTTTCTCCTGTGACATCCAGTTGAACACGTGCTCTATGAAGTGTCCTTATGTTGAAGATTAACCAGGTTTGGGGTTTTTGCTGATAGAGAGAAAGATAATAAAATTAAGGCTGTAAGCAAGGGTTGAATAAATTTCTAAGATGAGGAATCTGAAATAAGTGGAGGAAGAAAATAGGACATGGATGAAGTGATGAATTGGTTAAAACTGATAAGAGTAGTGAATTATAGGCTCCTAATAGGATCAAATGACTGAACTGAGGATTTTGGACTTGGGGTAAAAAGTCCTGCTAGAAAGTAACTGGCTGAAATTTGTTGCTAAAAAGATGCTAGGACTTTAGGAGGGCAAGAAATTAGGAGTCAAGGGTTTTCGTTTGATTTCAAATGTCAGCAAGAAGAATGAAAGGAATAAAAGAGCAGAGGGATAGAGTTTGATATGGTTAGGCTTTGTGTCCTCACCTAAATCTCATCTTGAATCATAATCCCACGTGTTGATGGGGAAGAACCAGGTGAAAGGTGATTGTATCATGGGGTGGTTTCCCCCATACTGTTCTTGTGATAGTGAGTTCTCAAGAGAGCTGATAGTTTTAAAGTGTGGCACTCCCTCCTTCTCGCACGTACTCTCCTGCCACTATGTGAGAAAGTCCAAGCTTGCTTCCCCTTTGCTTTCCACCACGATTGTAAGTTTTCTGAGGCCTCCCCAGCCATGCAGAACTGTGAGTCAGTTAAACCTCTTCTCTTTATAAATTACCTAGTCTCAGGCATTTGTTTATAGCAGTGTGAAAATGGACTAATACGGAGTGACACAGTGAAGCTGAAGTGTTCAAAAAATAAAAAAAGAGGGATAATCTGGAATGTTATACCAGGTAGTAATAAAGTGGTAAAGTCAGTGGTGTAAGCCTGATGACACAAACTTCAAGGATGTGGGGTTGTTGAAGGAAGGAGGAGAGAAAAAATCGGAAATGACAATGTGGAACAAGTAGGACACCTAGCTCTCTTCCAAGCCATGAAAAGTCCAGAATGTTAGAAAAATTCTATCGCTTAAGAGAGCTCCAAGGCATACTATCCTAAGTAAACAGACAGGTTTGAGTTTAAAAAACAAACAACAAAAAAACACCACCACAACAAAAAACCAAGAGGATTTTAGAAGTAATTTGCAAATCACTTCTGAAGAGAATAAATGATAGATTTTCAGAGACCAAAATAAAATGATGCGATGAAAGCTAGAAAACTGAGATAGATAAGTATATATAGAGAAATACATAGGAATAAAGAAGTTTGAAGATAGTGCTTCAGATGAACATGAATGAGGAAGGTCAAGTTTAATGGACACATCATGATAAGAAATTCTGAAATGTGATGATAGAGACCCAGACATATCCTGCTTAGAAAATAAATTTCAAATATCACTACAAGTTTTTTAGGCATATAAATAGAAAAAAAATCACAATTATAATTGACAAAATTAGCCTCAGAATTTATCATGGCAAAATTCAAACATAAGAAAAATTAAGCATGGTTCATGATTATTATATCCATCTATGATATCATTGAAGTGAAAAGACAAAAAAAAATCTAAGGTGAGCTTTCCAAATGCAAAAGCAGTGAGGTGGAATCTATGGATCAAGATAAAAATGTGGGAGTGGAAGCTGTGAAAGGACTGGGATGAAACTTTGGTTTAAGAAAAGAATGCTAAGTAATCATATTTTCCCCAGCATCAGGATGAAAGAGATGGATGGCAGTATATGATTTTTGAATGCTATTAACCTGTATTTCACATTGTAGAATCAATTGTACCTGTCTAAAATACTTAGAAAATATAGCTTTATGTCTCTAAATTCTTACTGTTTTTAAAATTGATTTTTTACCTTTAAAATGACAGAAATTAATATATTTTGAATGATGAAGGATGTATATGAGGTTCAGCAATTCCTTCCATCTCATCACAGTTTTCTCTGCCTATATTAAATGACAAATTAAAGTACAATTTAGTTTAACGGTTCCATCATTTTTACTATAAAGCAGCATGTGTTAGCCCTCATTAATATGCTCTTAATATATGAAAAATGTAGTGACAGTCATCAACTTAGAAATTCAGCAATTTTCTTTTCCTGTCAAGACATATAGCATTCTTCTATGTATTATAGAGGATATAAAAGATAAGTAAAAATCTGTTCCTTATATTTAATATATTCATGTGAAAATATTAAATATGAATATCATGTGGTTTACTATTTGGTGCCAAATAACTTGTAAACAGTATATTATCAGTTCATAAAATAAGTATAGACAAATATACTCTATAAGACCAAACTAGACATAGCAGGTGTCGAACTTGAAAAACTAGTAAAAAATATAAGAAAAAAATAAAAAATGTTCGAATTATACTTTAATTGTGAGAAATGGAGGTTTTCTCATCCTTGCATTGTTGGGATAAATGTAAAAAGTTTTTGGTCTAAGAAATAAAGGGATGTTTTTGGCTCTTATGATTTATCTAGGATCATCCAGAACCTCATCACTGAATGAAGAAATGAAACTTTTTCTCTTCTTTATGTCTCCCATTGTATTTATTTAAACATAAAGCTAAGACTTCCTGAGGAATCAACAAGTATATCAGTGTCTTTGAGATCTACGTGTTTCCAGGTTTAACATGAATCAGGAAGAGAGATTATTTATCCTGATAATTATTATAAATGAACAGGAAACTTTTTTCTCTCCGAAACCAGGATCAAATGTTCCTTAAGCCTCATATATCCTTAAGTAATGATAATGGCCCAGGATATGAGAAGTAGAGATTCTCAAATGCCAGTTTGTTATTTTTCAGGGTTTAAATTACATAGATTACTTAGTACGTGGTAAGCAGCATACCAACACCAAACTGGAGTACTGTAAATGATAAAGAAATGATGCCAGGATGTCAAAAATAGCAGGGACTATTGTCATGCCATTTGCTTGACTGATTCACTAAAGTCATGAATGATTTCAGTTGCACAGCACAGAAGAGATATGAAAGTAATGGCAAAACTGCAATCACTTTTGCACCAACCTAATATAAACAGTAACGGCAAAAACCTCAATTACTTTTGCACCAATCATATACTCAGTTTCAGTGAGGTTCAGTAAGGCCATCAGAAAATTATGGGATTTTTTGTTTTGTTTTTTTTGTTTTTTTTTTAATTATCCTTGGAGAAGCTATTCACCAGTGGGAGAAAAAAAATGAGGCAAGGAATGAGAGTTACTTTGATGTTCAAAAAAAAAATGAAAGACACATTGATTCATATAATTTTCTAATACTAATCTAGTTTAAGAGAACATTATCTTAGTAACATTTTCTGCTTAGAATTACTATATAGATATGACACCTGTATCTACATTGATATCTAATGTTTACCTACCTGTGTAAGAAATTTTAAAAAGCCAAAAGAGAAAGACACAATGAAGAAATATTACTTAGTACTTTTTGTTATAAAGTTTTATAGTGGTTAGGTGTCCTTGGCTGGAGATGGACACCTTAATGGAGTCATGCTGAAACTGTGGGGGGAACTTTTGGAAAGTACTGTTTGGAACGAACACCCAGAAAGTTTTTATCCTTTTATACTAAGCCTAAGCAAAAATAAATCTTTCTGCAAAAGTGCTAATGTGACATTAAACATGACCTTTTAAGCAACTGATTGAAATGCAAGTTTTAAAAAAAAGAAAGAAAGCTAAATAACATCACATCAAATAATGTATCAATTTATTTTAGCTTTATTAAAAATTCAAAAATAAGTTTTTGATTTAAAGGATTATTAGCATAGAATATGCTGCATGTTAAAATTATAAGATTTTCCACTCAGCTAATATTTTTATGCCGATGTAATTTTGACAATAAACAATTAACATATCACTATGCATGTTACCTCTGGTCTCTAGCATAATGTCTGAATGAAGCTTAAAAAGGGATGTTAGACTAAACCTTCAAAATTCTTGAAATGAATACATATGGAAGTGGAAGACACATTGATTAACATAGGGTCACCCTAGATGAGATGAAAGATGACCTTTATTGTGATGATTCAGAGGAAGCTGCCAAACAGCTAATACCCCCAGAAAAATCTACAGCACAACGTGTTTCAATGTACTCACCAGTTACTTGTTTATGGGAAAGTAAAATACAATACTTAGAATATGTCAGTTAGGAATTAAAGAGGATAATTAGTTTAAAAAGTATATTCTTGACCCAGGGTAGGTCTTGTGATGATGCAGAGGACTGAAACACTCAACAATGTAATTGGCCCCTAAATTGCTGTATAATAAACTAAGTGGGGAAGGTGTGTTGCATTCCATTAGACTGATGGCTTCTATGCCTCTGAGAAGCTGTGATTGATAAATTAAGTGTAAAACCTTTTTGAAATCTTAGTGTTTGACCTATATATTATTTCTTGTACTTTGACTCCTTTATGTGATCACATTGGTTTAATTGTGATTTTCCTTCTCAAACTAACGGTGTAGTAATGGGGAAACATATACAAATCCTGTATCTAAGATTTGGTGCATATTGACTTAGATATGAATAAATATTTATACATATATGTAAGTTAAGGTAAGTGACCATACTTCCCTTCAGAGTACACAAATAGGCCCAGTAGTTGTCTGTTCATCACTAGTATTTCTCTTTTGACTAAGGATCTCTGTTCTAGTCAGTGGGAGCACTGTATGGAAGTAATCTGCGGGAGTCAAATAGGAAATGGGAATTTGAAAGGATATTTTGAAGTTCCATAAGTTAGATTTTATTCTTTTTAAATATGTTTTCAATTAATCACAGAATTATATTCCCCTGGCTATTTAAAATTTAAAGACAGCTGTTTAGCACATTAATCTAATCTTTTATAGTTTGACGCTTACTTGCTGCACAGCTTACATGTTATAAGGATATGTACAACTCTATTCTAGCATTGGACAAATATTTTGAAAGTGTGTACATTTTACCCTTCTAAAAAATGCCCCAATTTGCCTTTGAAAATTCTCAGTATTAAGAAGTTTACAACCGTGATCTTTAGTTACAAAACACTTAATTATTTCTTTTTCAAAAGAAAATTCTAAACTGCCATCCTTAAGAATTTCCATTCTTGGTCCCTAGGAGATTCTCAGCAACAGGTTTTGGTACTGTCACATCACACATTTTTGCTTCTAACCTAACTCTATTTTATTTTTAAGCTTATCCAATATTTTTTCTCTTCTTGGTGTACATGGAAATCAATCTGCAACAAAAGCCTCCCTTGAATAACTTCTTGCAATTAAAAGAAGCACCTAACGCACAATTCAACATTCTTTTCACCAATGAATCACTCTCATATCTTTCAGGTACTCTCCTCATTAGGGGTTGTTTTAATTTTTTTTTTTTTTTTTGGTTGAGCTGTATTTATTTATTTATTTATTCCCTCACTTGTCTTTCAAGCATCTCAAAAGCCAAAGAAATCAGGTCAGGAACTGGGAGTGTGTCATAATAAAGTCATAACTTATAACTAAGTGTAACTCAATAAGGAAATGTTAGGCCTATGAAATTCTGGAGAGGTCATGATTTACCCCTGATCATTGAAATTCAGGACTTTTAGTTTGTTTTCTTTGTTTTTTTTTTATTTTTACATAACTCATATAACAAAGTAATATGAATTTTTAGGTAAAATGTTGCTGATATTGTGACATCATTTTTGAATTTTTTAATAATTATGCAATTAAAAAAATAAAAAGCAACAACACATAGATGGCAAAAATGAATGTAAGTATATTAAGTTGATTTTTAAAAGCAAAACTATGCTACCATTAAAATATTTATTAAAACTTGGCTGGACATGGTGGCTTATGCCTGTAGTCCCAGCACTTTCGGAGGCCAAGGTGGGTAGATCACTTGATCTCAGGAAATCAAGACCAGCCTGGGCAACACGATGAACCCTGTCTCTACAAAAATACAAAAATTAGCTGGACATGGTGGTGTGCACCTGTATTTCCAGCTACTGAGGAGACTTAGGTGGGAGGATAGATTCAGCCCTGGATTTCAAGGCTGCTGTGACCCATGACCATGCCACTAAACTCCAGCCTGGGCGACAGAACAAGACCCTGTCTCAAAACAAAATATTAAAACTTTAAACATAAATAATTTAAAACAAATTAAAAGCAATACACATTAAGTCATTGTCACTATGATTTAGCAATGTAATGAATTCAAAATATGCATAATTAAATGCTGGAAGAGATACAGAAACAATGACTAGTGTTTGGGTTATTTTTTGCTTTCTTCTTTCTATATTTTGTATTATTGTATTAATTCTCAAATGTTAGAAGAATTCAAAGAACCTCTGGGAGTCTCCTATAAGTGAGTTGCAGTGTAAGCCCTTAGGATTTTGGAGCAAAACCCTGCCATCCTCTGTGAATATTCTCTTTTTGAGGAAAGCCTCTTTGCCTGCTACCAGGCGTTAGTAGAGATTGAACATTTAAGCATGGGCCACTAGGCTACCATGAGACCTGAGCCTCCATTCACTATTAGGTTGATGTAAAAGTAATTGTGGTTTTGGCCAAAACCAATCTTATAGTTATTATCTGACTCTCTAAGCCATAAAGCTGGCTATGCATAACAATATTCCATTATCAAATGGAAGAGGTATGTATATAATCAGGCCAGAGCAAGCCCTGAAGAGCACAAGTAAGCTATGTGAAGAAATGGCCCAAATGCCCATGGTCCCCACTTCTGCTGCACTGCCTTCTCTCTCTCAGACCATACCTACAGCTACATGGGAAGTTCTTTGATCAGTTCACTGAGAAAAATAAGACTGAGACCTGGTTTACAGATGTTCTGCATGATATACTGGCACCAATAAAAAGGGGATAGCTGCAACACTACAGCCCCTTTCTGGAACATCCCTGAAGGACAGTAGTGAAAAGAAATCCTTCCTTGTAGACAGAACTTCAGGCAGTGCACCTGAGTGCACCTTGCTTCAGTGCAGAAATAGTCAAACATGCAATTATATATCAATTTGTGGGCTCTAGCCAATGATTTTGCCGGATAGTCAGGGACTTGCAAGGAATGTTATTGGAAAATTGGTCACAAGAAAATTTGGGGAAGACCTCTATGAATAGATATTCCTGAGTGGGCAAAAGTCATGAAAATATGTATGTTTCGTGTGAAAGCTTACAATGGTGACTCAGCAGAAGAGGATTTTAATAATCAAGTATATAGGGTGACCTACTTTGTGAATACTAGTCAGCCTCTTCCTCCAGCTGACTAGTTGCCCAATGGGCTCATATAAAAACTGCCAAGGAGGCAGAACTGGAGGTTATACATGGTCTCAGCAACAACGACTTCTACTCACCAAAGCCAACACGGTTACAGCCACTGCTAAGTGACAAATCTTCCAGTAGCAAAGACCAAAACTGAGCCCGCAACAGGGCACTCTTCCCCTGGGTGATCAGTCAACTACCTGGTGGCAGGTTGATGACATTGGACCACTTCTGTTATGGAAAGGACAATGTTTTGTCTTTACTGGAATGATACTTGCACTGAATATGTATGTGCCTTTCCTGTACACAATGCTTTTATCAGAACTACCATCTCTGGACTTATAGAATGGCTTATTTATCATTATGTTATTCAATATAGCATCCCTTCTCATTAATGAACTCACTTTACAGCCAAAGAAGTATGACAATGGTCCCATGCTCATGAAATTCACTGTTCTTACCATGTTTTCCACCATTCTAAAGCAGCTTCCTTGATAGAATGGTGGAATAGCCTTTGAAGACTCAATTACAGCACCAGCTAGGTGGAAATACGTGATGGGCTGAGGCAAAATTCTCCAGAAGGCTACATATGCTCTAAATCAGCATCTAATATATGGTGCTAAGATTCACAGGTCCAGGAATCAAGTGGCGGAAATGGGAGTGACACCATTTATGGTTACCTCTAATCACTTAGTAACAAAATTTGAACTTTCTGTTTGAAGACCTTGTGCCCTGCCGTCCTAGAGGTCTTAGTTCCAAAGGGAGAAATGCTTCCATTGGAAGACACAACTATGATTCCATTATTGGAAGTCAAGACGGCTGCCCAGCCATTTGGGGATCCTAGTGCCTCTATGACCTACGATTAAGGTCCAAGAAATTACAATCAATTCAAGCAGGATTATTAATGTCTCAGATCCTTCAAGAGTGAAGGTTTGGGTCACCTCATCAAGTGTGAGACTGTGACCAGATAAAATGCTTGCTGAAAGGAAAGGGAACACAAAATGGACAGTGGAGGAAAGTAGTAATAAATACCAGTTATAAGCACATTACCAGTTTCAGAAATGAAGCCAGTAATTGCCGTGAGTGTTTTCTCCTAATTTTGTTATGAGTATATTTATGCATATATATATATACACACACACAGATGTAAACATATTACATATATGTGTATACGTATGTGCATTTGTATAATATTTTTGATTACTTCCCTCTCTTATTACTTTATCATGTAGAGCATGATGTATTAACTATATATCATTAGTGTTTAAGTATTGTTAATTTTTACATCATAGTATTTAAGGTACAACATAACAAGAAGAAAAGAAAACATCATTCAAGGACTGCATCTCTTCTTGAAAAGGAGTTAGCACATTTTCAGTTGTGCACAGGCTAGCTGTACATGCTAGTCAGAATTAAGACCTTGTTATCATTTGGAGATTGAGTATGGCTTAAAGACATGTGTATGAGTATCATACACCATTGACATATAGTTGACAAGGGCTGAGTTTGTGATTGCTAATTTTATCAAGTTAACTGGGTCACAGGGTGCCTAGATATTTGGGCAAATATTATTCTGTTTGTGTCTGTGAGTGTGGTTTTGGATGAGGTTAACATTTAAGTCAATAAACTGAGTAAAGCAATTTGTTCTTCCTAATGGAGGTATGTAGGCGCCTTTCAACCAGGTAAAGGACAGAACAAAACAAAAAGGCTAACCCTGCCTTGAGTAAGAGAGAATTCTTCCTCCTTGACATCCTTTGAACTGAGACATCATTTTTTTCCCTTCCTTTCAGACTAACTGAAACATCAGCTTTTCCTGGGTCTGGAGCCTGCCAACCTTTGAACTGGAAATATATCATCAACTACAGTTGGCTTTTCTGGTTTTCATTCACTCAGACTTGGACTGGAACTAAATCATTTCCTGCCTGGATCTGCAGCTTGCCAGGTCACCCTGCAAATCTTGCAACTTGTCAACATCCATAATCATGTGAGTTAATTTCTTATAATAAATCTCTTTATATATATATTATATTATATAATATATATACACACATACCTATATAATGTATATATAATATAATATATGAAGTAATATGTGTAATAGCATATAATATATCCTATTTCTCCTGTTCTCTGGAGATCTCTGACTTATACAAGCATAAATTATTTAAAAAATGAACAGAATTAGTGGTTGGGTAAAAGAAAGGATGAATGAATGAATAAACAGAAAAATAAATAATATTGATTAATTGAACCATCTTATACATTGTAACATCAGACCTCAGTAATGTAGACTTGAAATTTGTGAGCTGATATATCTTTTGTATTGTTCGGTGATTTTCAACTATCTTCCTGATCTACTTGAGTTTCCATTTTCCAATAGTTCTTAAGAAAACATCACTTATCCTAAATCACTTGTGCTCCTTTTTTTTAACCAACTTTATGAATGTACCACACTATATTCATTTACCTTTTGATAGGCAATGAGATATGTTTCAGATTTTGCCTATGATAAATAAACTTCCTATGAAAGTTTATGTAAAATTTTTGTATGAAAATATGCTTTCATTTTTCTTGGGTAAGGGCTTAAAATGGAATGTCTGGATCATATGGTACAGATATGCTTAAACGTTTTAAGAAACTGATAAATTATTTTCTAATGTGGTGGTACGTTTTATATTTCTAATATTTCTACTAGCTACGTATGAGAGTGCTTGTTCTTCCACATCCCCATCGCCACCAGATAAGATCAGTTTTTTAAGTTTTAGCTATTCTAATAGGTGTATGGTGGTATCTGATTGTGATTTTTATCTTACAATTCCCTAATAATAATATTAAATGTTTTTTTTGTACT
Organism: Homo sapiens; assembly: GCF_000001405.40. Taxonomy (NCBI): domain Eukaryota; kingdom Metazoa; phylum Chordata; class Mammalia; order Primates; family Hominidae; genus Homo; species Homo sapiens. The sequence goes on along the minus strand of NC_000004.12, from coordinate 59,280,405 downwards.
TATCTGTCATAAATATGTCTTCTTTGGTGAAGTGTGTTTCAAATCTGTTTAAAATTTTTTTATTGATGGTACACAATATTTGTACTTATTTATGAAGTACATGCAATATTTTGTTACATGGATAGAAAGTGTAATCATCAAGTCGGGGTATTTAGGATATCCATCACTTCAAGTATTCACCATTTCTCTATGTTGCAAACATTTCAAGTTCTTTCTTCAAGTTATTTTGAAGTATGCGATAAATTGTTGTTAACTATAGACACCCTACTCTGCTATCAACATCAGAAATTAATTCTTCTAACTGAATGTTTGTATACATTAACCAATCTCTCTTTACTTCCCCCCACACCCCAACACATGCCCTTCCCATCCAGGGTATCTATCATTCTACTCCCTACCTTCATGAGATTAATGTTTATACCTTTCACATGTGAGTGAGAGCATGTACTATTTGTCTTTCTGTGCCTGAGTTATTTTAATTAACATAGTGATATAGTTTGGCTATTTGTCCCTGCCCAAATCTCATGTTGAATTGTAATCCCCAATGCTGGAGTTAGGGCCTGGCTGGAGGTGTTTTGATCATGGGGGTGGATCCCTCACGGCTTGGTGTGTCTTTGTAACAGTGAGTTCTCATGAGATCTGGTCATTCAAAACTGTGTGCCACCTCCCCCTCCACTCTCTCTCTAACGTTCTCCCATTTTTACCATATGATGTAATTGCTCCCCCTTTGCCATCTGCCATGATTGGACGCTTCCTGAGGCCTCCCCAGAATCAGATGCTTCTGTAGTTCCTCTACAGCCTGCAGAACTGTGAGCCAGTTAAACCTCTGAGGTATTTCTGTACCAATTTTTTTTTATAAATCTCCATACTGTTTTCCATAGTGGCTGTACTAATTAACATAACCGTAAACAGAGTATAAGAGTTCCGTTTAGTCTTCATCCCCGATAGCGTTTATTACTTTTTGCCTTTTTAATGACAGTCATCATAAATGGAATAAAATAATATTTCATTGTGGTTTTGATTTGCATTGTTCTAATCATTAATGACAGTGATAATATTTTCATATAACTGTTGGCCATTTGTATGTCTTCTTTTAAAAAATGTCTACTCACATCTTTTGCCCAGTTTTTTAATGGGATCTTTTTTTTTCTCTTGAGCTATCTGAGTTCCTAGTATGTTTTGAATATTAGTCCCTTGTCAGATGAATAGTTGGCAACTATTTTCTCCCATTCAACAGGTTATTGTTTCACTTTATTGACTATTTCCTTTGCTGTGAAGGAACTTTTTAATTTAACATATTCCTATTTGTCTATTTTTGCTTTCATTACCTGTGATGTTGAGGTCTTATCCATAAAATCTTCACTTCTATCAATATTCTGAGGTGTTTCCTCTATATTTTCTTCTAGTTTTATAATTCCAGGAGTTAAGTCTTTAATACATCTCGAGTTAATTTTTGTACAAGAGACAGGGGTCTAGTTTCATTTTCTGCATGTGAATATCCAATTTTCACAACACCATTTATTAAAGAAGGAATTCTATTCACAATGTATGTTTTTGACACCACTGTTGAAACTAAGTAGGCTATAAATATGTGGATTTATTTCTTAATTCCATATTCTGCTCTATTGGTCTGTGTGTCCGTTTTATATCAATGTCACGGTGTTTTGATTATTATAGCCTTGGAAGGTATTTTGAAGTCAGGTAGTATAATGCCTCCAGCTGTCTTCTTTTTACTCAGAATTGCTTTGGCTATTTGGGCTCTCTTTCTGTTTCACATGAATTTTTGATTTTTTTTTCCATTTCTGTAATATTTGCCATTATTATTTTGATAGGGATTGCATTGACTCTGTAGATTGCTTTGGGTAGTGTGGTACTTTGATCATGTGAATTTTTTTCAATCCATGAGCATGGAATGTTTTTGTCTTTGCTTGTGTTCTCTAATTTTTTTTATCAGAATTTTGTTGTTTTCCTTGTAGAGGCCTTTCATCTTCTTGGTTAAATTTATTTCTAGGTATTTTATTCTTTTGTAGCTGTTATAAATGAGTTTGGATTCTTAATTTCTTTTCCATGTAGTTAATTATTGGTGTACAGAAACATTAGTGATTCTTTTATGCTGATTTTGTATCCTGCAATTTTACTTATTTTTTTTTTAACAGATCTGAGATTTTGGTGGAGTCTAGGTTTTTTGTAGACATAAAGTTTTATGTTCTGCAAAGGGGAACAACTCGACTTTCTCTTTTTTAATTTAGATGACATTTATTTCTTTCTCTTGCCTAATTGCTCTGGCTTTGACTTCCAGTACTATGCTGAATAAGAGACGGTAAATAAGGACTCCCTTATCTTGTTTCCATTCTTAAAAGAAAAAAATATTAAGCTTTCTGCATTTCAATATAATGTTAGCTGCACATTTATTATATATGGGCCTTGTTAAGTTGAGGTATGTTCCCTTCATGCCTCTTTGTTGAGAGTTTTTATCATCAAGGTGTGTTGAATTTTATCAAATGTTTTCTTTCTGCATCTACTGAGATGATAAGATAGTTTTTGTTCTTCATTCTGAAGATGTGATATGTCACATTTGTTGATTTGTGTATACTGGACAATCCTTATATCTCTGGGATAAGTTACACTTAATCATGGTGTATTTTTTTTGATGTATTACTGAACTCAGCTTGCCAGTGTTTTGTTGAGACCTTTTGTGTCTTATGTTCATGAGGAACATTAACCTGTAGTTTTGTATCTTAGTTGCATTCTTGCCTGGTTTTGGTATCAAGGTAGTGCTGGCCTCATAGAATGAATTAGGGAACATTCTTTCTTTTTCAATTTCTTAGGATACTTTGGGATAATTGGTTTTAGTTCTTCTGTGTAAGTTTGGAAGAACTTAGTAGTGAAGCCATTCCGCCTTGGACTTCTAAGACTTTTATTACTAATTTAGTTGCATTAGTAATTATTCATTAGTTACAGTTTTCTATTTCTTCTTGATTCAACCTTGGTAGGTTGTATGTGTCAGGAATTTATCAATTTCCTATATGTTTTTTAACTCATTAGTACATTGTTGTTTATATTAATCTCTGATGATATTTTGTATTTCTGGGGTATCAGTTGTAGTGTTTCCTTTTATTTCTAATTATATTTATTTGGGTCTTCTCTCTTTTACTTTTATTCTAGCTAAAAATTTTCCAATTTTGTATACCTTTTCATAAAACCAAATTTTTATTTTTTTGATCTTCTGTATTTTTTTAGTCTCAATTTTATTTAGTTCTGCTCTGTTCTTTATTGTTTCTTTTATTCTATTTCTAGTTCCCTGAGATACATTTTAGATAGTTTATTTAGAATCTTCTATTTTTCAATATGTGTATATTGCTATAAACTTCCTTTTTATAACGGCTTTTGCAGTATCCTATAGATTTTGGTAAGTTGTGTTTTGATTTTCATTTGTTTCAACTTTAAAACTCTTTTTTCCTTAATTTCTTCCTTGACTCAGTGGTCATTCAGAAGCGTATTGTATAATTTCTATGTACTCATACAGTTTCTGAAGTTCCTCTTGTTATTGAATATTAATGCTATTCTATTTCTATCTGAGAATAAATTAGATATGATTTTCATTTTCTAAACATTGTTAAGACTTCTTTTTTGTCCTACCATATGGTCTATCATAAAAAAAAGTTCCATATACTGATGAGGAGGATATGTTTTCTAGCTGCTGAATAAAATTTTCTATAGAAGTCTAGTGTGCAGCTAAATGCTAGTATTTCTTTGTTTTCTGTGTAAATAAACTTTCTAATGCAGAAGAAGGATGTTGAACTCTCCAACTATTACTGTATTGAAGTTTATCCCTCTCTCTCTCTTTAGATCTAATAATATTTTCTTTATGTATCTGGGTGTGCTGGTTTTGGGGGCATATGTTTAGACTTGTTAAATCCTTTCTGATTTTTCTGAAATTTATTTATTTATTATTATATAATTACCTCCTTTGTCTTGCTTGAACTGTTTTTAACTTAAAGTTTGTTTTATCTAACATTAGTGTAGCTACTCCTAATCATTATTGGTTTCTATTTGTATGGAATGTCTTTTTCCAATGATTTACTTTCTGTCTATACATATCTTTACAGATAATCTCAGTTTCTTGCAGACAGCATATCCATGGGTCATGTTTTTTATCTATATAGCCAGTGTATATCTTGTAAGTGAGAAGTTTAATACATTAATATTCAACGTTATTATTAATATATGAGAGCTTATTCTGGTAATTTTACGAATTGATTTCGATTGTTTTGTGAAATTTCCTTCCTTTCTCTCATATTCTTTATCATTGTGGTTTCATGGTTGTCTGTAGTGGTAACATTTTATCTTTTCTTCATTTGTGTGTTTGCTCTACAGGTGGACTTTATACCTTCATGTAATTTAACGATGATAAATATTGTCCTTTTACTTCCAGTTATAGGATTTAAGAGTTTCTTACATGTCTCATCTAGTGGTGATGAATTTACTCAGCTTCTTTTTCTGTAGGAAAGACATTATTTCTTCTTCATTTATGAAGAAAAACTTCACTGAGTCTAGTATCTTTGGTGGTGATCTCTCAGATCTTTGAATATACCATTCCATTCCCTACCTGTAGGGTTTCTGCTGAGAAATCTGCTATTAGTCTGATGGGGTTTCTCTCATAAATGACTGGATGCTTTTCTCTTGCTATTTTTAGAATTGCCTCTTTGTCTTTGACTTTTGACAATTTGATTATAATATGCCATGGAGAAGACATTTTGAAACTGTATCTGTTTGGGGATCTATGAGTTTTCTGTATCTGGATGTCTTAATCTCTTGTAAGACTTGGGAAGTTTTCAGCAGTTATTTTGTTAAATAGATTTTTTTTCCTTTTCACTTTTTCTTTGCCTTCTAACACACTAACAGTTATAATATTTGGTCACATTATGGTGTTCTATGTGTCACATAGGCTTTGTTTATTCTTTTAAATTATTTTTAAATTATTTTTGTCTAAATGAGTTATTTTAAAAGAGCTGTCTTTAATTTCTACATTTTTCTATTCTGCTTGATATAGTCTATTGTTGAAGCTTTCATTCAATGAATGTTTTAATTCTATAATATCTATTTTGTTCTTAATGATATCAATCTTTTTGATAAACTGCTTATTCATACACTGATTTTTAAAATTTCTTTCTATTGCTTATTTTCCATGTTATTATGTGTATCACACAACTTCTTTAATATCATTATTTTGAATTATTTTTTCCAGGATTTTAGAAATTTTCTGTTTTTTGCTTTGTTTTGACACAGAATCTTGCTCTGTCACCCAGGCTGGAAAGCATATAAATGTATTTATTGGAATCTTTACTTAATAATTATTGTGTTCCATTAGAGCTGTTCTATTGCCTTGCTCTATCACGTTTATTGTGTGCTTATGTTTGTATCTGTGCATCTGACATAAAGTGACTCCTTCCAATTTTTTTGAACTTGCTTTCACAGGGTAAGGCTTTTTCCCAAATATGTATCTATGCCATTGGTTGGGTAGGGCATTTTGGGTGTGATTCTGTGTTTGTGCAGTAGAGTAGACTCTGTATGATTTATTCATATGTAAAAAGTGTCAGTAATGTTTGTGATTTCTTCAGTGGCCTCGGTGTGGTTGTTAGTGTAAGCTGTGGTACAGTTTTGCTGGGGATGGGCACATCAGGTGAACCAGTCCTCAGGCTTTAGTGGGGACAGCCGCAGGCCAATCATGCCCATCCTTAAGTGTCAGGATGATATATGCTGGCTCCAATGTTAGCTGGTCTAGGTAGATAAGGTCTTGGGCTCCCAGGCACCTTGCTTGGGTGCCACCGGTGGCAGCAGTGTGCTAAGTTGGTAGGCAGTTCCTCAGGATACTGAGAAGCTGGCATGATGTTGGCAATGGCAGTAGCTGTGGTGGGACAATCATCTGGCTCCTAGGCAGTTCATTCTGGTATTGGCAGGGGCTATGATGGACGGGGTGGGCCAGTCCCCAGGCTCAGAGGTGGCATGTGTGGATGTGTGGTGCCTGCTGTGATATGGTAGTAGCAGCAGTTTGGTGGAGAAGTGCTCAGGTATCAGTTGAATGGGTCAGGTTTGTCTCTGGTCCCCTGGACAGTTTGCTCAGGTGCAGGGAGGGTAGAGCCAAGACAGAGAACTTTGCCCAGGCCCCCACATATTGCATGCCAGTCAGTTCTAGCTGTTGTATGCAAGAACAGGGTAATTCCCAGGCTCTAGCAGAATGTTTGATTCGGGGCAGTAGTGTCTACACTGTGGTCCTGATGCTGGGGAAGGTGGAGTAGCTGTAATTGGCAGCAGCAGTAACAGGAGCTTCCAGGTGGTGACTATAAGAGGATACCCTTTCTTCATGGCACTTTTAAATGCAGAGTGGCCCTGCTACTGGTGGTGGCAAGATCATTGCCAATGGCTTGTACCTTATTAAGAGTGTTTGTTCAAATGTTCTGCCCATTTCTTACTGTGTTTTTTCATTTTCTTATTATTGAGTTTTGGTAGTTGTTTATATGTTCTAGATAAAAAATCTTTATCAAATATATAGTTTGCAATTTTGTAATCCACTATCTAGTTTGTGTTTTTATTCTTTTATCAGAATCATTGGAAGAGCAATTCTTAATTTTAATGAGGTTCAGTATATCAATTTGTTATTTTATAAATTGTGCTCCCAGTGTTGTAGCTAAGAAATGTTTGATTACTCCAAGAAGACAAAGGTTGTTTTCTTTCTAGAAATTGTAAAGTTTTTATATATAGTGTGAGATGTGGTTTAGAATATCTTTGTTTATTTTTAAAAAATTTTGTGGGTTTTTTGCATATGTATATCCAGTTATATCAGAAACGTGTTAAAATTGTTATTCATATCAGTGTGCCTCTATTTTGGCTTGATATTCAGTCCCATTTACATATTTGCTTATTTTTACACCATACTATGTTGTCTTGATTAGAGTAGCTTTATAATAAGTCTAAAAGTCAGAGACTATAAATAAATTTATTTTTCCTTTTTCACATTTGTTTTGGGTATTCTAGTTTCTTTGAAAGGCCCTATGAATTTGTGAATTAGTTTGCCACTTTGTACAAATGATAATGGAGTTTTGATTGAAATTGTCTTGATTCCACAGAAAAAAAATAGAGATAATTTAAATCTTAACATTTGAGTGTTCTGACACTGGGGCACATAATATTTTTCATGTTTTTAGGTCTCCTTTAAATTATCTTAATAGTGTTTTACAGTTTTGAATAGAAAGGTCTCTGACATATTTTGTCAAATTTATCCCTACAGCCTATTTATTTCTTGATAATATTGTAAACAGTATTTTAAAAATTTTAGTTTCTGGTTTTTTCATTGATAGTAAATAGAAGCACAATTTTCAAAACAGTGATGTAACTTCCTACCAAGTTTGCCAAATTTACTTATGATTTTGTGTAACTTTTTATAGATCTTAGTGGATTTTCTATATAATTGCCCATGTGGTCTTGGAAATAATAATAGTTTTACTCCTTCTTTCCAGTCTATGTGTGTTTTATTCATTTTTCTTTTTATTTTATTGAATAGAACCTCCAAAATAATGTTGAATAGAAGTGACCGGAGCTGACATCTTTGTATTTTTCCTGATTTTGTGAGGGAGTTTTGGTGTAGGAATTCAGAATTTCACCATTAAGTGTGATTTATTTAAGTATGATGAATTTCACCATTAAGTACTAACTGTAGATATTTCGTAGATACATCTCATCAGGTTGAAAAAGATTATCCTGTATTCCTAATTTGCTGAAAAGTTTTTAAAAAAAGTTATGTTGGGTTTTGTGAAATGATGTTTCTGCATCTACTGAGATGTTCATATGGATTTTTTTTTTCTCTCAATTCTGTTTAGTTCCACATGGGTTCTTTCTCCCTGCGCAAAAGCCTGAAAACTCTCTCAAGCAGTAAATTTGAGCGATGGTAAGGCTAACCTCTGTTGCTTTTCATCTCTCAAAAGTCACCGTGCCTCTGCTTGATATCTAGTGAATGAGAACCATTGATTCCAATTTTATTTGTTTTGTTTTGAGGTTCTTTTAGGGGGAGGGTAAGTACAGATCATGTTACTCCACCTTGGTTCTGTGCAGCCATCCTCAGTTCACAGATATGTTGAGATAATACTATAAGGTTACACTAAATCTGGCAGCACTAAGCTTAATATTCAGAAAGGATAAAATGTCTCCACACAAGAAGTAGTTTAAAATAACATAACTTAAGGGTTAAGGCAATTTGCAAATTAATTTTTTTAAAAAACAAACATATAATGCAGGAATTGGATTTCTAAGTATGAAGACTCAGTCACTTCAATTTGTTTTCTTTTTTTTTCTTTTTTACATCACAACATTGTTTATTATGTGAATTTTTTACAATACAAACAAAAAATACAGAAATGCAATATATGAATACAGCTAAATGCAGAATGGTGACTTTTTTTCTCTTCAAGAAGCCATGATTCTCATTTCTAGTCAAATAAACAGACTGCATATAGGTAGAAACAGTTGGTCATTAGCTTCACAATTTTGCCTAGAAATGATCTAATGCATTTTCCCCCCCTGCCACTTACCATAAAGTGTAAAAAGGGAGTTAAAGGAAAGTTTCCTCATTGGTTCCCACCATATGAAAGATGCTATATTCTATTTCAGCAGGGCCAATATATGGAAAATATCTAAATTAAATGTTATTACAAAAATGAAGCAGTAATGAGATTTTTAACATGTTTGTTGCATTTTAAGTTCTTTAACAAACAGAGTCTGGAACACAGCGTAGTGTGTAAGATGATTATTGAGAATGCTCTTGGACTCACCACATGTATGTGGTTTAGAGTTAGAGGGCTTGGCAGGGCTAGAATGGGTAAAGGTAAAAGGTATGCTGCAAAGGAAGCCTCATTGTATTCTTAGCCAACACTTCTGAGAGCTTGAGACTAAAGTAGTCTGTCATAGTTGTCCTACTTTAGACTGAAATGGTGGGAAAGTAGCTGGGACCATTCGCAAAAAGATGGTAGATTCAAACAAAAAGACAGCAGATGGCCCTCCCAGCAACACTGGCACAAAATCCTTCCCTAATGAGGGGCCTAGTTGTGCATCTCTGTTCCATTAAAATGATATAAACAAAAGAGGAATACATAAATGACTGAAATGCATAGATCCCACAGAGTCTTAGATAACAATAATTTTGGTACATATTTCAAAGTAAGATAAACTTTGTTTGGTAAGTAAGATAAACTCAAATGTTTCCAATTAATTTATTTTAATTGACTAAATGGAAAGCTACAGAAAACGAAAGAGGATAACCATAAACTTTTTAATAGAAAAAAATGTTGTTATTTATAGTCAGTGGCTTTTTGAAATTAAAAAAAACTCATAATTTTATGTACCCTTTTAGAAAATAGGCCTTGGCATACTTTTAAAAAAATTGTTATGTGGTTAGGGTTGTATTCTTCTGACTCAAACCACCAAATAGAATGCTTCCAAGGACCTTTGGAATTGCAGTCTGAAATGCACTTGTCTATTGATTGCTCAATCAAGACCCTTATTGAAAACAAGTCACATTTCGATCGATTATATTCACTAGTGACCTTCATAAATAAAAAATAAACTGTTCAAATATTCTAAAGCATACCCATTCTTTAACGTACACACAATACAGCACTTTATTTGGCGATAACTGCCTTATATTTCCATGTAAGGGTATCTGCAGTCATTAATTGAAGTAATATTCAGCAAATCCCTGGAATGTGAAAAATTGACATAATTAAGTAATATAAATGACAATTCTCTCACCGTTCACTAAGTACGTAGATTAGTGCTGAACAGAGGAGACAACAGCTGTAAGTGCCAGAGAGTGGACAAAATTGAACTATCTATACTGGGTTTTCTGCAGCTATTTTTTTCTATTTTAGGAAATGAAATATTTTTTAATTAGTTGGATCCTAAAATATAATTATATATGAATGTCTGATATATTATCAAAAGTAAATGATAAAAACATTTATTGACATATTCAACATTGTGTGTTTTCCCTAAAACTTAATATTTTGCTTTTAAAATCTTATTGTTTGTTAGATATGTAAATCTTCCCACATAATTCTTTAGTTATTATCCAAATATTATTTGTTTAATAAGTGAATATGCTATCTTTTGCATAAATTTTAAAAACCATTAATTTCTGTGGATAAAAGTTTCAGCCTTTACGGTTTGACTAATTCCTAAGATTGTTAACTACATAAATTTTAGTGGTGGGGGAAAAAGTATAGTTGACCCTTGAGCAACTCAGAATTGAACTATGCAGATCCACTTATATGCATATTTTTTTCAATAAACATATTGAAAAATTTTTGGAGATGTGTACCAATTTCAAAAAACTCACAGATGAACCATATAGTTTAGAAATATCAAAAAAAGTTTAGATATGTCTTGAATGCATAAAATATATGTAGATAACGGTCTATTCTATCATTTATATAATAAAATATAAATATAAACCTGTTATAAAAAGTTTAAATGTGTCAAAACTTATGCACTCAACTATTGTCAGAACTCACATGGTGCCATCTGCAGTACATACAAATGTAAACAAGCACAAAAATGTAGTATTAAATAATAGCTACATAAAATTAACTGTAGTGCATACTGTATTACTATAATAATTTTGTAGCCATCTCCCATTCCTATTGTGTTGAGCTCAAGTAGTTTGAGTATCCACTTAAAACGCTGTGTGGCACTAATCATCTTCTCATGAGCAGTTCATCTGTCAAGAAAATCACATATTGCAGTACAAAGTGATTTCTCTTGATTTTTATGTATCTTTAATTGTGTTTAGAGCAATATTACAAACCTTGAATAACACCATGGCATCTATATGAAGTGGCACTAGTAATGCTGGAAGTGTTCCCAAGAAGCAGAGAAAAGTCATTACATTAAAAGAGAAAGTTGAATTGCTTGATATGTACCATAGGTTGAGCTCTGCAGTTGTTGTTACTTATCGTTTCAAGATAAAGAAATTTAGCGTAAGGGCCATTGTAAATAAATAAAAACAATTTGTGAAGCCCATGCTGCAGCTATACCAGCAGGTTCAACAACCTTCTACTTTTTGTGAAATAGCTTTTAATATCCTATTGAAAATATAGCTTTTATGTGAGTGAAGGAGTTCTACAAGAAATACATACCTATGAACTTTAAAATGATTTGAGAAGACGTGAAATAGTTACATGACAATTTAAAGCAAAAGGAAGGTGAGGGATCTAAAGCTGGTGAGTTTAATGCCAGCAAAGGATAGTTTAATAATTTTAGAAAGAGGTTTGGCTTAAGAAAATTTCACAATATCAGGAGAAGCAGCTTCTTCTGATGGAGAAGAAGCAGACAAGTTCCCAGACATCAGTATGAAAATCATTGAGGAGAAAGGATGTCTGCCTGAGCAGGTTTTTATTGAAGACAAAACTGCCCAGTTTAGAAGAAAAGATGTAATAATGGAAATTTATTAGTAAGAATGAAAAATGAGCACCAGGATCTAAGGCAGGACTGGATAGCTAGCTCTACAGTTGTGCTTCAGTAAATGTGGGGGATTGGGACCAGGACCCTCAGCATATAACGAAATTCATGCATACTCAAGTCCCACAGTTGGCCCTGTAAAACTTGTGTGTAGCAAAAGTCAGTCCTCTATATATGCAGATTTTGCATCTCACAAATACTTCAATATTTTAGTTGAAAAATAAATCTGTGAATAAGTGGACCTATGTAGCTCACCTCGTATTCATATTGTTCAAGAGTCAACTGTACTGTTTTGTGCCAATTCACTTAGATTTATAACTAGGATTGTCCTTATTTATAAAGCTACTAAGCCCCAAACCCTGAAGGGAAAAGATACACCCTAGCTGCCTGGACAGTCAAAACCATTTTTCTGGATTGATTCCAAGGATGCTCTGTCAGTGAAGTCAGGAAGTACCTCATCAGGAACTCAGAGGAAGTGTCTTTTAATGTTCTTTTGATATTGGACAATGCCTCTAGCCGCCAGAGCCCCATGAGTTCAACACTGAAGACATTGAAGTGGTCTACCTTCCTCCAAACACAACCTGTAATTCAGACTCTAGATTGGAGGGTTATAAGGAACTTTAAGATTCATTATACATGGTACTCTATGGAAAGTATTGTCACTTCCATGGAAGAGAATCTGCTAGAGAGATCATCAAAGTCTAGAAGGATTACATCATTGAAAATGTCACTATTCTTATAGAGAAAGCCATCAAGTCTGAAATAATATATTTCTGCTGCAGAAAACTGTGTTCAGATGTTGAGCACTATTCACAGTATTTATGACAGAGCCAATGAAGGCAATCATAAAAGATATTGTGGATATGGTAAAAATAAAAAGAGGGTGAGAAATGAAGGGTTTTAGGTATGGATAATAAGGAAATTCAGAAGTGTATAAATACCACATCAGAGGAATTAACAGGAGATGACTTAATGGCTGTGAATGCCACTAAGTGCTAGACGATGAGGAACAAGACTCGAAGCAGTGTGAAAAACAAGTTAATATGAGATAATCTGGCAGAAAGACTTCAATTATTCAAGATCACTTTCAACTTCTTTAGTGAATGGATCTTTCTATGATACGGGCACCGAAACTAAAGCAAACAATGGAATGAGGATTGGTACCATATAGAAACATTTTTAGAGACATGAAAAAGCAAAAATGTCAAACAGAAATTGTGAAGTATTTACACAAAGATACACCAAGTGTGCCTGTCTCTCATTACTCCCTTTACACTTCCTCCACCTCTTATATATCTGCCATCCCTGAGAAAGAAAGAACAACCTTTTCTCTTCCTCCTCCTCCTCAGCCTGTTCAATGTGAAGACCAGGCAGATGAGTATCCTTATGATGGTTCATTTCCACTTAATGAACAATAAACACATTTTCTTCCTCATGATTTTCCTAATAACATTTCTTTGTTCTAGCTTACTTGATTGTAAGAACACAGCATATAGTACATATAACATTAAAAATGTGTTAATCAACAGTATATATAATTAATGTGCTTTCAGTTAACAGTCAGCTATTAGTAGTTAAGTTTAGGGGGAGTAAAATGTTACCTGAGGATTTTCGGCTGGGCAGGGAGTCAGTGCCTCTAATCACTACATTGTTTAAAGGTCAACCATATTTTATCTGTAAATCTTGAGTCACAGTTCTTTTCTTTAATATAAAAACAGATAGAAAATTACTAATGTATTATTTTGTTTTCCTAAATAATTTTAAATAAAAATTAACCGATATCAAATAAAACAATACAGTAAAAGGCTGGGCGCGGTGGCTCACGCCTGTAATCCCCGCACTTTGGGAGGCCGAGGAGGGCAGATCACGAGGTCAGGAAATCGAGACCATCTGGCTAACACCATGGAACCCCGTCGCTATTAAAAAATACAAAAAATTAGCCGGGCGTGGTGGCGGGCTCCTGTAATCCCAGCTACTCGGGAGGCTGAGGCAGAAGAATGGCATGAACTCAGGAGGCGGAGCTTGCAGTGAGCCGAGACAGCGCCACTGCACTCCAGCCTGGGTGACAGAGCGAGATTCCATCTCAAAAAAAAAAGAATGCAGTAAAAACTTGTCTAAAATTAGACTTGCTTTCATTTCTCTCTTTCATTACATATGGCTCTGTTTTATACATGCATGCTTGTGCACCTATACACACATAATACTTTTTTTACTATTTGAGAATAAGCTATAGACATTATTTCAAATTCAATTATATCTACATTTCACCCCTAAGAACCAGTGTTCTCTTCCCCATATAATAAAAATATCATTATTATATTTAAGAAATATAATATTGATACAATAAATAATATGTAATAAATATATTTTATTTTACAATGTCATAACTGTTTCATTAATGTCTCCCTAGGCATTCTCCCATCCATATCCAACCAAGCGTAGCTCACTGCAACTGCATGTAATTTTCATGTCTCCTTAACATCTGGTAACCTTGGCTTTCTCCTGTGGTGGCTTACATAGTGGCCCAAAAAACATATATTCATGCCCCAGAACATGTGAATGTGACCCTACTTTAAAAAACAAGGGCAAATGTGTCTTCTCAAATGTAATTACGTTAAGGATTTTGAGATAAAATCATCCTGAATTATCTAGCTGGGTCTTAAATCTAATGACAAGCGTCCTTATAAGAAACAGAAGAGAAGACAGGCCATGTGAAGACAGAGGCAAAGAGGGGAATGCAGCCACAAGCAAAGGAACACCAGGTGCCAACAGAACGTGGAAGAGGCAAGGAAGAATTTCCCTCTGGAGCGTACAAAGGGAGCACTGATCCGATGACACCTTGATTTTGGACTTCCTCTCTCCAGAGCTATGAAAGAATAAATCACTTTGTTTTAAGCCACTAAATGTGTGGTGATTTGATAGGGCAGTCTTAGGGAACTAATACACACTCCAACCTTCTCTATTTTTGAATATTTCAAAGTATTGCCTTTTTTTCCCTCAAACCCACACCAGTTGTCTAATAGAATATGCCAAGTCTATATTCGTTTTGTTCTTTCCCCATAATTAGAGATAATTATTGTTATTTTCTCATATTTGAGATGAGACTTTTTTTGGTAAGAATATAGTATAGGTTGTGCTATGTGTTATTACATCATAATCACAGGAATGTAATGTAAGCTTATACTATTTTTGTGCTAAGTTTTTAAAATACACTTTTATTTTGGAAAACAGACAGTACCCAACGAATGATTTGACTTAAGATTTTTCAACTTGATAACGAGATTTTCTGGAAGTAACTTTCATGGTAAGTCCTGAAGCATTAATAATTTGGATTTATAGAAAGTTGAAAAGAATACAGAGAGTTATTATAAAACTTACAACTTTGTACTGTTAATGTCTTACAAACTTACAGAATATTTACTAAAAGTATACATTAGTATTCATACAATACTATTAAGTAAATTACTGATTTATTCTGATTTTACCAGTTTTCTCTTTAAGGCCCTTTTCGTCTATTCAAAGATCCAATCCAGGATACAATGTTGCATTTAGCCGTTATGTCTCCTTAGTCTGTTCTTGTCTATGACAGTTTTATAACTTTTTCTTATTTTTCACGACCTTGACACTTTTGAAGGAATATGATCAGGCATTTTTCTAGAAAGCCATTCAATTAGTGTTTGTCTGATATTGTCTCATTATCACACTGGGTTTATTGATTTTTGGAAGTAATACCATAAAGGGGAAGGATATATGATAGATATCATCATGACTTATTACTGGTGATATTAATCCTCATTGTTTGGTTAAGGTGGTGTCTGCCAGTTGTGTCCACTTTAAAGTTACCATTTTTCTCACTCCATATTATATTATTTGAGAGAGTCACTAAGTCCAATCTATTCTTAAGGGGAGGGTTAAGTTCCACCTTCGAAAAAAGGAGTCCTGTCTCTCTCTCTCTCTCTCTCTCTACACACACACACACACACACACACACACACACACACAGATACACAATATAATGTAAAAATATTTTGTAAAATGAATTTTGTAAAAATGAATTATTCTTTTTCCCTCACTTTTGACGATTTTTTTCCAGTCATTTATTTGTGTCAATATGGATGTGTGGATAGTTATTTATTTTATACTTGGGTTATAATTATTACTATATTTTTGTTATTATGATTATGTTACTCAGATTATTCCAGCTTTGATTATTATGAGCTCTTTCAGGTTGCTTCCTGTGTCTCTTTGCCATTGCCCTCTTCTTTTGTTTTTGAACACCTCCCTAGTTTCTGACACTGTAAGATACTCCAGGCTAATCTAGTATTTTCTCTGCTGAAGTTCTAGGATCAGCTACTTCTCTAAGAAATGCTGTTTTCTTTTATTAAGACATATAGTATGAGGAAACAAGTATGCAGACAATGAATGCACTTGATACATGTATCTATATGTAGTTCCCCATCTATCTGTTAAAAAGTACACATACACACTGAAATAAGTACTTACCAATATTTGCAATTCTAATTACACCACAGAGTTCCTTCTAACTTACTAACCTGTTTATTTGTAAAACTTTACCTGCTTATTAGTAAATTGTTACTCTGAGATTAAGAAACCTGGCTAAAGTATAGTTAGTTTGAACCTGCTACACATATAGTTTCAGAATTTTGAGTCACTACCTCTGTGGTGAATAGGGGAGTTTATGCTTCACAATACAATGTTTATGTACATTTTATTGTGTCTGTATCCTTATAGAACCCAGTGAAAATACCCTTTTCAAACCTACATATGTCGGTGGTACTATAGTCACACTTTGAAGACACATGGACACTCTTTTTCACCCCAAGATGTGGACACTGATGACACCACACAGAAACCAAAAGGATCTGAAGATATTTATTATTCACATAGTGAGGCTTTCTACAGAGAGCAGGGAAGACATTCAAACAGGTTCAAAAATTGCCTGAGAGAGAAGGGAGCAGCAACTAATTGAGGAGCAGCAACTGATTGTGCCTGTGCGTGTGTGTGTGTGTGTGTGTGTGTAAGTGTTAAGGGGTCAGGTTAAAATAAGCATTCTGTATTCTTGTAGTCTGGATCTTGCATGATTTTAACTTTCCTTTGGCATCAAGGACAGAATAGTGTGGCCTTTCTTATTAGGTAGCCAGGATGTGGGACAAGAGAAGAACACAGAATGACGAGGCTTGAAAACTGCCAACAGTCAAACATCAACAATGGATTCAGACTTCATTACAGTGAATTCCTTTCCCTCTGTGCCGTGCCCCATATTGAGGTTGTATCAGACATTTGTAGTAGAGTCAGGCACATTTGTTTCAGTCTAAAATTTTTTCCTAGGAAATGTTGGTGTATATACCTGGGAGTAAAATTGCTGCATCATATGATAATTTTTTGAGGAACTGTCAAACTGTTTTCTGTAGTGGCCCCTTTACTATCACTGATAACACAGTTAAACCTATGTCAACCATTTATTCCTTGTTTCTTTTTAAACATTTTTCTGCCTTACTTGGGTTAACGTATTTTTTATGATTTCATTTCATGTTTTCTTTTGACTTGTTGTAACAGTATCTTTATTTTATTAGCTTTCTAAATGTTTTTCATAGATTTTCTATATATACTTTAAATAGCCAGAATCTATCTTTAAATATTGTACTGTTTCTAAAATAGTCTAAGAACTTTAGAACAGTATCTATCCAATTTCTCCCTTCATCTCTTGTGCTATAATTGTCAAATACTTCACTTTGACATATGCTGTAAACACACAATACAGTTTTACTTTTATTACTCTAAGCCATCAGTTTTTTTCAGAGCAATTAAACATACTAACTAATTATATTTTCAGTCCATTTAGTCCATTTTCAATACTCTACATTCTTTTGTATATATAAATCTTGATCTACAGCATATTACTTCTCCCTGAAGAACTTTATTTAGCATTTCTTGAGTAGGTCTGCTAACAATAAATTCCTTGTTTTAATTGTCTGAAAAAGTCTTTATTTGCCTGAAAAAAAAGTATTTATTTGTCCTTCACTTTTGAAGGATATTTTGCTATGTACACTATAGAATTCTGAGTTTACAGGGTTTGTTGTCGTTGTTGTTCATACTTTAAATATGTTACTAGCTTTTTCTTGCTTGCAGGTTTCTAACAACAGATGCAGGCAATATCATCCCCTCTCTGGGCTTCAATTTTTTTTTTCTCTTTGGCTTCAGTAGTTTGAATATTATATGCCTTGATGTGGGTTATTTGATCCTAATCCTACTTCATGTTCTCTTAGAGTTGTGAGTTGGTGGTTTGGTATCCCAATCATTTTGGCAAATTTTCATTCATTTTTTTCAAGTTTTTTTTTTTTCCCATTCTCTCTTCTTCTCCTTTTAGGATTAAAAATTACATACGTTTCAAGATGTTTGATATTGACTCGCTGTTTCTGAATGATCTGTTCTGCTTTTTGCTCATTCAGTGTTTAAATGTTAGGTTGGAAACTTTCTATTCATGTAAAGTCAAATTCATTTTTTTCTACTGTAAAGTACAAAGATATGCCTTTTAAAAAATTCTTTATTTCTGTGACTAAATTTTCGATTTATAGAATTTTCACTTAATTTTTTCTTATTTCCATCTCTCTGATGGCATTTTTATCTAATTTTGCATGTTATCTACCTGATTTATTAAAAATTTTAGCATCAATTTTAGTTATTTTAAATTCCCTGACTGATATTTCTAAATCTGTCTTTTATGATTTTTTTCTCTTCTGATGTGTTTATCTTGCTTGATATATCTAACAACCATATACTTCTAGATCTGTCTTTTATGATTGTTTTGTCTTCTGATGTGTTTATCTTGCTTTTTTGTATTCTTTGACTTTTTGTTGAAAGCAAAATATGATGCATAAGATAATAGATACTGATGTCAATGTATTTTTATGTTTGCTGTTGAACATGGTTTTTTCTTTGTTCTGCTAGGACACTAATGTGGGTGTTTGGGTTAATCTAGTCAGAAGTTAGTTAGGTTTGAAGTTTGTTGTTACCATGGTATGGCTGGTGCACTGGAGACTCAAATTCCCCTAGTGATACTTAGTCATGCCTGATTTTTGTTTCTCTGATTGGTTTTGGATCATGCTTTTGTGTTGCTCCCAGAGGGATCCTGGCTCTTGCAGTTCATCCAGCTCTATGTTACTATTATTTTTATTTGAGTTTTGCTCACTGGAGCGATGTGGGAGGGTAAGTTCCCTCCAACCCACAAATCAATGTTTTTGTTACTCAGGAATGATAAGCGAGACACATCTGTGAGGAGTTTGAGTGTTGAGCTTTGATCCATTTCCTCAGTCTCAATAGACTTCTCATAGAACTCTGATGCTGCATGTTTGGATGCCCTTGCTCAGAAAAACTAAGTATTTTTTTCCAAAAGGGACACAGGAGAGAAGGGCTTAGTCAGATTCTGGCAGTGGCTGCCATTTCCTTCCTTAAGCCAGATCCACCACTGGGCTTTCTCAGGATGCTCTCTGACTTTCCCTGTGGGAATCTGGTGGAGTTCCTTGAGGGAAAGTCTGTGCGATCGTGAAAACCCCACTATGACTACATCCCTCAGTGGCTTTACATTAGGACACTATAAAAAGTACCACAGACAGGGTGGCTCAAACAACAGAAATGTATTATCTCATGCTGGAGGCTAGAGGTCAAAAAGCAAGGTATATAAAGGGGTGGTTCCTTCTGAGGTCTGTGAGGGAAGGACCTGTTCCAGGCCTCTACCCTCGGCTTGTGGATGGCGACCTTCTCCCTTTGTTTCTTCGTTTCATCTTCCCTTCTTCAGTGTCTCTGTGTCTACATTTTTACTTTTTGTAAGGACACCAGTGTTATTGGATGAGGGCACACTAATGGCCTCATTATAACTTGATTACTTCTTTAAAGATACTACCTCCAAATAAGGCCACATTCTGAGGTACTGAGGGTTGGAACTTCAACATGTAAATTTCGAGTGGACGTAATTTAACTGATAATAGGCTTCATGCTTCCCTGCCCACCCTTGTTCTCAAACAATTCATTCAAATTTATAAGGCATTGTGGTCTTCTGTTTCAGACGAATGCCTGGGTCCTGTTTCTCCCTGTGGGCGACTGTTTCTCTTAAGATTCAGATTAGCTGTTTGCCCTGTGGATTCAATTCTCTGAGGCGTGCAGAAGAAGTCATTAATTTACTGTTTGCCAAGCTATTTTTCATATTATATTATTGGTAGAAGCAACATTTTCTCCAGCTCTTTACCTCTTTGAGCTGAAACGGAAAGCATGTGATGCTGTTTGAACACTTCATTAAAATGAGATATACTAGATTTCTTCATTGTGAAAATACTCTTTACCTTTTGAAACTAGTAGGGGATCTATGAGATGATATTAGAGAACATATTAATATTCTGTACCACAAACACATTTAATTGATGGCTTTCTAATCCACTGGGGGCTTTTGTCTGAATCAATTTTTAGGCTAGTGAATGCAAAATGATGATTAAAAACATTTTATTATTCTCTCTACTTTTATAATCTTCATTCATAGGCTGAGAAGGGTTTTCTCTCCACCCTCCCACATTTTTATAGCTCTTAGACTTATAAAGTATTTTTCAGTGTGCTATAACCCAGTACTATCATTACTCTTCTTAATTTTAAAATTGTCCCAAATGTTCATAGAACTTCCTTGATGGCGAGGAAGTTTTGTCTGGTATATTTCCATTATTTGGGGGGGAACAATTCTTTGCATTGGCCAAGCAAGATATTCATGACTGATCTATTTATTAATGTGCAAAACCTGGAATTGCGTATTTCTCTTAGATCCTCCTGCAAATAATGCCATTTAACAAGTACAATTCGGATATCATATATGATTTTTTAAAATTGCTTACTAATACTTTGTAAAATGTTGAAGTGTCAAAAAGATGTTGGGTTTTTTTACATGCTGAGGTTACTTCTGCTTCAATAGAGAGTGAATTATGCAGCAAGATGTAAGGAATGACTTGTACATTGGTTGGTGCTACCTCACTTATGGGATTCTAAAAATACAAATGAACAGTCATCAAAGGGTAAATGACAGGATGCAATAAAACTAAGCTTAGCTACTTTGTGTTTGTGCTGAAGGTGATCGCAGATTACTGACTTCACTGACTTTACAATTTAACAATTACAACCAACTTCTTTTTCCAAATTCATCATCCCAGAATTAAGTTATTGGTGAGAAACCAGAAGGCACAACCTAGACTTCAAATATTCTTGAATTCTGGTGGGCCTGTCACTACTTTGACCAAAAGAGTAAGCATAATATGCTCAAGTCTTTCAGAAGACCAGAATATTCTTCTTCCTTCCTCTTGGAGCACTGAGTATTCATGTAAGAAATATCAGTAGCTGAGGTTGTCATGGAGAAGATCACCAACATAGACATGAGGAAGAGTTATGAGGGTAGAGAGAGGGGTGAAAACAGAGAACAAAAGAGAGGGAAGGTGGGAGTGTTGGGAGAGAGAGAGAGAGAGAGTGAGAAAGAGAGAGATTAGTTTATTTCATCTGAGGTTCCAGACTCTGTTAAACAGATCTGAGCTACCCTTGCGGTGTCCAAATTCCTAAAACATATAATTATGAAAAATAAAAATGAATTTGGGAATGATTTGTTACACATAAAAGAAAGCTAAAACAGCCTCATCACTGGGAGTATCATCCTTCCTTCACAGCCATCTAGTTCCACATGTCCAGTCTACATTATTATCAGAAGTATCATTCTAAAATACCACTCGATTTCCTTCCAAATCTGGTCATTTGTTAGTATTCCATTTCTCAGGGAATTCTGGCACTATGAAATTTTTACCCCCAGGAACAATAGGGTAACTCTGGTCACAGTTCTCTCCTTTATTACACATATACTTCTTTATTAAGTCCTTTGCTTTATTAAGTTCTTTGCTATTAACAGCTCTTAAAAATACATACATTTGGGCTGGACGTGGTGGCTCATGCCTGTAATCCCAGCACTTTGGGAGGCCGAGGCGGGTGGATCCTGAGGTCAGGAGATTGAGACCATTCTGGCTAACACGGTGAAAACTCATCTCTACTGAAAATATAAAAAAATTAGCTGGGTGTGGTGGCGAGCTCCTGTAGTTCCAGCTACTCGGGAGGCTGAGGCAGGAGAATGGCGTGAACCCAGGAGGCGGAGCTTGCAGCGAGCCAAGATCGTGCCACTGCACTCCAGCCTGGGCGACAGAGCGAGACTCTGGCTCAAAACAAAAACAAAAACAAAAACAAATACATATATTTGGCATTATATGTATTATATGAGGCCGTAATATTTGTGTACCAAACTGTCTCTTTTTTCATGGCCTGTGCTCTAGCCACACTGGACTTTGGACAAGTTCTCAAACCTATTATCCTATTATGTGCCACCTAACTTCGCAAACACATCATTTTCCCTAGCATAATGTTCTCACCCCACCTTTATTCTTTTTTCTAGGAGAAATCTTATATTTTTCAAAATCTAAGTTTAATGTTCACTTCTTCAAAGAAACCTTCCCTGACTTCTCCCACCGTTTATTTCCTCTGATACACCCTATCATATCACTTCGTTTCCTTCAAAGTACTTATTTCTTTTTAAATTATACATCAATATGTATGCTTTTATGAGATCATTTTATTCATAGCTGACTCCTCCAATGGACTGTAAACTGTGCAAGATCAACAAATGTGTAAATATTTGCTTAGCATTGTATTTCCAGCATTTAGACAATGCTGGAATGTATTAAGTATTGAGTAAATGGTTTTGAAAAAACAACTATTACTGAATGAATAAATTTTCAGAAATATTTGTATCACTTTACACAACTAAAAAATAAATCCCTCTTTGTTTACTGGGGCTGGCACTGAATTTTTTTTCCTTTAATTCATTAATATATTTTCTGTATTTAACTTCTACAGAATTATATAAAAATAAAAGTTCTTTCTAATATACACCTATTCGTGTATATTTGTGAATGTATTGTTTACAGTGACCCCTACTTTGTGTGGTTTTTCTTTTTTCTTCCTCGTAATCTCTACCACCAACCCTGCAACAGACACATACAGACACATAAACAGATGTAACACTTTTTTCGGCCCATGAGTAAAATTGCAATAAATGGGACATGGATGTGATCTAGTTACTGCCAAGGTAGTTATTTTGATGGTCATCTTTCTTCTTAGCTTGTGAACGTTTTGAAGTCATGGAACATGTATAATTTCTTATGGATACCCGAGATCTAATTATTTGCTTGATATATAGTTGATTCTCAAAAGTGTTTGCTGTACTAATGAATGCCTTTAAACCATTTACAAGCCAATACAATAGATTTTTCATAATCTCTATGAGTCCTAAATTGAGTTTATGGGTATATGCACAAAGAGGGACCTTTACAAATTCATGCTATGCCACAAATGTTGCTCCCTTCTGTTAACCTATGTTAATAAAATATGATTTTTATATACAGGAGTGGTAGACATTTCATTACCTGCTTGTCAGGTAATAAAATGTGTTTTGCAGTTTTCTGCTTTTATCTTGATGGATGCAAACATAATATACAAACTATTTTGAGACTTTCCACCCACCATTCTCGTCTTGCATAAGAGTTTTTTATTGATGAATGTGGTTACTCCAGAGCATCTTAGGTCAGGAAATGAAGATCAATTGCATACATATTTGACAATGCAGAATGGATTTAGATTCATACAATGTGCTAACATTAGAACTTAACTTATTCCAGTAGAAATAGGTTTGTAAACCATTTTTTAAAACTGAGATATCACAAGCCTCTCAGGGAATGTTTAGGAAGGATATTTATATATGATGATTATGATAGCACTGGTGATGGTGATGACATTTACAAGAACTCCCGGTTACTGATCATGTTAGACGTGCATAATATACAACAGACTTTAACTCATTTAATCTTGTAAAATTTAACAAAGAGCAAAACTGAGACTCAAAAATGCTAAAGTATTTGGACAATTAGGTTAAATAACTAGCCTTTTGATGTCTATCAAACAAGACAGGGAAGGTACAAACCCACCCTATATGATTACAAAGATGTTATTTTAAACATTCCCAGTGCTCCTAACCAAACCATTTTTTTTTTGTCTTTCATGATTAGGGAACAAATGGGTGTACAGAAATACTAATCTATCACAAGAAACATTATAATCATATAATTAAGCTAATTAAACTTGAGAAAGGCATTAATTTATTGGAATTAAAATCCAAAGAAATATTTGAAATATTACCTTAACTTGGAAAATTGTATAGAAATCCTTGAACAAGTATATTCAGGCAAAGAATGGAGAAGCTTTATGATGGAAGCATATGTTCATATCAGATAACTTTTTTATATATATTTGTATGACCACTAATTTTCTTCATAAACAAATAGAAATTTCTTAACTCCATTTTAATCTGTCACTTAAAATAACAGAATTAATTAATGTGAAATAGGAGTCTTTTTATTATTAATTAACCACTATTAGGTTGCTTTATCCCACATTCTGTGTTGTTAGGAGTCCAAACTTTCGAAACAACACAAAAGTAGAAACTCTGTTTTTGTCAGGAAAGCAATAAAAAGTTACAGTGATACTGATGAAAAAAATGATTACAGTATATGGCCAAAAAGTCGTTTAGTACAGTTTGTTTCTGCCCAGTACATATTGTCACAAAGTCAACGGGACTGCAGTAACCCCACTAGATTCGATACCACTGGTGGCTGTATGACTGAAGGAACTTTTTGGCATGCTAGCCCAACTCTGCCAGATGAATTTTTGTATTATTGCAGAATCTAGAGATAGAACTTAGTTCCTGCTTTGCCTCAATGATTCTTGAGTTTCTATTCAGAGGAATGCTTGTCTTATGCTTTAAAAATTCAGAACATAATTTTATATTTAATCTGGGAACATTTCCTATATTTACTGACATTCTTACATATTTTACTCTTATGTTCTGTAGTACTTGTCTATACAGGAATTAACCCACAATTGAAAGTTACAGGGACACAAGCTAATTATTATTATGCATTAATCTTCTTTAGTATTTTTTCAAAAAACTTTTTTTTATCAACCCATGCTTTTCAGTGTAATAAAAATATACCAACTATAGATGTTGATATAATTTTTGGTTCTACTTTATTCCAATAAATCGATGAAGGGTTGTTACTTGTCAAGACTCAGTCATGCTGTTTGATAAAAAGCAACACATACCAGAAATAAAGAAAAAGAAACAAACAAAACAAAACACACATGGATAAAAGAAGGACTAAGTCAGATGTGTATAAGGGTAATGGAATATTTCATCAAGTAAATCACTTGATGGAAAACAACTTCTTTGGGTACACATGAGACAAATAAAAAGAAGACAATGTCAAAGCAGATAAAGTTGAAAAAAAGAGGTGTATGGGGGAATGAACCACATGCAAAAACATTCAGCAAAGAGAAGAGAAAATAACAAACTTCAAGGTTATTACCATTTTTTATGAGTTATGAGAAGTCCCAGATTCACATGCTGATGCCCCTGTTATCTAGGAAACAGGGTAAATGCATATAATTATGTAATCTGTAAGATAAATTTTGCTATTTTTGAGTACTCTCCAGGGTTAATATCTAGGATGATTATACAATCTAATTTATCATTTTTATTTCTGTTTAATTGGCAGTTCACTTAAATAATAGAAAAAATAAGATATCCACAAAGTGATTTTAAAAAGTTACAACCAACCCTTCTCTACCATGTAAAATGAACCTGCTGGCTCAATGGATCCCTTGATTGACAAGGTTCCCCTAATTGCCTTGGCCTGGGTCACTGACGGTTCAGCCAAGCCAAAACCCAGTGATGTCCACCCCAGCTGTGCAAAACCAAAAGCATACATGGTTGCTCTGCTCAGTTGACAATCGAGCTGTTAACAATGCCCACACCACCTTGTCTGCTACTTAGAAGACTAGAGACTAGCAGATTAAAGATAACTCCTTTTTGGGGATGCAACACAAAATCAGATCATTTGCATCACTCATGTAAATGCCCGTGGTAATGGCCTGATGAGATTTAAGGTGCTGATAAAACTGTCACCTAAATCATTGCACACATTGAAATATATCCACCCTCATGGACTAAGCACATAGTAAAAACTATATGTTTCTGATGGAGAAGCTACCACCGTATGCCATACTTCTGACTCCTGCCAAAGGATGTCTCAGCCTTATTGCCTGACAGTGGAGAAAGTCACTTTACATGGGCATTGGCCCTGCCTACCTGTGACATATTGGTTATAACAGACCTCAACCCCATCAATCGTTCACTAACACTATTTATTCTTGGATTAAAAATAAATAAAGACTCAAAGAAACATGCCAATTCACTTTTTAAAGTAATAGATTGCTAATTTTTTTCACATAAATTTTGTTTGATGTATATGCCAGGATCTTGGTTTCCAATGTAGCTTTGACTGATTATTATTATTCACTTGGTCAGATTTGTGCATAGCCCAGATCTAGTAAGTAATAGATAAAATGAACCCCTTTTCTCCCAAATCACATTCCCAATTTCCACAACAAGAAATAGTAGTAATAGCTAGCCTTTTTGAGGACTTAATATTTGTCAATGCCATCTTACTCTAAGATCAATATATGCTCTTCAACATTTATTGGTTTAGAAACATTGTGTACACACGTTTAGAACTTCATTCCAGATGCATTCATTTATTACACTTATTTAAGAAGCTTTTCTGAGGGCAACAATTCCAATAACACGGTTTCCCTTGATTTCATTTTTGCCTTTAAATTTTACTTTGATATATTTTTACTCAAAATATTACTTGAGCTTTCCTAGA
The DNA here is from genome assembly GCF_000001405.40 of Homo sapiens. Taxonomy (NCBI): domain Eukaryota; kingdom Metazoa; phylum Chordata; class Mammalia; order Primates; family Hominidae; genus Homo; species Homo sapiens. The sequence continues at coordinate 59,254,033 of NC_000004.12, read as the reverse complement.
TTCCTTGAATGATTATTCAAAACACAAAGCATTATACTAGTGCGCTATTAACACTTTTAAAAATAGTATCTATACATATCTGCTTTCTGAAGCTTCGATTCATGTTGAATTGGATTTGATAAAAGATTCATACTTATTTCAGAAGTGATGCAATCTTTCTTTTTAGCATACATATATTTAGGAAGTCATATTCAATTCCTGAAGAGATATCAGGATACTTCCAACGTGTGTGTGTGCGTGTGTGTGCGTGTGTGTGTGTGTGTGTGTGTGTGTAAAACATCTAAGTTACTCAGAGTTCTATCTGCAACTCTGGGGACCCTCCTGTCCCAGTTCTGGTGAAGGTATATCATGGCCTGTCATGGTTCAAAGACACTATTTCTCATAAATAACTGGTTTCTGCTTTTTCTCAGAAACTCCATACCACTGGAACAATACTGAACAGAATTTCATTGATTTACTGGAATGTCATCTCTAATGTAACAAAGCTGGGAGGGAAAAAGAGTTGGGTATCAGTAACAGTTCAAAAATTGATGTTTTAATACTGAAATCTATATATAATCATATTAAGACAGTTCTAGGCAATGTAGAGCAGAATAGCTTCTCCACAAAATGTTATTGATTCTGGGCTATTCCCTAAATATCATTTGTTCAACTGCAGAACTTTATCTGGTCAAATATTAAACATATAATGCTTACTTTAAAATAACAATAAAAAGTTCCAGTTTTTTCTTCCATTTCTCTTCCCTTAAAGGGACCAAATAGGCAGTATAGATGAGTAGGTGTCAATAACACCAAATAGGTGGTGAGTGCCGAGGAATAGATGATGGGATGGGAGGCTGAGGAGGCAGTGGAGCCAAGGAGATGGCAGTGTTGCCAGCAGTCAGAGAAGTGGCTAGCATCGCCAGGAGACTGAGTTCACCTAGGGTGATTGAGCAACTAGATAAATACATTTATATTATAGGAGTCAGGACTCTCACTATCAGAGAAATAATTTACAAATATAAATAGAGAGGTGGTATTAGATTAGATATGGTGATATTCTGAATAGACCTCTACAGATTTATACATACAAATAAATATAGGTATGCATGTATATTTATGTAACATTAGATATAGAGATAGACATTTCTTAGCTCTGTCATCTAGATGACCCAGATTCTGTGATACCTCTGTATCAATGAGGATGCCAAGCACATAGATTTTGGTCTCAAAACACCATCACCCATTAAAAGGAAATGAGAGTGCTTCAGGAAATCATTGAATGGCTAACTTCAAGGGTGGATCAGGAAAAGTACAAGATGAGTCTACAACACATTTTTGTGACAAAAATTTAAAAAGTTCCCAAAGAAGTAACAAGACATGTCAAGAAGAGACAGAAGTCAGCTTGAAGGGGCTCCTGTTTGCTAAATCTAGAGTAGTTTGAGTATCAAGAAATATATCAGTAATAATGGCTTATGTAATATTGAATAAAATAGTAATCCAAGATTCCATACAGGTATAAATAAATTAACTGACAGGTTAATAAATGTATGAACATAAAAGAAAATATCATCTTCATTTTAGAATAACAATATATGTAGGAAGAATAAGAGACATAGAAAACACACCATTATAGTGGGCGTCAACTCAGTAGGGGGCATCAAGGTTGTTAAAACTGGCGGCCAAAAATGTGGTGATAAAAGAATACTGAGCCCTATTCACAGTAATTGTTCTCTAGGTATTTAAAAATTACACAAGGAAAAACTATGCATTTTCAGTAAAGAAAATTTGCAGACAATTTTTTAACTTAACTGGTGTGCTAGAGTTACAGACCCAGTGGGAGAATGGGAAGATGTCCTGTTCCCATTATGTGACACACTGAAAGGCTCAATATTATTGGATAGCATTCTTCCCCAAAAGTCACGAGCTGACTTTGCACATGAGGAAATTATTTGACAGAACAGGATTGAGAAAAATTCTTCAGATGGAAAGTCGTACATTCTCTCAAAGAGTCAGAGTCATGATAGACAAGGTAAGACTGGAGAAATGTTCTAGATCGAAGAAGAATAAAGAGACATGATCATACACACGTGATTCTAGATTGGATCTTGAACAAGAAAGAAAAAGACATTGTTGGACATTAGTGAATTGTAAATGAAATTTGTGCATTGCTTAGGAATATTGTATTAATATTGATTTACAGATTTTCATATTTGTGCTATGGTAATGTAGGAGAATATTCTTGTTTTTGTAAAATATGCACTGTTGTATTAATTAAGGATTAATTGAACTTGATGTCTGGAGCCATTTTCAGTGATTAGAAAAAGGGAAGAATGATAATTTGTATTTATGGTTAGGAGACAATTCTCCATTAATCTTTACATTTCTACCTGTCTTGAAAAATACATTATCTTACACTCTCTTGCAGGGATTTTTGTATAGCAAATAGCCATGGAAGATAGAGATAGTATTGACGTTTAGTCAGCAGAAAGGAGATTTGTTTTATGACTAAGATAAGAAACTTAATTTATCCCTCTTGGATAAATGTTGGATGGGTTTAGTTGCAATATCTGTACAAGATAGATGTTTTTGTAAATTTGAGATTATTTACTCATGATAAAGACCCATTTGATGTAAATTGTCTACCTGGACCTGCCTTTTTAACATCCCCATCACTGGGACCAAGAGAAACCAATGGGAGCATTAACCTAATGCTGCCTGCTATGTCATGAGTAATAAAGTATTTGTCTCTGACCCTAAAGTCTCTTGACTTCTGCCAGCACCTATGCAACTATGACAAGTTAACATGCTAGCTTGTAAGCAGGATAAAATATCAGACCCTTCACAGTTCTTGACATTTATATGGAGTGAGCCCGAAAGGGGTGATTAAGCAAATGTGGTAAAGTATCATCAATGGGAATCTGAGTAAAGGCTGTATGAAAGTTTCAATACAGCATTTCTCTAAGTATAACATTTTTGCTATCTGTATGTCAATTTAAAAGTATTCCAAAATATAATTGTACAAGAATTCATTTCCATTGACTTAAATGTAAGAAAATAAAACTCTTATATTTTAACTCCAGAAAAGTCCTTGAAAATTAATTTAAATCTTGAATTCTCATTTACTCTGCACATATGGAAGCCTTATATATCCATAAAGTAGAGCTAGATAAGTCATAAAGCAGTGGACAGTTATTCTCACTTGGTCTGTAATGTATGTGGTAATATAATTTCAACTTGCCATTCATATTTTCAAAACTAATTATCTTACTACCATTTAAAGCATAATGAATATCTAGAGACTTATAAATATCAGTGACCATCTGGGAATTTATTGGCACTTTAATTTTTCATAGACAGGCAACATCATTAAAAACCAAAATTATACACAAGAAAACAGATGTATGTAGAGAATACATTGTCTTCTATAATGCTATTTTTTCTTCCATAATCACTCTGACATGTACAAACATATATGGATATTTTCATAACATTATAACTTTTTAAGGAAGAAAAATATTTTCCTCAGAAAACATATTCCAAACATTAAACATTAAATATTAATATTTTAATTTAGCATTTATTACAAGTGAACTATCCAAGTTGCAGTTTAGTAATTATAAGTAATCTAAAGGCAGATTTTTTGAAGTCTCATGCATGTTATTTAATTTCTTTCAGCCTTGATTTTCTCATCCGTAAAATGAGGATAATAATAAGGTCACTGAGAAAACGTAAAGTACTTTGTACCTAGTGAGAATTCAGTATATGATCTTTTGTCTAGCTTGCATATAATTCCTCTTTTTACATGTGTGAAATTATAGGGAGTTATGGATAATACATGTCTCAATAAGAGTAATATTCTATCTTCTAATAAAAATCTAATTTTTTTTTAACAATTGACTTCTTACTGGGCAAATGAAGAAGTCTTTTTCTCTTCCCAGGTCCCTTGTCCATAATTTCCCAGCTGAGTGAACTGTTCAATATGTCTGATGAAGATTATTCAAAAGCATCTAACTAGTTGAAAGGAAGGATGAGCTTGCACCAGTAATAGACGGTAGTAAAGATATTTTCAATTCAAGACTCTGTTTACACTGTTAACTAGAATAACATGCAATTTTGGGGGGTTTGTTTTTAGGACTAACGTATGGTTTGGGTCTACGTTATGCTTTCTCCCATTTTTCTCTATTTTATTCATGGTATTATTATTTTTAAATCATTTTAATTTTTGAGTACTCCAGTATGAATTACCTATTTATCTCAAATGCTAATATTTTTCAAAGCCAGAAAGAAAAAAAAAAGGTTGTGCCTTAATTCTCTAATGCCTGCCTTTGTGAATTTTGATTTTGTGCCTCTCAGGAGATACAAAGGAGACAAATAATGTTATCCATTTCATATTAAATCAACCCACATTTGTTAATTATAGATCTATCTAAGGGGAAAAATCACATTAAATTTTTAAGGTGTTAAAAGCAGCTTCATTTCAATGTATTTATATTTATTGAGTTCCCTGGCCCTTTGAGTAGACGTCAGAGTAAACAGGAAAAAACTTCAAAGAGTCTACTATAAAGTTAAGTAGATTTCATCCTCTTTTGCTCTCAACACAAAGGAAATCAATTACGTCAAGCTGAACTTTGATGTTTCTTGTATCTACACTTTCTTCTCAATTTTCTGTACTACTGCCGCTATACAGATCTGAATTACCTCCTACTGTTTGGGCCACCCAATAGTCTCTGTACTTTCTTTCAAACAAGATTCTTACACAATGCCCTCAGAGGTCTCTCTCTATATTAGCTCTAATCATGCTATCCTCTGGTGTATTTGTTTATTGGTTGGTTGGTTAGTTGTTTTTTAAAGACTTTCTATGTATTCTCATTCCCTAAAGAATAAACCAATACCCAGCTGTCTTATCTTCCTAAGCCTCAATTTGCTCAGCTATAGGATGAAGATAATGAGAATACATTCATACTTAAAATTCTTGATATAGTTGTTCAAAAAGTGTTAAGTATCTTTATTATGTACTTTTAAAATAGAAAAGTATTGTATTTTATAATTTGAGTAAAAACAATAATAATAAGCTTTTACTTAAAGTTTAAATTTTAAATTTTATAGGACTTCTCTATGTTCTTCTGCCCAAGTATTGGCAATTTGCTCACTATTGCTGTAAATGCTAGGAACGAGTTTCCCTACAACCCTGAACTATGTCCAGAGATGTTTTTCAGGGTCCTCCTTGGCACTTCAGAGAAGGTGTACACATAGGAATGTTAAATATACAATAAGCAAAGATTTGGATTGGTCAGTTTGCTTCTTTCCATCAAACAGTAACTAATGCCTTAATTGCAAGTGATAGAAGATTCGAACTTCTGACCACAATGTTTGTATGAATAGCAAATGGAGGGTTTATAACTGGCTATATTCTAAATAAAAACATGTTCATTGAGTTAAGCTTCTTAATAAGAAGCACACAAATACAAAAAGTTAAACATACTCTTGAAATACCAATGAAAGTTAATCAATAGCTACTAATGGCCTTAATTAAAATATGACCCTTTCCCTACATACCACAGTAAGCTTTTAGAATAAAAACAAATAGAGCCTTTATTCATTAAATAGTTCTTCATTTTTCTTGCTTCAAACAATATCCAATGTACAATCATTAGCTATGAAATACCCATGACAAAATTCAATTGCCCTATAGGACAAGAAGTTTTTACTTAAAGCAAGACCTGAAGGATCTTAAGTAAAACACAAAAATACAAACAAAATAATTTGACACCAAGATAAAGGAATATCTCCCAAACAGCTCAAAACTAACTCTGTAAATACACTTCACAGCTTGTGAAAATACAGGTAAGTCCAAGCATCTTGAAAGCGTTAGGATGGCATTTTCTATATTAAAACAGTTAAAATTGCCATGTGCATTTCAAAATAAAGCTATATATATATATATATACACACTTTTTTTGTTGTTTTTTTGAGACAGAATCTCGCTCTCTCACCCAGATTGGAGTGTAATGGCACCATCTCTGTTCACTACAACCTCCGCCTCCCAGGTTCAAGTAATTCTCCTGCCTCAGCAGCTGGGATTACAGGCACCCGCTACCACGCCTGGCTAATTTTTTGTATTTTTAGTACAGATGGAGTTTCACCATGTTGGCCAGGCTGCTTTTGAACTCCTGACCTCAGATGATCCACCCACCCCAGCCTCCCAAAGTGCTGAGATTATAGGCATGAGCCACCACACCCGGCCTAAAAGGATTTTTTTACACAGTAAAAATTAGATAATTTGGGTTATTTAAATTAATCAGCAAACAATAATCTGTCAATTATTCTAACTTTAAAAGCATTATTCTGAGTAAAAGTGTTTTTCATACATAGACTCACTGACAGCTTCTACAAAACTCCTTTCTTTTGCGAGACTAATCTTTACATTGAACGCTTTGCATTTATATTAAATTTTAACTTTCCAAATGAAGGGTTTTTTAAAGAATAGTTTTAAATAGCAACAAAAAATAATGGCATAAGAAATATAAGAAGAGTCAAGGAATGAAAATATGGAGAAAGAATAAAGGAAAATAGGGAAAAGGAAGGAAGGAAGTCTGCAAGATGGGTGAAAAAGAAAAACTGAAAGAAACAAAGGTGGATCAAAATCATGAGAAAAGTGCTCCCCAGATTTACTGTACTTAAATTTTCCAAAAACATTAACACATTTTCCAATAAAAAGGTATAGTATTCGAATTTTAAAAATAAAAAAAAAAAACTATATTTCAAACCCCAAACTTCAAAATTGGTAGGTTAACAGGAAGGTGTACTCACCAGCTCAGAAACACTGCCATCTGCTGACCATATAAAATTGATATATTTTATGATTGTTTCTTTATGTGTATCATCAATAACATTGTAAATTTTGTAATGCATATTATGAAACTTGTATGAGAAACAATATGTATTTAGCAACCAATATTAAGACAGAAATTTACAAATATAACTCAATCATAGAAATTTGAAATAGGAAAAGTACAAAAGAAAATACTTCTAACACAAAATTGTAATTTGGGAATAGCAAAATTGCAATTACCCAAATTAGTAATTACTAACCCAGAATATAAAAATAATGTTTCAGATAGTCTATCCAAAATTCTATTATAATAAACAAATGTTTAAACATTGACTGAAGCCACAACATTATTCAAATTTTTAGCTCTGATATAAGAGATTCCTTCTAAGACTCTTACATTCACCAAAGTCAGTCTCAACACTGAAAGAAAGTACATCAGTTTGTTGAAAGCACAAGGTATACTTGTATGCTTCCATTCCCTTCATTAGCTTTCATCCTTCCCACACTAAACAGGGGCAATAGGTAGGAAGGTGCACATTTTAATGCACTTGGGAGGCAAAGACACATCATTTTCTGATATATCATGTTGTATAAATATGGGTTATTTCCATAGCCTATAAAAGTGATCACAATATTACCTAGAATATTAATGTCTATGAGTGTAAGTGATTTAAAGAGCCTCCATATTGACCTGCCCTTATGGGCAAGGTCTAGCTTACAGACTGCGTGAGTAACGTCACATTTATTCGGTGTTGCCAAACTACAGAACTTGCTCCTGTTCTACATACCCAGCCTATCTCCTATGAGACTAGTCTTGATTTTTATACTCCAGTGATAGGAGTTTTCTTGCAGCTGAAATTTCATGTTTTTGCTCAAGCTCCTCTCTGCATTTGGGTTACAATTATCTTTACAAGGCTGTTCTTCCTGACCAACTAACACAGGGAGGGCTGAATTTTAATTCCCATCCTCTCTGCTCTCAGAGTGCATTGTGTATGCATTTATCATTCACTTACCAGGAAAAAGTGTTTTCTGTTTGTCAATCTGTCATTCTTGTTTGATAATGAATGCATCTTGACTTATTTCTTTCCAGATGATCCATTACTGTGTGGGCACCTTATGAAGAAAACGTTTTTAAATATCCCAATATTTTAGTACCCATACAACATTTTCTTGCTCTTCATAATGTCTGTAATGATGGAGAAGTTCCTATAGAAATTATTGACTCCTCAATGTATAAATACATATTTAGTATGTTCTTACATGTTTTCATCGTGCCCCTCTCCCAGCTAGGCTGTAAGTCTTATTGACATTTGGGCTATTTCAGACTATATATCGCCCACCGAACTGAATAATGTGCTGAGTGCCAAGTCAGTTCTTACTAAACATTATTTTGTCATATAATATCAACTAGGTTACTAAAAACTAGATTACTAGACAACAAGGTAACTGTGATATAACAAATATTTTGTAATTTAGGGATTAAAATGCATGTGGAACACAGAAAATGATAAATCTGTGTGTGGGGGAACATTTTCCTTGAAAGTAAATCACGAAGTATAATTAAAAATGACTATATTTACACAAGGATTCTCTTTAGAATAGCAAGAAGCAAGAACATATGTAATTGGTCTGATAACTAGCAAGTAGATCCAGAACACAGATGTTTTTATTTTTTAATTTCTATATGTAATGTGCTTGGGGCACAGTAGAAAGCAATGTGAAACACATTGATGATGCTAAATTATAAAACTTAAAAAGAACAATAAAGTGACTCTTCAATCAGGAGCATATAAAATAGTATTACTTCCTCAATACTTGGTCACCAGGTTTATATATCTAGCCAAATCTCCCAAAGTTATTTGAGAAAAGTACATCACATATGAAACAATCTATTGCCTTAGAACTTGTTATCAAAGCATTGTTGGAAATCAGTTCTGGAATTTTGCTTGGAAAGAAACAATACAGTATACAGTGAAAAGTGCAGTGAGATACAGTGAAAAGTGCAGTGAGATATTTTCTCCTTGTTCTTTTTGGGTTCCTGTATGTCTTCATCTCCAGGACAGAAGTTTTAATGATACATTACAGGACCAGATATCAATGGCATTGTCATTAAATGCTATTCAAATTTTATAATTTGTAAAGAGTCCTTCAACTCTTTACAGTTCTCACATTTAGCCAATCTTGAATGCTTAGATTAACTTGAGAAATTTGCACATGAAAGAAAGGAAGCCCATCCTTAGGGGAATAGACCAATACAGTAGCAAGATTCTTTTCTTTTTCTTTTTTTTTTTTTTTTAATTGTGGTAAGTACATTTAGCATGAGCTCTGTTAAGGTTTTTTTGTTGTTGTTGCTGTTGTTTTATTTTTGTTTTTTTTTTTTTGTTTTTGCTTTCTTGTTTGATTTTGAGATGGAGTCTCGCACAGGCTGGAGTGCAATGGAGTGATCTCGGCTCACTGCAAGCTCTGCCTCCCAGGTTCATGCCATTCTCCTGCTCAGCCTCCCGAGTAGCTGGGACAACAGGTGCCTGCCAACACACCCAGCTAATTTTTTTGTATTTTTTATATTTTTAGTAGAGACGGGGTTTCTCCGTGTGAGCTGGGATGGTCTCGATCTCCGGACCTCATGATCCACCGGCCTTGGCCTCCCAAAGTGCTGGGATTACAGGCATGAGTCACCGCTCCCAGCCTCCCGTTAAGGTTTTAATTGCAAAATACAGTACTGTTGACTATATGCATAATGTTGTACAGCATATCTCTAGAACTTACTCATCTTTTATAACTCAAACTTTATACCCCTTGAAGAGCAATTTACCATTTCACCTTCCCTCCAGCAGCATCAAGTAACCACTATTATACTCTCTGTTTCTATTAGTTTGACTATTTTAGATACCTCATATAAGTGGAATCATGTAACATTTTTCATTCTGTGACTGGCTTAATTCACTTAGCATAATGTCCCCAGGTTCATCTATGTTGTCACCTATGGTAGTATTTCTCTATTTTAAGGCTAAGTAATACTCCATTCTTTGCATATACCAAATTTTATTTTCCATTCATCTGTCAATGGAAATGTAGCTTGTTTTCACAGTTTGGCTATTGTAAATACAGTTTGTAATAATGAACATGGGAGTCAGATAACTCTTTGAGATCCGGATTTCAGTTCTTCTGGATATATGTCCATAGTGGGGTTGCTGGATCACTTAGTAATTCTCTTGTCTTTTTCTTTTGTTGTTTGTATTTTGTTTGTTTTGTTTTTTGAGGGACAAAAAGCATCAAACATAATTAAATGCTCTTTCATGATAAAAATTATCTACAAAACAAATGAGGCATAGAAGGTATCTACCTCTTTTATCCTTTATAGGCCGCACATGACAAGCTCACAGCTATCATCATACTCAGTGGTGAAAGACTGGATACTTTTGCTCTAAAATGAAGAACAAAGTGAGGCTGTCCACTCTTTTTATTTCTATTCAGCATAGTACTATAAGGCCTAGCCAGAACAATTAGACTATAAATGAATAAGTAAGTAACATCCAACTCAGAAAGAAAGAGGTAAAATCAGCACTATTCCCAAATGAAACGTTTGTACATGTAGAAAGCCCTATAGACTACAACTACAACCAAAAAAGCAAATAAAACCCTGTCAGAGCTAATAAATACAATTAGTAAAACTGAAGAATACAAATCAACATAACAAAAATCAACTATTTTTCTCGTCACTGGTTGCAACTGATTATCAGTAATGTTGTGAGTGGTAAAATAATTTACCAAAACAGCAGTGAGTTAAAGAAAAAAGTTTACTAGAGAGATAGTATGTTGTAAGGAAGCAATGGGCAGCACAGCAGAGAAGGTGCTGTCTGCCAAGAGGGAAGGGCTGGAGTGAAGTTTTAAAGGGTGGTGCTAGAGGGACTATGTGCAGATAAGGTCATGCTGCTGGGGCTACAAGCAGATTTAAAGAGTTGGGGCTAGAGGGACTATGTGCAGATAAGATCATGCTGCTGGGGCTATGAACAGGATGTTGTGCCAGTGAGTTGTCTGTAGTTAGCCATTTCTCAGAATACTCTCCTGCACCTGAGAGCACTTCCTTGTTCTTGCTTACTTACCAAGATTCTATATTTCTACATATTAACAACAAACCATCCTCACCCATCAAAAAATTAAGACAACAATCTCATTTACAATAGCATCAAAAAGAATAAAATGCTTAGGATTCAAATGAATTAAGGAGGTGAAAAACATGTACACTGAAATCTACAAAACATTGATGGAAGAAATTAAAGAAAAGGCAAATACATAGAAAAATATCCTATGTTCATGGATTGGAAGACTTAGTTTGTTAAAATATGCATACTACCCAAAATGATCTACAGATTTACTGTGATCTCTATCAAAATCCCAATGGCATTTTTACAGAAATAGAAAAAGAAATGTTAAAATTTATATGGATCCACAAAAGACTCTGAATATCCAAAGCAACCTTGACAGGAAAAAAATGAAGCTAGAGGCATCACACTTTAGGATTTCAAAATATATTACAAAGCTACAGAAATTAAAACAATATGGTGCTGGCATGAAAAACAGATGTACAGACCAATGGAATAGCATAGGGTGCCCAGAGATAAACCTTTGCATATACAGACAATTGATCTTTGAAAAGAGTGCAAAGAATACACAATGGTGGATGGATCATCCCTTCAAAAAATGAAGTTGGGAAAACTTGATATATACATGTAAAATGATGAAATTGGACCCTTATATTGCACCATACACAAAAATCAATTCAAGTTGGGTTAAAAACTTAAAACCTAAAATAGTAAAACTCCTAGAAGAAAACAGAGGAAAAGTTCTACAAGATTGGTTTGGGCAATAATTTCTTAGATATGACCCAAAGGTACAATACAAAAGCAATGATTAGACAAATGAGACTACATCAAACTAAAAATCCTCTGCTTATCAAATGAAATAATCAAGAATGAAAAGGCAAACTACACCATAACAGAAAACATTCACAAACTATGTATCTGATAAGGGGTTAATATTCAAAATATATGTGACTCCTACAGTTCAAAAACAAAAATAACATGATTTTAAAATGAGAAAAGGACTGAAATAAATAGTTATCCAAAGAAGACATAAAAATGACTAATAGGTATATGAAAAGATACACAAAATCACTGATCATCAGGGGAATGCAAATAAAGACAACAATGAGATAAAACCTCATTGTCATTGTTAGGATGGCTGTTAACAAAAGACAAAAGATGACAAATGTTGATATGAATGTGAAAAATTTATACATTTCCTACACTGTTGGTGGGATATAAAATGAAATACACTGAAAATTTAAATAACACTGTGAATGATAGGATACTCAAATCAATGGATCCCAGAGAAGAGCTGACCTTGTTGGAGGAGTAAGAAATGGGGTTAGCTGGAGAAGATAATTTTGTATGTCCAGGAAATGGAAGTTATAGCCAAAAGAAAAAATATTATTCAATACTATATTAAAAATATATATATAGTTATGAATATATATATTTACATAAATTTAAATAAATGGCCATACCTGTCTTTTAATCTCTCCATGTCTTGTTTTTCTCATCAGAAAGTTACAGGTAGTATTTATACATTTTTTAAATTTAATCCATAAAAAATCACAATTAGAACAAGATTATTAGTTTTGTTTTACCAATAACAATGCTGAAGCTCAAAAAGCAAAGTAATATGTCCATTATCATAAATGTTATTAAGAGGGAGAACTATGCTTCAAAGCATACGTTGCTGACTATACATTGATTCCCTTAAGCTATACGTGAGCCTGTTGCACACTGTATGCTGTTGTTGTGGGATATATGATCTCTAGAGCTAAATCCTCCTGATTCACATTGTAGGTCTGCCACTTATTGGCTGTGCAACTTTGAGCAAATCACCTTACTTCCTTATGCAAACTGTTGAAGCAGATTACTTGACTGTTTTCTTTGTGAAAGAAAGCTGATGATAATATATACCTCACAGGAGTTACTTTACGTAAAAGTAGTGCCTGGACTAGACAACCTTTAACTACCAAGGAAGTATTACTACAAATGTTTTAAGAAGCTAAAACACAAAAGGAAAAGGCACATGCAAAGGGAAGGGTGATCAAAGATGAACTCAAAGGATTCTGTTCATGGAGGATACTGTTTCAGGCAAGGGGATAAGCATTAGAAATGAAGGTGTCTTTTTTTTTTTAACATACTTTTCCTTTGTGATTTGATATCCTTTCAAGATTGCTTATGTAGGTTCATTCCTTAAAGGCTTGCAGACCTTCAGTATGTAGGAGCAGGAGTGAAAAGCTCAAAGAATGGGCATATGAGCAAAATAAATCACAGATACAGATTGCAAAGGATACATTGATATAGTATGTGATCAAATGGATCCAGTTGCCTTTAGGTAATCCCTGGCAACTCAAAAAATATATATGGTTCTCTTAGTCTATTATGAGACTCAATATCCTCAAAATAGCTTGTAAGAAAGAGAATGCAAGGAGTAACAGCAGCAAACAGCAAAATTTCTCCTACAATGCTGAGAATTAGGGAATGGTGAAAAAAGAAAAGGAAAGGTGAACGTGGATCAAAAAGCTGCAGTATTAAAGCTAGTCTGAGACATTTCAATATGCTCTTTATTTCTTTCACAAGATGCTTTTCTATGTATCAAAAATTGAAATTAGAAAAACGTCTCTGAAAACCAGTGTCACCCCTGATTAGAAATGGCATAAGAAGCAGGAGAAAAGCTTTACACTCAGCTTGAAGTCTTGGAAAATAAGAAAAGCTTTCAAGAGTAAAAACAAAACATAGTAGAGGAAAGGCAGATTACTGTGACTTCAGAAATGAGTTCTAAGACGACTGAAGCACAGTGTATTAGCTTTATGACGAGAGCTATTAGCTCTCCACGGACAGGCAATATTTCTAAAGAGCTACACTGCGCAGAGAAGAAAATGCAGAGGATCTAGGAAAAAAGCTTTGCTTTCTCACCAGTTATTAACCTCATTTATACCACTGAGTTCCTATCATTATGCTCATTGCCCTGACATGGTTCAGTGGATTGACATTTCATTCAGCAGGGTGCAAATTGTGACGACAGAGGAAGGAAACCCGGGAGGCTTGGCTGCAATTGTCTTTGTTATGACCTGCTGCACCTCTGGTCAAAGTAAACGTCTAAGTAACTATTCTGGAAAAAAATTTCCTAAAACATTTTCAGAGTCATTTTTCCTGATGCCAATTTGTCAACTATCTGTTTCTAAACCTCTGCAGGTTTTAAGTTCATTTTCAAAAAGCAGTTGCATTCTTTTATTCTACAGCATTGATAAACACAAGTTGTAAAGTCAATGTGGATCTTTCCATTAGCCTCCTTTGATTTTATTTTGTTTTTAATTTTATTTGGTAATATATTTCTATATATTTAGGGAGTACAAGTTCAGGCTTCTTACATGCATATATCGCGCAGTGGTGAAATCTAGGTTTTTGGTGTAATAATCACCCAAATAGTGAACATTATATCCAATAGGTAATATTTAACCTTTACCCCCTCCCACCTCTCCATATTTGTAGTCTCTAGTGTCTGTTATCTGTTATTCCATTCTGTATGTCAATGTGTACCCATTGTTTAGGTCTTGCTTGTAAGTGGGAAGATGTGGTATTTGACTTTCTAGTTCTTAATTACTTCATTTAGGATAATGATCTTTAGCTCCATCTAAGTTGCTGCAAAAGACATAATTTCATTCTCTTTTTATAGCTGAGTAGTATTCCATGATGTGTGTGTGTGTGTATTCAATATAAAGAAAACACACCACATTTTCTTTATCCAATCTTCCATTGATAGACACTTTGGTTGATTCCAAATCTTTGCTATTTTGAATAGTGCTGTGATAAACATATGAGTACAGGTCCTTTTCCGATAAAATGATTTAATTCCCTTCAGTTACATACCCAGTAGTGATATTTCTGGATTGAATGGTAGTTCCATTTCTAGTTCTTTGCAAAATCTTCATAATGTTTTCCATAAAGACTGTACTAATTCACATTCATACAGTGTATAAGCATTCCCTTCTCTCCATAGCCTTTGTAACATCTGTTTTTAGGCTAGCTATTCTCACTGGTGTAAGTTGATATCCCATTGTGATTTTAATTTGCATTTCTATGATGACCAGTGATGTTTAACATTTTTTTCACATGTTTCTTGGCTGCTTTTATGTCTTTTTTTGAAAAATGTCTGAGAGAAAAAGATGGTCAACTAGACACAGCCAGGTGAAACAGCTCCCACTGAAGGGCCAAGATGACTGGCACATTCTTAAACAGATCTCAGAGGGTAGGCACAGAGATTGGACCGAGGGAAGACACAGAAGCTGGGCTGAAAGAAGACGAAGCTGGTAACCCTGCAGGGTGTCTTCATATACCAGGACTCATTCCTGGCCCCCAATGACTCCAGGGGAATGGGTGGGTTGAATAGTCAAGGAGTAACCCACTCTCGCCATGGGTCTTTGGAATCACAGAAGGATGAGACCCCACAACCAGCATGGACACTTGAGTTGGTGGAAAGAGTTGCTTAGAGAAGTGGTAGGGGCAGAACGCCAATGGAAGCAGAGCCCAGAGGATTTGGTATGGCAGTGTCTGCAGTGGAGCATAGCAAGGGAAGCCAACTATAGGCTTGACTTGCCCCCATAGGAATCTTTAGTTCCAGGGAAATTGTTGGACCTCAACTCTGCAGGACAACTTTACCCATCAGATGGGACTTTTCCAACCTGAGCACCCCTTGGTCGGCTGGCCACTTCCAGGGTCCCTGCTTGGCCATGCCTGCCTTTATGCACGTGTGTATGGGTGACTTTGCCTTGCCTGTCCCACCAGTACAGCTGTTTGTGTTCACCCTGTCCTGCCACTCCTGTGGTGGGAGTGCAATCTATCCCCACTTACCCACAACAGACTGCCATTGCAGTCGAAGCCTTGGCAGGCACAGAGTTAGCCAGGCCCATCCCCACCAGCATCCTGCCTTCTGCCAACACTGCCATTAGAGTGAAACTAGGCACAGAGAACAGCAGACCCTCCCTTGCCCTGAGTGACCACCCCTGCCTGAAGTGCACAGAGAATGCAGACAGAGCAGTATTCATGAGTGCCCTGCCCTTGTACTAACACCACCACCAGTACAATTGCATGCCCAGTTTCCAGGAGAGGTCTCCCATTTCCCCAAGCCACACTGCCTCTGCCACTATTGTGAATGCCTACACAAAGGCAGGAGCCCCAGCACCTACCAACACCCTGCTCCACTTGATGAGTGTGTACTCTACCATACTGCCACTGCTGCTGGCATATGTAAACAATGATACTTCAGGATCACCTTGACCCCCCTACAGAGCAGTGGACTCCTAACCAAAAGGAGCTAGAGAACAAAGTTGGGGCCTGATACAAGTCCCTCAGCATCAGAGCACGTAGTCCAGGATTTGGGAGCTGAATATTTTCTTCCCAACATCTTACAAAAACAAAGCTAGTTGGCTGAATCCACCTTATACCACAATCAAATCCTCAAAGTTTTCAAGTAGGATAAAAGAAAAAAAATCAAAGATAAGCAACTTTAGATTGAAGAAACATTAGCCTACAAAGATGAGAAAAAACCAATGAAAGGAATTTAACAACGTAAAAAGCCAGAGTGCTTTCTTTCCTCCAAACAACCACTCCCCGTCTCCAGCAAAGGTTCTGAACTGGCCTGAGATGCCTGAAATGACAGAAATAGAATTCAGAATATGGATAGGAATGACAATCATCAAGCTTCAAGAGAATGCTGCAACCCAATCCAAGGAAGATAAGAATCACAATAAAATGATACAGGAGCTGACAGACAAATTAGCCAGTATAAAAGAGTACATAGCCAAACTGATAGACCTGAAAAAGCATTGCAAGAATTTTATAATGTAATCACAAGTATTAAGAGCGGAGTAGACCAGGCTGAGGGAAGAATCTCAGAGCTTGAAGACTGGCTTTATGAAATAAGACAGTCATAGAAGAATAAAGAAAAAAGAATAAAAATAAATGACCAAAACCTCTGAGAAATATAGGCTTATGTAAAGAAACAAAATCTGTTACCAATTAGTGTAGCTGTAAGAGATGGGGAAAGTGTAAGCAATGTAGAAAACATATTCTAGGATATCATTCGTAAGAAATTCCCCAATCTAGCTAGAAAGAGCAACATTCAAAATCAGGGAATGCAGAGAACTCCAGTAAAATATTTCACAAGAAGATCATCCCCAAGACATATAATCATCAGATTCTCAAAGGCCAAATGAAAGAAAAAATGTTAAAGGCAGCTCAAGAGAAAGGTCAGGTCACCTACAAAGGGAAGCCCATCGTACTAACAGTAGACCTCTCAGCAGAAACCCTACAAGCTAGAAGAGATTGGGGGCCAATATTTATCATTCTTAAAGAAGATAAATCCCAACCAAGAATTTAATATCAGGTCAAACTAAGCAAAGGAGATATATGATTCTTTCCAGAGAACCAAATACTGAGGGAATTTATTGCCACCAGACATGTCTTATAAGAGCTTCTGAGAATGCTCTAAATATAAATAGAAAAGATTGTTACCAGCCACTACAAAAACACTTAAATACACAGACCAGTGACACTATGAAGCAACCATACAAACAAGCCTGCATAATAACCAGCTCACATTAGGACGGTAGGATCAAATCCACACATACCAATACTAACCTTAAATGTAAATGGCCTGAATGTCCCAATTAAAAGGCACAGAGTGGAAAGCTGAATAAAGAACCAAGATCCATTGGTATGCTGTCTTCAGGAGATCCATGTCACATGCAATCTCACATGCAATGGCACCAATAGGCTCAAAATAAAGAGATGAAGAAAAATCTACTAAGCAAAAGGAAAACTGAAAGAAGCAGAGGTTTCAAACCTAATTTCAGAAAAAATAGACTTTAACAAAGATTTTTAAAGAAGACAAGGAAGGGCTTTATTGTGGGTGGCAAGCCACCCAGGGGCCAAGGCAAGAGACTGAGGACATGAGCTGTTCCAGTATAATAAAATATAAAACAAGAATAGTTATATTAGATATAGATCTTAGATATGATTATATATGAATATCATTAATCATTGGTTTGTAGCAATTACTCTTTATTCCAATATTATAATAATCCTTGCTCTATAATCATAACCTAGGAAAAACCAGGCCATACAGAGATAGGAGCTGAGAGGACATAGTGAGGAGTGACCAGAAGACAAGAGTGCAAGTCTTCTGTTATTTCCAGACAGGGCCACCAGAAGGGCTCCTTGGTCTAGTGGTAATGCCAGAATCTGGGAAGACGCCTGTTGCAAGGTGGACCATGGTCTAGCAGTAGCGTAAGTGTCAAGGAAAAACACCTGCTACTTAGCAGACCGGGAAAGGGAGTCTCCCTGGGGGGAGTTTAGAGAAGACTCTACTCCTCCACCTCTTGTGGAGGAACTGACATTAGTCGGGCTCGCCCGCAGTTATCTGGAGGCCTAACCACCTCCCTGTGATGCTGCGCTTTAGTGGTCACACTCCTAGTCCACCTTCATGTTCCATCCTGTACACCCGGCTCTGCCTTTTAGATAACAGTAGCAAAATTAGTGAAAGTACTAAAAGTCTCTGATATGCAGAAATAATGGCGTAAGCTGTCTATCTCTCTCCCTCTCTCTCTCTGCCTTGGCTGCCAGGCAGAGAAGGGCCCCCTGTCCAGTGGACATGTGACCCACATGGCCTTACCTATCATTGGAGATGACTCACACTCTTTACCCTGCCCCTTTTGTCTTGTATCCAATAAATAACAGTGCAGCCTGGCATTTGGGGCCACTACTGGTCTCTGCGACTTGGTGGTAGTGGTCCCCCAGGCCCAGCTGTCTTTTCTTTTATCTCTTTGTCTTGTGTCTTTACTTCTACACTCTCTCATCTCCGCACACAGGGAGAAACCCACCGACCCTGTGGGGCTGGTCCCTACAATTATAAAATGGCAAAGGGTTCAATTCAACAAGAAGACCTAATTATCCTAAATATATGCACTCAATAAAGAAGCACCCAGATTCATAAAGCAAGTGCTTGGAGATGTTTAAAGAGAATTTGACTCCCACACAATAATAGTGGGTGACTTCTACACCCCACTTACAGAATCAGACAAATCATCAAGACAGAAAATTAACAAAGACATTCATTACCTGAACTCAGCATGAGACTAAATGGGCTTGATAAAAATCTGCAGAACTCTCCACACAAATGCAACAGAATATAAATTCTTCTCATCACACATGAAATATACTCCAAAATCAACCACATATTGGACACAAAACACTTCAGCAAATGCAAAATAACTAAAATTATAACAGTCTCTTAGATCACAGCACAATCAAATTTCAAATGAAGACTAAGAAAATCACTCAAAACCATACAATTACATGGAAACTAAATAAGCTGCTCTTGAATGAATTTGGGATCAATAGTGAAATTAAGGGAAGAAATCAAGAAGTTCTTTGAAACTAATGAGAACAAAGATACAACATACCAGAATCTCTGGGACACAGCTAAGACAGTGGTGAAAGGGAAATTTATAGCACTAAATGTCCATATCAAAAAATTAGAAAGATCTTAATTTAACAACTAAAATAACTAGAGAACCAAGAGCAAACGAACCCAAAGCTAGCAAAATAAAAAAAATAACCAAAATTAGAGCTAAAGTGCTGGAGATTGAGACACAAGCCAAAAAAAAAAAGAAAAAAAAATTAAAAGATCAATGAATTCAGGAGCTCTTTTTAAATAAAATAAACCAGTAGCTAGACTAATATAAAAGATTCAAAGATTTAAATAAACCCGATTAGAAACAAGAGGCTATTACCTCTGACCCAACAGAAATGCAAATAATCATAAAAGAATATTATGAACACCTCTATGCACAAGAACTAGGAAATCTAGAAGAAGTTGATAAATTCCTGAACATATACACCTTCCCATGACTGAGCCACAAAGAAATTGTATCCCTGGGTAGAACAGTAATGAACTCTGTAATTTAATCTGTAAAAAATAGCCAACTAACCAAAAAAAAAAAAAAAAGCCTGGGAACAGACAGATTCAGAGCTGAATTATACCAGATGTACAAATAAGAGCTGATACCACTTCTACTGAAACTATTCCATGAAATTCAGGAGGAGGGACTCCTATGTAACTTATTCTACAAGGCCAGTATTATTCTGATAGCAAAATCTGGCAGAGACACAACAAAAAAGGAAAACTTAAAACCAATATACTTGATGAACATCGATATGAAAATCCTCAACAAAATACGGGCAAACCGAATCCAGCAGCACATCAAAAAGCTAATCCTTCATCACCAAGTGGGCTTTATCCCTGGAATACAAGGATGGTTCAACTTAAGCTAATCAATAAATCTGTTCATCACATAAACAGAAGTAAAGACAAAAGCACATGATTATCTCAAAAGCGGCAGAAAAGCCTTTCGATAAAATGTAATATCTTTTTATATTAAAAACTCTCAATAAATTAGGTATTGAAGGAACATACTTTAAAATAATAAGAGCTGTCTAGGACAGATTCACAGCCAATAACATACTGAATGGGCAAAAGCTGCAAGCATTCCTAAGATAAGGATGCCCTCCCTTATCACTCTTATTCAACATAGTATTGAAAGTCCTGGTCAGAGCAATCAGTCAAAAGAAATATAATAAATAAAGGGCATCAAATAATAAGACGAAGTCAACCTAACTCTGTTTGCAAATGGTATGATCCTGTATCTAAAAAAACCCATGTATTCTGCCCAGAAGCTCCTTCAGCTCATAAACAACTTTAGCAAAGTCTGAGGATAAAAAAATCAATGTACAAAAATTACTAGCATTTTTATGCAACAGTCAAGCCAAGAGCCAAATCAGGAATGCAATCTCATTCACAATTGACATAGAAAGAATAAAATACCTAGGAATACAGCTAACTAGGGAGGTGAAAGATCTCTACAAGAAGAACTACAAAATACTGCTCAAAGAAATCAGAAATAATTCAAACACATGGAAAAAAAATCCTATGCTTATGGATACGAAGAATCAATATCATTAAAATGGCCATATTGCCCAAAGCAATTTATATATTCAATGCAATTCCTATTAAACTACCTATGACATTCTTCGAGAAAAAAAAATCTTTTAGAATGTATGTGGAGCCAAACAAGAGCCCAAATAGCCACAGCAATTTTAAGCAAAAAGAACAAAGTTGGAGGCATCATGCTATCCAACTTCGGATTATACTACTTGTCTACAGTAACTAAAGCAGCATAGTACTGGTAGAAAAACAGCCATATAGACCAATGGAACAGAATAGAGATCCCATAAATAAGGCCACACACCTACAACTATCTGATCTTAGACAAGGTCGACAAGAACAAGCAATAGCGAAAGGATTCCCTACTCCATAAATAGTGCTGAGATAATTGGTTAGCCATGTGCTGAAGATTGAAACTGGACCCCTTCCTTACACCATGTACAAAAATCAATGCAAGAGAAATAAATGTAAAATCCAAAGCTATGAAAACCCTGGAAGGCAATCAAGGAAATTCCATTCTGGACATAGGATCAGACAAAGATTTCATAACCAAGATGCCAAAAGAAATTTCAACCAAAGAAAAAATTGACAAATGGGATCTAATTAAACTAAAGAGCTTCTATAAAGCAAAATAAACCATCAACAGAATAATCAGACTTCCCACATAATGGAAGAATTTTTTTTGCAAACTATGCACCCGACAAAGGTCTAATAACCAGCATCTATAAGGAAGTTAAACAAATTCACAAGAAAAAATAAAAAACCCTACCAAAAAGTGGTCAAAGTACATGAACAGACACTTCTTCAAAGAAAACAGACATTAGACCAATTATATATAAAAAAGCTCAACATCATTGATCATTAGAGAAATGCAAATTGAAACCACAATGAGATACGATCTCACACCAGTCAGAATGACTATTAATAAAATGTCAAAAAAAAAAACAGGTGCTGGTGAGGTTGCAGAGAAAAAAATGCTTATACACTGTTGGTGGACATGTAAATTAGTTGAACTATTGTGGAAAACAGTGTGGTGATTCCTCAAAGGCTTAAAAACTGAATTAACATTTGACCCAGCCTTCCTGTTACTGAGTATATACCCACAAGTATATAAATCTTTCTATCTTAGAGACACATGCCTGCATATATTTGTTGCAGCACTATTCACAATAGCAAAGATATGGAATCAACCTAAGTGCCCATCAATAAATAGTATACTGGATAAATAAGATGTGGTACGTATACACCATGGAATACTATGCAGCTATAAAAAAGAACAAGATTATGTCCTTTGCAGAAACATGGATGGAACTGGAGGCTATCATCCTTAGCAAACTAAGAAACAGAAAATCAAATACCACGTGTTCTTACTGATAGGTGAGAGCTAAATGATGAGAACACATGGACCCAAAGAGTGGAGTAACAGATACTGGGGCCTACCTGAGGGTGGACGGTGGGAGGATGGCAAGGATAAGGAAAAATAACTATTGGGTACTAGACTCAGTACCTGGGTCATGAAATAATCTGTACAACAAAATCTCATCACACAAGTTTACCTATATAACAAACCTGCACAAAGTTTTCCTATATAACAAGCCTGTTACCTGTATAACAAACATGAACCTCTGAACTTACAATAAAAGTTAAAAAAAGAAGAAAACTGTCTGTAATTTTGTTCAATTGCTTTGGGCAGTATGGTCATTTTAATATTGATTCTTCCAATCTATTAGCGTGGGATTTTTTTTGTTTGTGTCACATATGATTTCTCTCAGTAGTGTTTTGTTATTCTCCTTGTGGAGGTATTTCACTCCCTTGACAAAATATATTCCTAGATATTTTATGTGTGTGTGGCTACTATAAATGGGATTGCTTTCTTGATTTGGTCCTTAGTTCTTTGGTCATTGGTGTATAAAAATATTACCAATTTATGTACATTTATTTTGTATCCAGGTACTTTATTCAATTCACTGGTCAAATCAAATGATTTTTAGTGAAATTTATGGGGTTTTTCTAGAGGTAAGATTATACTATCAGCAAGGAAGAATAATTTGACTTCCTGTTTAGCAATTTGAATGACTATTTTTTCTCTTGTCTGATTGCTCCAACAAGGATTTCTAGTACTACGTTAAATAAGAGTGAGGAAAGTGAGCATCTTTGTCTTGTTCCAGTTCTTAAATGAAATGCTTACAACTTACCCACACTCACTGTGGTATTGGCCATTGATTTTTCATACGTGGCCTTTATTATGTTGAGATATGTTCCTTCTATGCTAGTTTTTTGAGGATTTTCATTCTGAAGGATGATAAATTTTATTGAATGCTTATTCTGTATCTATCAAGATAATCACGTACATTTTGTTTTTAATTATCTTCATGTGATATATCACATTTATTGATTTCTGTATATTGAACCATCATTGCATCTCTGAGATAAATCCTACCTGATCATAATGTGTTATCTTCTTGACGTGTTGTTGGATTCAATTTGCTAGTATTATGTTGAGGATTTTTACACCTATGTTCATCAGGGATATTGGTCTGTAGTTTTCTTGTTCTGTTGTTTCCTTGTCTGCTTTTAGTATCAGGGTGATGCTGGCCTCATAGAATGAATTAAGAAGAATACCCTCCTCCTTAGTTTTTAGGAAAAGTTTAAGAGAGAATGGTATTAGTTATTCTTTGTATGTTTGATAGAATTTGACTGTGAATTTGTCTGGTACTGAATTTAATTTTTTGGAAGATTTTTAAATTGCTGATTCAGTCTCACTACTCATTATTGATCTGTTCAGGAGTTCTGTTTCTTCCTGGTTAATTCTGAGGAAGTTGTGTTTCTAGGATTTTATTTATTTCCTCTAGTATTTCCAGTTTGTGAACATGTATTGTTCATAATAGTCTCTGAAGATCTTTTGTATTTCTGTGGTAGAAATTGTAATGTATTCTTTTTCATTTCTGATTGTGTTTATTTGGATCTTCCCTCTTCTTTTCTTGCTTAGTCTAGCTAGTAGGTGTGGTGGCTCATGCCTGTAATCCCAGTGCTTTGGAGGGCCTAAGTTGGAGGATTGCTTGAAGCTAAGAGTTCAAGACCATTAGCCCCTTTAATGGGAAACAGCTTTACTTAAATTTAGGAATATAATCTGTTGGGACGGTGGATTGGAAGGAGTGGGAAAGGTAGTATTTTAGCTACTTGAAAGCTAAAAGAAAGAATGCGTGCTCCAAATTTGGAAACTATCCTTTTAGGATGAGGATCTTTGGTTTGACTAGCATTCAGTGAATCACAAGATCTTGTGCTTTCTTACTTTACGGGTATGCTATGAGAAAGTCACTACAAAAAGAATAAAGATGTGTTTAATAAAATTACATTAATTATAATAACTTTGAGTTGCAATAATGTTTGATAAAATGTTATATCTCTTAGTAATTAAAACAGAAGATAAACTTTAAGTATAAGCATAATAGCATCTGTCTCTCTAAAATAAAACTTAATAGAAACAACCTTAAATGGGTTGTTTTCATTTATTAAAAATTCTTGATCACTCATACATAATATAATTTATAAATGTCACACTAGTACAGACAATTTTCCCTGACATTTAGAAATAACCTTAATGAAAGTTCAAATATTGACCAGGCATGGTGGCTCACACATGTAATTCCAGCACTTTGGGAAGCCAAGGCAGATGAATCACCTGAGGTCAGAAGTTCGAGACCAGCCTGGCCAACATAGTGAAACCCCGTCTCTACTAAAAATACAAAAATTAGCCGGGCGTGGTGGCGGGCACTTGTAATCCCAGCTACTCCGGAGGCTGAGGCAGGAGAATCACTTGAACTCGGGAGGCGGAAGTTGCACTGAGCCGAGATCGCGACATTGAAATCCAGCCTGGGGGACAAGAGCGAGACTTCTAAAAGAAACATTTTTTAACACTTTAGCCTGAATTAATCTATAAATTTGCATTCACGGGAGATATCTGAAATCAGGTTACTGACCAGAAAGTAAATATCACATCTATTCAGGACTTCATAATTTGTTAACCAGTAAAACACATACATATGTCTAATCAGAAGACTATATTCGTATAAGCAAATGACAATTCTGATGCATTGGTGTATATTACATGTAAGGATTTTAAAAGTTGTTATAGGGCCAGGCATGGTGCACTTTGGGAACCCAAACCTGGCAGATTGTTTCAGCTCAGGAATTCCAGACCAGTCTGGGCAACATGGCAAAATGCCATCTCTACTAAAAATATAAAAATTATCTGGGCATGGTGGGTGCACCTGTAGTCCCAGTTACTTTTGGGGCTGAGGTAGAAGGAGTGCTTGAACCCAGGAGGTCAAGGCTGCAGTGAGCCAAGATAGCACCACTATACTCCAGCCTGGGTGACAAAGTGAGACCTTGTCCCCAAAAAAACTTGTTATAAATGCCAATGTTTTATTTTAAAAGCCCAAATTCAATAGTAAAAACAATGACATTAGCGTTCAATATATTATTTTAAATAAAATTTAAGATACACATTTAATATATCTTAAAATTCTGATATAAGTATTACTTGCCATTAATGACTTTGATGTTTCTCTTGGTTTCAAGCCGCTTTGCCCTGTGGTCTTTAGAGCAACCAGACCCATTTGGCTGATGTGTTTACTTGCTAAATTTATCTCTTCTGTGAAGAGGTTTTAGGATAGTCTTCAGGAGTGTTTCTGCCCTCTGACCAAGAGATCTTGATAAAATATTTGCTTTCCAAAGTAACAAAAAATACAAATTAAAAATTCTACTCTTCAGTGGAGGAAGCGGGTAAAAGGGTAAGAAAAATTGCCAAGGATTAGTGGTGATGTGCTAATGAGAAGTCTGAGATGAGAATCCATGAGAAGGGGAAGAGGAGAAGTGAGGAGTAAGAATTGGCAAAAAAGCAAAGGAGATTGAAGGAATCTCAGTTGTTTCTGAAATAATGCTATTACAAACCACAAATACTGATATTGCAACCCTTTTAAATAGTACAATATAATAGAAAAGAGCTACACCCAAAAATCACAACCCACAATTAGCTCTGTGGGTGGAAAAAGCATAACATAAATAATTAAACTGAAATGAAGCAAGGGTAACTTAACTTCCCTTAGCTAGTTCAAAAAACGCTTATATTTATAAACTTTTCAGTCTTAATCGAAGGTCAAGAAAAATTTGATAGTTCGTATCTACCAAATAGAGTTTGCAATTTTAACACTTGATCTATGTGTTTCTTTGAAATGTAATTGCCCCAGTTTTTAAACTCAGATCTATCTCTTTTGAAAGTTTTTAAATCTTCTCGTTCACATTTCTGTGATCTGATGTTTTTGAGTGTGTTGACAACACAGGTATCTTTAACTCCTAGCAAGAATTTTCTGCCAGTGTAAGAAATAGTGAATACATTATTCCCTACAAACAAGTTATATTTAATCAAAATGGCCTCTGTGAAAACTGTTTATCAATGCAATAGGTGATTTTTAGATTAGATAGGTTCTTGAGATTTTATAAATAATCAAGTAAGCTCAATCAGCTTACAGTCAAATAAAATGCCTGTGCCAATGAAATTCACAATTGCTAGTTAAGGCTGAAATCAAACAGAACAAACTTCTAAATTTCTCCCTTTGAATTGTGCTTAGACAAAAGTTTGATAGTAATGTGAAGTAAAAGACAACTAAAGGAAGGGGATGAATTTGGCAAATAGATATAGATGAGCTATGATGTAATTCCCACATTAATTTAGATCAAGTTATTTTGAGAAAATGTCCCTGCAGAGCAAAAAGAAAAAGAAAATAACAACAAAAATGTGTATTTATATTGTTTGCCTATAATTATTTAGCCAAACCAATACAAATATCAAAATAGTTTTATGCCTTACATTAGTTTTTTGTTCTTTTTTTCAGTCATAACCTCTGGTTTTTAAGAGCATTCCTAAATGCTTCCAGATGCATTCTTTATAATTTTTGCAATATCCTCCATGTAAACTTGATTTAAGATATTAGTGAGAATTCTAAAATATTTTTAATAAGATAAATGAATTTTATGGCTAACATTTAGAAAATTATTTGGAAAAAATACTGTTTTAATTTAATGTTGATCATCATAAGGCAATTATATTACAAAAATAATAATGATGTTAATGTCAATAAAAATTAAAAAGCATACCGTTTACCGAATATTTTCTTGGTGTTAGTAACGTTCACTTTTTTATTAATTTATTATTAAAATTCTATGATAAAGGTAATTTTCTATTTTATAGTAAAAGAAATCAAGGCCAGAGATGTTAAGCAAATTGTCCAAAGTTACATGATAAAGTTAGTATTCAAATCTATATGTAGCAGCCTGTGAATTTAATTATTTTAACCAAAGTGCTATATTCAGTACCCACCTCACCTCCAAAAGAATATACTAGTTAAAACAAATAGCAGTAACTGGATAGTTGTCAGAATGCATTGAGTAAAGAGAAAGAACATAATGCCAATTCAAAGAATGATATACATGAATAGATTTGAATACAATTTGCTATACAAAAAAATTCATGTATTTAATCTATAGACATTTATTGGACATCATATATATTCCTGTTGTCACTGGGGATGCACAAGTGAATAAAACACAAAAGTCCTTGCAACTGAAAAGAATAGACTTTCTATTTACTGAACTGGGAAGACAGCTTCACTTTATATGTGGACTAAAGCCCGCATTTTTTCGCCATAGCCTTCAGAATCTCAAGGATATGCCGTGCCTGCCCATCCCTGCATCCTCAAATTTTGACACTATCCTTATTGCTCTCTTAGTTTCAGCTACAATGACCTTTTTCCACATCCTAAAAAACACTATGCACATTCTATTTCTTCTACCTGGAATGTCATTTTTTTTAACATCATTAAAGACACAGTGAAGATATTTCTTTTTCAGGGTGAACTTCCCTAAACGCAAGTACAAAGTACCCTTGTTTTGCTTTTTCTTGATGACTTTTACCATTTTGTTATTTTTCTCTAAATTATGTAGCATATTTTGATATATTTTATTTGCTAATTATTCAAAAATCATGAAGACAACATTTTTAAACGTATATTTTATTCATTACTGTGAATCTACCATATTACTTAGTACCTGGTACATATCAGACAGTAAATAAATATTTTTGACTATCTGAATTGATGAATTTGTATAGTTTTGTAGTCGATTACAATTATATTTCTATTACATTACAAACAATGTGATTATGTAGAACTCTCCAACGATTATTTTTAGAAAGCAAACATTTTTATCCAACAGTTATTTGTGAATTGCTTTCTATATTTGAAACCCTGTTCACCGGGGCTATAACAATCCTTATGCTCACGAAGATTATTTCTTTTTTCTTTTTTTTTTTTTTTTTTTTTTGAGACGGAGTCTCACTTTGTCACCCAAGCTGCGGTGCAGTGACGCGATCTAGGCTCACCGCAAGCTACGCCTCCCGGGTTCACGCAGTTCTCCTGCCTCAGCCTCCTGAGTAACTGGGACTACAGGCGCCCGCCACCACGCCCCGCTAACTTTTTTGTATTTTTAGTAGAGATGGGGTTTCACCGTGTTAGCCAAGATGGTCTGCATCTCCTGACCTCGTGATCTGCCCGCCTCGGCTTCCCAAAGTGCTGGGATTACAGGAGTGAGCCACCGCGCCCGGCCCGAAGATTATTTCCTAAAGAAAAGGCAGAGGCAATAAACAATTTAACAAGAAATTACAACTAATTCTGTAGAAAAATTAGTTGGACATTATACATAGGGAAGGTCATGCCTGAGGCAGAGTCAATTTTCGATATGATGTTTAAATGAAGTTCTCATTGAGAAAGTGACATTTGAACAAGTAGTTGAAAGGGGTGAGTGAACAAACCATGTGGATATCATAAATTATAAAGGCACTGACTTGAGAACTTGCTGTATACACAGAACAGTGGGAATCTGCAATTTCTATCTCCTATGCTTCTCACCCAGGTGACTGACCTCAGCTCTTCAGCCCATCTGCAGGTAGGTTTCAGAGAGTCTCCAAATAAGTAGTATCTACTTAGAAGAGGGAGACAGAGAAGAGCCATACTAAAAAACAGAGGGCAGGGTGAAAGTCTACACTCAAGAGTAAGACCAATTTCAGTTCCATTCCCTTGCCTTGCTTCGAAATGTCCATTGCCAAACCTATTTCTGTTAGGCAGGGCATTGGAGGATTCTTTGCTGAAAGAATTTAGGAGTCTCAATAAAATGTTCAAAAAACACAGTGAAGGGATTGAGTGACCATCTTCTTATAGTATAGTCCACATGTCAATTTTCCCTATTCAGACAAGCAGAGCTGTCAGACCATAATTAGTCATAATTACTCTTAATGATGAATGAACAACCAACAAACACCAGACATGAAAAGAAAGTCTACAACATGAAACACAGTCATCAAAAAGTTGGGGTGGGATTTGGTGGCAGGGGAAAAGAGACTCAACCCAACTAATCCAAATAAGATCTTGGGAACTAAAACTTTAGTTGCATAAAATATTATTCAACAATTACATAAGATGATATATA
Organism: Homo sapiens; assembly: GCF_000001405.40. Taxonomy (NCBI): domain Eukaryota; kingdom Metazoa; phylum Chordata; class Mammalia; order Primates; family Hominidae; genus Homo; species Homo sapiens. The sequence continues at coordinate 59,224,581 of NC_000004.12, read as the reverse complement.
TAAGCACATATAAAGAAATAACAGAATATAAAACAAAAATCAAAAGAAAGAGCTAAAAAAATTAAAGAATAAATTCAGAAGTTCCAATACACGACAAAAAATTTCAACAAAGAACAAATAATGCATAAGTTAACACATGAATTGTTTTAAAATAATATTTTAAAAAATAATGTTAATATATAAATATTAATTTTAGTACTTAAAAACATCTTTATTGTTAAAAATGTCTCCATATGGAAAGGCATACCCTACTGTGTACCCAACACAATGCATGAAATGATGCACAAAACGTAATCTAAGGCAGCTGAACATGAAGTCTTAGAACATGAGAAATAAAGAAAATACCAGAATGAAAAGTTATGTTGCAAAAAATAGAACAGAAATTTTAAATTTAAAATCAGATTTAAAATTTTAATTTTAATTAAATTTAAAATTTAATTTTAATTAAATTTTAAATTTAATTAATTTAAAATTTAAATTTCAGATTTCTCATTAGCAATATGATTAAAATTTCTGATGAGAAAGAATTTCCAGCTTAAAATTATATACCCACTCAAATACTAGTCAAGCAGAAGGATAGAAAAGAAGACATTTACATTAATGCAAACATTCTCAATATTTACTTTCCATTGTTCTTTTGACATAGAGCTGCTATAGAATGTATGATCCAGGAAACAGGAAATTTAACACCATAAAGAGGCAATGGATTGTCTAGGGTTCCATAAGCAAATTATTACAATGACAGCATGTAGAAGGCTAGAATAGCCAGGCAGCACTTAGAGTAGCAGAAAGAAGGAGGCATCTGGGGGCAGGGAAAATGACCCTGATTATTATCTAGTATGTTTAGATGTCTTTAAAGTGACATTGATAGATCTATATCAGGTCGAATGGAGCATATGGAAACAATTAAATTAGATTAAAAAAACAGACAAGTTAAAACATGAGACAATCATTAATTTCAGAAAAACGAGTAAGTTTTATAACAAAGAAAACTAAATATGATTATTGATGCAGAAATAAATAATTTAAATATATAATTTATAATAAAAATACAGCTTTTGATTGAACAAAATGCTGATACAGCCATAAATGGCAATATGTAGGGAGCTGAAGTTAAAGGAATATTGGTATAATCAAATTTTACCTACCATACAGAAATCTGACATAAAATGTAAAATGTTGTCATATGAAATTACTAACATAGCATACTGTTTATGAATATAAGGTAAATACTACTAATAACAGCTAAATATTTGAAAATGGTTACCCTCTTGTGAGAGAGTAGGGACTGGGGAGGCTTAAGCGAAGTATTGCTATTTTCATTGTAGACTTAGTATCTTGTACATATTATTTACTTTATTTTTTACTAATTGAATGCATTTTAAGACAATATAGTTCAAAATGCTCTATACAATATAATGATGAACTGCATTATCCTGAAAGTAACCCATTCCAATAAAATGCACATTTTAAATAAAAGCCTTAAAATCAGAAATTAAAAGCTTGCCATTGTCAGGCAACATGATGGAGGAAAGTGGTAAAGAACAGGCATAAATTGTTCCGAAATTTTTAAAAATTTTATAAGAATGAAGTTGAGTATTATCTCTATGCTCTGCCATAAACATTTTGATATTGATATCTGTAATGGTTCACTCATTTTCACATTTTTGGTAGAGATATTTTGAGTAAGGAAGGAAATATAAATTTCTTCCTCTAAAGCTTCGAGTTTTTTTTTCATATTACAGCAGTGTCATGATCTTATGCAAAATTATTCCGCTGTAGTCCCCTTAGAACAATTTTTAAAATTATCCCCAAACTAAAGTCAGCTAGTTCTTTAAGAACGAGTTCATTTTCCATGAAAATATCTCAGTCCCTCAACATAAACTCTATAGTTCTTCCAAGTGGTAAGAGTCTAGTCTGGTAAACAAATAAACTACAATCAATGAGAAAAGTACACAATAGGTAATCGTTGCTTGTTTGCAAAATGAACAAATTGAATGAATGTTTTCAAAGCAAATTAAGAAAAACCAGAAGTGTGGATTGCATTACATTCTAATATCCATTTTTAGCATCTTCCTTTGGAAGGCTAGCAATAAGCTCAGCAAGTTATTTTAATCGCGGGGAAGACAAACAATTGCCAAACCTAGTGCAGAGAAGCCACAAAAGAGCCATCTGTTTTTCACTGCTGAATAAATGATCTACAGCAATAAGGAAATTTTTGCCAACTTTTCAGAAAGGCAAATTGCCTTGGAAGAAGGAATAAAAGTCAAGTCCGACATCTACCACCATGTTATATTGAATTATTTCTATAACACAAGCATTTTCTAATTGTAATACATTATTTACTGCAAAAACATTTATTCATCTTGCTATTACTCTATAAGGAATATTAGATAAATAGAAATTTTCCATGGATCTGTTCTAGGCTGCCTTCTCATCTTTTTATATATATTCTATCTCAATCATCTCACCAGATCAGAATTTAATTTTCACATCTGGTGCATGACTGCCATATCTGTGTTTTTAGCCTCTACTTTTTTCTTATTCTGAATTTCCAGCCCCTGCTTCTTAATATCTCCAAATATCCTAGGATTGTTTCAAATTATGATGCATCTTTCATCTCAAATTTTCTGTTTTATTTTTTCTTATTTATGCACATATTAATCCTCATTTGTCGAATCACCTGAGCTCAAAACCTTAGTGTCTTTCTTCTTGTTTGACTCTCTAATTTCTTGCCAATTGCATGTATCTTTTCTCAACAATGTTTTCACACATATACTCATTGTTTATCCCCTTTTTCGCTCTCCTAGTTGACATTTTCCTTACCTTCCATGTTTTCATTACCTTTCATCTAGCAAGCAAGCTTAATTCCTACCCTATGTATTGTTAGCATATACGTTCTTCAGGAAAACCAACACTGGTGAACTCTCTGGTCAGAAATCACCAATGCTCCTTCAGCATTTAAGAAATAAATCCAGTTTCCTTGGTTGTAATTTTAAATTTGTCAAGGTCTTGCCTCCAATTATTTCTAATCTCATTTTTCAGTGCTTACTTTCTAGCATCTTATTTCTCTGTCAAACCATTTCAATACTTGTGCTTGCCTGCCACACTTTGACCCTATATTCATGTTTATATTTGTATTGGGATTTCCTTTTACTGTTAGTTCCACCAAGACAAATTCAATCCGTCTTCCCAGACTCATTCATATGTCAACTACGACAGAAAGTTTTTCACATTACACCACTAAAAAATGATGTGAGTCCTCATAGTAATTTTTGTGTGCCTAATTGCTAGTCTTTTTATCCAGTGTAAAACAATAATCTCTAAAGGCTAGGATTTATAATAGGTTGTCCGTATATTATCAAGTCATTTATAAAGAAAACATTTGCTATATAACTGATACTGATCTGTGTATTAAGAATATAGAGATGAATAAAACAAGATCTTTGATATAGTAAAGTATTCATTCCTTTAGTGGGAGAAACAGTTATTAAATGAGTAGGTGAATAAACACAACTGAAGGGAGTGAGTAGTGCCTCAAAGAAAATAATGCAGGGTAATATAATAGAGAGCATTTGTAGTCATTTGGTAGGGAAAAAGAGTCAGCTTAAAGCATTTAATGTGATAATATAATGAAAAGAAAGAAGGAAGAAAAAAGAAAGAAAAAGAAGGTGTATACATTGTACTTATACCAAACAATATATAGAATTGTTCATATATTTATCAAAAGCGCATATTGAGCAGCTCAAATATTCAAGATCTACTGTAATTACTGGATAAATAAAACATGATACAAACTAAAGTAGCTCACGTTGTGAGGAGACAAGTATGTAAGATCATATAATGCTATATGACAATTTCTGTAATAGCATGAAATGAGTATAAAAAAATTCTATTAGGAACATGAAACAAGTAGTAATTAGTGCAGTCTTGAAACACCATCTGCAAAGTCTGATGAACAAAGCGATTTCTATGCTGGATCTTAAAGGATTTAGTGCTCAGCAATCTTTTCTCCTTTCTAGTTATTGGGCTCATTCCAACAATATACTGCTCATGGAACTTCCAGTGCTTTATGCTTTTATTTGGTGCTTATTTATTTATTTATTTTTGTGCTTTCCTGGCCACACTGCTTTATCTATTGGTGGAGTTGTGACCCAACACTGTAGTACATTCTTGGGTCACAAATGGTTAGTTCCACGGTGCAAACCTAACTAAATGTGAACCTTTTTAACAGGAATCTTAAACTTGATATTGCAGATAATACTGAGTCTATGTCAAAAGCAAAGCTAACAAATATTCGTCAAAAATCTGCTGAGAGACTTATTTCAAAATCCAGGGACAATGTCAGTCAAAAATAATGGAAAGGACATAAGACGACATAAAAGGAGAAGCAGATATGCAATGGAAAGAAAAAACAGATCTTTTTTTTTTTCAAGATTATTTGTTAATTCCTGAAATCTAGTTCAATCCTTCAACTTTCTTTGGTTTAATTTTTTTTGAACTTCCATTTTTCTTAGCTGGTTCAAATTAGCATTACGTTGCTTAAAACCAAAAAACTTCCAGATTAGTTTAAAAATAGAAGGATGTTCCAGGTAGGGAAGGGAGAACAAGGAAAGACAAAGGCTAAGAGCTTTCCATGAGTTTCATTTGTTCAGGAAGTACAATGTCACCATGCTTCTCAGGACAGAACAAGTGAGGGGTTAAAAGTAATAGATGTGATGAGCTTAAGTTTTGGTGACAATGGTAGGAAAAATTGGTTAAATTAGCAGCACTATTATGGTTGCCATCTACCTTTTACTCTATGGTTTGCCTTTGAACCGTATATTTAAACTCTTTCAAAATTTTGCTTCATAAAAATGCTTTTCTGCTTTTCTCTTCACTCATCTCAGATACATTTTCCAAAAAAATTACCAATTTCATGGGAAATATCTTAACATTAAATTGGCTTCTGGAGAACTAAAAAAGTACTGAATTCCAGAAAAAGATAATCAAATGCATACTACACAAGACAATTTTTAAAATTTGATTAGGAATTAAAAAAATATGAGCAATAACAATAACCAGTTATATAGAGATTAATCTTGTAAGAAGGTAGATATGGTTGGTTAGCATGAAGACACGTCATATTTATATCAGAATCAATATAAGCTACTATTATTAACTTTGTTTTTTTATTTACTTTAACTTAAAGTACTTGAAAAATTAAGTATCCATTCTATGTCCAATTAGAGTAGAAGACAAAATACTATTTTATTTGCTTTTTACCAGTATGAAAAATAGAGTCATGAGTCATTCAGAATTAGTACAGTAAGATTTTTGAGTTGAACTCAATTTGGGCACAATATCAACATGTCAGTGTCCTCGCAGATTTATTCCATTGTTATCTAACTGATGAAAACCTATTATTCGTCCATTTTGTCTAGAAAAATGGATAGCAAATCCAAAATTTCAAAAAAGAATACTGAAGCTCCTGAAAGGTACTCCAAAGATATGTACATTCATTTTTTATAAAGGATATGGTAAAAAACAAAAACTGAAACTGAAGACAACGTGCCAGGTTTACAGTTGCACAATATTCCTTTCTTTTTTACAGGAAAATTTTGCACTTCATGAAAGCTTTGTTTGGTTGTTTAAATAGAAATTTGAAAATTAATGCATTTTATTATTATAACTGGGTAGGAAGACATGGGAGAATGATGTGGTTATGAAGAAATATGCTAGGAGACATTTGAAGTGTGTATAATTGGTTTGATCTTTAAAAGTTTTTATTTACATGACACATGTGACATAGTGAGACTTGCATATACATTTGCTTTGTATTTTTGCACTAAGCTTTTTAAAAAGGGATTTTTAATATTAAAATATTGTCTAATAAAATCTAATAAATCATAACCCTATTGATTAAATATTGCTATATTTAGATAATGTCGTTATTCATTTAAACATTAAGAGCACATTAAAAACAATTGACTCAAAGACATGAATTGTTCAAAACGTCTTTATTATCATTAGGGAAGACATGTATTCATAGCTTTTTACAATTAAAATAAAATTCCAACAATTCTATAAATCTCAGACATGAAGAAATACAGTTAAAGTTTGCATTCAATAATTAGTCATTAATGAGAATTGCGAAATACTAACTGACTTTAAAGAGTTTGGGCAAAGAGAGGAGTGGACAGATGAGACAAAAGTATTTGAAGTGTAATGCAAGCACCTCTTCACCCTAGCAATGCCAAGGAAATCGCAACACGGTACTTCTATGTATACTTCTCAACAAGGTGGAAGTTAGATACGTTTGCAGGTGGATACATTAACAGAATGGTTATCCAACTTGCTTATGTTTCAGTCAATTATATTAATTCCACAGCCCATTTTACATCAATATACTATATTGGAATGTTGTAAGGTTTCTGGGGAATTCCTTCCCCTTTTAATGCTTCAAAGTTTTGACAGATGACATAATGACACATTGTTATGAGATTATCAGAGCAAATAATCATGATACAGATAACATATTTACTTAAATTCACAAAATAACTGAGTTTTTGGCCCTTCATTCAATTAGAATGTTGGGAAAGCTTTAACTTTACCTATATCAAAATTGTATTGAGTCAATCCAAGACTATAAGTACAACATTAAATATACTTCAAAGTAGAACATATTATATATATTTAAATCTTCAACAAAGTATATTCTATTTATTAAAACTAAGATATTCTTGGATATTTTCTTGAACATACTTAACATGAAAAATACCAGGTTTCTGCAAAACTTGATCAATTTTTAGGTCCAAATGACTATGCCATGCCCAAAACGCACTCATACATGCATTAATATTTCCATTCACTCAATAATCATTGCAAAATAAAACTGGAGAAAAAGTAAAAAAAAAATAAGTTAAAGGATGACATCTTATTTAAATAACAGAAACAAAGAATGAATGAAGTTGTCTGAATTGTCCACTATTAAAAAAAAAATTATTTAAGTGAAATATTCCTTGATTGCAGTTTTTCTTAACTTTGCAGGTCCATTTGCAAATATATATATATACATATATATGTATACATATGTATATATATGCATGCATCTTTTTCTATATTAGCATTTAGAAAGTCCAGTGTAAGCTTATGATTTATACACACATGGGCAACAGAAGAGAAACAAAATTGGCTGTCAAAAAGCCAAAAACAAGTACAGAAAGATACAAGAAGCTGGCTTTGCTGTGAGTCTGAAAAATAGTCACAATGGAATACATGAGGGAGATGGCTAGAAAGAAGTTAAGTTGATTTCAGAATGAAGCAGCTGAATTTATTATTTCTGAAACAGCACAAGGCTGGCTATTGGCAATGTCTAAGGTGGTGATGTGGGGATAAGTAGCAAATGTACTTTAGTGGTAAAGATCACTTTGTGCAGTCTGATCCTATGAAACATGACATTATAGAAATATGATCAATCTAATTCTTCTCCATTTTAGATTTCTAGCATATATTTCAGTATTGACAGGAATTTCATCTCTAGATTCCTGCAACAAATGAGCTTATACTATGTGCCGGGCATTGAGCTGAGCGATTTACATACGTAAATTCATTTAATCCTTACAATAACCACATAAGAAGACAAACTCTAAACTTAGAGGTGAAAAAACTGTGGTTCTAAATATGTGAGTAACCTTTTGAAAACTGCATAGTAGGTAAGTTATGAAACAGTGTTCAAAGCCAGATAATCAAACCCCAGGTACTACATTCTTAAGGAATTGCATTATACTATTATCTAAAAATAAAGCCCAGAAAAGAGAAATAGATCTAATTGGATATTGTGATGGTTAATTTTAGGTGTCTATTTGACCTGACTAAGGAATTCCTAGAAAGTGGGAAAAGCAATATTTCTGTGTGTGTCTGTGATAGTGTTTCCAGAGGAGATGAGTGTGAGTCAGTGGACTGAGCGCAGAAGATCTGCAGTCAATGTGGGCGAGTACAGTCCAATCTGCTGGGGGCCTGGGTAGAACAAAAAGGCAGAGGAAAAAATAATTCTTCCTCTTTCTATTTCTTGGATTTGGGACCTCCTTCTACTGCCCTTGGACTTCAAATCTCTAGAGTCAATGGGCTTCGGATTCTGGGACTTACACCAGCCCCCACCTGGGTTCTCAGATCTTCAGCCTCAGCCAGACATTTCACACATTGGCCTCTGTGGTTCTGAGGATTTTAGACTTAGGTTGAGCCATAGTGCTAGCATCTCAGGGTCTCCAACTTGCAGATGACGTATCATGGGACTTCTCAGCCTCTGTAATCACAAGAGCCAATTCACCTAAAAAATACCCTCTCGTGTACTATATTTATATTTATATCTATATATCTATATCTATATCTATATCTATATCTATATCTATATCTATCTGTAGCTATATATCCCATTGGTTCTCTCTGGAGAACCCTAATACACAACTGAACAGCAGAAATAGCAATAATATTTAAGCACATAGGGAATATTGTCTTGCAGTGTTTATTAACTTTTGACTGTCACAGACCCATTAGCAAATCTAATTAGATCTAGGAACAATGTCTAAAGAAAATGCACATACATATATATTACAAAAATGGTCTTGCATAGATTTTGGAAAACAAAAAAATGAAACATTTATTAAAATGATAGGCCATAAGAAAAATATATAATTTGAAACACTTTGGTAAAATACTTAATACTTTGTGCAACATGGGAGATATGTCTATGAAGCTGGTTACATTTTTTATAGTCACTTTGGGCCTTAAGGATTTTAAAATACAGTGTGATCAGAATTAATGAGCCCCAGTTGACAGAGCCATCAATAGCATTATGGTATTCTTTTATGTGAGACATGAAAATTCCAAACATCCTGTACTTACTAAGGTTCTGTCTGGCAAAGGATTACCATGAGACACCTTTATGAGTTGTTTGAAAATTTCTTTGCAAAGATCAGTTCCCTATAGAATTGATATTGGTAATTCATTCAAAAGCAAAACTACCTCTCCAAAATGTGCAACTTTCTGTCTATTACAGCTGAGAGGCCAGGAAAAAAAAAAAAAGAGCCTTCTAAATTATCTTTGTTTCTAAAGCAGACTTACTCAGAGTTGGTTTCAAGGGCATAAGAATCCATACTCTTCAGCATTTTCTGAAAATTTCATGATGAGGCAAGGTTCCTACCTTGTGAGAATTATATATTTCTTTTTAAGTTAAAAATTGGCATTTTTAGAGCTTATTATTTGCTTCCCTCCGGCAGCTGCCATATTGCTCTGAATATTACTGTGTCTGCTATCATTTGTGACATACTCTTAGAAGGCCCGTCAGGAAATTTGGTCTCAGACTCTAACCTAATGCAGATTTAACAATAAGAAGAATCCTACACTTTAATAAAACATTAAAAACATCCTTGGCAGTACGAAGACTAAAAGAGAGCCAGTGGTAAACTCTGAGCTGTCTGTTGCATTCTGAGAGAATCAAGATGAGAGCACTCAAGTGATTTTGTAGCTTCAGATATGGTCAAATTGTTGTGTGACTGATTTGTGAAAATATGTATCTAGTAATGGGCAAGATGGTAAATTTACTTAAAATAAGTTCCAGATGAAAATTGTAAGACATAGTTCAACTATAGTTCATTCTTTCAGGAGGAATCACAGAAAGGGAATAACGACAATGTGTGTTTCCTTCCTGTTTTGTATCCTATGCATTATATAATTCTTCATGTCAATTAGTGCATTCCTATGACGTTTCACCTTCAAACAGCTTCTGGGGAAACCATAAGAAGAAGAAAAGAAAATGAATAGGAAAAGATTTAAAACTGAGAATGAGGAAACTGAATCATAGACAAGGATTGAAGAATAGAAATTAATCATTTACTTGTGTGTTACAAAACATTTTTATTGGCTGTGTAGAACAGTAAAACAGTGTGTCCTCTGAAAATGTGAAAAATAAATGTACTAAAATAGTTTCTTAGACTTAAATTGGTCAAATTTGTTTATTCATACAATTATTATTAGCAAGTAGTGGGAACTGTACAACCAATTGTACAATTGTAGCAACCAGTGGGAATTGTACACCTTTAACAAAAGTGTATTCCTTAGGCACTTATAAATACCTGGAGCACCAATCAGGCTACATGGAATTGTCATCTGAGATTCTGTACTTGAAAGGGATTATAATTTATCATCTAAAATCTGATCATTGATATTGACCCTGTTTAGGGAAATACTATGCAAGTAGTTCATTGCATAGTCTTATGGGAAAAAATGCATTTTCTAAACACAGGCAAACTTGGACTGAAGATGTTAATGCTTTGGTCCATATGTGGATTGTGGTATGACTCTTAACCTGGATTGGCTTAGCCCATTTATTCCTGTTGCTCCATTTCTATTTTCAACTTCTGACTGTAATTTGTCTTCCCATGAAGATTTCCTCTAAGGACAGAATATAATGATCCAATTATTTAAATATTTGATGCCCTGGACAGTTGATTTTCTGATTGAAAAATACAGGATCATAATTCTGTCATAAACCATTCTGTGTAAAATTGGGTGTTATGATTTCTCCCTGAGAATTCCTTACAATTTCGATTGCTAAAAAGAAAGAAAGAAATGTTTCTACTTTTAGGAGCTTCCAGTTAAATTTGGGAAAATGGTTAAGTCAATGAGGTATTCTTTATATTGGGAGGTACACTGTCAGCCAGACAGCCAATTAAGAGACAGTCAGCTAGTCATCTTTCTTTCATGACACTCAGCTTCTATCAACTAAACTAAGTCAATTTAGCCAGTTGCATTAGGCTATTTTGGTAGATACACACAGGCTTTGGAAATTAGATGTGAGGGCTCTAATTCTACTCTCCCACAATCTCTCTACCAGGTGGAACTACAAGATAAAAACAAGTCTCTAAATGAATTCTATACCAGAAAGCAGGCAAAAATTGTCACACAACTTACTTTTGTAAGTGCAGCAAAGTCTCACACACTCCTAATCACTTTGGATGATTGATTCAAGGCAAGTGCCATGATATTTTAGTAGCAGAAACCAGATAACCTTTAGTTGGAATCTCATTACGGTATTCATTATTATATAGCAAGAAAACAGAATCAGACAGAACTTCTATGCCTAGAGTACCAATGGAATTGGTATAAATTTTTGTTCTAACTAGAGCAGCTGTTCTTAAACAATATTTACAGCCTGCTCTTGTATCTAGAACAGCAAAGTCAAAGTTTTTCTATCACTTTTTATGCTGAACCAATTAGTCTCTTGCCATCAATCTGACAATCATAATAATGTTATTGACAATCATTGTGTTGGTGAAAGGTTAACTTGTAATTCTTTCCTAAATCTCCACCTCTGTAGCTGGTTTGTATGCAGCATTCTCTAAGAAGTTGAAATCCTTGAGGCCCGGCGAGGTAAAACAGGGAGTTTGAAAAGACCACTCAGTGGGCTAACACTGTCCAAATCTGCATGTGTCCTCTGAGGACATGAGAGGAAAGTGTCTTAATGTTCCTGGCTGATCTCTGTTGCATCTCTCTGGTTTGCTTTACACCAGTGGACTCACAAAGCATAAAAGACATATCTCACAGGGCAGTCAGTTTTACCAATCTCAGTGAAGTGGCACATCACTGATAGGTGAACTAAAATTGATTCTTGTGAAAACAGCTTAAGAAATAGAGGCATTCTGGGGATTAAATGGGTCCAGCTGGATAGAAATACAATGATACATAAAGGAAGGCTGCAGTTGTTAAAGTTGCTACTATTGCTAACTCCATGGGATAGTTTCATCAGTGTCAGCCCCTAAAAGGAACTGAACAAATTAGGACCTTTGCTATTTCTGCGTAGTAAGTTAGAAAAGAACACAGTGAATTGTTGAGAAGCCAATTACCAGTCTCTAGCATAGTTAGATGTGCTGATACAGTAAAGCTTTTTTTTTTCCCCCTAGGGATAAGCTTCTTTTCTTTTTTTTTCTTTTATTATTATTATACTTTAAGTTTTAGGGTACATGTGCACAATGTGCAGGTTAGTTACATATGTATACATGTGCCATGCTGGTGTGCTGCACCCATTAACTCATCATTTAGCATTAGGTATATCTCCTAATGCTATCCCTCCCCCCTCCGCCCACCCCACAACACTCCCCAGAGTGTGATGTTCCCTTTCCTGTGTCCATGTGTTCTCATTGTTCAATTCCCACCTATGAGTGAGAATATGTGGTGTTTGGTTTTTTGTTCTTGTGATAGTTTACTGAGAATGATGACTTCCAATTTCATCCATGTCCCTACAAAGGACATGAACTCATCATTTTTTATGGCTGCACACCATTCCAGGGTGTATATGTGCCACATTTTCTTAATCCAGTCTATCATTGTTGGACATTTTGGTTGGTTCCAAGTCTTTGCTATTGTGAATAGTGCCGCAATAAACATATGTGTGCATGTGTCTTTATAGCAGCATGATTTATAGTCCTTTGGGTATATACCCAGTAATGGGATGACTGGGTCAAATGGTATTTCTAGTTCTAGATCCCTGAGGAATCGCCACACTGACTTCCACAATGGATGAACTAGTTTACAGTCCCATCAACAGTGTAAAAGTGTTCCTATTTCTCCACATCCTCTCCAGCACCTGTTGTGTCCTGACTTTTTAATGATTGCCATTCTAACTGGTGTGAGATGGTATCTCATTGTGGTTTTGATTTGCATTACTCTGATGGCCAGTGATGGTGAGCATTTTTTCATGTGTTTTTTGGCTGCATAAATGTCTTCTTTTGAGAAGTGTCTGTTCATGTCCTTTGCCCACTTTTTGATGGGGTTGTTTGTTTTTTTCTCGTAAATTTGTTTGAGTTCGTTGTAGATTCTGGATATTAGCCCTTTGTCAGATGAGTAGGTTGCGAAAATTTTCTCCCATTTTGTAGGTTGCCTGTTCACTCTGATGGTAGTTTCTTTTGCTGTGCAGAAGCTCTTTAGTTTAATGAGATCCCATTTGTCAATTTTGTCTTTTGGTGCCATTGCTTTTGGTGTTTTAGACATGAAGTCCTTGCCCATGCCTATGTCCTGAATGGTAATGCCTAGGTTTTCTTCTAGGGTTTTTATGGTTTTAGGTCTAACATTTAAGTCTTTAATCCATCTTGAATTGATTTTTGTATCAGGTGTAAGGAAGGGATCCAGTTTCAGCTTTCTACATATGGCTAGCCAGTTTTCCCAACACCATTTATTATATAGGGAATCCTTTCCCCATTGCTTGTTTTTCTCAGGTTTGTCAAAGATCACATAGTTGTAGATATGCAGTGTTATTTCTGAGGACTCTGTTCTGTTCCATTGATCTATATCTCTGTTTTGGTACCAGTACCATGCTGTTTTCGTTACTGTAGCCTTGTAGTATAGTTTGAAGTCAGGAAGTGTGATGCCTCCAGCTTTGTTCTTTTGGCTTAGGATTGACTTGGCGATGTGGGCTCTTTTTTGGTGCCATATGAACTTTAAAGTAGTTTTTTCCAATTCTGTGAAGAAAGTCATTGGTAGCTTGATGGGGATGGCATTGAATCTATAAATTACGTTGGGCAGTATGGCCATTTTCACGATATTGATTCTTCCTACCCATGAGCATGGAATGTTCTTCCATTTCTTTGTATCCTCTTTTGTTTCATTGAGCAGTGGTTTGTAGTTCTCCTTGAAGAGGTCCTTCAAGTCCCTTGTAAGTTGGATTCCTAGGTATTTTATTCTCTTTGAAGCAATTGTGAATGGGAGTTCACTCATGATTTGGCTCTCTGTTTGTCTGTTATTGCTGTATAAGAATGCTTGTGATTTTTGTACATTGATTTTGTATCCTGAGACTTTGCTGAAGTTGCTTATCAGCTTAAGGAGATTTTGGGCTGAGACAATGGGGTTTTCTAGATATACAATCATGTGATCTGCAAACAGGGACAATTTGACTTCCTCTTTTCCTAATTGAATACCCTTTATTTCCTTCTCCTGCCTAATTGCCCTGGCCAGAACTTCCAACACTATGTTGAATAGGAGTGGTGAGAGAGGGCATCTCTGTCTTGTGCCAGTTTTCAAAGGGAATGTTTCCAGTTTTTGCCCATTCAGTATGATATTGGCTGTGGGTTTGTCATAGATAGCTCTTATTATTTTGAGATACGTTCCATCAATACCTAATTTATTGAGAGTTTTTATCATGAAGCGTTCTTGAATTTTGTCAAAGGCCTTTTCTGCATCTATTGAGATAATCATGTGTTTTTTGTCTTTGGTTCTGTTTATATGCTGGATTACATTTATTGATTTGCATATATTGAACCAGCCTTGCATCCCAGGGATGAAGCCCACTTGATCATGGTGGATAAGCTTTTTGATGTGCTGCTGGATTTTGTTTGCCAGTATTTTATTGAGGATTTTTGCATCAATGTTCATCAAGGATATTGGTCTAAAATTCTCTTTTTTGGTTGTGTCTCTGCCCAGCTTTGGTTTCAGGATGATGCTGGCCTCATAAAATGAGTTACGGAGGATTCCCTCTTTTTCTATTGATTGGAATAATTTCAGAAGGAATGGTATCAGCTCCTCCTTGTACCTCTGGTAGAATTCGGCTGTGAATCCGTCTGGTCCTGGATTCCTTTTGGTTGGTAAGCTATTGATTATTGCCACAATTTCAGAGCCTGTTATTGGTCTATTCAGAGATTCAACTTCTTCCTCATTTAGTCTTGGAAGGGTGTATGTGTCGAGGAATTTATCCATTTCTTATAGATTTTCTAGTTTATTTGCATAGAGGTGTTTGTAGTATTCTCTGATGGTAGTTTGTATTTCTGTGGGATCGGTGGTGATATCCCCTTTATCACTTTTTATTGCATCTATTTGATTCTTCTCTCTTTTCTTCTTTATTAGTCTTGCTAGCAGTCTATCAATTTTGTTGATCCTTTCAAAAAACCAGCTCCTGGATTCATTAATTTTTTGAAGGGTTTTTTGTGTCTCTATTTCCTTCAGTTCTGCTCTGATTTTAGTTATTTCTTGCCTTCTCCTAGCTTTTGAATGTGTTTGCTCTTGCTTTTCTAGTTCTTTTAATTGTGATGTTAGGGTGTCAATTTTAGATCTTTCCTGCTTTCTCTTGTGGGCATTTAGTGCTATAAATTTCCCTCTACACACTGCTTTAAATGTGTCCCAGAGATTCTGGTATGTTGTGTCTTTGTTCTCATTGGTTTCAAAGAACATCTTTATTTCTGCCTTCATTTCATTATGTACCCAGTAGTCATTCAGGAGCAGGTTGTTCAGTTTCCATGTAGTTGAGTGGTTTTGACTGAGTTTCTTAATCCTGAATTCTAGTTTGATTGCACTGTGGTCTGAGAGACAGTTTGTTATAATTTCTGTTCTTTTACATTTGCTGAGAAGAGCTTTACTTCCAACTATGTGGTCAATTTTGTAATAGGTGTGGTGCAGTGCTGAAAAAATGTATATTCTGTTGATTTGGGGTGGAGAGTTCTGTAGATGTCTATTAGGTCCGCTTGGTGCAGAGCTAAGTTCAATTCCTGGGTATCCTTATTAACTTTCTGTCTCGTTGATCTGTCTAATGTTGATAGTGGGGTGTTTAAGTCTCCCATTATTATTGTGTGGGAGTCTAAGTCTCTTTGTAGGTCACTCAGGACTTGCTTTATGAAACTGGGTGCTCCTGTATTGGGTGCATATACATTTAGGATAGTTAGCTCTTCTTGTTGAATTGATCCCTTTACTATTATGTAATGGCCTTCTTTGTCTCTTTTGATCTTTGTTGGTTTAAAGTCTGTTTTATCAGAGACTAGGATTGCAACCCCTGCCTCTTTTTGTTTTCCATTTGCTTGGTAGATCTTCCTCCATCCTTTTATTTTGAGCCTATGTGTGTCTCTGCATGTGAGATGGGTTTCCTGAATACAGCACACTGATGGGTCTTGACTCTTTATCCAATTTGCCAGTCTGTGTCTTTTAACTGGAGCATTTAGTCCATTTACATTTAAAGTTAATATTGTTATGTGTGAATTTGATCCTGTCATTTTGATGTTAACTGGTTATTTTGCTCGTTAGTTGATGCAGTTTCTTCCTAGCCTTGATGGTCTTTACAATTTGGCATGATTTTGCAGTGGCTGGTACTTGCTGTTCCTTTCCATGTTTAGTGCTTCCTTCAGGAGCTCTTTTAGTGCAGGCCTGGTGGTGACAAAATCTCTCAGCATTTGCTTGTCTGTAAAGTATTTTATTTCTCCTTCACTTATGAAGCTTAGTTTGTCTGGATATGAAATTCTGGGTTGAAAATTCTTTTCTTTGAGAATGTTGAATATTGGCCCCCACTTGCTTCTGGCTTGTAGAGTTTTTGCTGAGAGATCCGCTGTTAGTCTGATGGGCTTCCCTTTGTGGGTAACCCAACATTTCTCTCTGGCTGACCTTAACATTTTTTCCTTCATTTCAACTTTGGTGAATCTGACAATTATGTGTCTTGGAGTTGCTCTTCTGGAGGAGTATCTTTGTGGTGTTCTCTGTATTTCCTGAATCTGAATGTTGGCCTGCCTTGATAGATTGGGGAAGTTCTCCTAGATAATATCCTGCAGAGTGTTTTCCAACTTGGTTCCATTCTCCCCATTGGAACCATTCAGGTACATTCAGGTACACCAATCAGATGTAGATTTGGTCTTTTCACATAGTCCATATTTCTTGGAGGCTTTGTTCGTTTCTTTTTATTCTTTTTCCTCTAAACTTCCCTTCTCGCTTCATTTCATTCATTTCATCTTCCATCACTGATACCCTTTCTTCCAGTTGATCTCATTGGCTCCTGAGGCTTCTGCATTCTTCACATAGTTCTTGAGCCTTGGCTTTCAGCTCCATCAGCTCCTTTAAGCACTTCTCTGTATTGGTTATTCTAGGTACACATTCGTCTAAATTTTTTTCAAAGTTTTCAACTTCTTTGCCTTTGGTTTGAATTTCCTCCTGTAGCTCGGAGTAGTTTGATCATCTGAAGCCTTCTTCTCTCAACTCGTCATTCTCCAGCCAGCTTTGTTCTGTTGCTGGTGAGGAACTGCGATCCTTTGGAGAAGGAGAGGCGCTCTGCTTTTTAGAGTTTCCAGTTTTTCTGCTCTGTTTTTTCCCCATCTTTGTGCTTTTATCTACTTTTGGTCTTTGATGACGGTGACGTACAGATGGGTTTTTGGTGTGGATGTCCTTTCTGTTTGTTAGTTTTTCTTCTAACAGACAGGACCCTCAGCTGCAGGTCTGTTGGAGTTTGCTAGAGGTCCACTCCAGACACTGTTTGCCTGGGTAACAGCAGCGTTGGCTGCAGAACAACGGATTTTCGTGAACCGCAAATGCTGCTGTCTGATCGTTCCTCTGGAAGTTTTGTCTCAGAGGAGTACCTGGCCGTGTGAGGTGTCAGTCCTCCCCTACTGGGGGGTGGCTCCCAGTTAGGCTGCTCGTGGGTCAGAGGTCAGGGACCCACTTGAGGAGGCAGTCTGTCCGTTCTCAGATCTCCAGCTGCATGCTGGGAGAGCCACTGCTCTCTTCAAAGCTGTCAGACAGGGACATTTAAGTCTGCAGAGGTTACTGCTGTCTTTTTGTTTGTCTGTGCCCTGCCCCCATAGGTGGAGCCTACAGAGGCAGGCAGGCCTCCTTGAGCTGTGGTGGGCTCCACCCAGTTCTAGCTTCCCAGCTGCTTTGTTTACCTAAGCAAGCCTGGGCAATGGCAGGCACCCCTCCCCGAGTCTCGCTGCTGCCTTGCAGTTTGATCTCAGACTGCTGTGCTAGCAATCAGCGAGACTCCATGGGCATAGGACCCTCTGAGCCAGGTGCAGGATATAATCTCCTGGTGCGCCGTTTTTTAAGCCTGTCGGAAAAGCGCAGTATTAGGGCGGGAGTGACCCAATTTTCCAGGTGCTATCTGTCACCCCTTTCTTTGACTAGGAAAGGGAATTCCCTGACCCCTTGCATTTCCTGAGTGAGGCAATGCCTCGCCCTGCTTTGGCTCATGCATGGTGAGCTGCACCCACTGTCCTGTGCCCACTGTCTGGCACTCCCTAGAGAGATGAACCTGGTACCTCAGATGGAAATGCAGAAATCACCCGTCCTGTATGTCGCTCATGCTGGGAGCTGCAGAACGGAGCTGTTCCTATTCGGCCATCTTGGCTGCTTCCCCAGGAATAAGCTTCTTATTAGTGCTTCTGCAGCCAATCCTAGGAGTCTAAACAGGTTTCTTGACCAGGGTTCCTCTTCTCCTGCTCTGGCCCCAGTCTGCTGAAGAAGAATGGTCTAAGGCAAGGTCATTGTCTTCAGCTTCACTGACAGACATTTTTGCCGTCAGTGAATTGCCGGAATACATTTCTTGCTTTTGGTTCTTATTGTTTTGCTTTTTACTTCACTAAAAGGAGTAAAATAGTTTATTTTATAATAATAAAAAGTAGTGGGAAAAGGGACAATGTTTTTTCTTCCACAAATCACCCTCCCAAGCTTGTGGGAAGTACTTCAGCCATTATCTTTATTAAATCTTCAATCTTAGGCACTTGGACTTTGGATAATATTCAGCCAAAACTTCAGCTTCCCTCACTTGTCATCTTTTGGGCTATCCTTTGGTGATTCTACTTTTCTAAGTATGTTCTCCACCTCATGTGGCTACTTCATTCTGGATGCTTCTCTTGCTCCATTTCATAGCATCTGAGAGTGTTAATGTCAAGCAAAACAGAAAGGATACAGGTGGTTGTTTCTCCAGCTGCAGCCTCTGCTCCTCTCCCATCACTTTCTCTCCCTCACTGCCACCAACCTTCCAGAAATGGGTAAGTAAAACTAAGAACATGCATTATGAAACAGAATTGCTCAGATAACTAACCACTTTTTTGGAGTGTGCATTGCTGTGTATACTAAGTAACCTCCCTGAGTAGCACAGATTAAGGCCAGCAAGCATGCGTTTATATTGAACACATACTGAATGCATACTGAAACATTAAATATTAAATTAAGGTAATATAACACCATCATTATACATTCCATTTTCAATTTTAAATGCATAATATCATATACTAATGCAAACACCCAAGACGTATTATCAATAATTTCTTGAAAACATTACAAATGGCCTTACGAGTTGTGTTAGCTTTTCTAGAATGGAGTGCAGTTAAAATGATGTTCTGGCACCCCCAAGCCCAGGCCTTAAGAGAACTGGCAACTTGTATTTTCTGTCTCTTCAAGTCTAGCCTCTATGCTCAAAGAAACCCAATGCCAAATGGAAAGACCACATAGAATATAACCAAAATACTATATTTAACGGTCCTAACTGAGCTGCAAGCCAACTGCCATATGAGCGAGGTATTTTGGAGGACCTGCCCTAGTTGAGCTCCCTAATTGATAAGTACATCTCAGCTGACATCACTTACAGCACAAGAATCACTGGGCCAAACCCAAATAGCCTACAAAATCACGAGTGATGAAAAAGTGGTTCTTATTTTAGGTTATTAAGCTTTGAAGTTGTCTATTATTTATTTAACAATAGATAACCAAATTTTGTATATGTATGTCTTTCTTTAAATAGAGGAATCAAGGAACTGACAGCATTATATGTAGGTGTGTACACACACACATTAATTTTGGATTCACATTTTTAAATGGTTATTTTAGATATATTGCTTGCAACATAATTAAAGAACACTGACAAGTATCTATGTGAAGTCAATTGACTACTCCCAGCATAAAGAAAGGTGATCTTCAGACCAATAACTTCCTTTCAATTGCCATGTAATATCATACAATACACATGTGCTGAAGTTGATCTCTGTGCACTTAGATGTTTCTTAACTTTTAAATAAAATGAGAACTGAAAATGTATGTCATACCAGCTGGTTAGTAAGCCGCAGAAGGTAGTAGTGGCATTATATTTTTAGACATTAATGGATACTTTCTGGTCTGGCCTTTAACATTTCCTTAATTCTTTTCATAATTGGGCAATTTGAAGGACCAAATTAATTTACCTTGGGGGAACAGCAGAGACAAATTATCGATCTTTGAAATTCAAACCTCAAGGTGCAACATTGCGGATAATATCTGCTATATGAAAAAAAGAGAAGTGAAAAGAAGAGAAAGAAAGAGAGGAGAGGAGGGGAGGGGAGAGAATGGGAGGGGAGGGGAGAGGCTGGTGCATGTACCAGGGATAAGAGTCTTCTTTCTGTGAGTCTCAGGCCCTACAAAGCCAAGTCCAGAGTAGAATAAAGCATTGATTTGAGCATCAATAATAAAAGAATATTTGTACTCCCCATACCACTGAGAGATTCTTACTTGTTGGTAAGGTTCCAGAGATTTTCTTTACCCAACTAATGGGAAGCAGTAGAAGATAGATGAAGGTTAGCGAGCCACATGAATTCTTAAGAGTGCAGTGGTTCTCAAGAGGGGGCGATTTTGCACTACCTCCAAGGTAATTGAAGATGTTTGGAGACTTTTTGATTTTTAAAGACCTGTGGGAATGAGGTATTTATTGCATACATTTCAGGGTTAAGGTTAAGCTTCCTACAGAGCAGAAGACAACAAAGAATTATGTGGTCCAAAATGTCAATAGTGCTGAGACTGAAAAGTCTTTCATCACCTCAGTGTGATGCAAATAATAGAGAAAATTATTTCATCACCAATAGAATTACCGTTAAATTAATGAAGAGCTTTAAAGAATTCTACTCACTTTTTCAGCCCCCGAGTGGATTGAGAACAATGCATTTTTAAATGTGTCTAAAAAGGTAGGAAAACACTGAGAGAAAGGCAAGTCTGCAAAGATCTTTTGTTTTCAAACATGGGAGAATACAACACCATATGGTGTAAACAACACTTGAAAACCAGATGAAATGATGTTCAGCAATTGATAGTTGGCAGCATAAAAGATCTAAATGCCAGGATTTCTTGACCCCTTCTTCCACTGACTGGTGTATTATGTAAGGCCCTCATGTTAGGTATGGCATAAAAGATAAGGATAGAGTTTAAATAATTTTTTACCTGAACTCAAGTTTTCATGGCCAGCAAAATAAAAACATGACTAAATATAAGTTCAATTTTAGAAACAAATAAATTTCTAGCACCTCTGAATTTCTAGAATCAATATCGTATCTGCTTCTAAACTATCATCTTTAGGTGAAGAAGAAAGTTATCAGCTGCACCAACCTGGGCTACATCTTTTACTTTCTTGAAAGCAAAGTGAAGGATAGTAATGATCAAACATTAAAATTTTTAAAATATTAAATCTGGGACATTATTGAGTATGAAAAATATTCCATGATTAAAAATGTCAAAAATATGAAACTAGACATATAGTGTTATTAATGTTAATTAGTTGTATAATATTTGATTAAAACTTTTCATAATTATTTTTATTTATTTTGTAAACATTGTTATATCATTGTTTTTGTCATAAATTGTTTATGTATTGTGTTATATGTAAAATGGGAAAGAAAGGATGTACATGGAATTGCTTTCAATTAACTGAAACATACTTCATAAGCATTCATACATTTCTAATAGAGAGAATTTGCAAAGATATGTGACTTTCTCTATTTAATGGAGGACAGAGTTCAGAGTATCTATAAACTTATAATTTCCAGGTGGAATATAAAGGAAAGTCAGGTCAGAAAAGGGTTGAAAACTTTTGAAAAGGTGAATCCATAAAAGAATTAGTTTTCATCCTTCCACCTCTCCCACTCATAGAAAAAAATATAAGGGGGAGAGGAAGAAGGATAGGAAGTTGCACCCTGAGAGGATTTTTCAGAGTTCAAATTGCTGAATAAAAGTAGCTCTGAGTTATGGTAAGGTTTAGGTTACAGTTGTGTGTGTGAGTTGCTGAAAGAAAGTGAAGACAAAATGTTTCAGAGAAGGAAAGGTCAAGGAGAGTCAAGTGATACATGCCAGTTGACATGACAGTTAATTGTGACTTCATTACTCCATGTTCATTAAAGATGTGCAATATACATTTTTCTTAAAATGATTTACGTGAAAAAATTTTTGTTCAGTTGAATTATTTTCCTTCTTTCAAAGAAGGAAAACTACATTATATAACTTTGTGTTCTTTTTCTCTTTACTACTGTGATTTAAAGAATATTCTAGAAAGTAAATCAATAAGAAAGAGGAAAAGAGAGAGGGAGAGGGAGAAGAAGAAAAATAGAAAGAGAAAGAAAAAGAAGAAGATGAAAAAGGAGAGGAGGAAGGAGTTGCAAAGGAGTAGCATCTATGCTAACATCTCTTCACAAAAATTCAGAGTAGGTTTAGGTAATGGGTTGTGATAATTTTTCCTTCTGAGCGTGAGCACAACAGTCATGATTTCTCCTCCAGCTGGTACTCCACAAAATCATTACCAATTTACTGAAAGTGGCAAGTGAGATAAATGTATTTTCTAGTTTCATTATAGATGGATCAATTGTATTTCCTCTCGAGAAATTACTAAACAAAAACTGATACATAACTGCAAGTATTAGCACATCTGTTCATATTTTCCTCCCTATAGGTTACCAATGTATATGAATTCTTTCATATATTTAACAAATACATGTCAAAATACACTGCTTGAGATGCAAAGAAAAAAATTCTTCTGGTCACTGAGGAACTTGAAAATCAGTATAAACAAGAAAATGATGAGAAAGAGAAAAAGAGATGGAAGAAACATGAAAATGGTGGATGAGAGAAAATTGCTAGGAGAGGAGATAGATGGGTAAGAAAACAGGTTACACTTGAGCTTAACTAGATTTCCATACGATAGACAACACAGCAGTGACAGAGGAAGGGATAGCCAGTGCAGAGACAAGGAAATGGGGAATAAGGGAGAAACTGAATAAGTGAAAAACATTGCAATTGCAACAAAAATAGAGTTTTCTTATTGCTATTACTTTATACTGCTATATCTTCAATTCCTAAAATAATGCTTGGGACTATTCTAGGTGTTCCATAATACTTCCAGACTGAAATTATAACTTCTAGTATTCTCTTGTTCTAAAGTATTTTCAAAGTTCAGTAGAGATAAGGATATGAAAATGGCTTTTCTGCAGTCCCAGCTACTCGGGAGGCTGAGGCAGGAGAATGGCGTGAATCCAGGAGGCGGAGCTTGTAGTGAGCCGAGATCGCGCCACTGCACTCCAGCCTGGGCCACAGAGCGAGACTCCGTCTCAAAAAAAAAAAAAAAAAGAAAAAGAAAATGGCTTTTCTTTGTTCACGTAGTTTTACAGAATGAACGTAACATTATGTTTTACACTGGGAAACATTACAATAGGTATGAATTTTAAGTTGTTAGTTATGCAGAACTTTCGTTATCATTTTATAACATTGTCAAGTTCTTGGGGAAATAATTTACTTTGCATGAGGCCTGGCTCAGTTCTGTCTGTGTATGCTGGTGCTGGGTAGACAAGCACATTTTTTAAAGCTATTTATAGTGTTCTTCAGAATTGAGCAATACCCTAGGGAGCTGTCAAAGCATTGCCTGAGGTGATTTCATATGTTTGTGCTTATAATTGTGAAAATGTAACTGCAGTCGCACAGCATAAATTTGTACTGGGACAGGTCTACCTAGTGTTACATCTCCTCCAACAATACTCTACCATCCAGAAGCAAGAGAAGAGGGGTTTGGTGTGTGAGTTATCTCAGCTGGGTGATTATTGCTTTGGGCAATACGGAAAGTTACTTGAGTAAAAGACACAATACTAAGGATAGCATTGAAATAGCAAGCTAGGCAAACACCAAGGAGAAAGAATATGAAAATCAAAAGGCTTGAGGAGTCTAGAGCGTAGAGTAGTGCATTACCCACCTTCCCAGTGGCTCTCAGCTAAGTACATTGAGAGAAAAAGGCTCTTAGTTTAAGAGAAACTGATTATTCAAGTCATACCACGTCCTCTAGGAGAGCCTACATCCAAAGACTGGTGCAAGGCAGCAGCTAGGATGGGGATGGGAGGAGAGTGACAACCTTGACTCAAAGTGGTCAATTTAAAGAAACATCCCAACTCTCCATGGGATTGGTCAAGGCCTTTTTTTCATACTGTGTCAGAGTTCAATTCTTCCTTTGCCCAATCCTACTTCACTCATCTACCAAATGTTGAGCCTAAGGGCACTCTCCAATACTACTTCTCTCAATAATATTTATTCATGCGTATCTGCTTCTCAAAGTTTATTTTCTGAAGACACTGAACTAATATATTTGGTGCCAAGAATTATCTAATGAACGGTCTCTAAGAATATTTTAGAGACTACATGGTAATAAAGACCTCATCACTTGTAGTAGGTGGAATTCTAATAATCTCTGGTATGCTATTGCAGTGCAATTGTTAAAACATTTACTGGTAGAAAATTGACACCACTAAAATGTATTGTAATGCTGGTTGCAGTATCTTAGGCTAAGAGATCTAAGAAGTACTAATTATATGAAAAATGGAATCAGACAGCTAGGTTGAGTGTCATTGATACTTTGGAGGATGAAAATGAAACTCTGGGGGTAATTATTCTCCACTTACGACTGCTTTAGCAATACTGACTAAAAGTCAAAGTGACTCCTTGGCAGCATACAAAGAGAAACTCACCTCCTGCAGTCAAGAGGAAGATTATACGTGTTTCAGAGTACAGAGAAAGTTGAATTATCAACTGTGGCCCCTCTGGGCTGCCAAGGTTAGGGCGCTGGTTGAGAAGGAGTGGGACACTGAGACTTAAGATGTGGATATCTGACTTAACCTTCTTGGAAATCTCAAAATTTCATATTCCCCAGAACCCATTGAGTATGCACAAATGATTCCTCCTTTTCTTTACATGGCTAGCGTTTCTCTCTTGCTTAGACATTATGCAAACACATCAGGATCTACCCTCATTTTCTCTCTTGAGCACTAGATTTTAACTATGGTCATATTACATGATTCAGCTAAAAAAGGGGTAGGCCTTCTAAGAAAGTAAAGGACCTATATTCCAAAGGACCTCCAGGACCTAGTCCACTCATTTTGGAAACAGCTCATAAAGCATGTATAATACTAGACCCCAAGAGAGCTATAGGAAAGCTGTTGGAAAGTAATGATGGGGGGAAAAAAAAAAAAGCATACTGGCTCCTAGCATATGGGAAGAAGGACCTTGGAAATGAATCCCTGTTAATACTGCTAAATGCCTCTTGGAAATTGGTAGGAAGTAATTCACCATATTAAGTGCAGTGGATATTCCAC
Organism: Homo sapiens; assembly: GCF_000001405.40. Classification (NCBI taxonomy): domain Eukaryota; kingdom Metazoa; phylum Chordata; class Mammalia; order Primates; family Hominidae; genus Homo; species Homo sapiens. Next base: position 59,199,445 of record NC_000004.12, on the reverse strand, counting down.
GTTGACAGACAGTGAAAAAAGGGGCCAGAAGGCTTAAAAAATTAGGCATGCTAGAGTAGCTGTACTTTGTGAGACCTGAAAACCCACCAACTGATTATGCTTCACAGAGGAGCCCAGAAGACATCCCATTTTATAAAGTGATAGACCAGGCCAGGCCCGGTACCTCACACCTGTAATCCCAGTATTTGGGGAGGCAGAAGCTGGCGGAACCCCTGAGCCCAGTAGCTCAAGAACTGTCTGGTCAACATAATGAAACCCTGTACCTACCAAAAAGACAAAAATTTGCCAAACACAGTGGCGTGCACATGTAATCACAGCTACCTGGGAGACTGAGGTAGAAGTATCCCTTGAGCCTGGGAGGTAGAGGCTGCAGTAAACCATGATCACTCCTGCACTCCAGCCTGGGTGACAGAGAGAGATGATGTCTCAAAAATAAATAAATAAATAAAAGAACATATGCTCATGAGAGTTAAATCTTAGATATCTTTGTGAAGCTCAAGGATGATTATGCTTTCGTAGGTCAGTCTAATGGTAGGGAAAGCTGTAAGAGAACAGAGGTTGCTGAGGGCAATAGTGATGATAAACCTCAGCGTAATAGAAACCAAATGGCAGATCAACAGTGTCAGGAATAAGGTGAGCATGCTTATCATAATGGGCAGCAAGACTGGACTGCCAGCTAGAAGGATTTAATCTGCCGATAGGTGTTAGGATGTAAAAGAAACTCTACATCCATAGGAGCAAGAGAGATGGGCAGACCATAAGGGCATTGGTTGATTCTTCAAATCAAAATAAAGATTGGATGATAAGAAAACTGACACAACTCTCTAATAAAAAGGCACAACGCTTTGCCTCGTTCCTGAACTGGAGCCAGTTTTTAGACCTGGAACCCACTAAAGAAAGAAGCAGCTAGATCTTCTGGAGGAGGGATCCTGTGACAGTACAGCAAATGTATAATACTTCTCCTTCCATTACAACACAGACCAACGCTGAGACCATTATATGACATTATCCCTCAAGCAGATCAATAATCCGTTTAAATGGGACCCCTTGCAACTGGAAAAAACATCAGTTAATGGTGAGTAAGATTTACAGGTATATTGATTGTGGATTTATATTTACCTTTTGAACTCAGCCAGCAACACTATCCATGTCAGTGTTTGATGCCTCAGCATGGGATCTTATATAACATCTCATTCAACTGAGAAACCCAATTAAAGACAAAGTATGGCATGGGATCCAGTGATCCTACAGTATGAGTTATCATTCAGAAGCTGCTGCAGGCCTTAAAGTGTAATAGGATATGGGATGACCTCTTTAAAGTACAATTGAGTATTCAGGTTAAAACTGATACTCGGCAAGATGAGACATCATCCTTCAGGGGAAGGGAGAGATGTATACATTTATAAATATATATGTATAAATGTATTTATAAATTATAGATACAAATTATATTATCTATATATAAGCCTAAATAAATGTACATCTATATATGTATATCTATAGATATAGATAGATATATCTCAATGATAATTATATGGTGCTGTATTCCAGTAGACAGACTACTTAGTTCTAAGAACGAAGGCATGAAAATAGCAGTGAGGATGATGACGCTCTTCATCAATCTTAGTGGTCCACTTGTAGAATGTTGCATCTTATTTCTACAACTCTGGGATACTCGGATTTAGAGGTCAAAATCTTCAGATATAGAAGTCTGTTGTAGTAGGAAAATGCTTTTACAAGAAAACTGACCAAGAGTCCTAATTGACTATAGCCCAGTTACTTTTAGATCCCTATACCACTCTTATGTGCTCTACTAATGTTCTCTAGAGCTTCCCCATTTGATTCATTGGTACCTTTGTTGTTACTCCACCTCAGTTTAACTCCCTTGCACAATCCTACTATTTTCAGCCACCACCAGTTGATCCTGGGGGCACTCTAATAAACTACCTACACACAAATTTTCATCTCAGAGTCTTTCCCTTGGAACTTAAAGTACAAAAGATAACCCAAAAGTAGATTAATCAAATAGGTACTAGATAGTTACCTTACTTCATCTAACCTAAGTTCTATCAATTTTAAAAGAAAACATTATTTTAATATTAAAACACATTCTAGTTAAATAGTGATAAAATGCAATCTTTTCACTTATGTTTATTTTATGAGCTCTTTGAGATTTATTTAGACTTAGATATTTATCATATATAATTATTGAGTATGCATTTAAAAAGCTCTAAATGATATAATTTATTAACCTATAATTGATTAAGCTATATCTAAGATATGTTTTCGTTCAGGTTCTGACTCTTATAATTCAATAGCTGGCACAACCACCATTGCTCATGTTTTCTTGCATAATATTCTCCTCCATGCTATGAACAGCCTAGCTGTCTCTGTTGTGTTGCTGTCTCTGGGATTCCCTTACAAGCCCCTAACATTCATCCTGCAGGTTTTGGTGCTGGAGATTTTCTTTCTACAACCCATTTCATTTCTGAGGAAAGAGATGCTCAGCAAAAGTAGGTGATATATAAAATCTCCAAAACAAGACGGTATGTAAGTAAAAATATTTTTAAAACTTGTATCGCAGGTGGTTAGGGGGAACATATCTATACCTATACTTCTATGCCGTATTTACAGAGAACCACTTTGCTGTTGCATAGGTGATAGTAATGACAAGAGAGAAATAAATAAATGAGAAGTTTTGCATTTTCCTAGTCCCAATGTTATCCTAAGAAACTGGGTTAATATCTACCAACCATTTGTATTAATTACAGATAACTACTTAAATCTGAATTTTTGTGGCCTGTTACTTCTTAGGGAATGTTCTGCTTCATGAAGGATACCTAGGTTCATACATCTAAATTAAATAGAGATTTTTGTTTGTTCCTTTCCCCTCATACTTATCTTTCTGTAGTTTAAATACAGCTAAGGACTCGCCCAAGGCAAATGTGGAATTTAAAGATATATAATGAAGCAATCCAAACCAAAAAACACAGCAAGATAGGTTCATGCAAAGTCAATCAACAACACAGCTATTTATTAAGGTTAGTAAAGAAGAAAGGAGAAATGATCAGAAGGGGTTTAATACATGTCACCAAGCAGGTGACAAGAGAGACAATTTCAAAGTCAGGATTCCAGGACCTGTAGAGGGTTCAAATAGCCACAGGGAACCTTGACACTGTTCTAGAAATGAAAACATGCTAAACAAGAGCCAGAGTAGATGGGGAGGCATTTCAGGAATGATAAGGCAGAAATATTTCCTGAAGCATGATGTTGAACAGAACATCCTTTATCTCACGGCATTCTAGGCAGCCCTCACAGTGCCCACTCTTCCTCTGAGGTGTCAGGGGAGACTTCCAACAGGGAGATCAATAATGACTGTAAAACAAACACGATTACTACTGATGCTGAAAGTGTTAACAATATTGCAGCTTAAGCAATAAGCAACCATGGCAACTAGGAAATTTGTTTCCAGATGCCTGCATAACTGTGAGTGCTTTGATGGACTAGAGAATCTTCTCAGTTCAGAGGATTCACAGTCCCTTATTTTTTCCTTTAATAAATATCAATTTAGCACCTATAATTTGCCACACATTTTCCAAATACCAATGTTAAAAATTCAAAAAATAGACAAAACTTGGATTTTTGCATAGAACCATACAAGTTTAGCATCAACTATTCACCAAAAAATCAACTTTGTACACACTATTATATTTTGTGCATGAACAATAATTTACTTCTGTAAATTATATAGGGCATTAATTATGATGAAATTCCTGTAACATGTATTAGAATTGTTTTATAGTGTTCACTTGAATTCAATGTGCATTTATTTTCTTTCCCAGGAGGTTTACAAGATAACACTCTAACTTACTATTTTGTTTTTGTCTTTTACCAAAGTAAGAATGAAAAATTTATTAACAAATAATTGATCATGAAAGAAAAGCAAACAGTTTTCTGCAAATGTAAAGTTAGGGAATATTACTAATGGTAATTTGCATTGAAAGACTAAGGGAGAAGATACTTAATCATATATTTCTTGTGATTTGGTGTATGAAAATTTCGTTTTAAATATATCGACAATTATTATGCATAACTCAGTTATACCTAACAGTTTTTGTGTGTCCTACAGCTGATCCATTCATACTGATTACATTCTAGTTTAATCAAATTGAAAAACAGATGGCTTGAAATGTATTTCATTAATAATCCATTTCAAACTGTGACTCATATGTGCATAATATTTTCCTCTATTTTATTAAACTTATTTTATAATTAGACACATGTATTTATTTGGCAAATGTTAGAAAGAATAGGTAAAATTTTATTGACATTATGTTTAATATCAGGTTTCAAAAAAAGCTTTTGTAATGTTCTTTGACGTTTTCTTGCCCAACAAGGAAAAAACATGAGGCCAAAGATTGTTCCTTTAAAGTGGAAAACATCTCTCAGTTCATAAGTTTCTTTTCCCTGGAGTGTTTTTCCTGGTGCTTTATTATCAAGGGCTCCAGATTAAAACCAGATCCCTGGAGGACAAAAACATACCAGTATTCCTCTTGTATTTTCCCACTACTCTAGAGCAATATTCCTTTCTGAAGAGAAGCTCAAGAAATATTGTTTGTTCACAACTTAATCCAATTTATTTTTAGTAATTTAGAGATGAAAGAAAGTTGCATGAATGCTTCCAATTGTTAGTATCAGAAGTTTCCTAAGGAAAGCAAGAAGACAAACAGATTGCATGCATGTGCACATTATAGAAACACCTTTGTGTAAAGGACATATCACTTCACTTGCATTTCAAAATGCATGGCTTCTTCTACAAGTGTTTTCTCAAAAGAATTTATTTTGTAGAACAAAAAAATATGGAAGGAAAACTACCAGTAGCTATAAAAACATTCATGCTGCATTTCTCTATTTCATTTTTCAGACACTATTTTTAAAATGTGTTCCTGTTCTGTCGTTTTGTATTCATCTGTGTGTGGTTATGTAGCTAGCAATAGGCTGCTAACACTAGGTGAATATCAGGGTTTAGAAATGTAATTAGCTTTTACTTCTCAGGAAAGCAGTGTGACTTCCATATATCTATTTGTTGACTAATTCAGCACCTTTTTAGTTTAATTTTATTTTATTTTTAATCCATACTTCAAATTAAGTTGTTTTTATAGATGCTTTTCCTTATTAAAATGCTAGGAGTTCTTGAATGGATTCTAATATTGAGTAGTCTGAAAGATCATCACTTTAAGTATCTGGCATTCTTAAGTAGAAATATATTGATCAGACAACACCCCATACATAATCATAATTCTCTAAGGAAAAGGCCTTTCTTTGGCAGCTATGGAGATGGATGAGAAAACATCCACTCTTAAAGTTCTTTAAATGCCTATACATGAGGACAGCTTCAATAACTAAAGATATCTGTAAGTTTGTCTGAGCATGGTAAAAGCTACCTTTATTTAAAATGCAATTGATCTATACAAAGTAGGTAAGTAGCTCCTCCTACCTACCTGACACTAAATTTTTGCATTTCCTGAGACTAAGAAGTACTCTGGCTTTAGTACACACTAAATATTTGATATGCTTTTAGAAAGACCTTTTCATGCAGACTGTGCATGTCTGGATGTCTATATAAAATAGATGGCATGTTAAAATTAGGATAATTCTAGGAGTCTTTAAAAAGGGACTCTTTAGAAAGGTGTAGTTGGGTATGAAAGAACCCAAGGGTGTTCGTTGGATGTAAGAAAGAATACAATAATCTGGGGCAGGGAACACAGAGTGATGGTTCCTAGAAACTTGAAGGAGAGTGTCCAGGGGAGAAGAAAGCTTTGAGAGGGGCAATGACCTTCAAGGGAGAGACACAGTCAGTGGAGGCATCCCCTCAAATAGGGAGCTAGAAAAACAATTACCATGATCTCACTTTTTGTCTTCCCTTCTACCCTCTGGGCATACCATTGGCCCAAGCTAATCTAAAGCAGAAGGCAGGGGATTTGTCTGTGTAATATATGCAGTTCATTCTTCCAGTGCAGACAGCAGGAGAAAAGTGGATAAATGTGCAGGGTGGATGTGAAAAGACACGTAGATGATAGGTATAACATAAGGTAACCAGTGAGCGCAAAGCGGAACATTTCAAGAGCTTCAGATTTAATGCCTATGTAGTCCTTGCTTGTTTTTGTGGCATCCAACCCCATCAGTGGATTATCCAGGTAAGCAGAATGACTTTATTTATTTATTTATCTATTTATTTTTATTATACTTTAAGTTTTAGGGTACATGTGCACAACATGCAGGTTTGTTACATATGTATACATGTGCCATTTTGGTGTGCTGCACCCATTAACTCGTCATTAACATTAGGTATATCTCCTGATGCTATCCCTCCCCCCTCCGCCCACCCCACAACAGGTCCCGGTGTTTGATGTTCCCCTTCCTGTGTCCATGTGTTCTCATTGTTGAATTTCCACCTATGAGTGAGAACATGTGGTGTTTGGTTTTTTGTCCTTGCGATAGTTTGCTGAGAATGATGGTCTCCAGCTTCATCCATGTCCCTACAAAGGACACGAACTCATCCTTTTTTATGACTGCATAGTATTCCATGGTGTATATGTGCCACATTTTCTTAATCCAGTCTATCATTGTTGGACATTTGGGTTGGTTCCAAGTCTTTGCTATTGTGAATAGTGCTGCAATAAACATACGTGTGCATGTGTCTTTATAGCAGCATGATTTACAATCCTTTGGGTATACCCAGTAATGGGATTGCTGGGTCAAATGGTATTTCTAGTTCTAGATCCCTGAGGAATCGCCACACTGTCTTCCACAATGGTTGAACTAGTTTACAGTCCCACCAAAAGTGTAAAAGTGTTCCTATGTCTCCACATCAGAGTGAACAGGCAACCTACAGAATGGGAGAAAATTTTTGCAATCTATTCATCTGACAAAGGGCTAATATCCAGAATCTACAATGAACTCAAACAAATTTACAAGAAAAAAACAAACAACACCATCAACAAGAATGAATTTCCTTTAGTGAGTAGAGGGTAGTGTTGAGTGATTATGTAGGTGAAAGAGGAACACTACTAGGAGCATAGTAGAACATTTCTATTTCCCTAATAGAGAAATTGGGAATGGAAGAATATAACTGTGTATAATGTGCCACAGTGGACATACCACTGCATATGTAGGCATCACTGTTCAAAGTTAAATGAAATATCAGGAAGGGGCCGGGCGCAGTGGCTCACGCCTGTAATCTCAGCACTTTCGGAGGCTGAGGTGGGTGGATCACAAGGTCAAGAGATTGAGACCATTCTGGCCAACATGGTGAAACTCCATCTCTACTAAAAATACAAAAATTAGCTGGGCGTGGTGTTGTGCTCCTGTAATCCCAACTACTCGGGAGCTGAGGTAGGAGAATCACTTGAACCCGGAGGCAGAGGTTGCAGTGAGCCGAGATTGCATCACTGCACTCCAGCCTGGGACAAAGTGAGACTCCGTCTCAAAAACAAACACACAAACAAATAAAGAAACAAAAATTAGACTTTAATTTATAATCTATGATAGCAAATTAAAATAAGTAATCTTTTTTATGAAATAAAATAAGTGCTATTAAGTTGAATCTAAAAAAAAAAGGTTAGCTTTCAATTTTGAATACTTGACAACTAGAATCACCGGTTTACTTTTGTTCTCAGGTTTTTGTGTGCATGAGAGTATTTAGACTTTATTCCAAAATTTTTTTGTTTTTTAATTATCCTGTGGATAAGTTCATGTAGAGAATGGCCTTTAGATTTCTTCAACAACATTCAACCCTAAACCCTTCTCTTAGGAAAATTGTAGAGATATCTAGTAAGATGTATTACGTAAATGTTGTCCTGGAGTCTCCCCACCCCAATTTTGGGAACTTTCTTTCTCTGCCTTCAGCAATCTGTGTGAATGGAGTTTAGGATTTAGAAACACAATTCTTAACTTACTCTTTTTCAAGAGAGGAGGGTTGAGTTATTTGATTATTAAATCTGGTAGAAGTAATGTAGTATTGTGGCTCTGTTCTATTTTTCCTCTCTTCTATGAGAAAGATGCATTTTGGGCTGCGGGTGGGAAGAAGAGAGAAGTATTTTTTTTAAATTGCAAATTAAATGTCTCTCACTATGTTCACTGGGAACATACCCTTAAGAATCAATAGAATATAGTTCCAAACGTGAGACATACTTGAGAGGAAAAAATTCAAGAAGATCAATGTAAACTAATGAAAGAGTAACTGGGAGAGTGTCAAGGAGAAATGGTTATTGCAGGATAATACTCAAGTGTTGCCTTCATCCTGAGAGAATCCCACATGAATGTTGTGGAACCGAGACTAGGGGAAAGCACAAGAATAAAGAAACATTTACAGGGAACAAAGAAGAACTTTTTTTGGAAAATTTACAACTTTTTATGCATAGAGTCCTAAGGCTAATTTTAAATCCCTAATGAAAAATGTTATGAAACACAGGTAATGATATTTTTAACCCCTACCTAGGAAATCTAATGAGCAAATTAATAGATTTTGGTGTTAAGTTGAACTGAGTCTCCTGTTTAGGTTTCTCTTATCTTTTTGTTGAAAAAGCAATTCTAATTAAAAGTAAATGAATTAAATACATTATGCTTGATGAATTACAAAGGTTTATCACTTGAGTTGTTAGAATATGTATTAACTAGGGTGATGGATAGAAAAAATGAAACCTTGGTAAATTACCTACAAAGACAAAGTATATTTCTTTATAAAGGTTTAGACACAAACAGAGATTTGGTAAATGAAGTACACACTCTGTATTATGAACTTCATATTATTATATAGCATTTTGGTAATGATGAGTAAAATAAACTCATTGGTTATTCATTGCATTTCTTAAACATTTCAATACTATTTGCAATATTTAATGGGTATTCAACATAACATGACTCCTCTATTTGTTTTCCAATTATATACAAGTGATGACTGTCTTGCTTCTTTCTTGCCCTTTATTTTGCCAGTGGGGATGGATGTTTCTAAACTTCTCTCAGATAATATATTCTGTACCTTATTACTGATGTATTTGGTCTTCTGAATACTTGCTATTCCTATGACCATGATTCATTTTTTATGAAAAGATGCTACAAGTTGTTATTCGTGTCCCTTTGTGTCATCCTATATTTCTACTTTTAATAAATAACCATAATACTTGTTAGTACTACGGCAAGATGTTTTTAATGATCAAAAGAAATTCTTGCCCATTTACCTTTCCATTTCTCAAAAGAAAAAAATCAGAACACAATTAAATAAAGCTTTTTTGTTTATTCTATTCCTCCTTTAGAAAACAGTTTCTGAATTTCTCAAGTATTATTGCAAATGTAAATAAATAATGCTTATAGAAAATTACATCCTTTCACACTGCTTCTTGCTAGATCTTCCTCTGCAATTATATTTCCCGAAAAAGAAACCCTTTTTATTTTGTAAGCCACATTTCACCTATGCCTCACAAGCCCAGTTAACTCAGAAAATATTCCTAGCTTTAGAAGCTAAACTTCAATTGGTTATACTATAAATCTGTTTTATTTTTCAATGTATTATAATAATCCTCTTTCTTACTCTGCCTGTCTATAGTAAGCATCTTTTATATTCAAGGATATAACTTCAATCAAGTTTAGCTGGGAACAAGTATGCTTTAGGTTAACCTGCGGCTGCCACATTAAAAAGTTTCTACTAATGAACCATTTGCTAATGTGAGGACAGAAAACAATCTTTGATATTATGGAAGGCTTTTGAAATTAATTTTAGTTTATAAAACTGAAATTATTAATATGAGTTTTAGTTAATGCCTACCATGTATAAAATACTAGTAAATGCAAGGCCTTGTGATATACATACTCCATTATTATTCCCACTGCTATTATTATTATTTTCCCACCACTGTGCAACAAAATTTCCACAAATTTAGCAGCTTGCAACAGCATATGCTTATTATCACACAGTTACCAAAGGACAGGAATCACAGCACAGTTTATTTGTGTCTTCTGCTCAGTATCTGACATAGACATATCAAAGGTGTCGGCAGGGCATGGTGACTCATGCCTGTAGTCCCAGCACTTTGGGAGGCTGAGGCAGGAAGATCACTTGAGCTCAGGAGTTCAAAACCAACATGGACAACATAACAAAAACCCTGACTCTACAAAAAAAAATATAAAAATTAGCTGGGCATGGTAGTGCCTGCCTGTAGTCCCAGATACTGAGGATACTGACATGGGAGGTATCACCTGAGCTGGGGGAAGTCAAGGCTGAAGGAAGCCAAGCTCACACCACTGTACCACTCCAGCCTGGGAGAGAGAGAGAAAAAGAAGACTTTTTTTCTTCTGTCAAAAAAGAAGAAAGAAAAAAAAGGAAGAAGGAAAGAAAGAAAGAGAAAGAAAGAAAGAGAAAGAAAGAAAGAAAGAAAGAAAGAAAGAAAGAAAGAAAGAAAGAAAGAAAGAAGACAGAGAAAGAAAGAGAGAGAGAAAGAAAGGAAAGAAAAAGGAAAGAAAAAGAAAAGAAAGAAAGAAAAAGAAAGAAAGAAAAAAGCAAAGAGAGAGGTAGAAAGGAAGGGAAACAAATGCAAAGTTATCTGCCACTGGGTCTGTGACCTCACCTGAGGCTCAGGGTCCTCTTCCCAGCTCATGTGTTTGAAAGCAGAATTCATTTTCTTGCAGATGTGTAAATCGTGACAACTTATTTCTTCAAGGCCAAGAGAATTGCTTCTCTGCGGCTCTGAGTCTTATAAAGGGCTCAGCTGATTAGGTCAGGCCCAGCCAAGATAATTTTCCTTTTGATTAAATTAAAGTCAACTGATTGGGAGATTTACATCTACAAAATTATTTCATATCTGTCATTTAATGTAACCTATTATGACAGTGGCATCTATCATATCCACAATGCATAGCCACACTCAGAAGGGAGGGGATTGATAATGCAGAATATTCATGACAGAGAGTGGAAACATGGGGACAGTCTTAGAATTCTTCCTACCAATGTATCTTTCTATGGTGGTCAAAGTAGCTGTAACAAATATGGTTCAGAGTTGTAGTAAGAACACGTACATACATACATACATGCATATCGAGTAGGTTCATGCACACTCCTGGTTTAAGAAATTTGGAAGAATATGTATACATATATTTCTGTTAGGCATATGTAAGCCCAAATAGCATTAAATTTTTGCTTACTATATCTACTGTGAAAATGTTTTTGTTGTAAACTAGAGAGAAATGTGGAGATGACTTATGTAAGCATCTGGATTTCTTTCTTACCACCCTAGGCAGTTACAAACAACCAGATGTTCTCTTAAATTAACTCCTTGTTAATCTAGCCAAGCCCAAGCACCTGTATTTCAAAGAGTTCTATGTTTTAATTAAGGAAAATTACTACAGTTGCTATATGTTATAATGACTAATCAGTTTGAATATTTATTTTTATCTTTAATAGGATGTGGAAGATACATTAGTGAGAAAAGTGAGTTAGCAAGAAAAGTAAGTTTTAAGGCAAAGTCAGTGAAAAAAGTATCAACATTTATTTTAAGAATTTTTTTTTATTATACTTTAAGTTTTAGGGTACATGTGCACAATGTGCAGGTAGGTTACATATGTATACATGTGCCATGCTGGTGCACTGCAGCCACTAACTAGTCATCTCGCATTAGGTATATCTCCCAATGCCATCCCTCCCCCCTCCCCCCACCTCACAACAGTCCCCAGAGTGTGATGTTCCCCCTCCTGTGTCCATGTGTTCTCATTGTTCAATTCCCACCTATGAGTGAGAACATGCGGTGTTTGGTTTTTTGTTCTTGCAATAGTTTACTGAGAATGATGATTTCCAATTTCATCCATGTCCCTACAAAGGACACGAACTCATCATTTTTTATGGCTGCATACCATTCCATGGTGTATATGTGCCACATTTTCTTAATCCAGTCTGTCATTGTTGGACATTTGGGTTGGTTCCAAGTCTTTGCTATTGTGAATAATGCCGCAATAAACATACATGTGCATGTGTCTTCATAGCAGCATGATTTATAGTCCTTTGGGTATATACCCAGTAATGGGATGGCTGGGTCAAATGGTATTTCTAGTTCTAGATCCCTGAGGAATCGCCACACTGACTTCCACAATGTTTGAACTAGTTTAAAGTCCCACCAACAGTGTAAAAGTGTTCCTATTTCTCCACATCCTGTCCAGCACCTGTTGTTTCCTGACTTTTTAATGATTGCCATTCTAACTGGTGTGAAATGGTATCTCATTGTGGTTTTGATTTGCATTTCTCTGATAGCCAGTGATGATGAGCATTTTTTCATGTGTTTTCTGGCTGCATAAATGTCTTCTTTTGAGAAGTGTCTGTTCATATCCTTCGCCCACTTTTTGATGGAGTTGTTTGTTTTTTTCTTGTAAATTTGTTTGAGTTCATTGTAGATTCTGGATATTAGCCCTTTGTCAGATGAGTAGGTTGCGAAAATTTTCTCCCATTGTGTAGGTTGCCTGTTCACTCTGATGGTAGTTTCTTTTGCTGTGCAGAAGCTCTTTAGTTTAATGAGATCCCATTTGTCAATTTTGGCTTTTGGTGCCATTGCTTTTGGTGTTTGAGACATGAAGTCCTTGCCCATGCCTATGTCCTGAATGGTAATGCCTAGGTTTTCTTCCAGGGTTTTTATGGTTTTAGGTCTAACATTTAAGTCTTTAATCCATCTTGAATTGATTTTTGTATCAGGTGTAAGGAAGGGATCCAGTTTCAGCTTTCTACATATGGTTAGCCAGTTTTCCCAGCACCATTTATTAAATAGGGACTCCTTTCCCCATTGCTTATTTTTCTCAGGTTTGTCAAAGATCAAATAGTTGTATATATGTAGTGTTATTTCTGAGGACTCTGTTCTGTTCCGTTGATCTATATCTCTGTTTTGGTACCAGTACCATGCTGTTTTGGTTACTGTAGCCTTGTAGTATAGTTTGAAGTCAGGTAGTGTGATGCCTCCAGCTTTGTTCTTTTGGCTTAGGATTGACTTGGCGATGCTGGCTCTTTTTTGGTTCCATATGAACTTTAAAGTAGTTTTTTCCAATTCTGTGAAGAAAGTCATTGGTAGCTTGATGGTGATGGCATTGAATCTATAAATTACGTTGGGCAGTATGGCCATTTTCACGATATTGATTCTTCCTACCCATGAGCATGGAATGTTCTTCCATTTGTTTGTATCCTCTTTTATTTCCTTGAGCAGTGGTTTGTAGTTCTCCTTGAAGAGGTCCTTCACGTCCCTTGTAAGTTGGATTCCTAGGTATTTTATTCTCTTTGAAGCAATTGTGAATGGGAGTTCACTCATGATTTGGCTCTCTGTTTGCCTGTTATTGCTGTATAAGAATGCTTGTGATTTTTGTACATTGATTTTGTATCCTGAGACTTTGCTGAAGTTGCTTATCAGCTTAAGGAGATTTTGGGCTGAGACAATGGGGTTTTCTAGATATACAGTCATGTCATCTGCAAACAGGGACAATTTGACTTCCTCTTTTCCTAATTGAATACCCTTTATTTCCTTGTCCTGCCTAATTACTCTGGCCAGAACTTCCAACACTATGTTGAATAGGAGTGGTGAGAGAGGGCATCCCTGTCTTGTGCCCGTTTTCAAAGGGAATGCTTCCAGTTTTTGCGCATTCAGTAGGATATTGGCTGTGGGTTTGTCATAGATAGCTCTTATTATTTTGAGATACGTCCCATGAATACCTAATTTATTGAGAGTTTTTAGCATGAAGCGTTCTTGAATTTTGTCAAAAGCCTTTTCTGCATCTATTGAGATAATCCTGTGGTTTTTGTCTTTGGTTCTGTTTATATGCTGGATTACATTTATTGATTTGCATATATTGAACCAGCCTTGCATCCCAGGGATGAAGCCCACTTGATCATGGTGGATAAGCTTTTTGATGTGCTGCTGGAATTTGTTTGCCAGTATTTTATTGAGGATTTTTGCATCAATGTTCATCAAGGATATTGGTCTAAAATTCTCTTTTTGGGTTGTGTCTCTGCCCAGCTTTGGTATCAGGATGATGCTGGCCTCATAAAATGAGTTACGGAGGATTCCCTCTTTTTCTATTGATTGGAATAGTTTCAGAAGGAATGGTACCAGTTCCTCCTTGTACCTCCAGTAGAATTCGGCTGTGAATCCATCTGGTCCTGGACTCTTTTTGGTTGGTAAGCTATTGATTATTGCCACAATTTCAGAGCTTGTTATTGGTCTATTCAGAGAGTCAACTTCTTCCTCATTTAGTCTTGGGAGGGTGTATGTGTCAAGGAATTTATCCATTTCTTATAGATTTTCTAGTTTCTTTGCGTAGAGGTGTTTGTAGTATTCTCTGATGGTAGTTTGTATTTCTGTGGAATCGGTGGTGATATCCCCTTTATCATTTTTTATTGCGTCTATTTGATTCTTCTCTCTTTTTTTCTTTATTAGTCTTGCTAGTGGTCTATCAATTTTGTTGATCCTTTCAAAAAACCAGCTCCTGGATTCATTAATTTTTTGAAGGGTTTTTTGTGTTTCTATGTCCTTCAGTTCTGCTCTGATTTTAGTTATTTCTTGCCTCCTGCTATTTTTTGAATGTGTTTGCTCTTGCTTTTCTAGTTCTTTTAATTGTGATGTTAGGTTGCCAATTTTGGATCTTTCCTGCTTTCTCTTGTGGGCATTTAGTGCTATAAATTTCCCTCTACACACTGCTTTGAATGTGTCCCAGAGATTCTGGTATGTTGTGTCTTTGTTCTCATTGGTTTCAAAGAACATCTTTATTTCTGCCTTCATTTCATTATGTCCCCAGTAGTCATTCAGGAGCAGGTTGTTCAGTTTCCATGTAGTTGAGCAGTTTTGAGTGAGATTCTTAATCCTGAGTTCTAGTTTGATTGCACTGTGGTCTGAGAGATAGTTTGTTATAATTTCTGTTCTTTTACATTTGCTGAGGAGAGCTTTACTTCCAAGTATGTGGTCAATTTTGGAATAGGTGTGGTGTGGTGCTGAAAAAAATGTATATTCTGTTGATTTGGGGTGGAGAGTTCTGTAGATGTCTATTAGGTCTGCTTGGTGCAGAGCTGAGTTCAATTCCTGGGTATCCTTGTTGACTTTCTGTCTCGTTGATCTGTGTAATGTTGACAGTGGGGTGTTAAAGTCTCCCATTATTAATGTGTGGGAGTCTAAGTCTCTTTGTAGGTCACTCAGGACTTGCTTTATGAATCTGGGTGCTCCTGTATTGGGTCCCTATATATTTAGGATACTTGTCTTGGAAAACAAAAAAAGGCAGGGGTTGCAATCCTAGTCTCTGATAAAACAGACTTTAAACCAACAAAGATCAAAAGAGACAAAGAAGGCCATTACATAATGGTAAAGGGATCATTTCAACAAGAAGAGCTATTTTAAGAAATTGTATTCAGTTAATAATTATTTAAAACCTGGTGTGCTAACAATAGTATCACTTTTCATTCATATGTGTTTTAAGGCTAACAAAGCTTTTTTAAAAAACTGTATTTTTTATTTATTTAATTATAAAAATAATTACACCCACTTTAAAATGATAAATATTCTCTATGTTTTTACTTTCTTACAGAAGTTGAAATCAAAATAATATTTTCAAGATCTTGTCTGACACCACTAACATGTTTCTGAAGTTGAAATGAGTATTTCTTGATAACTGTAATTCTCAGAATCAGTAGGAGTTCACGTAGTCCCACAAAATCATTTGCTTATTTTTTACTCGGAGTAAACGAAGCAAAATGATCATTATGCATTCCACAAATCAAATACTTTTTAAAAATGTATCTACATTATCTGCTGTTTCAATACTTCCTTTCATCTCCCAACATTTTTACTTATTGTATAAAACTTTTCGATGTATCAAATTTGTCTTCCAGGCTGGAGTGCAATGGCACAATTTCGGCCCACTGCAGTCTCTGCCTCCTGCATTCAGGCTCCTGAGTAGCTGGGATTACAGATGTCTGTCACCACACCCAGCTAATTTTTGTATTTTTAGTAGAGACGGGGTTTCACCATGTTGGCCAGGCTGGTCTGGAACTCCTGACCTCAGGTGATCCACCTGCCTCAGCCTCCCAAAGTGCTAGGATTACAGGTGTGAGCCACCGTGCCCAGCCAAGTGAATTTCTTTATACTCAGTTTATGTTGGTGAAATAATTCATGCACCTGTGTGATTGAACGATCATGGGTTTTGTTACTCATTGGACCTTAGTGTGAATCACGATTTTATCATATGCCATCTAGTAGCCTTTAGAAAGTCATTTAACTTCTCTAAGACTCAATCTTCTTTTGCATAAATGAAAGGTAGCAAAACCTATTGTTTGTCATGAGCATTATGACTGTTGGGGG
Source organism: Homo sapiens (assembly GCF_000001405.40). Taxonomy (NCBI): domain Eukaryota; kingdom Metazoa; phylum Chordata; class Mammalia; order Primates; family Hominidae; genus Homo; species Homo sapiens. The sequence goes on along the minus strand of NC_000004.12, from coordinate 59,183,078 downwards.
AAACATCCAGCATCATATCTGGCTCATATTGTGTGCTCAAGAAGCAGCCTTTCTTCCTTCTGTCTTTGTTTTGTCCCTTCATCCTTACTTCTTTTTTCTTGTTTAAATAGCTATATTGAGGCATAATTCAAATGTTACAAACTTACTGATTTAAGTATATAACTAAATGTTAAATATTTTAGCATATTCAAAAAATTTGGCAATCTTCAACACAATTTAATTCTAGAATTTTATCATTTCAAAAAAGAAAACACTGATGCCCACTAGTAGTTAGTCCCCATACCCTATCCCCCAAAAAACACTGCTAGCTTACTTTCTGTCTCTGTATATCTGCCTACTCTGGATGTTTCATAAGTTTTTGTGATTGGCTTTTTTAACCTAATGTTTTCAAGATCTTTCTGTATTGCAGCATGAATCAGTCCTTCATTAGTTTTCATAGCTAAATCACATTTCATTGTATGAATATAGCACATTTGTTTATCCATTCATCATTTAATGGACAATTAGGTTGCTGCCACTTTATAGGTATTGTGAAAAATGCTGCTCTCCACATTCATATACAAGTTTCTGTGTAGATATATGTTTTTGTTTCTCTTTGGTATATACCAAGGTGTGGAATTACTGGGTAATATGGTAAGAGTATGTTTAACATTTTCAGAAATAGTACAAGTTTTCCAAATTTACTGTACCATTTTATATTCCAACTAGCAATGAATGAGGGTTCCAATTTTTCACATACTCATCAAAACTTGTTATCTCTTTTTTATTTTAGCTTTTCAAGTTTATGTAAAAATCATATCTTATAGTGGTTTTAATTTCTATCTCCTATTTTTAATTGGTTGTCTTTTTATTATTGCATTGTACATGTTCTTTACATATTAGGTATATTAGTCTCTTATCAGGTATATGATTTGCAAATACTTTCTCCTGTTCTGAGTTGCATTTTTACTTTTTTGAAGTGCCATTTATAGCAAGAAAAAGTTTTAAATTTTTATGAAACTCAACTTATCTACTTTTAAATTTTATTTCCTGTATTTGCATAGTAACATCCATCCAAAAAGTACAGTATGGATAATTGGGTAAAAATATTAACTACAGTGGAGAAGCTTGAAAAACACTACTGAGGTCAGGTAATAAAAGTGAACATCAGTAGTGATAAGTCATGTTGATAGTACCTTTGAAATGATGTGATGAAATGGCATTTAATCTTTGTAGTCTTCCTCTCAAAAATGCATAATACCAGTCTAATCATGAGAGAAACATCAAAGAAATCCTAATTGATAGACATTCTAAAAAACAGTTTTACTTTGAAAAGCTTTATTTTGAACTTTACTCCTCAAAATTGTCAATATCATCAAACAAAGAACACCTAGACTACACAGCCAAAGGAATGTAAGGAGACATCATCATTACATGTGATGTGGGACTCTGGATGGGATAATGGAAGATAAAAAGGATGTTAGTTAGAAACTAAGAAAAACCAAGAAAATCTGAAGAATATGTAAACTTTAATAATGAATCTATATTGGTTCATTAATTGTAACAAACATACAACACTAGTGTAAGATGTAAATAATAGGGGAAACTGGGTGCAGGGTATATGGTGACACCTTAGTGTCATCACATTTTGTCCCTAAGCCTATATCTATTCCAAAATAAGTTTATGTAAACCAGAAAACTTTAATTTGTAACTCATTTACATATAAATTGCATTTTATGCATCAAAAATGATAAGTTCTGTAGGTAAAAATCTATAAATTAATCTAAAATTGTTTGATAGTGGATTTACAAAGGAGAAAGATGCTGCATATAAAAATTAAAAAATTTTGGTTCCCTTGAATTGCTGGGGACTGAGTGTAGGTTATAGTGAAAGTAAGAAGCCCTTGAGGGTAACAGTCTTACAGTGACTTCCATACTTCTTGGGGTTTTACTTTCAGAAACTCAACAAGTTTCTAATGGTGAAGAACCAAGAAAGATCCCTTCCTGACTCAAGCTCCACTAATCTTTCAAATTAATTGAGCCTACAGTTATGTTCAAGTATCAGAATACTATATATTTGCTTTATTCTCTTGTCTTGTTATAAAACCAACAGGTTTGTATGCCCACTGCACAGTAATGGATCAAAATACTGAGACAGAAGTGTTTACAGCAGAGAAAGATCAATTGCCCTGAGGAGTTCTGGGCTGCGATTTTTAAGGGGATCATGGAGGATGAGGGGCTGGAAAACTGAGATCATTGATTGGTTGAGGTAAAAGGGATGAAATCATCAGGACGTGGAAACCATATATATATATATATATATATATATATATATTTTTTTTTTTTGGAGACAGAATCTAGCTCTGTCACCCAGGCTGGAGTTAAATGCTGCAATTTCAGTTGCCTCCCGGATTCAAGCTGTTCTCCTGCCTCAGCTTCCCAAATAGCTGGGATTACAGGTGTCCGCCACTATACCCAGCTAATGTTTGTATTTTTAGTAGAGACGGGGTTTCACTGTGTTGGCCAGGCTGCTCTCAAACTCCTCACCTCGTGTTCCACCCGCCTCGGTCTCCCAAAGTGCTGGGATTACAAGCGTGACCCACCGCACTTGGCCAGAATCTTCATTTTTAATGAATCAGCTCCTTGTGCGGTCCTTCAGAACAGCTGGTGTCAGTGGGGTTCTTCAGATCAGCTGACATCAATAATCCTAGGTCTGAGCTCGCTGAAGTGCTGCAGCTCTTCTCTCTCTTCTCTCCTTTTCGTCACCCACAGCCTGGCTAACAAGGAGCATGTTTCAGCCGTGTTTGTGTTACTGATCTTTCAGTCCCACCATTCGGCAGGTCCAGGAAGAATGAGGTTTGCGAACAGCTGAAGGGTGAGTAAAGTAAAGAGGTGCTTTATTGAGCAACAGAACAGCTCTCAGGAGACTTGAAGTGGCTAGCTCCTGTCTGCAGGCAGGTCATACTGATGTCTGTGCAGCCCTCAGTGGAGAGGTGACCCGGGGTGGGTAGCTCCTTTCTCCAAGCAGATCATCCTGATGTCTGCTCAGCTCTCAGCTGAGAGGAGACCCACAGTCGGTAGATCCTATATGCAGACAGGTTGTCCTGACATTTGCTCAGCTCTCAGCTGAGAGGAGACCCACAGTGTGTAGCTCTTCTCTGCAGAGAGGTTGTCCTATCATCGCTGCTGAAATCATAAAACCAGGGGGTTTTATGGGCTTCAGAGGGGAGGAAGTGCATGCTGATTAACCCGTTGGTGGCCATGGATGGTCCTGGAGAAAGCACCGTAAGTTCTCACTTCAGTCCATGGAACTGGCCACCCGACCCTGTGGCCTGAATGTGGGGCTTCACCAGAGACCCACCCCTTTCTGCACAGGAGCCTATCAGCCTCCCACCACCATCAACCTACTGTCCATGGTGCCAAGGCTGTTCATGCTGAGGGGTGCCTGCAGGCCCATGCCAAGCTGCCCTCAGAACTCCCTTGATCTCCCTCCAGTGCTTGTAGGTGCCCAAGTCCAGAGGGGGCTAAGGTGGCAGGGGACTGGTGTGTCAACACAACAGTGCCTGGCCTCCACTTTGCCCCTAAATTGGAGCAGGCACAAGGAGTGGGGACAGACCAGGCAGTGGGAGCAGGCACTTCTGAGCCTATTGGGGCAGGGTTTTTCCTGGGTCCCCAAGAGTGCAGGGATATCTGGGTCTGCAGCTGAGGCTGGGCAGCTGCAGCTGTACCTAGGAGGATGGGGCTCCCACCACTCCAACTCAGAAGGGAGTGGAACTTCCACCTGTTCCTGGCTCCCACCACCTCCACTGAGCACGTAGCCTAGGCCACATCATGGTGGTGGGCACTCCAGAAGGGCCTTTGCTGCCATCAAGTCTATGACTAGAGGCAGTGAACAACCATGAAGAAGCAGATAAGAGAGCAAGCTAACCTCGATTAATGCTGAATGTGCTGCAAGCTTAGTTCATTTTCGTTTTTCCCCTACCATCATTTTCATTAATTTTATAGAGCTTATAGGGATGGCTTCAGTATCTATTTCTTTTTCTTCATCTCTCTCTTCATATTTACCGAAAGAGATATGGAGGAGGTGCATATTTTAATTCTACTCACAATTTAGTTTTAACCCAGAAAATTAACATATCTAGACAATGATCAGTTTGTAAAAATAAAATCAATGCTGAACTACACCAAATTAAATGTATTTATTTTCCATTGTTCCATAAAATATTAACACAAACATAGACACACATTTCTCTCACAGTTTTTCTGGGTTAGGGGTCTAGACACAAGTTAGCTAGATTTTTTTTTTTCAGGTATCACAAGTCTTTAATCAAGATGGTGACCAGTATTGAGGTCCTCCTCTGGGACCCAGCTTCATCTGCCAAGCTCACCCAAGTTATTCAAATAATTCAAGTCCTTGCAGTTGAATGATTGAGATGTCTTCCTACTTGCCAGCTCTCAGCCAGGAATTTGCTTTAAGTAACTGAGACCTGCAGTTCCTTTCTTGGACTAACAGAATATGTAAAGCGTATAAGGAAAATAAAATGAAAGAAATTTTTTTTTTTTTTGAGATGGAGTCTCACTCCATCACCCAGGCTGGATTGCAGTGCCTTTATAAGAATCCAAAAGGCTAGCTAATCTGGGAATTTAGTGATGTGGAGAAATAACACTTGGGATTACATCTTCTCACTATGGGAGGTTGAGAATTTTTATGTAGTAACTTAGAAGTGGGCTTCAGTGACACAATTGACAAGTTAAGATTTTTGTACTTGTTTGATAGATGCATTGTTTATGGTTAATGTATATATTTAATTATAGTAATTGGTGAATTTGAGGTGTTATGCTGAAGCCCATCACCATCACAAACCAATTCTGAAGCCTCCCCTGCCTGGTACAAATAAATGAGTGTAAGACAAAATATATACTTTAACTACTATGTGTGTTTGAGGATGATAATACTTACCTTTGAAGTGTTATTAAGAAGAAACAATCACGAAAAGTGCTTACTACAGTGTCTAGTGCGTATTGAATAATTATCTATCATTGTTGATTACTAAAATCATTATGATTAAGATAGTTATTATAACACATCATTCATGGAAATACAATTTTTCTTACTTCTTTGGTGACAAAAATTAGTTGATTTAAACTGCAAAGGTTATTCTTGGACCAAACAGTATTTGGCAACATACCTGAACTATAGTTAATTAATTGTTATTGAAATAATTATATTGAAATTATTGAAGTAATGAGTAATAAGAATTATATAGATATAAAAAAGAATTATAGAGATATAGAATTATTATATATATTTCCAATTCTAATTATATATATAATCTCTTAAAAACAAATAATTATAGATTGAAAGTTGTGTATATCTATGTTTGTATATACTTTTCTATCATTTAAAATGTATTTAAAAGTTTATAATTTAAGAGTATACAATGCACAGCTGTAAAAATGGTATCCTGTGTCATTGTATTTATGTGGTGTGAAAAAAATAAAATTACAAAAAAAGTAAAATAAAATAAAACTAAGTAAAAACAAAATCTTTCCACTAGGACTTTCAAAATTGTAAACACTTTTTACACTTTTCTCTAGGTTCAGGCAAATTAGTACATGGATAACTGTAATACCAAATGCATTTTTTAAATTAATATTTCAGGTTAAATGAATATTTCCTAAACTTATTTTATGTGTAAGAAAATAAAATATTAATCTGTGACAAAAGAACACAAAGAAGTACCATGGTTTTTTTTTTTCATACTATAGATATGAGGTTCACTGAGTCATATGGAATTTACTTCACTTGTTCAAGCTCACTAACTAGTCACTAGGGGAACCCTAACTCCAACAAAGTATTTTTCTTTCATATAACACTGTAACACAACCATGTCTTTTATTGGGGCTGAGTTTTTGATAAATTAGATGTTGGGGAAAAAAAAAGAGAAAAACAGACATCTACTGTGTAGACTCAGAAAAGAAGCTAGGCAATGTTAATAGCACAAGCTAACCGATTATAACTAATTCTGACTCTGACACATTGTTCTTTTGAATGCTTTGGCTTAAGTGCTTCTAGTTTTCTAATTAAGTGTGAAGAAGCCATGTGTGTTCATACTTGAGATGACACTAGTTAATTTTCACCTCCTCCTAAAGGCATAGCTTTTAGATTTTTTACTCTTTGAGAGGTTTTTTTTTCACTTTTTTTTAATGACTCCATTTTCAATTTTTTTTAGTAAGACAAGATAGTGATATTTTTAGGATCGTGAAACAGTGTAAATATTAATGGCTAACATAACTAATTTCAAATATAATACAAACAGTAGCCTTATATATTAAATTTTCCAAAATGTGTAATATGTATTAATGTAGAATTGTGAAAGAATTTGGCAGAGATAATAGTTGGAAGACAGAATGGGATTCAAAATTTGCATTTTAGCATTATATTACTTATACCTATTACAATTAAGGAATCCACCCGTGCTTGCATCTTGGTATAATATCAGTACATAACTGTTTGAAAAATGCAACACCATTGTTTTAATTTTAATGTGCACAGGGAGAATAGATTGGAGAATTTTGTTTCCTTTAGTTCTCTTAATGGGTAATTGTGAGCATGCTCTTTGATTTTAGAGTTTGATCTAGTCCCCATTCCATCACTCAGCAGCTATGTCACCTTGGGCAGTTTCTTTTGGCTTTTGGGGGCTTTAGTTTCATTGTCTGTAAAATGTGCATAAAAGTAATAATCAGATTTATGGCAAAGGCTTTTATAACAAGATGCATATAAATTCGCATTACAGAGTCTAGTTAAAAGAAATGTTTTGGTATGTTTCTATTTACTTCAGAAGTGGAGAAGGATGAGTAAGAGGAGGGAGAAGGAAGAAGAGACAAGTCCCGACTTTGGGACTAAAAGACAAATGTACATTGGCACCAAATGCACATTGGCACAAATCTTTTTTATTTTGATACATGCAGATAAAGCACTCGAAAACAGTTATTCTTCAGTATTACTTACCATATTCAGAATGGATTTACAGGAATATCCAAGAATCACTTGCTCATGCAGAAGTTCCCAAGTACATAGTGCCTATTCAAAATGATTTGACTATTCAGATCCCATCTCTCCAGCGAGCTTTGTTTCTGTTCTTTCACAGTTGAAAGCTTTTAAGTTTATCTCATCTTCTCAAGACTTTAAGAATGAGGTGATTTGATTTCTTTAGTTTAATGGGGCTGAAACAACCAAGTAAGTAAGAGGGTTAATTAATTTGTTCAGAATCTAAGTTTTATTTTTGAATAGCATATAAGGGAAATAAGCAAAAGCAAAAGTGCTTGATCAGCATGAGACAATGTTAAGAGCACTAATTAGCTTGTAAACCTGTTATGGCTTTGTTAGTTTGTAGAGATCTCTAAACCCAGTTGTATAGTAATGAGCCTTAATTGTATCCCTTAAACCATAATTTGTAGTCAGTGATTGACTAGAAACATGTTTTCAGATGTGTTTGTATTCTGATCTGATTATATAACATCTGGCCTTTTATTTGTGAATTTATTTATGTTTTATATCACATATATTTAAAAATTTCCCCCTCGGACTTTCTGAGTGTGCTTATATGAATTTTCCAAATATTCGTATAGGAAGTAATCTCAGTGAGTTGGACACTTAAAACATAAAGACTTGCAGTGGAAAATATAAAAACTAAGTGAAACTTATTCAGTAAATATTCAGTAAGTTCCCACTGGCTACAATGTACACACTTCTTGGGTAATTGCCACACTAAAATCCCAGACATCATCATTATGCAATATAGCCACAGAACACAACTGTACTTGTACCTTTAAATCCATAAGCATAAAAATAAATAGATAAGTTCATTAAATTATTTTATTTTCATAGTTGATCTTAACGTTCTAATTTTTCTCTACGATAGGGTATGTACAATTGGAAGAGTCCTTTTACCACTGATACAGCTCAGCACCAGAAATAGTAACATGATCAGACATGAAATGTATCTTGACATGTTACAGTGTGAATAAAGTATTATCAGCTCTGAAGTATTCTTGACCAGAAAAAATGTTTCAAGTGAACCCAAACAACATTTTAGATTTAACTTCCAATTGGCATTAAAAACAAATGAAAACGAGCACATTAAAGGCATATAGGAAATAAATCAGACAAATTCAGAAGGTGGGGCATTCTACAAGACAATTGTTTGCTTCAATAAATTAATGTTGTGAAAAGATTTAGCCATTGCTGATATCAAAAGGAATTAAGAGATATAAGAGTCAAATGCAGTATGTGGATATGGCTCAATACTGGTTTGAAATGAACTGGAAAAGATATTTTGGGAAAATCTGGAGAAATAAGAATATACTCTGGGAGTTAGATAATATTAAGTTATTATTTTTTGTTTTTTTAGATGTGGCATAGTATTCTTAGGAGAATGCTTTTTTTGGTATTCATACTGAAGTACTATGGGGTACATAACATGAAATTATTTTAAAATATTAGTGCAAAATAGATGAAGTAAATATAAGATAAGGTGACAGTTGTTAGATATTGATGGGAATTCAGGGTTTATCATATTTCTCCTTTTATATTTCTGCATATTTGTAGGTTTTAATAATAAAATGCAATATAAAATGGAGTCTACTTAATGCTAAATCAAACAGAAAAGAATCCATTCAAATATTTAGCTTCCAACTATTCATTAACTCTCCACCTATAGTTGTCCAGCTTCCATGATATCTGTGGGTTGGTCGTACAGTGAGCTTCTCTGATTTATTCTCTACTCTTACAGAACATGCAGTGTAAGGGGGATGATAAGCACTGACCAGGTCATTATAAAGGGATTATAAAGTGGGAGGTGCTACAAATGTGAGTGACAGTTGGACCTCACTAAGTCTGAGACAAAATGAAATCTCCCAGGGAAAAGTACCTATTAGAAGGAATCTCAAGTGCAGATAAAGGACATGCAGTGAGTGGTGGATGGCCTTGCCGCTTCCTCTTTTTTAAAAATAAGCATAATTTATTAAAGAACACACACACAAAAGTGCAGTATGGTGGTAAAATAGAGAGGTAAAAGGGAAAATACAAATGAAATAAGACTAGAATGCTAGACAACAGCTGAATTTCCTTTAGATTAAGTTAAGGATTTTATGTTTCTATTCTGAGAAAAGTGGGAAGTTGCTGAATGATCTTAAGTAGAATTAAATGACTATGTGAGAGAACTCACTCTTGCTGAAATGAAAAGAATGAAATAAGGGATGGCAGATGTGTCTTTGAGAGAACAGTTAGGAGAAGGATACTGTAGGCATTGAGATAAGAAATGGAGATGTTTCAGGGAGTGGAAAGGAGAACTGGTAGCATGATACGTGGCTCTGAGAGCTTGAACTTGAAGTGCCCTCTTTAAGATCTTCTAAGTCTCTCTCTGGTACCTACAGTGTCCAGAATAGCAACACCATTAGGATAGCAGAGCATCTGGAGCTCAGATCATGACCTACCTGGGCCCTGTGACCTGTGTTTCCCCTTTAGGACTTTCTTTTATCCTCAATTACCTATATAGGCCATGGGGTTGATTTTACAAGAAGCTCTGGAACTCGCACCATGAGGTTGTCCAAGGGCCTCATGACAAGGGTGGATCATGTGATTTTGTTTTCAGACTCATATGAGATTGGAATGGTAGGGTGCTGACATCCTGACTTGGGATTATAGTTGTGTTGCACAGAGGGCAAATCTAGACAACTAAGAATTTAATAGTCCACTGCTGACCTTTAGGTTCAAACAGTGCATGTGAACCATTTATTTAGCTCTTACCCATCAGAATTTGTACTTCAGTGGGGCCTTGGGTCTACAGCAGGTTCTCTTAACTTTGACACTATTCACATTGCAAGCTAGATAATTCCTTGTTGTAGAAGGCTGTCTGCATACTGCAGGATGCTTAGCAGCATCACTGTCCTCTACCCACTAGACACAGGTAGCAACCTTGCCTCCCTGCCCAACCTCCCACTATGTGACAACTAAAAATGTTTTCAGACATTGCACATGCCCCCTGGATGACAAAATAAGCTTTACTTGGAGTGAACTGAACTACAGAATCTTAATTGGGGTAGTCCAAGCATACCTTACCTTGCTCATGGCACCTAGAAGAGTTGCCCTACCTCCTCTGAAGTCTCCACACACCAGGCCAGTAAGTCTTATGGCTACTTGTATCTTGTACAAGAGCTTTCAAAACTATTGTTCAGTTATGTTAATGAGTGCTTCTCCACAATTTGGTGACATCGTCAGTCATAAACCATGTCAGCTTAGGGGCAGAGTTTTCATTCCTTGTTTCAATAGAACTGTTATTTTCATTCTTCCCACATACTCTTTGTCTTACAACTTTCACCTCCAAGTAACTGTGCAAGAGAGAGGGGTTGCAATTAATATTTAAAGACATCAAATTCTAGGAATGCAGTGATTATAGCATAATGCATTCAGTAGAAAAGAAGATTGGGCAATATGTTATTCCATATTTATCTTAATCTTATATTAAAGTAGCATATACAGAAAATAAATAATAACTCACATTTTTCTGCAAACCCTGGACAAGGCTTGCATATGTGTTCATCATCAATTAAGTACAGTAACAATTTTTGAGAAAATCAATTGGAAGCCAAGAATTGGGAAGAAGGTGGCACAATGGATGGTGAAACATTATAAATAATAATATGAGGATGTAACCAGTATTAAATAATTGGTATTAGGGATTTGCAGAGGCAAGAAGATCCAAATTATTTCAATACTAACATGTTCTGAAGAGCTATTGCATTGTAATACTGGGCTTGTTAGCTTTTTCTCTCAGTAGGAGGTAAGACGTTAGCCACAATTGCCTAGACCAGCTCGGCTGTGGAGACTCTAACCCAGCAGCACTAGAGAAATTAAAGACACACACATAGAAATGTAAAGTGTGGAGTGGGAAATCAGGGGGCTGACAGTCTTCCGATCTGAGAGCCATGAACAGAGTTTTACCCACATATTTATTGACAGCAAGCCAGTGATAAGCATTGTTTCTATAGATTATAGGGTAACTAAAACGGGAAACAAAGGGGTGGGCTGAAACAAAGGGATGGGCTCTGGCTAGTTATCTGCATCAGGAACATGTCCTTAAGGCACAGATCTCTCATGCTATTGTTTGTGGCTTAGGAATGCCTTAAGCGGTTTTCTGCCTTGGGTGGGCCAGGTGTTCCTTGCCCTCATTCTGGTAAACCCACAACCTTCAGCGTGGGCATCATGGCCACCACGAACATGTCACAGTGCTGCAGAGATTTTGTTTACAGCCAGTTTGGGGGCCAGTTTATGGCCAGACTTGGGGGCCTGTTCCCAACAAACAAAGACACATTTGCCAAAAAAATAAAATAAAATAAAGGAAGATTTCTGGACCTAAACAAAAAGATATAGTGCCTTATTACAAATAATTTGTATATAGACTAATGAGAAAATTAACACATATGCAAGCACATGTTCTCTACCCATTTTTCAAAAACCTTATTGATAAATCACTATACTTTTCATAGGCTGATGAATAATTTTTAAAACAAATTGCTTATAAAATAGAGACCCTAAAATAAACATTTACCCAAGTCCTGCACATGCAATAGTCAGCTTGGTAGAAAACAGTGTATTAGGAAGATATTTAGAAAGAGAATGTAGGATTTGATGGTTTATCAGATATAGAAAGATGAAGAGTTGAATATGTCCTCCAAGTATTTGACTTGAATAATTCGGTAGATAAAAACTGTTGTAATGAATTTCCACAAAATTATGATTACTCCATATTATGTAATTCATGGTTTTGTAATGTAATGCCATTGGAAGAGTAATTTGTTCTTTAACTACCATTCTAAATATTTGTCCAAATTGCCATGCATATTAAAAAAGAACAAGAGTCAGAGGTAATTTTTTTCTTTCCTCTATCTCTCTTAAATTTAAAACACTGTAACTCTAGCTAATATTTTTACATGAATGAGTGGATTGCATAAAATGCATAAAAAGATCCAAATCACAAAACCTTCCTGAGTTTTCAAAGCACACTAAATCAATGTAGAGCAATCCAGACAACTGAACTATAAGAATGGAGAGTTGTATAGCCTTGACTTGATGTGAGTAGTATAGTGCATTGATTGACATTTGAGAAATGTAGCATTCAATACTTACCCTCCAGAGAGGATGAAAAATAACCACAAATTCAATAACACCCATCTGTGCATAACTAGACTATCACCTCAAATTTATCTTCAAAAGTTTGCTTTTTGATCTTAGGTTGATGTAATTATACAAGGTATCCTGTACTTTGATAAACTGTAATGTCATTTTTAACATTAATTAAATTTTAGTTGTTATCTACAGAATTTCCCAACGTGAAAGTACAAGCATACCTCATCTTACTGTGACTCACTTTGTTGTGCTTTATTGATATTGTGCTTTTTATAAATTAAAGGTTTGTGGCGACCCTGCATCTAGCAAGTCTATTGACACAATGTTTCCAACAGCATATATCTCTGAATTATATTTTGTTAATGCTCACAATATTTCAAATATTTTCATTATTATTATATCTTTTATAGAGATCTGTGATCAGTGATCTTTGGATTTACTATTGTAATTGTTTTGTGGTGTCACAAACTGCACCCATATAAGATGGCAAACTTAATAATTTTTTTTGTGTTCTAATTCCTCCACCAACTGTCCATTCTCCTGTTTCTCTCTGTCTCTTCAGACTTCCCCATTCCCTGAGACAAAATATTTAAATGAGGTCAATTAATTATTCTATAATTAGCCTCTAAGTGTTCAAGTGAAAGGAAGAGTTGCACATTTCTCACTTTACATCAAAAGCTAGAAAGGATTAAGCTTAATGAGAAAGGTATGTCAAAAGCAAAGATAGGCTGAAAGCTAGGCCTCTTGCACCAGACAGTTAGCCAAGCTGTGCATGCAAAGGAGATGTTCTTGAAGTAAACTAAAAGTGTTACTACACATGCCTGCAATCCCAGCACTCTGGGAGGCCAAGGAGGATGAATCACTTGAGCCCAGGAGTTCAAGAACAGCAAGAGCAACATGGCAATACCCATCTCTACAAAAAATTAAAAAAGAAAATAGCCGGCTATGGTGTTGCATACCTGTAGTCTCAGTTACTTAGGAGGGCTGAGGTGAGAGAAACACTTGAGCCAGGGAGGTTGAGGCTTCAGTGAGCTGTGATCGGGCCTCTGAGCTCCAGCCTGTGTAATACAGCAAGGCTGTGTCTCAAAAAAAATGTTAAAAAGTGGTACTACAGTAAACACACAAATAATAAGAAAATGAAACAGCCTCATTGCTGATATGGGGAAAGTTTGAGTGGTCTGGCTAGAAGATCAAACCATTCACAACATTCCCTTAAGGAAAAGCCTAATCCAAAGCAAGGCCTTAACTCTCTTCTATTTTGTGAAGGGTGACAAAAGTTTGGAAGCTGCAGAGGAATCATTGGAAGCTAGCAGAGGATAGTTTATGAGATTTAGAGAAAGAAGCCATATGGAAAACAGAAAAGTACAAGCCAGAGCAATAAGTGCTAATGTAGAAGTTGCAGCAAGTTATCCAGAAGATCCAGCTAAGACAATTGATTAAGGTGGCTACACTAAACAACAGATTTTCAATGTAAGTAAAACAGCCTTCAATTGGAAGGAGATGTCTGTCATCTTGTACTTTCATAGCAAAAGAGGAAAAGTCAATACCTGGCTTCAAAGCTTTAAAAGACAGGCTGACTCTCTTGTTAGGGGCTAATGTAACTGGTGATTTAAGTTCAACTCAATATTCATGTACTATTCCAAAAATCTTAGGACCTTCAAAAATTATGCTAAAGCTACTCTACCTGTGCCCTAAAAATGGAACAGTAAAGCTTGAATGATAGCACATTCGTTTACAGCATGGATTTCTGAATATTTTAAGCCCGCTGTTGGACCTACTACTTAGGATGCAAGGCTGGTTCACCATACGCAAATCAATAAACGTAATCCAGCATATAAACAGAACCAAAGACAAAAGCACATGGTTATCTCAACAGATGCAGAAAAGGCCTTTGACAAAATTCAACAGCCCTTCATGCTAAAAACTCTCAATAAATTAGGTATTGATGGGACATATCTCAAGAAGATAAGAGCTATTTATGACAAACCCACAGCCAATATCATATGAATGGGCAAAACCTGGAAGCATTCCCTTTGAAAACTGCTACAAGACAGGGATGCCCTCTCTCACCACTCCTATTCAACATAGCGTTGGAAGTTCTGGCCAGGGCAATCAGGCAGGAGAAAGAAATAAAGGGCATTCAATTAGGAAACGAGGAAGTAAAACTGTCCCTATTTGCAGATGACATGACTGTATATTGAGAAAACCCCATCGTCTCAGCCCAAAATCTCCTTAAGCTGATAAGCAAATTCAGCAAAGTCTCAGGATACAAAATCAATGTGCAAAAATCACAAGCATTCTTACACACCAATAACAGACAAACAGAGAGCCAAATCATGAGTGAATGCCCATTCATAATTGCTTCAAAGATAATAAAATACCTAGGAATCCAACTTACAAGGGATGTGAAGGGCCTCTTTGAGGAGAACTACAACCCACTGCTCAAGGAAATAAAAGAGGACACAAACAAATGGAAGATCATTCAATGCTCATGGATAGGAAGAATCAATATTGCGAAAATGGCCATACTACCCAACGTAATTTATAGATTCAATGCCATCCCCATCAAGCTACCAATGACTTTCTTCACAGAATTGGAAAAAAACTACTTTAAAGTTCATATGGAACCAAAGAAGAGCCCGCATTGCCAAGTCAATCCTAAACCAAAAGAACAAAGCTGGAGGCATCACCACGCTACCTGACTTCAAACTATACTACAAGGCTACAGTAACCAAAACAGCATGGTACTGGTACCAAAACAGAGATGTAGACCAATGGAACAGAACAGAGCCCTCAGAAATAATACCACACATCTACAACCATCTGATCTTTGACAAACCTGACAAAAACAAGAAATGGGGAAAGGATTCTCTGTTTAATAAATGGTGCTGGGAAAACTAGCTAGCCATATGTAGAAAGCTGAAAAAAAAGAATTATTTCAAAATATTACTGTTCATTGACAAGGCACCTAGCCACCCAAGAGCTCCGACGAAGATATATAAGGAGATTAATGCTATTCTTATTCCTATTAACACAGCATCCATTCCGCAGCCTATGAATCTTAAAGTAATTTTGACTTTCAATTCTCATTAAAGAAATGCATTTTGTAAAGCTATATCTGCCATAGATAGTGATTCCTCTGGTGGATCTGGACAAAAGTTAAAATAACAAAATCAACAGGAGTTTTGAAGAAGTTGATCCCAAACCTCACGGATGACTTGAAGGGGTTCAAAACTTCAGTGGAGGAAATAACTGCACAGGTGGTGGAAATGGCAAGATAACTCAAATTAGAAGGAGGCTGAAGATACGAGTCAATTGCTATAATCTATTTTTTGTTTTGTTTTGTTTTGAGACCGAGTGTCACTCTGTCACCCAGGCTGGAGTGCGGTGGCAGCATCTTGACTCACTGAAACCTCTGCCTCTCAAGTTCAAGCAATTCTCGTGCCTTAGCCTCCCAAGTAGCTGGGATCACAGGCATGGGCCACCACACCTGGCTAATTTTTGTATTTTTAGTAGAGATGGAGTTTCACCATGCTGTCCAGGCTGGTCCCCAACTCCTGACCTCAAGTGATCTGCCCACCTCAGCCTCCCGAAGTTCTGGAATTATGGCATGAACCACTGCCCCTGAACAATTGCTATAATTTTATGATAAAACTTGAATGAATAAAGATTTGATGTTTTAAAATAATTTCAACATTTATATTCAGGGGGTACAAGTGCAGATTTGCTACATGGGTGGATGGTGTGATGCTGAGGTTTAGGATTCCCTCATCCAGGTAGTAAGCATAATAACCAACAAGTAGTTTTTTGGCCCGTGTTCATCTCCCTCCCTCCCTACTCTATTAGTCCCCAGTGTTTATTGTTCCCATTTTTATGTCCATGTGTACTCAAAGTTTAGCTCCCACAATGTTTCATCTCACAGATGAAAATATTGTGTTTGGTGTTCTATTCCTGTATGAATTTACTTAGGATAATGACCTTCAGCTCTAACCATGTTGCTGCAAAGGACATAATTTGTTCTTTTTATGGCTGCATAGTATTCCATGGTGTATATGTACCACATTTTCTTCATTCAATTCATTGGTGATGGGCACCTAGATTGATTCGATTTTTTTATTGTAAATAGTCCTATGATGAACATATGCATGCATGTGTGGTTTTTGTAAAACAATTAAGTTTCCTTTTGTTTATACACCCAGTAGTAGGATTACTGGGTCTAATGGTAGTTCTGTTTTTAGTTCTTTGAGAAATCTTTCTATCACGGCTGAACTAATTTAAATTTCCACCAACAATACAAAAGCATTTCCATTTTTCTGCAGTTGCTCAGCAGCTGTTATTTTTTGAATTATTAATAACTATTCTGACTGGCGTGTAATCCTCTTTTACTGTGGTTTTTTTATTTGCATTCCTCTAATGATTACTGATGTTGAGCATTTATGCTTGTTGTTGACCACTTGTATATCTTCTTTTGAGAGGTGTCTGTTCATGTCCTTTGCTTATGTTTAATGGGGTTATATGTTTTACTTATTGATTTGTTTAAGTTCCTTATAAACTCTGCATATTAGACTGCTGTCAGATATGTAGTTTGAGAGTATTTTCTCCCATTTTGTAGGCTGTCTGTTTACACTGCTGATAATTTTTTTGCTGTGCTGAAGCTTTTTAGTGTAGGTAGTTCCCTTTATTTTACTGGAATTGCTTTTGGGGACTTGGAGAAAATTATTTGCCAAGGCCAATCTCAGGAAAGCTATTTCCTTGGTTTTCTTCTAGGATTTTTATAGTTTGACGTCCTATAATTAAGTCTTTAAATCCATCTGTTTTTTTTGTTTGTTTGTTTGTTTTGTTTTGTTTTGTTTTTTGAAACAGAGTGTCTCTCTGTCACCCAGGCTGGAGTGCAGTGGCGTGATGTCAGCTCACTACAACCTCCGCCTCCTGACTGCAAGCGATTTTCCTGCCTCAGCTTCCCAAGTAGCTGGGACTACAGGCACGTGCCACCACACCTGGCTAATTTTTGTATTTTTAGTGGAGATGGGGTTTCACCACGTCGACCAGGCTGGTCTCAAACTCCTGACCTTAGGTGATCCACCCTCCTCAGCCTCCAAAATGCTGAGATTGCAGGCGTGAGCCACCACGCCTGGCCCATCTTGAGTTGATTGTTGTATATGGTGAAAGGTAGGGGGCCAATTTTATTCTTCTGCATATGGCTAGCTAGCTGTCCCAGCACCATTTATTGAACAGAAAATCCTTTCCCCATTGCTTATTTCTGTAGACTTTTTTGAAGATGAGATGGTTGTGTGTGTGGACTTTATTTCTGGGTTATATATTCCATTGGTCTATTTGTCTGTTTTTGAACCAGTTTCATGCTGTTATGACTACTGTAGCCTTATAGTATAGTTTGAAGATGGGGAATGTGATGCCTCTGGCTTTGTTCTTTTTCCTCAGGAATGCTTTGGGTATTCAGGTTTTTTTTTGTTTGTTTGTTCCATATAAATGTTAGAATAGTTTTTTTTTTTCCTAATTCTATGACAAATTACATTGGCAGTTTGAGAGAATGAGTGGTGAATCTGCAAGTTGTTTTGAGCAGTATGACCATTTTAATGATGCTGAATCTTCCAATCTATGAGCTTGGAATGTTTTTCAATTTATTTGTGTAATCTCTGATTTCTTTCAGCAGTGTTTTTTAGTTCTCCTTGCAAAGATCTTCAGATATATTCCTAGGTACTTCACTGTTTTTTTGGCTATGGTAAGTGGGATTTACTTCTTGTTTTGGCTCTCAGTTAGAACATTGTTGTTGTATATATAAATAGTACTAATTTTTCTACAGTGATTCTGTATCTTGAAACTTCATTGAAGTTATTTATCACTTCTAGATGTTTTTTGGTATAGTCTTTAGAGTTTACTATGTAAAGAATTATATCATAAGCAAAGAGAGATATTTGATTTCTTCTTTTTCTAATTTGATACCTTTTACTTTATTCTCTTCCCTGATTGCTTTGGCTAGGACTTCCAGTACTATGTTAAGTGGTGAGAATGGGCATCCCTGCCAAGTTCCAGTTCTCAAGGGGAGTGGTTCCAGCCTTTGCCCATTCAGTTTGATGTTGGCTATGAATTTGTCATAGATGACTCTTATAATTTTGATATGTTTTCCTTTGATGCCTAGTTTCTTGAGGGTTTTTAAAATCATGAATGGAAGTTTGATTTTATAAAAAGCTTTTTCTGCATCTATCAAGATGATCATATGGGTTTTGTTTTTAATTCTATTTATGTAACAAATCATGTTATTGATTTGTGTATGCTGTACTAACCTTGCACCCCAGGAAAAAAGTCTACTTGATCATGATGAATTAACTTTTTGATGTGTTACTATATTTAGTTTTCTTAGTTTTTTGTGAGGATTTTTGCATCTATGTTCATCGGGAATATTGACCATAAGTTTGTTTTTTCACTGTGTCTATGCCAAATTTTGGTATCAGGCTGATGCTGGCTTCATAGAATGAGTTAGGGAGAAGCCTCTACTCTTCAATTTCTTGGAATAGTTTCAGTAGGATTGGTAGGAATTTTTCATTGTATATCAGGTAGAATACAATTGTGAATTCATCTGACCCAGGTCTTTTTTTGTTTGGTAAGTGTTTTTGTTACTGATTCAATTTAAAAACTTGTTTTTGGTCTGTTAATGTTTTCACTTTCTTTTTGTTTCAATCTTGAGTGATTGCATGTTTCCAGGAATTTATCAATTTCTTCCAGGTTTTCTAATTTGTGTGTGTAAGTGTGTTCATAATAGCTTCTAAGGACCTTTTGAATTTCTGTGGAATTGGTTGTAATGTCATCTTTATCATTTCTGATTGTGCTCAGTTGGATTTTCTCTTTGTGTTTTCTTTGCTAATCTATGTAGTGGTCTATTGCTCTTGTTTATTCTTTTCAATAACGAGCTCTTGGTTTCATTGATTTTTATATGGAATTTTACATATCAATTTCATTCAATCCTCTTATTTTAGTTATTTATTTTCTTCTGTTTCCTCCAGGGTTGGTTTGGTCTTTTTTTTCTTTTTCCTTTTCTTTTTTTTTCTAGTTCCTCTAAGTACAAGGTTAGATTGTTAATTTGAGCTATTTCTAATTTTTTTATGAAGTCATTTAGGGCTATAAACTTTCCACTTGGCACTGCTTTAGAATATCCTAAAAACTGTACAAGTTTTGTCTCTATTTTTCTTAATTTTAAAAATTTTTGAAATTTCTGCTATAATTTTGCTGTTCACCAGAGTTTAGGAGTAAGGTGTTTACCTTCCATGTATTTGTGTAGTAGTGAGATATCTTAGTATTGATATCTATATTTATTGCACTGTGTTCTGACAGTGTGCTTTGTATGATTTCAGTTTTTTTGAATTTTATTGAGATTTGCTTTATGACTGAGCATGTGGTCAATCTTAGACTATCTTCCATGTGCAAATTAGAAGAATATATACTCTGTCATTGTTGGATGGAGTACTCTATAAATGTCTAATATGTCCCATTGGTCAAAGTTTGAGTTTAAGCCCAGAATTTCTTTGTTAGTATTTACCTTGATGATCTGTCTAATGCTGTCAATATGTTGTTGAAGTCTCCCACTATTATTATGTAGCTTTATATATCTTGTCATAGGTCAGGAACAACTTGTTTTATGAATCTGGGTGCCCCAATATTGCGGGTGTATATATTTATGACACTTCTTGTTGAAGTGAACCCTTTCTCATTATGTAATGCCCTTCTTTGTTGATTTAAGGTCTGTTTTATCTGGTATTAGAATTGCAACTCCTGCTCTTATTTTTTGCTCTGTTTGCATGGTAGATCTTTATCCCTTTACTTGGAGCTTGTTGGTATTCTTACATATGAGACAGGTCTCTTAAAGGGAGCAGGCAAGTGGGTCTTGTGTTTTTATCCAGCCCTCTATGCCTTTTACTTGGGGGGTTTAGATAACTTAAATTCAGAGTTAGTATTGCTGTGTGAAATTTTGATATTATCATCTTGTTGTTAGTTAGTTGTTTTGTAGACTTGAACCTCTTATAAGACCAGTCTAGTGGTAATGAATTTCCTTAACATTTGCTTGTCTGAGAATAATTTTATTTCTCCTTCACTAATGAAGCTTAGTTTAACAGGATATACAATTATTGGTTGAAATTTCTTTTCTTTAAGGATGCCGAAAATAGGCCCCCAATCTCTTCTGGCTCATAAGACTTCTGCTGAGAGGTCTGCTGCTAGCCAGATGGGTTTCCCTGACCCTTCCAAATAACTTCCTTTCTTTCTTTCTTTCTTCCTTTCTTTCTTGCCTTCTTTCCTTTCTTTTCTTTCTTTGTTTCCTTTCCTTTTTTCCTTTCTTTTCTTTTCTTTTCTTTCTTTCTTTCTCTTTTTCTTTCTTTCCTTCTTTCTTTCTTCCTTTCTTTCCTTTCTTTGCTTTCTTTCCTTTCTTTGTTTCCTTTCCTTTCTTTTTTCTTTTCTTTCTTTTCCTTCCTTCCCTCCTTTCTTTCTTTCTTCTTTCTTTCTTTCTTTCTTTCTTTCTTTCTTTCTTTCTTTCTTTCTTTCTTTTCTTTTCTTTTCTTTCTTTTCTTTTTTCAAATTGACCTTGCTGAATCTGATTACTATGTGCCTTGGGGATGGTGATCTTGTATAGTATCTTCCTTGGTCTCTCTGTATTTTTAAAATTTCCATGTAAACCTCTCCAATGAGATTGGTGAAGTTTTCATGGACTATATCCTCATATTTATTTTCCAAGTTGCTTACCATCTCTTCTCTCTCAGGAATACTAATGAATCATAGATTTGGTCTCTACATAATTCCATATTTCCCAGAGGTTTTATTAACTTTTTAAGGTTTTTTTTTTCCTACATTTTGTCTAACTGAGTTTATTTGAAAAACTGGTCTTCAAGTTATGAGAGTCTTTCCTCAGTTAGATCTATTCTGCTTGTAATACTTACAATTGTATTATAAAATAAGTGTAGTGATATTTTTTATTTCCAAAAGATTAGTTTGGTTCTTTCTTAAAATGGCTATTTTGTCTCTGAGCTCTTGGATCATTTTATTAGTTTCCTTGAATTCCTCGGATTGGATTTCAACTTTCTCTAGAATCTTGATAAGCTTCCATGCCATCCAGATTCTGAATTATATGTCTGTTATTTCAGTCATTTCCAACGTGGCTAAGAACTATTGCTTGGGAGCTACTGCGCTCATTTGGAGTTAAGGGGACACTCTGATTGTTTGAATTGACAGTCCTTACACTGATTCTTTCTCATCTGAGAGGGTTAGTATTCTTTTAATTGTTGTGTGCGTTGAGTATAGTCGATTGGCTTCATTTCTGGATGTTTTCAGAGGGCCAAAACTCTGTACAGGATTTTTATTTGCAGGTGAATTTTTGCCCTGAGTGTCATACATTTTGAATATTTCACAATATTTTTGGTGTTGTAATTTGGGATTCAAACCAGTAGATGGCACTTAAGAGTAATTGCCATCAGATAGTCCCTGGCTCAGCTGCATGGCTCTTTTCTATTTCAGCATGTTCACAGTGGTGGGTCGGGGGAGAGATGACTCCATCACTAACTTCGCTCCTGGGTCTTTTGGGAGCCCTCTCAAATCACTTGTGCCATGCCCGCATTCCTCTGTTAGGTGTTCCACGCTCTGAGGCTCTCTTGAGCAGAAGCTATAGCTAGCAGATAGGCGATACCCTTCCCAGACAGGTTCTGTAAAGTAAGGCACACCCTGCTTCTGTGCCAGCCCATGAGCCTACATTTCTGACCCCTCTGAGTGTTCTGAGAGTGGGGGCTTCTCCCCTGCTTGAGTGCTGGACACCAGTGTCTGCAAGGCACTCCTTGCGTGCAGCCCTGGGAAACTGGGACTGGCCAGCAGCTCCAGTCTCCTATCCCTTGGGGTTGGGCACTGACTGCACTTAAGTGTCAGAAATAATATCAGGCCATCAGAAATTGGTGAGTTGGGGATGCCAGTGATGCACCAAGGCTGGGCAGTGGAAACTGCTGTACACATGCTCCTGCAGGAGTGGCCAGGCAGGGGCTTTGGGAGAGGCTAGCAGGCAGGAGGGCTTGAAAAACAAATGTGCTCCAATTCTGCAGGAAAATCATCCATGCTCTCTTGTAGGAAAATCAGCCGTGCTGTCTTTTGGGCTCTCAGTATTTTGAGGTAAGAGCAACTCAGAGGAAAATGGGGAGCCTGGGGGGATGGGTGCCTATGGCCCTGTTCGCTGCGACTGCCCTGTGCACAAAAATCCTTTGGCTTAGCACGGGCTGAAATTCTGTCTCTGCTTACTCTTTAGGCAGACTCCTCTGTCAGCTCAAGTGTCCATAGGGGATGTGGAATCTCTTGAAATTAGGATCCCAGAGGTTTATGGAGAGAGAGAGCTGACCCACCATTCCATCGCACACAAGTTCCCTAGGAGGAGTTCGGGAATGGATACTAACCCTGACATTTGGCAACCCCGTGCAGGGTTCTCAGCTTCCTCCCTCTTCTTCAGCCTCAGTGTCTACATTGTCTTTGTAATGATTCTTGGTTTTCTTTCTCCAAAGACGTGTTTTTAAAATGTTGCTTTGCTCAATTTTAGTCTCTTTTCCATGAGAATGCTGCTTTCTGGCTGCATCTATTTGGCTATATTGTCCCCTATCTCAAAGAATTGCTTCTTATAGATGAGCCAATAAAGTGGTTTCTTGAGATGAAATCTACTCCCGGTGAAGATGGTGTAAAATTGTTGAAATGACAAGAAAGGACTTAGAATATTACCTAAACTTAGATGACAAATCAGCAGGAGGGTTTGAGATGATTGACTCCAACTTCGAAAGAAGTTCTACTGTAAGTCTAGTGCTGTGAAACTGCATTTAATGCTACAAATATATATTTCATAAAAGGAAGAATCAGTGGATCAGAAAACTTCATTGTTGTCTTATATTTTAAGAAATTGGCACAGCCACGACAACCTTCAGCAACCACCACCCTGATCAGTTAGCAGCCAGCAATATTGAGACAAAACCCTCCACCAGTGAAAAGATTAATACTTGCTGAAGGCTTAGATTATCATTAGCATTTTTAATCCATAAGGTGTTTTTAATAGACTTGCTACATTGCAATATTTGCTTTAACATTGTGGTCTGGAACCAAACCATATCTCCAAGATATGTCTGTAGATACTTAAATTTAAAATTACATAATTTGTTTTTAGCTAGTGGGAATATCAAAAATATTCTCCAGTGTCACCTCATGTCTCTATTATTAAAGTCTCTCTATACACCTGAGAAGAGGGATGATCAGCTATAATTCATTTCTTTTCCTCTTACCATTTACTGGTTACTGCAGCAGCATTTGGATTATTTCCTATTCTTTCTGTGATTTTCAAGGTGGTGATGCAGGGCTTTGGAATTTTACTGTTCCCCACTCAGCATCACCCCCCATTGATCTCTTTCCATTTCTTTGCAAGAACAATAAAAACAACAATGATTTCATGCATGCTCATCGTATGCAAATTTAAGTGTATGGCAAACATTATCTCTTTTAATTTTACAAATATCAGTGAGGGAGGATCTTTGTTTATCAATGAAACTAGTTTGTAGGTAAAAAACAGATGATCATCAAGGTTACATAATATGTCTCATGTCACATAACTAGTAAGAGAATGCTCTGACCATCACAGGCAGGTCTCTCGAATTCTAAATTACCATGTTCCCTTTTATTCCCAGAGCTCTTGTGTGAGTATCAACTTTGTCAGGGATTGAGGTTAAACATTACCTGAAAAGATACAAGATTTTTCTCAGCCTTGGGAGGATAATCAATGTCAGTATCATAAATCCTCAAAGAATGACGTAGTATATACACTTATATCGTATAATTTATGAATAACTAATAGGTAGATACAGTTTAACATTTAAAGGGATAGTAATAAGAGGGAAATCAAAAGAAGGGAATAATACAGTTTAATGTTTTTGCATGACACTTTTCTACTGAACTTCATAAAAATTTATGATTAGTTATAGCATTAGAAAATGTTGGATTCTATCTAAACACTTTAAGTTATTAAAGACAAGGAGTAAAATTTCTCTCTATATAATTGGTTAGTAGCCAATGTTTTAATTCATTACTAATAAAATTTTATTCAATTACTATAAATGGTAGCAATATTTGACAAAATATATTTTTCATAAAGAAATAAGTTCAACTGAAAATCTCTCCTTAAGACTATTTTCTAAGATGCCTTTTCTACTCTAGAGCTATTTCAGAAATTTATTTAAACTTTGTAAATCCAGGGTAAAAGCTTTTAAAATATGTTAGCTGTTGAAATAGTATTCTGTAGGAAGGCAGGCATATTATTATATTTAAAATTATTGTCTGAAGAGATGTAAAATAAGATACATCTTGAACAGTGATAGAAAGCTGACATCCAGAAAAATAGGTACATGCAATCAGAGTTTGTTGTAATAAAGAATGACAAAATTTCTATACACCAAAGCCATTCATTGAACAAAAGTAAATCATTTCTGAATAGATATTGATTAAAGTACAAAGCATAAAACTGACACGTCAATAAAGGTCAGAATGAAACTATTATAGGAAATAGTTGACATGACATGGTGATATGTTGGACCAATAAGAAACATAATGAAATATAAATGGAATACAATGGAGCGGAAAAATGAAATGTTGAAAACATATGCAGTGATCAAAAATAGGAAAGACTGCAATAAAGAAGAAAAATTCTGGAAGAGTGTTTTAAAAGGAGGTGCTGGTGGCTTTTAACCAAATTGAGTACAGATAAATCCATCCGAGGGTATATGGGATTAATGGATCTGTCTATACAGAGCGGAGCATGAGTGAATTCATGGCTGTTGATCATGATATTCAGGACTGCCAAGTTCCTTTGTGGCTTGTAACAGAGAATCTGTGCCTGTATAATGTATCAGAGTGGGCATAGACTGCCAAAGAGAATGCCTAAGATAACTCTGTGTAGAAGGATGAAATGCAACTTTTTTTGGTCTGTGATTCTTAATTGTTAAATGTGTATTTGCAGCTAAAGTAATTACAAATCGGAATCCCTGTTTTTGTTATTGTTTTCTTAATGTATGGTCACTAAAACTTAATAAAGCTATACTATCTGTGCAATACTATCTTACATTGAGCATTTTTCTTTACTCCAAAATATTTCCCATCAATAAAAACAACAAACAAAATATGTATAAGACCTTTCTTTCACCTCCCTTCTTAATAGCAAACCAAACTTTTTGGAGTGGTTTATTCAGGTTTTATGCTTCTTTCTGCATGACCCGTGCTTTTCAGAAGACTTAACTTGCCTAATGTTAGTTTGCTTACTGAGTTTTCAGAATTTTGGTCTGTGGTTAGTGTCTAATAAATGTGCTTTGAATTCCACTGCTCCTTAGAAATTATTTGTTCCATATGAGTAAATTAAAAAAAAAAAACCTTCTTTTTACATTTAGTAAACAAGAATGTTATTGAAGTTATTTTAAACAAGAGAATGTTGTAAAGATATTTATATAAACCATAAGTAGTTATACCTATGTAAGGTTTTTTTCGTATTAACTATTATTTTCACTAAGAAATAGCCATAATTCCTCACAAGCCAGGATAGCACAATGAAGAAATTTATACTATGAAATCTGAAGTCAAGTTAAATTTTATGTGGACTTGAGTAATTTACTGAGAATCTCTTGGCTTTATTTTCTATTCTGTAAAATGTAAAAAAAAAAAAGTGAAGATTTCAGACAATATGTGAAAAGCTTTCAGTATGTAAGGACTAAGAAAATTGTCACATAAAAACTAAATTCAGAAACCTCCACAATTAAATACTTCATCATCACTTTTTACTCTAACTTTTCCAAATAATAGCTATTTCCAGATTATAAATTTATTTTATATTAAACATTTTATAATTATATGATGATGATGCAGAATGTAAAGTAGTATTTACGTACCACTTTTTATAAATAGAGAAGTAGCACTCTTAAGGATGTTGAGGCATAAATAAGGTTTTGGGAATTGTAATTTAGAATCATATTTTATTATCCCCAAGTACTAGTTCATATCACTTTAAGGTGATTTTAAAAAAGGAAAGTCAGCTTCCTAAGTAAATATTGAATTAGGAGCAAATTCTTCTTTGATAATTTGCCAAAACAACTAAATTATTAATATAGTAATTGTATAATTTTTAAAATTTCTCAAAAATGACAGATAATATGTAAAGAACAGTGCTTTTCCACCTGTCCAGAGTTATTTTAGGGTCAGTTTTAGACATTGTTGTAATACCAAAAAAAGTTTAAATAAATAAATAAATACATTTCATGCATTTTAAAGAGCTTTATTACAAACATAAAAGTTATCTTACTGAAAACAAAGGCAGAATATTTATTTGGCACATTCAGGCCTTAGGAGAAACTAGGCACTGAAATTGAAAATTTGAAGAAGTCAAACAGCTATCCATGCCATTTCCTTTTTTTTTCCTCTGGGCTGGGATGTTTTCTTATCTCTTATTTCTATTCTCCACATGCTTACTTAGAATATGAAGTGACACACCATGAGCACAATTTAACTGTTTGCTAAATAAGAGTAAATTCTTCTTTAAAATGTGGGAGATTTTTAGTGCATAAAGATTCATAGAATGCAAGTTTCATTTTGAGAGATCGAAAGATAGCAAACTGTCAGATGTCTCTGAATCCAAATTCCAGGGAGAAATAATCTCATTGGCACTGTGTGTGTCAGGGATCCACTTCTGGTCATTATACTGTGATTAGGGGCAGAGTCAAAAGTCACACACATAGACACATGCAGCAGCTTAGTTCTCTGAGAAATGGATCTTGCTCTTTGTGCTGGTACTTCAAGAGATGTTTACTATAGGAAAGTTGTGAGCTCTTGTTTCTAGCTACACCATCAGTACTCACTAGGCATACAAAAGTAGAAAATACTTAATGGGAAGAAAATGAAAAAATGCAGTGGGCCTATGTATCTATCTACTTTATCTATCTATCTATCTATCTATCTATCTATCTATCTATCTATCTATCTATCGAATCTTTTGCTAGTGTTATACATCAAAGAAATCTCTTCTATGACATTGAGGTTAAAGAGCTGTCATTAATTGTAGCATAGAAAGCTAAACTCCTGAATATCTCTTACACAATTCAGATATATCAACTTTTCTCAGTATATAGTTGCATCGGTGTTTAGCTTGTACATTCAAAAACATGTAACGCTTTCTGTCTGTGTGCATGTGTGTGTGACACTAATCACTTTGCTATTACAAATAACATGTTTAAATTTTTGTTTTGCTCATGGTATTTCTCTCCTTAAGGTGCTTAATATATAGTGTTTTCTCTTTCTTTTTTCTTTTATTTTCTTGCCAGAAGTATTTTATCAGTGGTCCCTATTGTTTTCCATGGCCAGATATTAATTCTTCCTCAGGATCTGACTTAGAAGTTACTTCATTTTTTTTGTATAAGTGGAAAAGACCCTGTAAGTCTCTCTTGAATATCTGTGTGTTTTCTGTATTTAATGGAAGTTTTGTAATGATTTAACTCTTCATTTTTTAAAAAATTATCGAGACTGTAAAACCTGTCTCAGAGCTTGACACATTGCAGAACTCTGAAAATATCTGTTAACTATATGGATGAATTAATCTAGATAGACTATTTCCATCACACTTAATTATAATAAATTCCAGAAAAAAATAGTTAATACTACCTGATATTAGTCATTCTTGTCTATTCATATAAATTTAATGAATAATTAACCAGATAACAATATGCTTATTAACCAGCATAAGAATATGCTAAATATTGTTAGGTATGCTCAATTACTTACTACATCGTCTTTTACAAAAATAAATAAACATTTTTGGGTTGCTTTCAGCCCTCTCACTTTGTGCCAAAGGTAAGGCCAAGAGGTTGGGTTAAAAATGGATTTCAATAGCAGTCACTTCCCTGTATTCAAACTCTCTACTCTTCATCAATGACTAAGCCTTTGTTATTAGGTCAGGATCATTATCTCTCTTTTCTCAGAATGAGTTGCTTCTCATAAACCTGTTATTCCCCTTGAAAAATAGGCATGTGTCCAGTCACCCCAAGAGTTTTCTCTATTTTGAGATATATCTGAATTTTAATGATAGAAACAGGTTGAAAGTTTTCATTTATCTATTTGTATGTGTTTGTTTTCTTGGTCTTTTCTCACAAGCCTTCTGACTCCTCAAATAAATTTGGTATATCATGCCACTTTATTCACCAAACATATTCAGGGATGCATGCAAAAATCCCTGAAATAAATAGGAGTACTTCTTTATCGTTAATTTTAATTCTCTACTAGGGATTGATAACTCGATGAAGGCTGAAATCAGGGTTATAAATATACATGGCCATTTATAAGTTAAAAGAGATAAATCAAAAAGAATAAAGTAGAAAGAAAGAAAGAAAGAAGAAAGAAAGAAAAGAGAGAAAGAAAGAAAGAGAGAAAAATAAAGCAACCAACCAAACAAAGTACAATTTCCAACTGGTAGCATTGTAAAAGCAATTATAAGTAAGTTTGTATTCTTCTTGTAGCCTACACAATAAAAACTATTGCACAGTGCTAGGCACATCACTTAGGACTCAATACATTTTCAATGACTAACTGGGGGAAGTTAATAAATGTATGCATTTGTTCACTGATTGGAATGGTTAATTTAACATGTCAACTTGACTGGATTCAGGAATAACTAAATAACTTGTAAAGCATTATGTCTGAATGTGTCTGTGAGGGTGTTTCAAGAGGAGACTGGAATATAAATCAATGGACGGAATGGGGAAGATCTATCCTCAATGTGGATGAGCAACATCCAATTGTCTGGGGGCCCAAATAGAACAAAAAGACAAAAGAAAACAATTTCCTTCTCCCTCTGTCCTAGAACTGGGACGCTTTTTCTCCTTCCTTTGGACATTGGAACTCCAGGCTCTCCAGCTTTTGGACCCTGGGAGGTTTGCGCAAGACCCCATCCCTCTTCGAGTTCTCAGGCCTTCAGCTCAGACTGAGAATTAGACCTTAGGCTTCCCTGGTTCTGAGGCCTTCAGACTTAGATGGAGCCACGCTGCCAGCCTCTCTGGTTCTACAGCTTGCAAAGACTTTTGTGAGACTTCTCAGTCCCCATAACTGCATAAGCCAATTCCTCTAATAAATCCCTTCTCTTACATCTATCTACATACACATTATATATGTATGTGTGTGTGTGTGTGTGTGTGTGTGTGTGTGTTTGTGTGTATCTCCTATTTTTTCTGTCTCTCTGGAGGACCCTGAAAAAATAAACCAAGTGAACATTTATAGAAGGTTTGTTTATGTTTAAGAAAACCAAGATGATAAACTAGGAGCTTATAGAAAGGAGTCCATGTTAGTCCAAATGCATCTAGGCAGTGTACAACTTTAAATTTTCTTAGAAATTGATTCCAATAAAAATAATTAGTAAAAGTGTCTTCCATACAGAAATCATGAGGTAAGGTGTCTTTAAAACAGTCCCCTATACATGGTGAAACATAAAATATAGATTCTAAATTCTTAAGGCCATAAGTAAACACATTTAAATATGTTAGGGAAATTTTTAAAATCTAAGTTAATGAAGAATAAAACTGATTCATTAAAAACCAACTTATAAAAAATTAGAATAACATAATTATACAAATTAACATATCCTTAGGAATCAGTTGGCAGCACAATAAAGTATTTTTCAAGACTAATGTTTTCCTAACCTTACTGATAATTAGAATCTCCCATGGACCATTGCCAAAATAGACACCTGGGGACCTGATACAGAAGACAGCGGAAAAGTCTGGAAAATATTGTAAAAATAACCTCCCCTGATAATTCTGATAGTCTATCAGACTTGGGATCCATTGCTCTACCTCTGTAACATATTAGAACTAGGAAAACATAGGAGCTAGATAGTTTAGCTCTAATTAGTTTCTTTTATCTTGTTATCAATGAGCAAAATCCTTCAAATATCATCTTCTTTTACTTAAAATATGCCCATCAAAACTTACCCATGATTTTAATTCTCATCATTCCTCAGTCCTCACTGACACAAATGAATGAGCCTGGGAAAGGAAACATGTGATAGGTGAATCGGTCTGGTTTTTGCCTTCCTCTGCTCTCAAGCTTAAGAATGCATTTGAGTCCACAAGTTACCACAAGGAGTCTGCACATTTGAATTGCTTGGTCTCTATATGGCATAGACCGGGATGTTAGGATAATTACATTCTACTCTGATTTTGTTTGTTTGTTTTTTTGCTACCCCATATGGAATCATCACACCTGCACCTAAACTTGGAACACCTACTGGCCTCCAGAGTCCAAAGAATTGCATGAACTAGATTCTGCTGATGTTTGCAAGATTGAAGTTCTCTAATCCTACAAACAAATAGTCATTCACTGTGAAAGACTCACTATGGGGAGGTTATGAGGTGACATGAAGATATTGTAGCCCTTAGACCAATTATGAAATGTTAAATAAACACACTTCTTGTATTATCCTCCATGACAGAAGATCCAATCCATCCTTCTAGATGTGTGATCTCTTGGGGTGGGACAGGAATCTGGCATGATCAACAAAATACTGCTCTAAACATTTTCATGTTATTGTTTCTGCCTTGTCTTTGGGGCAACCTCCAATGGCTAGGTTACAAGTTTACTCTATTACTTCTTATCATAACAGCAGGACACTTGCATAGTGCAAAGTAAAGACACATACATAGCTGAAGGCTTGGGCTTTAAACATGTAATCAAGTAAATTGTTGGTGCTCACAAACAATTTATTTGGCTTTCATGACAATTAATGTAAATGTAAAATCAATCATAACAATCTTATTTAAATAAAATGTGTATATTCCAATATCAGAACTTCACATGGAAAAATCATGAGGGTCACAAGAGTATAATTTTTGTACTGATTTTATGACCAATGCCTAATTTGAATAATAAATTATTCATCTGTATGTGTGTGTTTATTGAACTAAGTTTTTATTTGTCTTACACCATTGGAACATGAAAGCTGTAAAAATAGCAGAAATAAAATATCACTTTTTCCTTGCACAACTTAATTATTAAATAGAATATATGGGAAGCAGATGTATTGCAATATCTCCTCATAAATATTGTTCTCTTTTACTCAGCCTCAGTGTCTGATATGAGAAGTAATTGGTGTATTAAGTCATGGGAATCTCAATTCACATACATTACGTTAATTTCTACTGAACTTATGTCATGCTTTAGATCACTTATTTATTGTGGTTCTGATAAAAATTCTATTCATTCATTTTGTAACGTTACATACATAATACTAGCTGCCTTTCCTCGAGTACCTAATATGTGCCAAGTACATTGTTAAATTTGAATATTTTATAATATAATATCTAAAAATACTTAAAATCCCTATTTTATGGGTGAAGCAGGTGAACATGGAGAGGTAAAGATTGTCTCATATCTTACTACCAAGAAATGGTACAATCAGGATGTGAAGGCACATGACAAATTCTTAGCCTTCAGTCATTGCACTGTGCTGTTTCCTATTTCAGGTATGTCAAATACAAAGGAAGGAATTCTTGTCAAATTCTCTTATATGAATATTTTATAAACCTTATACATAAAAGGACTATCGTTGTTCCTTTGAAATATTCTACTGTTCCTCTGTGAAGGACTTCACATTATATGTGTGTGTGAATTGAAAGCAAAGAGGAAAAAATCACCTTTCAATCTACCAGAAATATGATGGAACAATGTGCGTGTGTATGTGTGTCTCTTCCTCAAACATACTGTGTTATCTATTTTATTATCCGTCTGTAAAAATTATTAAAATATGTGATTCTATTCATCATGATAAATTTAAGCATAGGAGAAAAGTAAAGTCTTATTTAAAGTAATGGAACTTATTCTGTACACAATAGAAAAATCTATTTTAAAAATCACTTGTGAATCTACAGTAGATGTGATGATATAATGTTATAAGTTTCTTTTACACACATACATACACATGTTATTTTACAAGTTGTAAATTTCATCTCATTAATTTAAAAACACATTTTAATGTCTGCGTATCCAATATTCCTTATGGAGCAATAATTTAAATTTAAATTTAACATGAAGGAAGGAATTTTTGTCTGTCTTATTCACTGACATGAACATCAAAAGTGCCTGGCATATGAGCCACGTGTTGAATAATTGTTTAATGAATAAAGTAATGAATGAATTTACTGATGACTCTGGATTTGGAAATGTTGGCTCTTTTCAGTTTTCTATTATTTAAAATTTCATGTGATGATTACAGCTTATTCACTGAACGAAGACATGATTACTTTCTTATGATCGATTCCCAGCAACACGATTATCAGTTCAAAGGGTATATACATAATGTTATGGCTTTTGAGTTCCAGTTCTTCTTCATTTAAGAATTAAAAAAATGCAAAAGGAGATTGTCTACTCATTTTCTTGTCCCTGCAGTCTAGCATTGGAATTCATGGTAATGAGAGAGAGCTGGATTGGTCTTTCCACAACATTTTGGTTCTTAGAAGAAATATTTTAGCCATTTCACTACACTAAGATTTTATGCTTATCAAACTATCTGACAGCTGCCAGGCTCTATGTCTCTTCCATTAAAAAATTTGGCTCTTGAGTCCACTCTATATCTAATTATCTGTACCTATTTTTTTCCTGCAAGTTTTCCTTGTTTTCTCATATCAAAGTGACTCATGCTAAATTGACTTTGTGGTTATCTATCTATCATCTATCTATCTATAATTTTAGATTTCATGAGGTGTCTGAGGGCAAGAATGAGGCTAGATAGCTGATAGTTGCCACCTCTATTGGCATCATTTAATTGAGATGGAAAGACAAAGAATGGGCTAAGGGATAGGCTTTTTATTTAAACAAATTATCCTGAAAAATATATACAACTACTCATAATCCTCATTATCTATGAATGAGGACACTTCCTTTCCTAATCTTTGGACTACTGTGAATAATTTTAGGTGCCATTTTGTGAGGAGAAAACTGGCATCTCATTTATTTTTCATGTTTTGATTATCAGTTTAATGCCTGCATCTCATAAATGTATTGTCCATGTGACTTTTGTCATGTATAAAATGCCTTTTTTTCTTACTTTATCTCAGCATATTTGTCTTAGTTCTTACTGTCTTTAATATTTACCTTTGAGGTTGACTCACCATTGAGATATAAAAAAGATAATATACATGAAAATAACATTTTGAGAGAAGCTGATTTCAAACTGAGATCTGAGATTACTGTATGTCTTTGTATTTTTAATCTGATTTACTAGTTTCATTTAATGCTTGGTCTTTTCAGATTGGGGCATGCAGAGAGAAAGAAAGGGAAAGGTCCCTGCACTGCATGTTTACACACTGAGCAGAGGTTGGCGCTGAGTTACTTTGCCAATTAACACCTGGGCCTGCAGTTCAGAGGATACACAGGGCACTATTGAACCTTTCAGACATTCATTGTTTGAAAAGTTTATAAAAAGATTGAACATTTCATTCTCAAAATTACACTGAGCTTCAAATAAATTGAAAGCACTGTGAAGGGTGTAGCATTCTGCTTCCTTCAGAAAGTCACAATCTACTGTTTGTTTTTTGATTCCCATTATATGAACGTTTTGATGTATTATAATAGGGCTGCAATATTGAACTGAAAATTGAGTTCAAGTTACATCACTTGCTGTAGCAACAGGGTCCTCAAGTAAAGCAGTGAGAACATTCATTGTGTACCAATTACCTGGAAAAGAGGACTTTTAGAATCCTGATTGGGCCACATTCAGGTAATCTATTTCTTGGACCTTTACCATAAAATCATAAAGAAATAAGAAAGCAAACAGATGGGAGAGAAGGTAGGCAAAAAGAAACCTTAAAATGTACCTATAAAGTTGTATCAGCTCTTCAAGGCACCAAAAAACTTACTGCAAATGGAGCAGCCACTTTCAGCCCAGAGAGCAAACTCCCTGTGCTAGCACAAGAAACTTGTCCTGTTTAAGTTACTCTATAGTATTTTATTGCTATTTGTTGTTTCTTGGTATTTATTAAGAGATTTATTTATATTTCTGGGCAGCTTATGCTGAGCTAAAATTGAAATTGAAGTAAGAATAGAATTGGGATACAAATCTATATCAAAACTATAAAATGAAAGTGATGTACTTCTGAGGTGCCTCCATACTGGAGTATCAGGAATCAAAGTGTGAGAACTCCAAAGAGAGATGCTTCACTCTGGAAACCACTGGACTGATAAATAATGAATGTCCCCTTTTCACTTTGAGGTTTTTCTTCCAAGTTTAAAGCACAGAAGGACTAATCCCTGCTTTAAAAAGTGAGGTAAATTTTCTTACACACATAGACCTATCTAAAGATAGCACAGGATATTTTTGTCAAGTACTACAAACTGAATGACATCTTGGTGAAATGCACATAAAACTTTTGAATCAATTGATACCCAGTGGATTTGGCATGTGTTCTATACTTTCATTCATCAAAAATTTTCAAGAGTTTTGATCTCTACTAAAGATTAAACAGGGCTGAGTTTCTTATTCATTTATTATGAGTTTGATAGAGAGCAATATTGTTGGCAAACTGATCTGCCTCTTGAGAAGAATCCCTTGAAATGCGTAGATCATTCCTGAGTCCATCCTATTGCATAGATCATTCCTGAGTCCATCCTATTTATTGATTCCAGGATTTTATTGGCAAGATACTTCAGGAGAGGGAAGTGGGGTAGAAAAATGCAGCCGGGGTTGGGTGTAGGATGTATGTATGTTAGCAGCAGAAGGGGAGCTGATGGCAAAGGGTTAGGTGTTCTGAAGATATATGCTTATATAAAGTCTGAGTTTTCTGAGAATCACACACCAAACTGAGACTTGAGTTGTGTATATTTTAATAGAGTGACTGTGTGAAAGAGTATGGGGAGGCTGATAGAGGCACCAGATCACAATGCAGTTCTACCTCAGACACAAGAAGAGAGAAACAGGAGGGTGGAGAAAGCATGCTAGACTGTCATGCAGTCTAAGAAAGACTTGGCAGGGTATCTGGAAGCCTTAAGACCAAGTCAG
Source organism: Homo sapiens (assembly GCF_000001405.40). Classification (NCBI taxonomy): domain Eukaryota; kingdom Metazoa; phylum Chordata; class Mammalia; order Primates; family Hominidae; genus Homo; species Homo sapiens. The sequence continues at coordinate 59,147,826 of NC_000004.12, read as the reverse complement.
CTTTCAAAAGACACCTATGTGTCTCAGGAAAGCCTTAGTATCCAGCTACCCTCAGCCCTTGGTTGAGAGGAGCCTGATGGAATCATGTCATGGCTATGGATTTTAAAGCACAGCACCTGGGGCTCTTGGTCCGTAATACTCCCTGAGTTGGAGGTCTACAAGCTGCATTTTTAATGGCATCACAATAAAAAGGGGTACAGAACAAATTAAAGATTTTTAGCATTTATCAAATGTTTACAATAAGGATTTCAAGTAAATTCTTATACTTAATGTACACAATAATTAAGAAAAGTATTATGTCACAATTATCAAAATTAGGATTCAGCGTATGAAGAGGTAAAATAATTAGCCCAAGGCCATAAGTTAGTTAGTGGGGGATAAGCGGGAGTTAAAGCAGGTCTGTGTAACTTCCAAACCCATACTTTTAACTTTTAAAGTTAGCTGCTTGAAAGACAATAAGAAAAGTAAACAGAATCCATTCACAATTGCCACAAAAATAATAAAATACCTAGGAATATGGTTAACAAAAGAAGTGAAAGACCTATTCATGGAGAACTAAAAACTACTGCTCAAAGAAATCAGAGATGACACAAACAAGTGGAAAAACATTTCAGGCTCATGAATAGAAAGAATCAATATTGTTAAATTGCCCATCTGCTTAAACCAATTTATCGACTCAATGCTATTTCCACTAAACTACCATTTACATTCTTCACAGAATTGGAAACAAAACTATTCTAAAATTCACATGAAAACAAAAAAGGGCCTGAATGGCCAAGACAATCCTAAGCCAAATGAACAAAGCTGGAGGTATCACACTACCAACTTCAAACTATACTACAAGGCTACAGTAATCAAAACGGCATGGTACTGGTACAACAACAGACACATAGACCAATGGAACAAAGTAAAGCATCGAGAAATAAGACTGCACACCTACAACCATCTTATCTTTGACAAACCTGACAAAAACAAGCAATGGGGAAATAATTCCCTATTTAATAAGTGGTGCTGGGATAACTGGCTAGTCATATGCTGAAAATTAAAACTGAACCGTTTCCTTACACCATATACAAAAGCAACACAAGATGAATTAAAAACTTAAATGTAAAACCGAAAACTCTAAAAACCCTAGAAGAAAACCTAGATAACACAGTCAGGACATAGGCACAGGCAAAGATTTCATGAAAAAAAAGGCCAAAAGCAATTGCAACAAAAGCAAAACTTGACTAATGGGGTCTAATTAAACTAAAGAGCTTCTGCATAGCAAAAGAAACTATCAACAGAGTAAACAGACAACCTACAGATTGAGAGAAAATTTTTGCAAACTATGCATCTGACAAAGGTCTAATATCCATCATTATAAGAAACTTAAACAAATTTACAAGAAAAAAAAAGCCCATTAAAAAGTGGGCAAAAGACATGAACAGACACATCTCAAAAGAAGCCATTCATGTGGCCAATAAAAATATGAAAAAAAGCTTAACATCACTGATAGAGAAATGCAGATAAAAACCACAAAGAGATACCATCTCACACCAGTCAGAATATCTATTATTAAAACTTCAAAAAACAACAGATTCTGGTGAGGTGTGGAGGAAAAATAAATGCTTTTACACTGTTGGTGAGTGTAAATTAGTTCAACCTTTCTGGAAGACAGTGTGGCAATTCCTCAGAGACCTAGAGGTAGAAAAACCATTTGACCCAGCAATCTCATTACTGGGTATATACCCAAAGGAATAGAAATTATTCTATCATAAATATACATGCATATGTATGTTCAGTAGCACTATTCACAATAGCCAAGACATGAAATCAACCTAAATGCCCATTCATGAGAGGCTGGATAAAGAAAACATAGTACATATACACTATGGAATATTATGCAGCCATAAAAAGAAACAAGATCATGTTCTTTGCAAGGGACATGAATGGAGCTGGAAGCAATTATCCTCAGCAAATGAATGCAGAAACAGAAAATCAAATACCACACGTTCTCACTTACAAGTGGAATCTGACTGATGAGAACGCATGGACACATGTGAGTGAACAACACACACTGGGGCCCATGGGAAAGTGGGGGATGAGAGGAGGAAGAGCATCAGGAAGAATAGCTAATGGATGCTGGTCTTAATACCTAGGTGATGGGTTGATCTGTGCAGCAAACCACCATGGCACACATTTACCTATATAACAAACCTGCACATCCTGCACATGTACCCGTGAACTTAAAAAAAAGTTGGAAATCCAAAAATAAAAAAGAGGAAAATAAACAAAAAGAAAGGGATAGGGAGATAAAAGAATTATGCAAGACAAGAAATTCATGTACATTCCTGTGAATGTTGAATCCTTTAGCTAGCTTAGGTTACTGGGTAATAAATGTAAAAAGATGAGTGAAAGCAAAAAAGCTTCTCATTTTACTTTTCTCTAAAAGTAGTGATTTACTACTATATTATTGGAGCCCTTTATGAATCTTTTGATGAAAAGTGGTAGACTCTTCTCCAAATTCCTACCTCTAATTGTGGTTAAGTGTAAAACATTTGTGAATGGGCTGTTGAATTCTGAGGCCATCCTTGAAATGTTACAGTCTCACGATTTTGTGGTTAAGATGTGGGCTGGGGCTGAAAATCATTAGAATGCATGATTGAGGTTAGAGTATCTACTTCCAAAATGGCTCACTCACATGACTGTTGACAGAATGTCTTAGTTTCTTACCATATGAGTCTGTCCGTAGGATTCCTTGGGTGTCTTCAAAACACCCATACACCAGAAAAAGTCATCCTAGAACACAAGACGGGAGCCACAACATCTTTGCTGACGTATCTTCTAAACTCACACCCATCATTTCTGCAATATTCTATTGGTTATTCAAGTCAGCTCAATTCATCATGAGCGGGACCTATGCAAGTATGTGAATACCAAGACGCAAGGTCCATTGGTGGCTCTCTTAGAGCTTGTTGTTATATAGGGTTTAAAGTGAATAGTACAAGAAGGCTGTATGGTTTGTATCATACAGCAATAGATATTTCCACTTAAAAATGTCTAAATAGAAATCATAAACCAAGTGGGATCCGGCAAAGCACAGAAACATTTGAACAAGCAATATCAAATGAACATATCTATAGTAATAGGAAGCCTCTATGTTTTAAATAGCCTTGAGGATTCCAACTGTACAGGATGATGATATTTTCCCTGTGCTAAAATGAGAACTGGAACAGACAATAAAGGAGACCGTCTGGAGATATTGCCTTTACTACTGAATTTATTATATCAATAATCAGCAAACCAAAACAGCTTACTTCATACAAGAAATAAAATGCTCCCAAAGAACTTATTCAACTGATTTAAAGAAATAAAAAGTTTTCTGATAGCATTAACCATTCTGCTACCTCTGCCGAAGGGTTATATGGATATTCAGCATTAAGTACCGACAAAGGAACCTGAACACTGCATTCTGAAATGTTTTCTTCTCTCTAGAATACTGATGATATTGTATGAAGGTGCAGTCTAGCTACCTGGAAGCAAGGAAATATTTTTTTAAATGGATGTAGTTGAATATGAAACTTAAATCATAATGAGAAATCTTATTATTCATAAAATGGGAAAGTTACAATATTTTTACTTTCCTGGTAAATATATTGATGCCTTGGAACAGTATTGTTCAACCTTAAGTAATAGAAAAAATTCCACTCGAGTGGGCAAAATTATTTTCATGTACTCCTGATTGCTGATTTATTTTTAGCATAATGTCATTTAAACATGTAAAATAATGAAATTAGGTATACACTCATAGCTGATGTATAATAATCAAAAAGCCAATTTAGTAAAACAAAACACGAAAATACTCAAACAATGCTACTTAAATTAAGAACAGATGATGTTTACAAATGGAATTGCTTATAAAATAAATAATGTATGATATGCCATAGCAGGATTTTCTTTAAATTCAGCACATCCCTTTAACTATGTGTCTTGAGATAACTTAAATCTTCTCTCACCTCATGTATTCGGATTACTGGGATGCCCTAGTTTTCCAGTCATGGCATAATTTGACCATTAGTTGATATAAATGCATCATACAATAGTTCCTGTTTCTGTTCCTTTGACAGTAACTTTTTGTAGTTAGACTAGTATCTATTGCTAAAGTAATTATAAGTAAAGATGCAAGAAAGACACTAGAATGACATGATACTGATTGATGTAAAGTGCTGATGTAGACAATCCAACTACACACACAGACACACAAAGAAACAGGCAGCATGTAATGGGTATGTGTTTGTGTGTGTATTGATTGAGATTGGCATTGAAATTAAAATACAAAATTAGGAAAACAAACAAATAAATATTTTTGATCCCCAATTAAAGATCAACATTTTTTATCTTTGGGGAAAAATGAGAGAAAATAGGGGGAAAAAAATCTTTCTTTTGTTTGATTGAAAGTGAGGATGGAGTAGGTGAAAGACTTAAACTCTAGTTAAGGAAACAGCTATTATGAAAAGGTTACTGTGAGCTTTAGAATGACATATCTGCTATAAGGAGGTATTACACTTGAACTATGCTGTAAGGTGCCTGTGTCAGATAAATATTAACAACTGGAGCCCTGACACTAAAAAATAGTTTTCTGTATATTCTGTAAAATCCATATAAATTATGATATATTAAGAAGTTTCTATTGAGAGTGAAAGGTAGAATCCACAATAGAGGAACTTCTTAACAATTCAGTAGGTGCATATTAGGAAACTAATTCCGTTTAACATTGCCAGATAACTATTACACATACACACACACACACACACACACACACACACACACACACACAGAGCAATGTTATTGCATTTGTTCTGTTATTTGAGAAGCTGATAATTTCTGGAATTTGAGGGTAGTATTTTCATACTTTGTTTCCATCTAAATGAAAATATATTTATATTTACAAATATTCCACAAAACTTCACACTTTCTTTATGTTCTTAAAGTTCTGCTAACAGAACATTTTCCCACTAGTCAAAATGACAATCTAGTTACAACTGGAAAGAGTTGGAAGAGTTCACATCCTAGAGCACCTGTCAGAGTTATATCAAACGATGGTCCAGCTCATTTACAATGGACAAAAAAAACACAAAAAACAGGAAAATCAAAAGTGAGTCTTTCTCTCTTATGCTCAGAAGGTTATGTCTCTTGAAGTACAGGAACTGTACATATAAAAAGCCTTAACTGGTATTTGCAACAGGCAGCTTTATAAATGAAATATTTTAATATTTGTAGATCAAAGAACTGGAGAGAATTTTGTTTCGAGTATGACAGAGCTGCAGTTCGTGTGCCATCTTGTATAAGAACCTGCTTAGTTATGGCACTTTTCTTTGTCTAGTGCTGTGAAAGAATGTGTAAACTATTTAAATTCATCATGAAATATGCTCTTTATTCCTAAGGTTTCTGACCCTGAAAGCCTAATTTGCATTCAATTAAATCGCTAGGATCTTTCCAAGGAAGCAACTTAAAAGATAAGTAAATCTGAGTGGGTGCAATTGGCAAGCAGATGTTCATATATGAAATATAAGTCAATGAGAATTTTCTTGTATTTGAATTAAAATCTCTCCATTTTTGAGTAACATAAAGTTCTGATTGAAGCATTCACTCTTTTAGCCCTATCTTTTGGAATGAAGAACCTTTGCACACTAAGTGTTCTTGAGAATGCACAAAGCAAATGGTCTTACATGTCACAGGAGTAAACTTTTTTATATTAGTTAACTTAATTAATTTTCAAGGTACATTTTTAAGCATTGAAAAATTTTTAAAAAACAACTTTAAAGTGAACAAATGTATGGAAGCCTAAAGAAAAGATATCATATTTGAGTCATTTAAGTATATTGAAAAGAGTAATGAAATTCTTGAAATGAATACAATGTACATTCATTTATGCAATTTCTTATTCTATGCCCATTTCATTTAAAAATAAATCTAAGACTTCTAACACATTTACTTAATGTGCACATAATATAGATTTAAACTAAATTTAAGTATTCAATTCACCATTATTCATATTACCAGGATTGGGTCATAAAATAATTTTTATATCCTTATTAAGCAAAACAAATTTCATTGCAAATCAAGGAGTCAGTTAAGAAAAGACACTCAAATCTCTGAAACTCACTTCAATTATTATTAAATTGATAATAAATATAATAATGTTTATTTGTCTTCTATGGTTCTTAGATCATGTTTCATTATAAGTTTTCTGATACTTCAGGAATTGAAGATCTTTTCTAGAGCATTAAATATATTAGCAGAGAGTGGCTACTCAGAAAATCCAAGCTAAATATTACACATATTTTTTCATGAATTATACTGTTGCTTCTTATTGAACTAAGCCAATGATTTATGATTGTACTTTGAACTAAAAAGTACAATTTTACCTCATTTATACAAATGTACCTGGGTAAATGTTAAAAAAAGTACAACTGTACACTTTTAAGCAGCAATTTTTAAAAAATTGTTAATTACTTTCATAACATATAACTAAAGGCAAAACTTCTCTATTATCTTAATTCAAGTAAAATGAATTCCATATTACACTTTCTGAGATAACTTTCCTAGAAGAAATGTTGACCAGAGCACATGCCACGATGAGATATTATCATTGGGAAGGCCTGTAACTTTTTTGGGTCTTAGTTTTCTCACATGTAAATTATAACAGCTTCTGTAAACACTTGTGTACCTAAAATTAAATAAGATCATGCCGTTGCAAGTGATCTTCAGAGAGGTGGTCTTGGGGAGCTCCATTTTCTTGACAGAAGCTAAGCACTATAATTCCATGGTGAAAATAATCTAACATAATAATAATTACAACAACAATAATAATAGCAGTTAATGTTTATTGAGGTCTTATTGGTGCCAGACAATATTTTTGGCACTCTACATATGTTAATTCAATTAATTTCCATAGGAATTATAGAATTCATAGCCGACTATGATGGCTCCCCTGTTATAAGTGGGATATTATCCTATGAAGTAGGTATTATTATTACTTTTAGTTTATAGATGTAGAAATTGAGAACTATAGCTTGGGAAACATGACCAAGTTCACACATTTTTTAAGAAGGAGGAGCCTGGATTTAAACTCAAACCCTCTGACTCCAGAGCCACTTAGTATAATCTCGTTGGACAAAAAATACAGATATTTCTGGTTATATAATTCATTATCCACTATTTGAGTCCAACAAACATTAATTGATTTCCAATTACTTATAGGTGTATATGGGAGATAAAATGCCAAAAAGCCATCTTTAATCTTCTGAATATTATATGAATTATGTAAATGCGAAATAGTGAAAAAAGATCCGCACTAGAAGATCCTTCTCTGCCTGGTCCTGTTACTCACTGGACAGGCGACCTCAGGGAACTCACCTACCACTAATTTTCCTCTGATTTGTCATTGTAAATTATTCATAGTGAGACATGCCTTTTTATATTTATACATGTGCTTTTTCAAAGACTAAAGGAAATAATGTACTTTGATTAGTAAAGGAAAACATAAAAGTAAGTTATTATTACTATTCATAGTTTATTAAATTGGTAATTAATTCTATAACTAGACTTACTAAAGCATATGACTTAAGTTGGGAAGTTTACACATACTTTGAATTAAGATTACAATCTTTATTCAGCTCCACTTAAAGTGAATTATTTGAAATCCCGGGAACTTGTATTTTATTCACAGATTGAAAACAATGGAATTCATTAACTTATCAAATATTGTGTGATCCTTAGATAACACTGAATATGAAAACATAAATTAATAGAATAGCTTCTATTTTATCAAAACATATACACATATACATATATTAACTTCTTGGCATTTATGCAATAGCTTTTCTCCACAGACCCTAAGCCTTTTCATAAATTTCAGTTTAATTTCAATGATGTTAATTTTCACAACTGAAGATTTACAGACATAGTTGCTAGGCATTTTTGGTATAATTTTACTATAATATCAGTATCAAATAATAAGCAAATTCATGAAGAACACTTCAACATAAGCTGGAAATCCCTGCACAAATGTTACACATGGACAACTTGCAGACATCGGAAGAGAATGCAGACATTGGAAGACAATTGTCATGTACTTTCTAAATCTTCCTAATTTCATGCAAAGTAGTTCAATGCCCTTCTATCAGTGCTTAATGTGTGCTAGATTTCACACTTTTCCCCTTTTAGTTACTTTCCTAAAGACATGCTCTGACATCTACAATTTCTTTTTTTTTTTTTTTTTTTTCTGAGGCAGAGTCTTGCTCTGTCACCAGGCTGGAGTACAGTGGTGCCATCTCAGATCACTGCAACATCCACCTCCCGGGTTCAAGTGATTCTCCTGCCTCAGCTTCCCAAGGAGCTGGGACTACAGGCGGCCACCACCATGCCAGGCTAATTTTTTATATTTTAGTAGAGACAGGGTTTCACCACATTGGCCAGGATGGTCTCGATCTCCTGACCTTGTGATCCGCCCGCCTTGGCCTCCCAAATTGTGTGAGCCACCATGCCTAGCCTTCTTTTCATTTAATATATAATATTAAACTATCTGTATTTTTCCTTTCACATCACACTTTTCACCCCTTTATGCTATATTAGTACACAAGTTTGCATTGTATAGTTTAACAGTTACCATGGACAAGAAGTCACTGACTTCATAGACAAGCTGAGCAGATTGAATTTCACTTTCCAGACAAAATGATGGGCACCTATACCAAAGCAAAGAATTAAGCCACAATATGTGTTTCATATTTTTCTCTACCCACAGTGAACATAAATGATAAAATTGCAATTAATGAGGGACTTGGTCAGAGATTTTCACTGGTGGTTCATGGAAAAATAACTATATCAAGTCTTGGATTTAGCCACTCGTATAGGCACCTGCAGAAGCGCGAATATTCGCTTCAGCCGAAAGCCAGAGTTCCTTGTTCGATCCCAAATGTCAGCTAGATTTTATATCTGGAACACATTGATTAAAGAAGTGGTTGTGTCATGATGAGGAAAGACCCTTCAACACCATGGGAAATATAGATTGTGATGATTCTCCCAGTCTCAGGGAAAAAAAAGAATATCCAGTTATTTCAAGAACTATGACGCTAAAGGCTCAAGGAATAAATTTACTTTGATACCAAGAGACCAACAATAATAGGTCCCTTGTTATAAGTGGACGCTTTCAAGGAAAAAGTACTGGCTGAAATCCTAGCTCACATTGAGCCTACAAAGTCCATGGATCCACCTAATATTCAATTCTTCAATCCGCAAGTATATATTTGAAATGGGTATATACAGCAATTAAAATATGCCCCTCCCCGCTTGCCATTGAGATCTTAGATTGTTAAGTAAGACCTAGTACAATGATAAAAGGCAAAAGAAAACCTCTGACCCTTCCCCAACACTTCAGGGAAGATAATACATAAAAATAATATTTCATCCTTAGGAAGATGGTATAGATTAGTGCCATGGATAAAGACCTAAAAGATGCATGGCTGGTTGTCTGCATCATATCTCTACTTCATTTTCCAATCTGGCCACTGCAGAAAACAGATGAGTTCTGGAAATGACTATAAATTGCCACAGTCTTAACCAAATGGTAGCCACAATCACAGCTGCAATCTCATGTACATGTAATGTGATCATTGAGTTGGTGAATATGTGTTTTCCACTCCAATTAGATAAGAAGATGAGAAACATTTTACATGTACTTGAGATAGACATTATTCATTTACAGTTTTGTTTCAGATTTATATTAACTCTCCCACCCTTTATCACAATATAGTCAAAAAATCTATACCATTAGAAGCTGTATTATGTTTGAACTACTAAATGTAAGCATTCAGATGAATCTGGCAGCAGGCAGTCTTAACGTAAAAATATTTTATACTGTTTTCAGCCTAAGCAAAGTAAAAATATGTGGGTAAGCTTCATGACCAGGTACCCACACTGTGCTTGCGGTCATATTGTGGGGAGAGATCCTTACGACCAGTTGAAGGAGGAGAAAAACACAATCTGACTATGGCTTACAGACAGATTGTCTCAGAGCATGTGTGGAAACCAAAAATGGATAGCAGCTGCATTGTGGCCACATTAGAAGTAGCCTTGAAAGATAGTGGAGATCAAAAATTTTCCCAATGGACAAAACTACAGCACTACACCTAGTCATCCATATTGGATGAAGAAAAGGTGGCCCAAGATGAGAATGCATATAGATTTCTAGACAGTGACCAATGGTCTGTTTATGTGCTCAGGTGCCTAAAAGGAAAAGAACTAGAAAACCCATGTGGTAGAAGGAACAATATCCCCCTCCCCCCAAAATATCCACATCCTAATTCTTGGAACTTGAGGATGTATTATCTTACATAGTAAAAGGGACTTCGTAGACGTAAGTAAAATTAAAGGCCTTGATATGGTGAGATTATCCTGCATTATTAGGGGGGTCCTGTCTAATAATATGAATTATTAACAGTGGGAAACCTCTCCTGGCTGTATTGGGAAGGAATTGTGACTACAAAAGCTTAATAAGAAGGATGCAGAGGGTCTTCAGTCAAGAAATGTGGGTAGCCTCTAGAAGCTGAAAAAGATAAAGAAATAGGCGTTCCCTTAGAGAGGAATATAGCTCCGTGGACATTTGGATTTTATCCCAGTGAAACCAGTGTTTGACATCTAATCTACAGAACTGTAACAGAATAAATGTGTATTTATTTATACCACTGAGTTTGCAGTAATCTATTACACCAATAATAGAAAATTAATGGAATGGAAATAAGGAGGTCTGTGATACAAGCACACAGGTAGATACATGAGAGTGGGAGGATAACTGGAAGGTTTTGCAGACACATGTTAAAGCCTGCTAGACAGCATCCACAACCAGGAACTGAACAACACAGACCAAATGACTTGACCAGTTGGTGTTTGTCAAACTTCTTCATCGACTGTTCCAGAACTCACCCTCTAGGCACGAAGGGAATAATGAAGGTAATGGAGACAGAGGCTATCTAGAAACCCAACAACATGGATTCTTGCTAGTAATTGGTCTATCTGAATGTCCAAATGTTCAGAAAAAGGCCAACACTGAATCTGCAATATGGCAATATTCCTTAAGGAATTGATTTTCTATGGCAACTTGAGTACATTGAGCTCAGTTCAGTTTGAACTCAGCCGTCTGTCTTCTCAGCCATACTGTCTTTCTGAGTATGAATTTGCCTTCCTTGCCTGCAGAGTCCACTGTAAAGAAACTTACAAAATACCTGTTCTGCAGGCATGAAATCTGCCACAGCATAGCATGTGACCTGGGGACTCACATCACATTGAAAAATTATGGCCGATAATGCACCATCTGAAAATAAGAGCCCCATAAAAATCTGGAAAGCCTTTTAAATGGCAGCTGAATTATTATCTCATAATCCAGTGTGAAATAATGGGATGCCATCCTTCAGGACAAAGTACATGTATTAAATCCGAGGAATCTATATGGTGCTGTATTCTCCAAAGGAAGAATACATAGGTCCCAGAACAAACATGAAGAAGTGGAGTAGTATGGATCCATTACTAATATTTCTAAAAACACAGCTGGAGGGAATTTGCGCTTCTTCTCTCTAAATTCATGTGCTCTTCATGATTGGAGTTCTTAGTTCATAAATGGAGCATATTCTTTAAGGGGACACAGCATGGATGCCACTGGACTACAGACTACAAGCTACACCAGGGTTCTTTGGACTCCTTGCGTGCAGCATCCAACTGGTAAGGGAAATCAGCATACTGGCCAGAATAACTGACTCTGATCAGCAGAAAATGTTAGGGCTGCTTTTACCCAATGAGGGAGGAGCACTGGGAAGCTGAAGTGATAAATTTGGGTGACTCCTGATATTCTCTTTCCTTACTATAACTGTGAATGGATAAATGCAGCAACCTGAAAGTCAAATGACCACTTGGGAATGAAGGTTTGGGTCACATTACTAGGTTGGCCACCAAGACATGCTGATGCAATGGCTAACAATAAACAAAAATTAGAATGGATGATGTAGGAGAGAGAGGATACCTGCAACTGCAACTTCAAAACCAACTGCAGTGACCAGGGCTATAAATTGTCCTGTTAATCTTTCTTTTATGTTTCCTTTCAGGAGGAGAAATCCTGGGGTCTGTGGAGGAGCTATTCCCAAATCTGCATTTAAAAGTAAATATTTTACATAAGAAGGATTAATTGGAGTAACTCTGAAAATGTGGCTTTCTGAGCCTCTGCTTCAGGGAGTATAATTGTCTGATAGCCCCCTCTGCTGCTCTCTGAATCCACACTGATGCCACACCTCCAGTATTTTTCATGGCTTGATTGCTTATTTATTTTTTATTTTATATTTTATTTTATTTTATTTTATTTTATTTTATTTTATTTTATTTTATTTTATTTTATTTTATTGTTATAAGTGGATGCTTACAAGGAAAAAGTAATAAATAAAGTACTGGCTGGAGTCCTAGCTCACAATGAACCTACAAAGTCCATGGATCCACCTAATATTCAATTCTTCAATCCGCAAGTATATATTTGAAATGGGTATACATAGCAATTAAAATATGCCCCCCCCCACCCTGGCCATTGAATAATATTCCATTCCCTGGATATGCCACAGTTTATTCATCTGTTTACTTACTGAAGAACATCTTGGTTGTGTCCAAGTATTGGCAATTATGAGTAAGGCTGCTATAAACATTTATGTGCAGGTTTTTGTGAGAAAATAAGTTTTCAACTCCTTTGGGTAAATTTCAAGAAGCATGATTGCTGGATCTTGTGGTAAGAGTATATTTAGTTTGGTAAGAAACAGTCAAACTGTCTTTCAAGATGACTGTTCTATTTTGTGTTCCCTCCAGCAATGAATGTGAGATCCTGTTGCTCGACATTCTTGTCAGCATTTGGTGTTGTCAATGTTCTGAATTTTGGCCATTTTAATGGTGTGTAGAGACATCTCACTGTTGTTTTATTTTGTGTTTCCCTGATGACATATGATGTGGAGCATCTTTTCCTATGTTTAACTGTCATCTGTATATCTTCCTGGGTGAGTTGTCTGTTAAGGTATTTAGCTCAACATTTTAATTGGGTTGTTTGTTTTTTTATTGTTGAGTTTGAAGACTTCTTTGTACATATTAGATAGCAGTCATTTATCAGCTATGTCTTTTGCAAATATTTTCTCCTAGTCTGTGGCTTCTCTTTTAATTCTCTGGACAATATCTTTCACAGAGAAAAAATGATAAATTTTTAATGAAGGCCAACTTATCAATTCTTTCTTTCATGGATTGTGCCATTGGTGTCATATCTAAAATGTTATTATCAAAGCCTAGGTCATCTATTTTTTTCTTTGTTGTCTTCTACTATTTTTGTAGTTTTGATTTTTACATTTCAGACTGTGATGTCTTTTAATATTTGTGATACCAAAGGGTTTTTTTTCTCTCTCTTTTCTATTATTTTATATCTCACTTTCAGAAACACTAACTATGCATATGTAGGCATACTATATTTATTTTATATATTATGTACTTATCTTAATTATTGCCTGCTTAATTCCATAGGAATATATCCCTTTGAATACCAGAATCATAAGATGTGTTTTTGTTGTTGTTGTTGTTGTTTTTGCCAATCTACTATTAGTAGCTGCTATGATTTAAATGTTTGCTCCTGCTACAATTCATGCTGAAATTTAATTTCTATGTAACCATATTCAAAGGTGAAAACTTTAAGAGATGATTAGGCCATGAGGGCTACATGTTCCTGGGTGGTATTGTTCCCATATAAAAGGGTGAATTTGAATATCTCTTGTTCTCTCTTTTGCCCTTCTGCCTTCAGCCATCACTATTTTCATTTCCTTGATTATACCTTTTAGCAGTGAATTTACTTATTTATTTTAAAAGAGTGTGTTAAATCTGTGACCTACCAGCATTAGTTGTAAAGGGGAATGGTTTTGATTTTTTTGATGATGATCGATGTGTGTGTGTGCGTGTGTGTGTGTGTATGTGTATGTGTATGTACATTTCTGTGAGTGAATGTGTACGTATATGAATGTGACTGGGATTTTTTTCCCTTTCTTTTATTTCTTATTTTATAAAATGTACTACTAATTTTCCTTGTGAAAGAAAAAAATATATTGATGGCATATTAGTTAGGCATCTCCAGAAAAAGTGCCAATGAGATGTGGCTCATCCGAAATACATGAATACATCCAAACATCCAAAATACATAAAATTAAGCCAAGGTGATGCATAAAAAGGGACACACATGGACAAAAGGAGACAAAAGGGATATGGTAGGATTGATGGATACCTGGGGAACTGACAGAATGCCAACTGAAGGCGTCGTTGCTGGATATCCAGGACCAAACTGAATAGATCTGCTTCAGAGGATGTGCTGTGGGAGCTGAGGGAGTTCTGAGTGAGGCTTTCGAGGAAACGTGCTGGAAGATACAGTGTATGTGACCTGAAGCTCTGAGAGAGGAATCTTTATCCATCAGCCATAAGAACCCCCATCTATGCACCGTGTGTGTTCCCTTGAATATCTACTCTACTCTACTCTACAGAAAATTGGTAGAGACCTTTCTTTCCTGGTATGGCAACTGAGTAAAATTTGGACATGCACAGGATTTCAATTTGTCCTAGATGGAACCACTGGGTAGTTTGTGGGGTGGAGAAGACATTTGCAATCTGTTTTTTCCATAGAGGTTGCAGAAATGAGCAAGTTCAATCCCTTGTAACTGGAAAAAAGGTCTTACAGAAGAGATTCTGGAATAGGTGATGAGAAGGATAATGGGGTAAGCATATATTGTTTGAACCCCACCCAAGTTCGTCATGCCCCGCTACCAACAACAAAATATATTACTCTTTGAAAAACACTTGTATAGTGTATTAAACCACACAATGCTCCAACTGCTAATTACCATGCTACTTACTGTAAGATTTGGTCTTTTTCTATAGGATGAACATAGTACTTTTCATAAGTAGGTTCAGAATGTAATTTTAAACATTTGATTAGATAACACAGCATAATGCAGGTTTAAGATTTCTGTAGATTATAAAAATATATATTTAGAACATGTGTTGGTATGTGGAGGAGTATATGTGAACTATTTACCCAGGGGAATTTTAATTTGCAGATTTCCTGGGAGTAGATTAAACCTTTTAAACATTAAGTCTTTTAGATATTAAACATTCTTTTAAAATTTAAACATTAAAAAGAGGGTGAGGTGGCCGGGTATGTGGCTCACACCTGTAATATCAGCATGTTTGGAGGCCGAGGGGGGCGGATCACCTGAGATCATGAGTTCGAGACCATCCTGGCCAACATGGTGAAACCTCATCTCTACTAGAAATACCAAAAATTAGCCAGGCGTAGTGGTGGGCACCTGTAATCCCAGTTACTCAGGAGGCTGAGACAGGAGAATCGCTTGAACCCAGGAGGCGGAGGTTGCAGTGAGCTGAGACTGCACCGTTGTACTCCAGCCTGGGCAACAAGAGTGAAACTCCATCTCAAAAAAAAAAAAAAGAAAAAAGAAAAAAAAGATGGTGATAGAACTTAGTGTGCTTAGAGTCCTGGTTTGCTCCTGTTGTTGTAGAGATGTTATTAGAATCACCTTCTTTTCACCATCAAAAGAATTTGATTTGGATGATATGTAATATTATTAGTGTTTATTAGCTTCTAAAATTGTATTATATTTATCCTACTCCATTGCTTGCATCCATTTACTTCTTAGCTTTATCTTCTCTTCTGTGCTCCCAAGAGGTCACATGTGTTTTACTAATTTCATTCTACCTACTTTAAAGAGGATTGACCACATGTTGGCCTTAGCTGATAATTTAGAGGTGGCCTCTTAATTTCACTCCTCTGCAATTTGCTGTCCTACATTGTAATTTGGAGTTCCAGTGTTCAGAAAATAAGATATGATACCAAATGCTGTGTAAAAAGTCTGTGTGTTCTGTGCATTTGAGCTATAAATTTCATGACTTGCCAATGAATTAACATGCAAAACTTCAGGGATAAAGAAGTCTACATTTGTATAGTGCTTTCCAGTTTAGAACATGCTTTTATAAAAATCATGTCACTGTGCTTCTTTATATTTTAAAAAAACACTAATTTCTTACAATCTCTTTGTCAAGATGACCAAATAAGTGTGAGATCATTCTTTAATGCTGAGGATACATTCATGACAAATGAAATCCACCCAAAAGTAGCACTTCAAGCTTTCCGTTAGTAACCTGGCCTTACTGCCAATGTTTAAAACTTATTTCAAGTTCTCCTTAGCTTCAGAACACTTCAATAATTCATCCTTGTTTTAACTGGCCACTGCCTTTTCTTTATTTGATGTTACATAAAAACCTATACCCTCTTTCTGCTGAACAAGCAACTCTAAAGACAAAAATCAAAGTCTTAGCAAAGGACTTGTTATTTGTACTGTTGCTTGAGACAATATCACATCTTCTCCCATCACCCCAAGGAAATATGTTCAGGTCCATTCGAATAGCAACCTAGTTCAATTATGCTTCAAAATCTTAACCAATACCAGTTAAAACAAAGATGATCCAGGTTATTCAGATAGTACCTAATATATTTTATGAAAACCTATTATTTAATATACAAAAATGTGAAATAATATATTTTCTAAATTGGTATTCCAAAACTGAAAGCAGAATCATCAAGTTAAAAGCTGGACACTGGTATTAAGCAACATCATGCTAAGTAAGTTCAATTTATTCTTCTTAACTTTTGCCGCAAATCAGATTTCTTCATATCATATTGGGCCTTTTGGTCCTAACATGTGACCTCATTGTGATAGTCATTAGAGCTATACACCAACATTTCTGATTCTTTTCTTTGTAGGCACACGATAGGATCTCTTGTAGTTAGAGGTGGCTAATGAAATGTCAGATTCCAGGTGGAGATTTTAAAAAATTGGTGATGCACAATGACACAGTTTGTATCTGTGTGTATACCAGCCCACGTCTTAAGGTTAAAGGCTCAATCTCTGGGTGAGGATAGTATGGATGGATGTGGGTATGAGGGAAAAATAAGCCCTTGTCATTTTCAGCCATCAATACTTTGGGTTTTTTTTTTTACAGTACCATA
Organism: Homo sapiens; assembly: GCF_000001405.40. Classification (NCBI taxonomy): domain Eukaryota; kingdom Metazoa; phylum Chordata; class Mammalia; order Primates; family Hominidae; genus Homo; species Homo sapiens. Next base: position 59,130,710 of record NC_000004.12, on the reverse strand, counting down.
ATATAATTTATCTTTACCAACACATTCATAAAAATGAAAATTAATCATGTATTGCAAGGTGGCTACAATAGGTTGATTAATGTCCCCCTCCCCCAAAAAAGAGATATCAGGTTCTATTCTCTGGAACCTGTAAATGTTACTTTTTATAAGGGAAAGGCATCTTTGCAGATGTGACTAAATTAACGATGTTGAAACACAGTGATTCTCCTGGATTATCCAGGAAAGGTTATCTAACTGCAACCTCAAGTAATTTTATAAGAGAAAGGCAGACAGTGATTTCACACAGCCACACACAGAGAAGAAGTCAATATGAAAAGGGAGCAGAGAAAGATTTGAAGATGTGAGCCTTGATTTAAATAATGTAGCCACAATCCAAGGAATGCCAGCAGCCAACAGAAGCCAGAAAAGGGAAAGAATGTATTCCTTCCTAGAGCCTCTGAAAATAACATAGCTCTGTCAACACCTTGGTTTCAGCACAGTGCTACTGATTTAGGACTTTTGGCTTCTGGAAATGTGAAAGAATAATTTATGTTGCTTTAAGACACTAAGGTTGTGATAATTTGTTAAAACAGCCTTATAAAACGAATGTATTATAGCTGCTGTATTTTTCAATAAACTAGCATTTTTTAATAAAATATATTTATTTTTAAGTTTTCCCCATAAGTAAGCATTGGCTTCATATAAAATGTATTAATACTAAACAATGAGTAAGTCCTAAACCCCATAAAACTATCAAACTGAACATACAAGTTTATAATAAGTGCTTTGTTTTATATTTGAAGCAAATGTATACAGCAAACATAATATTTACATATATTAAAAATATATATATATATCCATTGAGAGGATATATATATATATATCTCCTCTCGAAGCTGTTTTCAATGCTGACAAATAATTACTATACTATAGGGAAGACTTTTAAGAAATTATATATCCCTGTAATACCTTTTAATAAAAATGATCTCAATAAAAATTGATAAAAAATGTGGAAAGCTTTAGGAAACATTATTTTGTTTTCTCCCAGAGTAGATGTTCAGAGATCTGTGTTTCACTAATCATTTCTAAATGCTTTCATGTGCTGTAAGTTTTCAATAGGTTTATGTTACTAAGAATGTAAATGTTAGAGTCTTGCCACGAGGAGAAAAGTCTTATGTGTATGTTGTGGAAAGAGCCCTTTTGCTTTAAACAGTACGAGTCATTTAAATGCCATTGCCCCAAAATTAAAGCATTACTGGTAATGACCATATATAGAGCATACAGCTCAGAGATTTGTCTGCCAGTTTTACCACTATATCCCTAAAGCCTGGAAAAGGGCATGACACTCAGTAGATTAATAAATATTAAGTTATATTTTAAAAATAAGTTGAAATTCAGCTTTTTATTGAGAAGATACCATTTTGATGCTTAATTTTGTGTGTCAACTTGGAGGGTGTGTTTGAATCAGTTTACCATTTCAATGATGAACTTGAAGTAAAACAGATGGCTTTTCAGAGTGTTAGTGGGCCTCATCCAGTCAGTTGAAGGCTTGAGTAGAACAAAATACCAGCCTCCTCCAGCAAGAGGAGTTGGTAAATAGAGTTTATAAAGAAATATTTTATACCTTGCCTCACCAAACAGAAATGTGATGTAAAATTGAGCAGGAGCATCCAATAGTTTTTGTCTTTCTTTTTCATGTGTCACATAGTCATCCCATTATTTATATCATTTTTTTTTCTAAACAATATTTAGGAGTATCCCTTTGGTATTTCTGGGTAATATACCTATGTTTTACTTCTTTATTTTAGTTTATTTTGCTTGCCTTCTTGCTGATTTATTCATTTATTATATTCCTCTACTCATCCAAATTTGTCTCTTCTTATGTACTTGGAGCTGTATTATGAAAACTGTAAAAACTCTAGCTGGGAGGAAGAAAGCAAATTTTTTAGTTGAATTTCTATTGCTGAGTAGTACTTTATCCTAGACCTCAATTTCCCCATCTGTAGTATATAACAGCAATGCTTGCTTTATTTAATTCACAGAATTGACAGGATGATTAGATACAATCATATATGGTAATACAATTTATAAATCAAGGAATTAATTTTATTACCTCAGATGTCTGTGTTTTGCTGCACCATCAAAAATTGGTTCTAATACATTAACTAGTTAATAATTTATTTCTACTAATTATGACTATCTTGAACAAATTAAAATCCATATATACTCAAATACAATTTTTAAAAAATTATGTAATAAGGGAAGTTGATTTTGTTCAGGTAGAACATTGAGGGTCCTTGAAATTGCATGCTACGTATTTCCTGTTTTATCTAGTTGTAATTCACCACTGTTTTCTCTTGTCTCTTCATATATTTCTGTTGTTTTCTTAATCTTTGAGGTTTTTGTGCTGCATTTTTGTTTCACTACATCTCATTTCTGCTAAACTTACATGTATATCTTTCGATGTTATCTTGATACTGCCTTTTACTTTTCTCTATATATTTTAAAGCTATGATGGAAAGCACTTTACAAGCAACTGCAGTGTCTATGAGTTTGTATCTTCTTCAGTCTTTAGTGGAGACTTCATTTAAAAACAAAACAACAAAAACCAGTTTCCACTGACATCTCTGGGATGCTTGTCCCTTTACTTCAAGTTTCACTGACATCTGGCAGATGAGAACACTGCAGTAATTTCACAGAAAGGCTGCCAAATATGACACCAGAAAAAGTACAAAGCATCTGCCCTTTCTTGCTTCAAAAAGCCTAAGGCCTAATGACATCCTTAAATGCCTGGAAAAAGCAAATGATGACATGACTGCCAATAGTAGTGTTGTCAGGTGCTAGACAAATGGACTGGAGATGTCAAGAGGAGAAACTGCCCTCCGGGCAGGAAACTATTCTGCTTATACACACATAACACATCAGATATTTTATATAACAGCTCCTACTGCAATACTTAGCCTGTGTAATTCTAATATTACAAGGATATCAAGGGGCTACCTTTTTCCCACTGACCGGCTGAAAAAAATAGAAGAGAATGAGAAATGCAAGACTTATGATTTAAATATTTTTTATAAAAGTAAAATACTATTTTGTAATAAGTAAAAGATATTTTGTCCTTTCTCCTGTATCCTGGTTTCCAATCTTGTCTGTTTCTTGATGGCTTCTGTCTTCACTTTTATCTTTTTCTATCTCCATCATTATAATATATGTACTATAATACTATTGGATCTATCTCTTCTTCATTCAATTATGGACTAATTTCCATAACTGAAAACACGTCATTCTCCTCTGAACATTGCTGATATCCTTCCTTGCTTTGACATTTTCTTTTCAGAGTGAGGAGCTTCTAGTGAAATCTTTTTTTAACTATGGATTTAGTATCTGGATATTACTGCTGAATATTTGAAACTTTGCTGTTTTTCTCGTAATTCCTAATTGTAATTGTTGCCGTTGGGAGTGATGTATTTAATGGAGAAGGGGCTTTATTCTTTAGCGAAGTCTCACATGAGACTGATTCAGCATAGTTGCGTGCCAGAGTTGATTCACAATATAGATATTTTTCCCTCCAGGCATTATTTTCCCTTTTCCAAGGGTCTGGGGATTGCTGCCCTTAATTGATGAGCCCGAAGTCTTCTCTTTCCTGTAAGAGCTTATAGTTGTATGATCTTCTCATGTCATCAATTATCTTCTAGTTTTGCTGCCCTAAGTTTTAGCCTAAACTGCTTTTCTTATCCACTAAGTACTAAATATGCCATGTCTAATTTCCATTAATGTCTCTACATGTTTGCTTTAATGTAAAATAAAATGTTTTGTATTTCAAATACTTCTAGTTTATTTTGGAGTTTAAAACTTTTTTGGCTGGGCACAGTGGCTCACACCTGTAATCCCAGCACTTTGGGAGGCCGAGGGGGGTGGATTGCCTGAAGCTCAGGAGTTCGAGACCAGCCTGGGCACATGGTGAAACCCCATTGCTACTAAAAAATACAAAAAATTACCCGGGAATAATGGCATGTGCCTGTAAACCCAGATACTCGGGAGGCTGAGGCATGAGAATTGCTTGAACCAGGAAGTGGAGGTTGCAGTGACCCGAGAGCATGCTACTGCACTCCAGCCCAGGAGACAGAGTGAAATTCTGTTCAAAAACAAACAGACAAACAAACAAAAACCTTTGTTGTTTTAATAGCTTATTATTAGCTTATTATTTCAAAGTAGAACATATTGTATGTATATACTTTTCAGCCACTAATGAAAATATACCTAGAAGGATGAGATGGCCAACTTGAAAAGACTTTTACATTATAATACGTGTTTTCAGGACTTTATCTTAAGGGAATAGGAAGCTATTCAGTGATATTACCTGTGGGATTTCGCAATCAAATGTAGACTTTGCTAAAATACCTTTTGTTTTGGTGAAATATAATGGGATGTGTTAAGAAGGAAGACAGAAGAGGTTCACCATGGGGAATGCCGCTAAGAAATCATGTAAGAGGACTAAAATACAGAGTACAGAGTGGATCGGTAATTTTAAAAAGACTAGTGGAGGCAGATAACAATTTGGAGTCATATAAGAAGAAATGAGAAGTTGGGAAAAATGTGAACAAAAGTCTAACTTGAATAATAAAAACATAGCATCACAGCCCCTCAATCAATTCCCAGATCAATTCCCAATTCCAGCCAGTTCACCCTCCCAGAACCTCTTGAATAAAGAGAAAGCCAGGTCCCTTTGAGAAGGACCACACTATACTGTCAAACCATGTACTGTTAATCCTTCTTCAGGCTTTCCCCAAAGGGACCTATGGCCTTTTACCAGGATGATTGTGCATTGGGAAAAAGGAAGTAATCAGACCTTTTGAGAATTAAGGGACTCTAGTTCCAAACTGAAACTAATTCCAGGAGACTCAATATATGGTGGTGCACCAGTCAGAGTGGGGACTTACTGAAGGCAGGTGACCAGTGGAATTTTATCTCAATACATCTCATACTGGGCTTAGTAGGTCCCTGAACCCATCCTGTGCTTATTTCCCTAGTTCCAGGATATATAATTGGCATAGACACAGTCAGCAACTGGCAGAATTCCCACACTGGGGATTCTTCTCTTCACCATTTAGACTTCGAATGAAATTTCAGTTCCATAGAACACTATTTCTGACCCTTCTCAACAGATTAGGTTAGGTATCATTATATGACCCCATATCACCATGAATTTTACATTTGTGCAATTTTCTTTCTCATAATTTTTAAATCAGTTATTGACTATTTGTTATGTTTAAGCATGTCTTGTCTGCTGTATTGTAAACTCCAAGAGGGTGGGGACCTGTCTGCTTGTTCATGGCTACACTTTAAGTATCTATCCAGCGCCATAGGTAAAATATTAGTCTTTGTCAATTGGATGTCAGCCTATACTATTTCATTAAATCTACATCCATATCTGTCTCAGCACACACTTACACTCACACATGCAAAGACAGCTTTCTAATTTATTCCAAGCTTCCTGTTTACATCCTGCTCTTTATTTTACTGTCTAGTCAAGGCTTCTGCAATCTCCTTGATTTGCCCTTTAGGATGACCATTTACTGATTTTGCTTCCATCTTACTTTTAGGCTCCTGCTTTAGTTGGGAGTTGTGTTCTTCTCTACAAGTCAATATTGAACTTCTCTTTTTTCTCTTACATGTCTAATCACATTAAGCTTTAAGAACTTACTTGACTAGAGTTGAAGAATCTAGGTAAAGAGGAAATTACCTGAGGCAAAATAAACATTTTATGTAAAATTCTTGTACTTCCAAACAAGTAAAATAGTCATCCCTCAACATGAGGAGTCTTTTTAGAAAATAGATTTTAATACTTTGAACACATTTCTTCCTCCCAGAGCAGGAATTTTTGTCCTTCACATCTTTTCTAATGATATCCAAATCAATTTTTAATCCTAAACATTCTCCTATTTTTTGTACTTTCATCTTTTCTTAAAAGAGTTTTTTTTAAAGTGAGCTAAAGTATCACTCCCATTAAATCACTCCAGTGTTACCTTGCCATTGTCTTTTCCTCTTAATCTAGTGTATGATGAATCCTATGACAATTTTAATACAAAAGTACGTTAAACCACGCTTCTATTAGGAAATAGTTTCTTTTGCTTCTGTTTTTCAATGAAGAAGCAAACTGGAATTTTATACAAAAAGTTTTTTACTAATAGCACACATTCTAATTCAATAGCAAATAATTAAATATATTAACAATATAAATTTCAACTAACTCAAATAGTTCTTCTCACTGTGATGTATAATATACAAACAGAGCTTCTGAAAAATGTTACTACAGGTAATTTGTATGCATTATCTATATTTCTATGCACAGATTACGTTATTATACAAAGAGCTTCAGATTTAGTTACATAAACCAAACTGAGCTATCAGCACACTTGGCAAACTTTATTTGCTCATGTTCTCACTGCAGTCAAAGGATGCTGGTTAATTGCTAAAGTACTTTCATTGTCTAAAAGAAATCTCTGAACGTGACTAATACTGAGCTTTGGAAAGAGCAGTAACAAATGCATGGATCAAGCCTCCACGCAAGCTATTATGTAAGTCCTATGGCAATTTCTCAAAAGATTGTGATGAATTGGTCAGCTTGTTCTATAGCCATGAATTTCCTCTTTCTTATATTCTAATTTAAATATGATGCCAGAAATGTAATTATCCTTGAAGGTTAGCATTTTCAATTATAATATTTGTATATAAAGTACATAATCTTTGATATGGAAAGTTCATCTTTTGGTATTCACACAATATAGGTGAAGGGTGTACAAAGTAATTTGTGAATGACAAAATTTTACATGGAACTTATCTGCAAGAGGTATTTTTTTCTTGATGGCTGAGTGCTATTTGCCTATTATAAATGACATTTGTAACTTTAATTTAAAGAACACAATCTGCTTTGCAGGTAAACCTCAATATGGAATTTTCATGGAGATTTTGTATTTCTTAGATGTCAGTTGGATGTACTGAATAGTTGATTTGTTAATCTGATGCTTCTCTATTATATGATGCAAAATTGTCAATTAAACATTGTATTCTTCTTCTTACAGAAGTAATGTTATTTACCTCAGAAGACAAAAGGGAAAATTTGAGATAAACAAAAACAACAAAAATTACCTGTAAACCTATAATAGAGAAAACCAATTACATTTGGCATGTAATGTTTTGATTTTTAAAGTTTTGTCTAATTCTAGCAATAACTTTTAATGTAATATTGGCTTTTCATAAAAAAATTTTATTTAATATGTCCTCATTGTGAATCAAAGTAAAAAATGTGATGTATCTGATGTAATCATGTAAGAAAATAGCAAGCAACTAATACTCTATGTGCACGAAATCTAGTGCCAGGATACATAAGTATATATATACACACATCACTTTTTATTATTGTGCAATTCTCACTTATTATTATTGTGTTCAATTTCCAGCATGACACAAATTGGAATAGGCCCTGAAGTCTATGGTCCAGATGGAATGGGCTCTGAAAATGATATAAAAAGTAGCTGATGGAATGGGAAAACCAATGAGAAAAACAAACAAATTTAGAGCAAATGTTTATTTATTAAACAAGTATAATTTAGTGACTACTAGATACTGGATACTGCTCCAGGCACTTGGGATAAATTAGTATCCTTAACTTTGGCAAATAAATCTCCTAAAATAATTGAGACTTGTCTCATCATTTTCCTTGACTGACAGTGGGAACATGCAAAAGTTCAGTGTGATGGGAAGTAAAGGGAAAGCTGGATAAAAAAATGAGGTCAAAGAAGTAATGACAGATGGCATAAGGGAGTATATGCAGATGTAGCTTTTTTCAGTAAAGAACCAAATTGCAGGCCTAGCACAATGACTCACGCCTCTAATCCCAGCACTTTGGGAGGCCAAGGTGAAGGGATCACTTGAGCTCAGGAGCTTTACACCAGCCTAGGCAACAGAGGGAGACTGTGTCTCTACAAAAAAATTGGAAAAAATAATAATTATCTGGGTATGGTGGCTCACATCTGTAGTTCCAGATACTTAGCGGGCTGAGGCACAAGGATCACTTTAGCTGGGGTGGTAGAGGCTGCAGTGAGCTATGATCTCGCCACTGCACTGCAGCCTGGGTGACAGGGTGAGACCCTGTCTCAAAAATAAATAAATAAATCAGTATTAAAAAGACAAACACAAATTACATGCATAGGGAAAGTAAACTAATTTTGTGTAGGCCTAATTAAAATATGAAAAAACAAATTTACATTTCCAACCTTTAGAACTTCTACAACATGGAATAGATATACTGAAAAAGCAACACTTTCCCATTTCCGTGTGATCAGGGAGATACTCGATGATCTTTCAGAAACATTGGAAAATGAGGACAGAGATTAGCAGTGTTCTCAGTATACGTCTGTGTAATTTTTTTCAAAGAAAATATTTGATATTAGTATCTGGCAGATCAGTAATAAATAGATTTCCACATTTGTCCCCCTGTTCTATCATTTCTGATTAGCATAATAGAAATTATAGAACAAAAATTACAAGCAAGAACAAATAGAATAAAATATAACCATTTATATTTTATTGCATAATGATATAATCTGAATTAGTTCTGGTGCGCCTCTAGTGGAAATGTATATACATTTTTGTATCTGAAGTCAGGTAAGTTGGCAATTGAATACAATTTCTAAGACATGTTTTTGTGTTATTTTGAGTTTTTCTTTCAGTATCTTTTAAAAGAATGGGATACTTCTTAGGGTAAATTAAATAATTGCGTGCTCATTGTTTGGTGCTAGATCCAGAATATGATAGACAATGAATAGCTTATTAATAATACACAATCTTAATCAGTGGCTTCCCAACTACAATATAAAATATATATCAGTGTGACAGGAACTCATTTTTTTAAATTGCAGAATACCTACTTCCCCTTCAGAGATTCTGATTCTATAATTTAAAAACCCCTCAGGATTTCATTGAAAAGAATCTTAAGGATTGATTTTTTGTTTGCTTTTTTGGTTCATTTATAATGTCCCTGCATATATTACTTCATATTTATCTTTTTCTGGGGGATATTGACTATTAAATATCAATTATAAGTCCCCCTCACATCACGCATTTAATTTCTAATATCTTTTTACATTTTACCTTTTATAAAATGTATGGAAGAAAATAATTCCATATTTCTGTATAGAATCTTGTTACAAATTTAAAAAATTAAGTTATACTATGAAATTCGAAAGTACAATTCAGGCATGATTTAAAAACAGTGCCACACATATTCCCCCCAAAATTAAAAATAAATGTCAATTTTAGTCTTTTTCTACCCCTTGTGGATAATGATGCTAAAGATCGTGACAAATTATCAACATTCCAGAGAAAGGTGCAATGAATAAGAGCATGACCCACATGACAAGAGGGCAAGGATCTAAAATCCAGGCTCTGTCACTTAATAATTGGTGTGTCTGTGGGCGATTAACCCCTTTTCCCCCTCAACTATGCATCAGCAGACAGGAGGAAACATCCAATTTCTTTACTGGGGTGTCAGAAGTATTAAATATGTTTGTGAATGGAAAGCTCGTGGTGACTCACCCGGCAAAATGTAAACAGAATGTATGTTTCCTATTTTAGTTTATGTAGTATTTGTTAGTGTGGTAGGCCTGGCGAAAGGTTTCAAATAATTTCCTGTTCGTATATTTTAAAGGGATTTTACATCAAAGGAGAAATTTTGAGACTGATGACTTCATATTCCCTGCAGCATATTCACCCTCTTTTCCCATTTTTAAAAGTTTTTACCCCATAAAATCAAATAAACATGCAGGATCATCTACTTTAGCCTCATCTGGAGGGGCTGCATTCTTCCACATAAATTTGTGTCTTTTGATTTTCACTCATAAAAATTTTGTGTGGTTAAATACCATAGTAAATATACGTTAAGTAAATAAATGTTCCACATGCTTTTTCTCTCTATCATATGTTTTAAATATGTCATCCCTAAAATGTGAGAATGTGTATTGTTATATAAGTGGATATAAAATGATCCCAAAGGAACGCTTTGATGACAATTGTCTGTACATGTCATGAAGCACAAGACACTAGGCTTTGAGGCCTGAGATTGTCATTTAAAGATTCCTTCCTGATTGAAGCCTTGGCTCCTTTCAGTTTCCCCTTCACTATTTCTTGTTAATATGGACAACAACAGATTCCCTGCTAAGAAATTTCAGACTTACTACAATTTTATCAACTCCTCTCCGTTACATGTGCTTGCTATACAACTCTACTTCAGGTAAGTGAATCATTTTCTTTGATTTAAACGTTTCCTGCTGAGGTGTTTGAGAATAAAAGCTATTTTGTAAGAAGACTGTCAACAGAGCACTTTGTCATCTATTTAGCTTAAGTATATCAATGAGAACTTAAAAGCACATTTTGTCACATGCATAACCTTATGCAGAGATGATCCTCTTGTAGATTTTTATATTTTTAAAAATATGTTTTTGCGTCCAAAATGTGTTGTTTTTAATGGGCAGCTTAGTCCCATATTTTCCATTTTTAGCATCATCAGTGACCAGGAAAATGTCTTTCTGATATTATGATAGATTCTTCCCTAATTAAATACTTTTTAATACTTGGGTTATGTCCATCTAATATATGTTTTAACTTTTTTAACTTTGGCATTGTTTTTTGTTTTGGTATAAAATTTGATTTTAAATTCAGTTATGATTTTAACATTTCCATTTCACAGTAATTTTTCCAACTTATGTAATTATGACTTTTGTGACAATTTAATTTTTAATTTTTTTATTTCCATAGGTTTTCTTGAGTCTCATGAGGTTCAGAACACACTACCTAAAATGTGGTGCTGTGGCATATTGAATAGTTTAGATTGAAATACTTTAAAGAACAGGTGTGAGAAGGACTCTCTGACTTTCTCCTTTGCCCCTGAAGCAGGTCGTAGAAAGAGTGCGTGCTAGAAAGACGCTTTGATCTTTACCTTCTCTGAAAGTAGATCAGAAGACCCTCATGTGAGAGCTGTCCTCCCTACACAGAGAAAAAGAACAGCTTTATCTCCAAAGACAGAAGGATGTAAAAAGGAATCTGAACAAACAGGCCTTGCTAAGTTTCCTCTAGTTTACTACCTTTAGCTCATACCTTTTGTCCTATCACATTTTTCTATGGCTTTCCACTCGTCATTAAACCCAGTATAAACACATTTAGTTTAATCACCTCTTCATGTGTCTTCATTTCCTTATGAAAGCTCCAATGTCATGTAAAACATATTACATAAATGTATACGTTTTTATATTGTTAATCCATCTTTTGTAAATCTAATTTACAGCTGGAGAATATAGGAGGGTAGAGAGAAAATAGATTTTTTTTTCTTATCAACTGTCTATTTTTCTTTTATCTAACAGGATTTAAGCATACCCTGAATGCTTTGAAAAGGGAAGCCAGACATGAAAACCACTTCTAACTGACGTATACTTGTTTGGAACCAATTTGTTTTATGGTATGCATCATATACAGTCATTACATCAGAAAGACTTGTAGTCATGAATGGGAGCTATGTTATATTCCTACATATTTATAATATATGAAGGTAAAATATTTTCAAAAGGGAAATTGTAACAAACAGATCAAACTGTTTTTGAAGGAGGAGATTTTTATTTTGAATACACATAAGAATAAGAAGATTAATAATATTTCTTTCTTTTAAAGATTAATAACCCTCACATTATTTTAATAAATGCTCCAGTCAGTCAGAGACTTAAGTGATTGTAGTAGATACGGTAAATAGCTTGCTCAATATTTGTTTAAACTTTTAGTGTACCTTACTGGACTTCATTCACAGCAGAATAAAAAATTGCTTTCACTAGGATTGTTTTCAGCTTAAGTTTCTGGAATTCATATAGAATCTATTTACCAAGGACTTGAATTCAGACCAGAGTTAAGTGGAGACCGTAACAGCAAAGGCTAGTCAGATATAGGAACAGAAGTGCTTACCTACTTTACCTCGGTAAGAAATTAGTCACACAGTATTAATAAGTTAAGTTAAAAAATCAGAAAAAAATAAATTCAGTAACTAAAAAGTTTGAAAATTATATCAAATGACAAGTTTCTGCAATAATTCTTTTCACCCATATCTGCCTACTTCCTCTGCCTTCCTATTTCTATCTTTTTATGTGTTTCAATTGATTAGATTGATTTTAAATTCATTTTCTGAGGAAAGAAACATTGCTTAGATTAGAGCTTCATGACTTTTTCAAAAGGATCACCATGCATGAAAATACTTAACAAATGTCTCAGAATTCTCTGTTTTAAGTAACACAGTAGGTCGTCTCTACGCAATGGTTTTACTACCTTTTCAAGAAGCTCAGAATATAATTGAGAGACATATATAGTGCAAACTACATTATAATATGAAATAATTTTTAACATCATAATATTGAATTCTAAAATAATTATAGGAAACTACTATTAATCAGTTACTGAGAAAATAATGTATACAGAAGGAAACCCATGAACATTTGTGTTTAGACAAATGTTCACTATGTATTCTTGCCCAACACCTACATTACCCCTCATGTTTTATAGAGGGAAAGGGCAGTACATGCAATTCAGAAGTGATACATTTTTAAACTTATGAATGTCAGCTAATGTATCCCTCAAAAATGTCTGTACTCTTTAAAAAAAATCTTTAATTTTAAAAGTATTTTTTTAATTTTTTAACCACATTATGACACAGACTTCCTAGCCTATGCTATTATCTGTTGTATTATTTAGCTTGGCTACTATGACATGAACTAGGTGACTTATAAGCAAAGAGTTTTATTTCTCACTCTTCTGGAGACTGGAAGTCTGAGATCAGGGGACCAGCATAGTCAGGCTCTGGCGAGAGCCTTTCCTGGGTTTCAGAACACTTCCTCACTGTATCTTCACATGGCAGAAAGCAAAGTAGAGGAAGCAAGCTCTCTTGTGACTTTTATAAGAACGCTAATCCCACTCATGACGACTCCTCCCTATGACCTCATCTAATTATAATTATTCCCAAAGTCTCTACCTCCTAACACCATCACATTGAACAGTAGGATTTAATCCTATTGAACAGTAGTGGGGAAAAAGTGGTTCAGTCTATAACACTTGTATTTAAATGTAAATTTGTTTTTCTCATTTTTGAGTTACTTTCAGATATCCATCAATATCCATGCTGACTTCTCCCCCTCATATCACCTTTTATGATATTGCATAGTAAATTTCCTTTAACTTTTAGAATTTAAAATATTAGTCATACATTTAATACTTTCTACATTCTTAATACAATAAGATTGTAAGATTTTATGATTCTCCGTGACTTTTGAATATAATTATCTTCTGTTTTGTTGCATAGCTATGCTTAGAAGACTTCAGATGTTATAACCTTTTACTTTAAGCATAACTCAAAATGCCTGCTAATCTAATTTAGCTTTAAAAACATTACAATATGGATAATTAGACATGTAACAGTTTCAGATATGTACATATAAGTAATCTATTTTTAAGTTAGCAATAATTTTACCAAAGAAAAAATATGGTATAAGAAAATAAATCTTCATTAAACAGCCACACACAATGTATATGCATAAATACATCATTAAAAGCAAACAAAATATACTGAGCAGTTAATGTATTAAAGAAAATGATGGCAACAAATCTTGTAGCAAATAGAATGTTAATTTTACTGTTCAGGAATAATCAGAAATGAAGTTTAAACCGATTAATAATTTAAAATTATTATTTAAATTTAAAATTATTATAATTTAAAATGCCAATGAATATCTTATTTATGTTTACTTTAAAAATTTTGTTTTGATATACAGATTGGATTAGTCTCTTCTCATGCAGCTAATAAAGACATACCCAAGACGGGATAATTTATAAAGAAAAAGAGGTTTAATGGACTCACAGTTCCACATGGCTGGGGATGCCTCACAATCATGACAGAAGGCAATGGAGGAGAAAAAGCCCATCTTACATGGCGACAGGCAAGAGAGAAGTGCAGGAGAACTGCCCTTTATGAAACTATCAGATCTCATGAGACTTATTCACTATCACGAGAACAGCAAGGGAAAAACACGCCCCATGATTCAGTTACCTTCCACTGTGTCCCTCTCATGACATGTGGGGATTATGGGAACTATAATTTAAGATGAGATTTGGGTGGAGACACAGCAAAACCATATCTCAGGTAATTTCAGTTTACCATCCTTCAGGAAAGGAGACAAGAAATACAGCTGTACTCTGTGTAAAGTGCGCCAGGGGCTCAAACAAGAATACCCATATCTGCAAAAGGAAAGAAATAGCTATTTATATATATGAAAATCTGTCCTGTGTGGGCAAACTCTTTATTATCGACTTTACAACACAGTGATTCATCTGATGTCAACACTGGTGAAATCTTTTCACAACCTCTATCAGTCACTGACGTGTCATTTGTGAAATGATGTAATCAATTCAGTTCATATCCTGTTAAAGTTAATCTGGCAGGGTAAGGGGGCAGGTGGACAACAGCTTTCCTAGGAAACAACATCAATAATTCTTATTTAGAGGAGACAGCTATATATATATATATATATATATATATATATATATATATATATAGTAAGTCTCTCCTCAGTTTTGACTCAATGCATTTTGCTAGGAAGAGATTAAGCCATTTTCAAATCAGGAAGTGAAAAATAAATTCTACCTTTTGTAGGATGATTCCAAATTTTAAAAATTCCAGCTACCTTTTATAAACAGTTCCAATTCTCTTAGTGTTAGTCAATCATTTATTAACACAAAGCACCACCTGAGTCCAAAATATTGACAAAATTCATGTATTTTATGAGCAATGCAAATATTTACTGGAAGAAATCAAGCCACAAATGACTAAGGGCCTATAACACACTGAGATTATGTACAGAGTGTGAAAATTGTGATTGAAAAGCAATTTTGGAATCAGCATTTTCTGGTATGGTAATTTATCTCTTTTTATAAATTTCAACCAAATATATCATCTCTACCATTAAAAACAAACACCTCTGAGGCATGACAGCACCTGATACAATCAGGAAATTTGTGCTGGAGTAACAAAATTGCACTGATAAATAAGCTTTTCATTTTAGTGACTTCTCAATTTTTACAGTTATTTTTTATATCTGCTTCTGACAGTAAACTTAGTGTTGCATAATTAAAAAGATTAAAGTTCATTGGCTGATATGACTTTGAAAGACATTCAGTTAGGACTTTATAGCATTCCTAAGCAAGGGAAAAATAAATGTGATACTGTGACATATTTTCAATGTGTATAGTTCCCAATCATTTGAAGAAAAGGCTAACAGGCTAGAACCATGTCATACTGCCAAATTGTTATTTTATTAATATGTTAATGTATACGTTATTTTAACTTTCATTGAATTTAAGGTCAAGTATTTTTTTCTGCCTTCGTTTCTTATTTTCCTTCTCTCTTTTTGTTTTTCTCCTATTTTCTTTTGAAGTTAACAAAAGGGTTTGGACATTTGACTTAAACAGGTATTCAGTAATGACTTCTTTTTATTCTCTTTTATTTTATCAAAGCAATAAAAATTATGGTAGACAGAACAAGAAAGTATCATGTCATATTAGGCATGGAGAATTATTTAGAAAGCTTTTGTTAAGCTCATTTTTGTAAGCCTGAGTAAAATTCCACTGCTGCTTTGGTAATCTTTAAGGTTCTATCAGAAAATAGTGGTCATGACGATGATGGTGATGAGAATAATGATGATGAGATGAAACTAGCAGGAGGAAGAACACTTATCTAAAAATATACCAGGGGTCATCTTAGCTATAGTTACATTTTTAGAAAAACATAATAATTATAAAAAAACCTATGAGGAAATTAATTTCAGGATAACCTATATTTTATGGTCATTTTTTAAGGGAAGTTTTTGAGGAAAAAATAATAAAAAGAATTTTAACATTTTGGTTATGAGAAGTAAGCATAGGGAGACTTAGTTTTCTTTTTATTCATTCACTTGTTTACATTATTACTGAATGCTAACTATGCAACAGGCATTGTGTTGACCACTGAGGGTGTGGCAGGTAATCAAACAAACAGAAATTTTAATTACATTAAATTTACATTTCAGTGTAAGCATATAGAAAATATACAAGTAAAACAGCAAGTTATATAAAGAAACAGCCTCCTTGGATAAATGGCTGAATCTAGAACTGGGATAGGGAAAATCCAGGATGGGCCTGTTAAGGGCTTGAACTGCCAGAATGTAAGGGAGTGCTAACCAAACCAGCAAGCACAAACAAAACAAAACCCTTAAACAGATGGCAGCATGTCAAAGGGGCCATCTTGTAAGAACTCCAAAGGGAGAACAGTTTGACTAAAACAATAATAATTGTAGTAGTGTACTATATCCCAAAATATATAATAATGCTCATGTCCCTACTGATATAAATAAATGTTTAAATAAATAAATACATGGAAGAGAAGAGATATTTTTTCTTTACAGAAGAATTCTCAAATCTACAGACAGATATCTACACTTCATTATATGAAGATTAATTTCTATTTCTTAGAGCATGGGCTGGATGTAGAAATTTGAATACAATGTGGAAAAGTAAATAGGGCCAATATTCAACATTCTTAAAGAAAGGAATTTTCAATCCAGAATTCCATACCCAGCCAAACTAGGCTTCATAAGTGAAGGAGAAATAAAATCCTTTAGAGACAAGCAAATGCTGAGAGATTTTGTTACCACCAGGCCTGCCTTACAAGAGCTCCTGAAGGGAGCACTAAACATGGAAAGGAACAACTGGTACCAGCCACTGCAAAAACATGTCAAATTGTAAAGACCATAGATGCTGTGAAGTATCAATTAACAGGCAAAATAACCAGCTAGCATCATAATGACAGGATCAAATTCACACATAACAATATTAACCTTAAATGTAAATGAGCTAAATGCCCTAATTAAAAGACACAAACTGGCAAATTGGATAAAGAGTCAAGACCCATCAGTGTGCTGTATTCAGGAGACTCATCTCACATGCAGAGAAACACATAGGCTCAAAATAAAGGGATGGAGGAAGATCTACCAAACAAAAGGGAAGCAAAAAAAAAACAATAAACAATAAACAAAAACAGGGGCTGCAATGCTAGTCTCTGATAAAACAGACTTTAAACCAACAAAGATCAAAAGAGACAAAGAAGGCCATTACATAATAGTAAAGAGACCAATTCAACAAGAAGAGCTAACTATCCTAAATATATATGTACCCAATACAGGAGCACCCAGATTCATAAAGCATGTCCTTCGAGACCTACAAAGAGACTTACACTCCCACACAATAATAATGGGAGACGTTAATACTGCACTGTCAGTATTACATCAATAAGACAGAAGGTTAACAAAGATATCCAGGACTTGAACTCAGCTCTGCACCAAGCAGACCTAATAGACATCTGTAGAACTCTCCACCCCAAATGAACAAAACATACATTCTTCTCAGCACCACATCACATTTATTCTAAAATTGACCATATAATTGGAAGTAAACCACTCCTCAGCAAATGTAAAAGAACAGAAATCACATCAAACTGTCTCTCAGACCACAGTGCAATCAAATTAGAATTCAGGATTAAGAAACTCACTCAAAACCGCACAACTACATGGAAACTGAACAACCTGCTCCTGAATGACTACTGGGTAAACAAAAAAATGAAGGCAGAAATAAAGATGTTCTTTGAAACCAATGGGACCAAAGACATAATGTACCAGAATCTCTGGGACACATTTAAAGAAGTGTGCAGAGGGAAATTTATAGCACTAAATGCCCACAAGAAAAAGTAGGAAAGATCTAAAATCAACACCCTTACATCACAATTAAAAGAAATAGAGAAAACAAATTCAAAAGCTTGCAGAAGGCAAGAAATAACTAAGATAGAGCAGAACTGAAGGAGATAGAGACAAAAAGCCCTTCAAAAAAAGTCAATAAATCCATGAGCTTGTTTTTTGAAAAGAACAACAAAATTGATAGACCGCTAGCCATACTAATAAAGAAGAAAAGAGAGAAGAATCAAATAGATGCAATAAAAAATGATAAAGGGGATATGACCACCGATCCCACAGAAATACAAACTACCATCAGAGAATACTACAAACACATCTATGCAAATAAACTAGAAAATCTAGAAGAAATAGATAAATTCCTGGACAAATATATCCTCCCAAGACTGAACCAGGAAGAAGTTGAATTTCTGAATAGACCAATAACAGACTGAAATTGAGGCAATGATTAATAGCCGACCACCAAAAAAATTCCAGGGCCAGACAGATTCACAGCCAAATTCTACCAGAGGTACAAAGAGGAGCTGGTACCTTTCCTTCTGAAACTATTCCAATCAATAGAAAAAGAGGGAATCCTCCCTAACTCATTTTATGAGGCCAGCATCATCTTGATACCAAAGCCTGGCAGAGACACAACAAAAAAAGAGACTTTTAGACCAATATCCCTTATTGGGAAAACCCATCTCCAATATTTCAACATAGGTTCTTTCTATTTTCCCTAAGTGTCGACCAGTCTGAGAAACAAAAAGAAAGAGTACAAAGAGAGGAATTTTACAGCTGGACCGCCCAGGATGACATCACATATTGGTAGGTCTGTGATGCCCACCTGAGCCACAAAACCAGTAAGTTTTTCTTAGGGATTTTAAAAGGGGAAGGGGTGTATAAACAGGGAGTAGGTCACAAAGATCATATGCTTCAAAGGGCAAAAAGGAGAACAAAGATCACATGCTTCTGAGGAAACAGGGCAAGGACAAAAGCAAAGATCACAAGGCAAAGGGCAAAATTAGAATTACTGATGAGGGTCTATGTTAAGCTGTGCACGTATTGTCTTGATAAACAGCTTAAACAACAGAAAACAGGGTTCAAGAGCAGAGAACTGGTCTGACCTCAAATTTACTGGTGTGGGATTTTTTCCCCACCCTAATAAGCCTGAGGGTACCACAGGAGACCGGGGCGTATTTTAGTCCTTATGTCAACCACATAAGACAGAAAATCCCAGAGCGGCCATTTATAGACCTCCCCCCAGGAATTTAATTCTTTTCCTAGGGTCTTAATATTTAATATTCCTTGCTAGGAAAATAATTAGCGATATCTCTCCTACTTGCACATCTGTTTATAGGCTCTCTGCAAGAAGAAAAATATGGCTCTTTTTGCCCAACCCCACAGGCAGTCAGACCTTATGATTGTCTTCCCTTGTTCCCTAAAATTGCTGTTATTGTATTCTTTTTCAAGGTGCACTGATTTGATATTGTTCTAACATACATGTTTACAATCAGATTTCATATTGTTCAAACACACAGGTTTTACAATCAATCTGTATAGTTAACGCAATCATCACAGGGTCCTGAGGTGATGTACATCCTCAGCTTACCATGAAAACAGGATTAAGAGATTAAAGTAAAGACAGGCATAAGAAATTAGAACAGCATTATTGGGGAACTGATAAATGTCCACGAAATCTTCACAATTTATGTTCAGAAATTGCAGTAAAGACAGGCGTAAGAAATTATGGCAATATTATTAGGAAAGTGATAAATTTCCATGAAATCTTCACAATTTATGTTCCTCTGCCATGGCTCCAGACAGTCCCTCTATTCAGGGTCCCTGACTTCCCGCAACAATCCTTGGTGAACATCAGTGCAAAAATCCTCAATAAAATTCTGACAAATCAAATCCAGCAGTGTATCAAAAAGCTTATCCACCATGATCAAGTTGGCTTCATCCCCGGGATGCAAGGCTTATTGAACATAGACAAATCAATAAACATAATCCATCACATAAATGGAACCAATGACAAAAACCACATGATTATCTAAATAGATGCAGAAAAGGCCTTTGACAAAATTCAACAGCATGCTAAAAACTCTCAATAAACTAGGTACTGATGGAACGTATCTCAAAATAATAAGAGCTGTCTATGACAAACCCACAGCCAATATCATACTGAATGTGCAAAACCTGGAAGTATTCCCTTTGAAAAATGGCACAACAAAAGGATGCCCTCTCTCACCACTCCTATGAAACATAGTGTTGGAAGTTCTAGCCAGGGCAATCAGGCAAGAGAAACAAATAAAGAGTATTCAGTTAGGAAAAGAGAAAGTCTAATTGGCCCTGTTTGCAGGTGACATGATTGTATATTAAGAAAACCTCATCATCTCAGCCCAAAATCTTCTTAAGCTGATAAGCAACTTCAGCAAAGTCTAAGGATACAAAATCAATGTGCAAAAATCACAAGCATTCTTATACACCAATAACAGACATACAGAGATCCAAATCATGAGTGAATTCCCATTCACAATTGCTACAAAGAGAATAAAATACCTAGGACTCCAACTTACAAGGGATGTGAAGGACCTCTTCAAGGAGAACTACAAATTCCTGCTCAACAAAACAGAAGAGGATGCAAACAAATGGAAGAACATTCCATGCTCACGGATAGGAAGAATCAGTGTCATGAAAATGGTCATACTGCCCAAGGTAATTTATAGATTCAATGCCATCCCCATCAAGCTACCAATGACTTTCTTCACAGAATTGGAAAAAACTACTTTAAAGTTCACATGGCACCAAAAAAGAGCCCACATTGTCAAGACAATCCTAAGCCAAAAGAACAAAGCTGGAGGCATCACGCTATCTGACTTCAAACTATACTACAAGGCTACAGTAACCAAAACAGCATGGTATTGGTACCAAAACAGATATATAGACCAATGGAATGGAACAGGGGCCACACATCTACAACCATCTGATCTTTGACAAACCTGACAAAAACAAGAAATGGGGAAAGGATTCCCTATTTAATAAATGGTACTGGGAAAAGTAGCTAGTCATATGTAGAAAGCTGAAACTAGATCCCTTCCTTAAAATCTTATACAAAAAAATAATTCAAGATGGATTAAAGACTTAAATGTCAGACGTAAAACCATAAAAACCCTAGAAGGAAACCTAGGCAATACCATTCAGGACATAGGCATGGGCAAGGACTTCATGTCTAAAACACCAAAAGCCATGGCAACAAAAGCCAAAGTAGACAAATAGGATCTAATTAAACTAAAGAGCTTCTGCATGGCAAAAGAAACTACCATCAGAGTGAACAGGCAACCTACAAAATGGGAGAAAATTTTTGCAATTTACCTGTCTGACAAAGGGCTAATATCCAGAATCGACAAAGAACTTAAACAAATTTATAAGAAAAAAGCCAACAACCCCATCAAAAAGTGGGCAAAGGATATGAACAGACACTTCTCAAAAGAAGACATTTATGCAGCCAACAGACACATGAAAAACTTCTCATTATCACTGGTCATCAGAGAAATGCAAATCAAAACCACAATGAGATACCATCTCACACCAGTTAGAATGGCAATCATTAAAAAGTCAGGAAACAACAGGTGCTGGAGAAGATGTTGAGAAATTGGAACAGTCTTACTGCTGGTGGGAGTAAAAATTAGTTCCACCACTGTGGAAGACAGTGTGGCGATTGCTCAAGGATCTAGAACTAGAAATACCATTTGACCCAGCCATCCCATTACTGGGTATATACACAAAGGATTATAAATCATGCTACTATGAAGACACATGCGCACGTATGTTTATTGTGGCACTATTCCCAATAGCAAAGACTTGGAACCAATGCAAATGTCCATCAATGATAGACTGGATTAAGAAAATGTGGTGCATATACACCATGGAATACTATGCTGCCATAAAAAAGGATGAGTTCATGTCGTTTGTAGGGACATGGATGAAGCTGGAAACCATCATTCTCAGCAAACTATCACAAGGACAGAAAACCAAACACCTCATGTTCTCACTCATAGGTAGGAATTGAACAATGAGAACACTTGGAAACAGGGCAGGGAACATCACACACTGGGGCCTGTCTGGGGGTGGAGGGCTGGGAGAGGGATAGCATTAGGAGAAATACCTAATGTAAATGATGAGTTGATGGGTGCAGTAAACCAACATGGCACATGTATACCTATGTAACCAACCTGCATGTTGTGCACAAGTACACTACAACTTAAAATATAATTTTAAAAAAAGAAAAAATAATAATGACATTTCAGTGAAGAATGGTGTGAGAAACAACATACACCACATGTTTAAGGTTAACGTCATCAGTGGTAAGTCATATTCACATCATGAATCCTAGTTATAATGTCATGAACAGCGTCCTTCACCCCTATAATATTATTTACCTAAATTCATAACCCTAGTGTATTCACAAGAAAACTTCAGACAGCCTCAAATTGAAGAGTATTCTACAGCATATCCTATAAAATCTCTTCCAAAGGTTCAAGGTCATGAAAAGCAAAACTAAGAAACTAACATAGATGGTAGATACCAAAGAGAGATGTGGTATCTAAAAGTGTCACAGTATCTTAGATTGGGTACTGAAATTAAAAAAGGCTATTAATAGACAACTGGAAAAATCTGAATAAAGTTTGTAGTTGAGCTAATAGTAGTGTAACCAAAGTTAATTTCTTAGTTTTGACCGAGGGATTCTTGCTATGAAAGGTGCCAATAGTAAGGCTAACTGATTGAAATCATTACTATTTTTGCAACTTTTCTGTAAACTCAAATAATTCCAAAATAATTATTTTTAATAAAACTGTGTATATCTGATGGTGACAAATGCTATGGAGTTAGAACTAGAAAGAGGGTTTGGTAATGTTTGATCACTAAAGCACTCAGTGAGAAGGTGACATGAATAAAAAGACTTTAAGAAAAGAAAGAACAGTTCATTAAGGTATCTAAATATAGATATCTGTCATTTAGACACATGGAACAGCCACTGCACAGGAGAATAAAGAGGGTGTTCTTGTGTTTTATTCATTATTAACTGCTCATTGCTAATAACATTATGCATTTAAAGAAAGTGATCTTTTGTTCACACCATGCTTTAAGTTCTGTCTCTACTGAAATAGAAAATAAGTATCAAATCTTTTATTTATTTACTTAGTTACATTTTTATTTGAGGGTTGAGACTGAACTAGCTTCCTATTAAAAATTTTTGACACCTGAATTTTAAAATAATAATAAAATCTTTTGGGTCAATCTAAAATAATCTTTTTAAACTGAGTCTAAAATTGTCTCTGAGCTTAAATGTGCATATACTTCTAAATATTATAAGGTAAAGAGGCATTTGTCTTTAAAATAATGTGTCTGGTACTAATGAAACAATAAGCTATCTGGCATCAACATGTATTAAAAGTGCTTATAAACTGACTTCTGCCTATTGCAAAGCTTTACATACTTTTTTCAGTGCCTTCAGATATCTGACTATCAGTGTAGGCTAGGAATAGTGGCTAATGAATACAAAACCATGTATAATAGGTATTGGCTAGCATCTCATTCAACCAAATTGACTCTCCAATAATGGAAGACTTATCCTTTATTCAAGTGGCTATTTTTTTCTTTGGGTATTAATTGGTTGTCAACTGGTTGATGAAATCATTCTGTTTATAATCTTGTTGTCATTATATTCAGCAATGCTGACTTCATAGGCAGATATTGTCCTGGATCAAAAGCTATGAAATCTCCCAAATCAAAATATTTCTACTCTTCACTATAAACCGTTACTTCATTATAATTCTACATAATAATCATAATTGTGAAAGAATTCTATGCACTCAAAAATTATACATTTTCAACAGACGGAACTAAAGAAACTGGATAATCACATGCCAAGGAATGAAGTTGGACCAGCTACCTCACTCCATATACGTAAATTAACTCAAAATGGACAAATAATCTAAATATAAGAGCTAAATCTGTAAAACTACTAGAAGAAGCATAAGGGTAAATCACCATGATCTCAGATTTGGAAATAGATTCTTATTTGACAACAAAAGCACAAGCAATAAAAAAAAAAAAGATAAATTGTACTTCAAAAATATTGTTTATCAAAAACATTACAAAGACATTATAAAGACAACATAACGAATAGAAAAAATTTTGCAAATTATACCTGATAATGATTTACTATTCAGAATATATGAAGAACTCATAACTCAACAACAAAAAGACAAAACAACCCAATAAAAATGGATAAAGACTTGAAGAGACATTTCTCCAAAGAATATATTCAAGTCCAATTATGACCAATAAAGATGTTCAACACAATTGGTTGTTAAAGAAATGCAAATCAAAACCCCAATAAGATACCATTTTAGAACCCACTAATGTGGCTATAATAAAAGAAAGAAACAAAATAACAAGTCTTGGTGAGGATGTGTAGAAATAGTAACCCATATAAATTACTGATGGGAATGTAAAATGGTACAGTCACTGTGGAAAATGATGGTTTATCAAATACTTAAAAATATATTCATTTTATGGTCCAGCAATTCCACTTTTAGGTATATCATATACCTAAAAGAAAAGTAAATAGGCACTCAAACAAATTTTCATTTATAAATATTAATTGCAGCACTATGCATACCAAACAAAAGGTGGATATAATCCAAATGTTTATCAACGGATAAATGAATCAACAAATTGTGTACTTCCATACAATATAATATTTTCCAGCCATAAAAATTAATAAAGTACGGAACCATGCCACAGCTTGATGAACACTAAGCCTTTAGTCCCAGATGAGAGAGAAGATAAACAGCAAGAACCAGCACAACCAGCAAGTGTTCGCCTCTAACTCACCCAGGGGACTTTTCACAAGGGCAGCTACTGTGTCTCATTCCAGTTTTGAAATTGCCACTATCAAAATGCCTAGGGATTAGAAAACACCTAACAATACTCATTAAATACATTGATTTCAACATTAATTGAATCAATTTGGGGAAAAGTTGCTAGCAGATAGCAAGAACTTCCTCATTCATTAAATATAATATGAGGTATGAGACTGGAGGGTATGGTTTGTCGTCAAACCATTTCTTTAACTTATTTGATATTTATGAAAACTATTGTAGAAAATAGTCCCCTCTTTCCTTCACTTTTGAACCTCTTCATGAGATGCTAACATATCTGCCTGCATCCTCAGTACTGTCAATCCTGATTCAGATTTTCAGTTGTTACTTGTGATGTCTCTGATGAATATTATTGCCATTTTCACTGGTATCATTTCCTCTAGTGTTCTAGACATGTCTGAGACCCTGTCTATGAAAAATATGAAAAGATCAGTCTCTTGATTTTAGTATTACACTGTTTTGCTGCTGTGGCATTATCGAGTTTTGTGGGCTTCAATGTATTAAAGAGATTTTATTGCAATGATCTTTCATTTTCAGCCAGAAAATTTCCCCTAACCACTCATCCTCTCTTGCTTTACCATATTACTTGGGGGAAGAGGTTGGAGAAAAAGTTCAAGTGACAAATATAATATTAAACTAAAATTTTCCCTCCTGTGTAACCTAGAAGTCTTAGGTACAAATATGATTGTGAATTGATGTTCTCCCTTAATATTTATCCCCAAAAGAGGCTTTTCAGTCCCTCATACTAACAGATTTTTCAGGGATAGATCTACCATTTCAACAACGACAAGGCTTAGGACCAAGTTTCCCCCATCCTTAACCCAACACAGCATAGAAATAGATAGCACTTGACAAGGGCGTCTTATAAACACAATTTTCCAGTAGTTTGAGTATGTCAATGCTCTTCAGGATTTTCTTGCAAAAATTGTTTTTGAAAAAGAGATTTCTCATCAGATCCAGTCTATTAATTTTAGTATGACTGATCAAGACTGTTAAGAAAACCTCAGTTAACAAAGGGAGTATAAAGGAAAGAAAATAAAACAAAGGTGTTGATTTGCAACAAGCATTATGGGAAAAAAGGTTGAGATATTGTACAACATATAAAAGGTAGCTGAAAGAGATGAAAGCAGCAGCTATAAAGGGCAAAAAGTATATAGAGATTTTTCATACACACACACACACACACACACACACAATCTTTAGGAGCAAGGAGTGTGTATCTTATGAGAGTTCCAAAAATATCATTTAGCTCAACCTGACAGCAAACTGTTTTCTATTCTTGCATGACAACTTAAGGAGTCCAAAAATTTTCATTATGAATATATATAGTTATAAAATTGCTATTTCACTAGTCATTTATTTCAAAGGCACCTCAAAACTAATAATTTTCCTCTTTTTAGTATTTCAATGTTCAAAGTCTAATGTAAGTTTTGACTAATGTGTCAGAGATTATGATTACCCCCATATCCATTGTCCTTTTTTTTTCTATTAAGTAAGATTACAACATTGATAATCAGTTGAAATCTACATTGCCTATATTGTTTGCAATGATGTTTAGCCATGTGATTTATTTCTGGTCAAGGATATAAAATAAACTAATATGTGCAATTTTCAAGTTATACTTTCAAAAAGAAAGAAGCATGTGTCAGGTATTAAGATGCAGCAAGCAAAAAAGTAAGACAGCGCATTTCCTTAACATCCTAAGGATGCCCTCTCTGCCTGGACTGTTCACATTTTGTCACATGAGAGAAATATAATCCAAACTGTACTTTCTCATGGGTATCTGTTACAATAGCCAAGCCTATATTCTAACACAAGACACAATAGTGAAGTCACTATCATTTGAAGAGTCTTAGAAATTTAGTATCTGTATTTAGAGAGTTTCTTAATATTAGTGGGGGAGGGTGAGCCTTTAAAAGAAATTTGCCAGAAAGAACACTTTATTTTGACAAAAGTAAAGCAAATGCTTTCTTTTGATTTTAGGTAAGTAAATGTAAGTCTGAATGTAAATGTTGGATATTGGGTTGTTATTGGCTATTACTAACTATACATTTAAATTGTAGCTAGATAGTGAGACACATAGTGTTGTTTTGTTTGTTTGTTTGCTTGCTTTTTGAGACTGTGTCTCACTGTGTTACTTAGGGTGGAGTGCAGTGCCTATTCACAGGTGCAATCTTGGGGCACTGCAGCCTCAAACTCCTGGGCTCAAGTGGTACTTCAGAGTAGCTGGAACCAAGGGTCTCTCTCTCTCTTTCTCTTTCTCTCTGAGTCCTTATATTTCTCTTCCTACATTGTTCTCATATTCTTGCTGTCTTCCAACTTCTTTCCCATTTCTATTGTTAAATTTAGTTTGCACAAAATTTGAAACCCCTCTTTCCATTGCATTCTCCTTCCTTTTTTATGGTTTATTTTATTAAGCATCCCAACACTCTTTGTCACATGCATTACAAACCTAGATCGTTTTTGAATGAAGGAAATAGTTGCTTTAGGCATGATACTCACGAGACAAATAATATAATAAAGACGGATGGGAATGTTAATTCAAAGTCATAAGTCTTCAAGGATCTGGAGCTATTTAAGATTTAAAAAGCCTTATACTTGTCAACATACTGGAAGGCAACCTCTGATATAAAACAATACAATAATTCTTTTTAAAGTTTATTAAATATCAATTAATGCTAGTATACAGGGAATTATGCAATGCAATTTAGATGAATTTATGTTTTACATAAAGGAAATTAAGCTAATGAAAAGATGCAGTGACAAATCTACTATTAAAAATAAAGACAATGTTTAGAGTATTTTTTTGTATGTGTCCCTTAGTGTTATAAGTATGTTTAGGTAATTACTGGGCTATCTTTGTTGGTGGAAGTTCAATATTGAGCCTTTGGGGGAGTGAGATTTTTAGACTGTCTACCTCTTAATTAATTATGAACACATTCTATGGAGGTTTTTATATGTTGCTCAATTGAACTTTCTATCCCCATCTATTCCTGGGGTAAGAGCTTCCTCTCATTTGGTATCATAAACAGAACCAAAATAGGATATAATACAAGCACAAATCTTTTAATGAAATTGCACGAATCTTTTAATGAAATTACACAACAGCTTAGAGAGGCACATTCATTATTAGCAAGAAAACTATGCGTGTCATTATAAATGTTTTGTAATAACACTAATATTGAAATAGCTATTTCAATATATGCCATTTTGAGAATCTTCTGAATACTGAATACTATATGTCCGGTCTTATGATGGGATAAAGAAGATAAAATAAACTAACAGCCTGAATTAGGGCTAACCTAAGGAAAAGGAATAGACTTATTCTAAGAAGTTAATAGGAAGATGAAAGGAAGTGACTTAAGAAAGAAAAGATTCAACGATGCCTATCCAAAGTGGTTTCTGTATGATTGGCACCTAAGGCAAAGAGAAAGTAAAAATCCCATAACAATTAATTTGAAGAAAGAGATCCACTGAAGGGAGAGGAAACCTTCAAAACCTGACAATGACAGCTAATTCTGAATCACATTTGTTATGTACCTGGACTTTTCTGCCAAGGAAAGTACAATTTACAAGAGTAACTGCACCAGATGGTACAGACATATTTTCTGTATTTGTTTATGTATGCTCTATGCAGGAACAAACTTTCAAGAAGGCATTGGTTTGCATTTTACTTTACACATTGTCCTTTCATGGAAGCATCACTATTTATCAGCCTCTATTTCAATTTTGTCTCAGAATTAATTCTTACTCAATAATTAAGCAATGTCCACTACTTAATCCTACCTGTGAAATAGCCAAAAGATTTTAGAACTATTTTAATTGCTTTCTATACAACATGTCTAAAAGATACATTTCTTCTTCTCTTGACATCAAAATTTTACAATTTTTTATCTTGAAAGATAATTACTGATAACATTTATTAAGTGTAAGGAAATATTCTGTACATTTTTCATAGATTTACTCTTCTATAAACCACCTAAAATAGTTATTTTTAATTCCCATTTAAAATGACAGCATAAGGTTTATTTAACTTACAAAAATCATTTTTATTCAATTATTTAACTTTCCTTCATCTGTTTTTATTATATTCACAATTCCATTAATATTATTGTTTAATTTTGAGACTACTTACATTTAAGAAATTAGGTCTTCTCATCTAAGAGAATGGCTTGTGTTTTCATTTGTTGTGTTTCTTATTGTTCTTTAATGTTTTTTTATATTATACCTGCAGTTTCATTATGAGATTTTCCTATTTTATTGTCTTAATTATATTATTTTAATTTTTACTTAAGTTTTAGTTACATAGAAGTGACAAACTTTATTGTAAAAAGACCACCAAAGCATACTGTTTATGTCTCACAGTGGTTGGGTTCAGAAATACTTCCTTTATGATGAGTCTTTAGATAAAATCTATTCAATGTCATAGAGTTGGAACTTGGGCCTAGTAGGTCAGAGTGTTGGCTCCATAGGTAGACTAGAGGGTTAGAATATTTGTTCTGCCATTACCTTGGAGCTAGTTTCCTCATTTGATTATGAGGCTGTGATTTAATTTATGTAAAGGATTATAACAACTTGGTGTATTGCATTCATTGCTCAGTTATAGTTATGATGGTTAGTTGTGGTTCAATTCAGAACATTTACAGAATGACTAATGTATCCCCTGGCACTCACAATATTGCAGGCCATAATTTTTTCTTTTATTTATTTTATCAAGTATTCACCGTAACATATTATATTAAAATTGTGTTATTTCCATTTGTAGATAATTGATAGATTAAAGAAAATCTATAAATTATTTTATAATTTAAAATTATGTATACTTAAAAATTAATAGAATTTAAAATTCTGTTACTGATGGTTTTTAAACATTTTTTAAAGACTAAATCATCTCAGATGCTTTAACTAGAAAATTAGATCAACATCCAAAACAAAAAGGAGGGGGTAATAAGAATATGTGGTCCTTAAGTAATGTTTATTATAGAACCGACATAGCTATAAGCACTTTACATGTACTAACATGCACTGACTTATTTAGTACAGTGACACCGTGAGGTGGGTATTAATAATATTCTTCTTTCATCAGGTGAAGAGATTAAGCCACAACAAAGATAACTAGGTTGAAATAGCTAGTAAGTGGGAAAACTGAGATTTGAATCTACACAGTCTTAGTCCAGAGTACCTGCTTTTATGGCATATTCTATCTTCACAAAATGACCACAACAGAATTTCTGGGCCTATATACTCTTTCATAAATTCTCCACTACATATCAACGTATGGAATCTCTTTCTCCTGGGCTGGTCTATGTGCCTGCTTTTATAAATAATGTATTGGCAGTGACCCTATGGGACTTTTTTATTTGTTCTTTTAAAACTTGCATTGAATGTGTAGTTTATATTTGATTTTCCCTTTAGTCTATGTAGCTTTGACTCTGTATGCTCTGTGTGGGTATATGTGCATTTGTGTGTTATGTATGTGTATATGCATGCATTTAATTTCCAGATTGAGTTGCATACATTATGGTACTTTACTCTTAAATCATAGTTCAACATATATATCCTAAAAATGGGGACATTCTTCTACATAATTATAATACAGTTATCAAGGAACACCTTGATATAATACTATTATGTAATCTAGTGTGTATATTCTGATTTTTTTTTCAATTAAAAAAATCTGATATGGTTTGACTGTGTCCCCACCCAAATTTCATCTTGAACTGTGGCTCCCATGATTACCATCTGTTGTGGGAGAGACCCAGTGGGAGGTGATTGAATCATGGGGACAAGTCTTTCTCCTGCTGTTCTCGTGATGGTGAATGGGTCTCACAAGATTTGATGGTTTTAAAAAGAGGAGTTCCCCTGCACAAGCTCTCTCTCCTTTTGCCTGCTCCTATCCATGTTAAGACGTGACTTGCTCCTCCTTGCCTTCCACCATGATTGTGAAGCTTCCCAGCCACGTGGAACTGTAAGTCCAGTTAAACCTCTTTTTTTTTTGTAAATTGCCCAGTCTAGGGCATGTCGTTATCAGCAGCATGAAAAGGAACTAATACAAAGTCAAAATGTGCTTTTTCTCATGTTTCCCCCCTCAAGTTCATGGGATCTAATTTGAATTTAGTTGCCACCTCTTTTTAGTCTCATCTGAAGTGGAACACATTGAGTACATTTTTTTTTTGGTGACATTTTTGAAGAAACACTTTAAAAACATTAGTTTTTAAATCATCTTGGGGGTTTGTCTGATGTTTCTCATGATTAGATTTAGATTATTACATAATTTAGGACAAGATACAATGTAAGTGATTTTCTGTCTTCATGTTATGATACCTGAAGGCACATGATATCCATTTACCACTCATTGGTGATACTTATTCTTTTTATTTCGTCAAAATCTTGTACAATTTCTTCATTGGATGGTTACAGTATAAGATCAAGAAAATAACTGCTTTTCTTGAAATATTTCCTCTACATGTAACGTCAATCATAATTTTTATCCTAACAAATTTTTCCCAGCTTAGTTGCAAAAAGATGAATTTCCAACTTAGGCACTTCCCAATTTGCCTTTGACAGTCGACATTTCATGACAAGCAAAAGCCCTTCCTTCTTCTTCTCTGAGTAACTGTTTATCTATCAATTATCTATATCTATCATTATCATTATCTATCATATATTTTCAATCAATTAGTATCAGTATAAAGGAATAGATTTATTTTTTCTTTGTAATGTTCTATGATTTATTATTTTACTTACTTTTTTGATATTCAACTTGAACAACATTCGGCTAATAAGGAACTTTTCTCATTTCAGTGACAATTTAAGAGAGAAGCAAGGTAAATGTATATAATTAGGGCTGTGATTTAGACCTGATCATCACTGCACACTAACTTTCTTTAAATGTCTAAAACATCTAACTAAGTAAACTAATTTTATATTCATGTTATATCATTCCCTTTAATTTCAATGATCATGACCAAAGTAAAATAGGCTGTTCAATTTTATGTTTGGTCTCCGAAATAAGTAATATATCACCACAATTCACCCAGATACCCTAACATTTTACAGACAGCAAGACATGTATTCATTTTTGACACTGTTATTTAAAATACGTGTTCAGAAATTTCAAAATTGCACAACCTATATATAAATTTTATTTCTATTGAGTGCCAAATGAAAAATATAATTTCTTTAGTAAAAGTTAACTTTTTTCAAAGGGAACTATCTATTTATTCATTAGTTCATTCCCTGGTATTTTAAAATTCTGATATATATTCATAAGTAATAATTCACGTTATTAGACTACCACATAGAACCAATGTGTTTTCAGTTGGCTGCTTCTCTGTATCCTATTTGAAAATGTTCACAGCTGTATTAACTACACAAATTCGTATTTTCAACTTTAGAATGACAAAATCTTGTAAAATAACATCTTTAATGTATGAAGACTGAATTTGGAAAATAAGTCAGTTTTTTATTGGTAATATTCTTATAATAGCTTATATGATTTTCTTTCGAGGCTATGTAAAGTGAAAGTGATTGTGAACATAGAGTTGACTTTGTTAGTACGAGGTTAACAATGTGATTAAAAAGAAAAGTATCATTATGTTTTATATTTATTTGTTTTTGAGAGAAGCAGAATTAGGCAAATATATATTAAGGGATATAGTGTTGAAAACACTAATAAAAGATGCCATAAATACTTATATTTACACAATTATATATGAGTGAAGAAACAAAATGTCAGTAACCTATAGCCTAATAAACATACATGAATGTAAGAGTGGAGGTAGAAGCAGTTTCAGGAAATTTGCAATCCAGCTACATATTGCAAGAAATGTAGCACATGATGTAGGAAACACAGTAGATTGCTGAGACTATTACTCCTTCCAGTAGGAGAAATTATGAGGTCAGAAGCAATTATCCATTTATCCGAGAGAGAAAAATAAGAAGGAAAGTATAACAGAAAAGTTAAGAAATATGGAAGCCAAATTGACAATGTCTATTACATGTTTCTTTTAATATCGCAAATGTTGAGTGAGAGAATGAGACAGAGGTGATGTTTGAGGATATAACAACAAGAAAACAGTAACATTTCAGACCAGAAACTGAGTTTGTCACCAGAAAAGAGTTACTAAGGAAAATTATAAAGGGCTATTTTTTAAATAAAGGGAAGATAATCAGAGGAGTACTTGACAAATTAAAGTGACACCAGATAGAAGACATTGATGCAAAAAGAAATAAATAAAAATCTTGTAAACATTAAGATAAAACTGTAAAATACATCTGTTTGGGATTTAAAATTGATAGTATGTTAATATACAAGAAAGAACTTACACACAATTTGAGAGGAAAGCAAACGGAGGTATATTGCACAATTTTTTTTTAATTTAGGAGAATAAAGGTGCTGATTAACCACGACTTCAATAATTTTAAAAAGCATGTTGTAATTTCTAAAATAATTACTGAAAGAATAAAATTACTTGAATAACTGCAAAAATACAAAAAGAAAAATATGAGTTACAAAAAATAACCAATTTGAAAGAGGCTAAAGGGGTAGAGAAAAAGAAAAAAAAGAACACACATGACAAAGGTAAAACACAAAAATAAAATTATTGATTCTACCAGCAAATGAAAATAAGAAACATAAATAGACTAAATGCTTAGTGGAAATTTAAAGTCACCTACTTGGGGGAAATCTATTAAAATGTTGTAAATAGGAGACCTGTGCAAAATATAAAGATGCTAAAAGGATGGAAAAAATAGAAAAAAACTAACAGAAGAGAAAAATTAAAGTTACAATATTAATACTAGAAAAAAATGGAATTTAAGGTGGATTCCATAATTGGCAATAAATACGTCAATTTAGAATAAACATTTCAATACACCAAGCAAATATGATAATTTCAGATTTGTAAAAATCTACTGGTATTGCCTCGACATGTATGTATTAGTTTCCTAGGACTGCCAAAACAAAGTACCACAAACTGTGTGGCTTAAAACAACTGAAACTTAATGCCTTAAAGTTTTTGAAAATACAAATCTGAAATCAAGATATTGGCAAGGTTGTCTCCTTTGGGATGTCCTGAGGAAGAAACTCCCAACACTTTCTCTGGGCTTCTGTTGACTGTTGTCAATCCTTGGCATTCCTTTGCTTCTAGTTCACCTCTCTAATCTCTCTCACCACACAGTGTACTTCCTCTGTGTCTCAGTGTCTGTGCTTTCTCTTCTTGTGAAAATACTAGTTATTCAATTAGGGCCCATCATAATCCAATAATATCTCATTTCAACTAATTACATCTGAGCAGACTCCTTTATTTTCAAATAGGGTCATATTCTGAGGTTCTAGGTGGACTTGGATTGCTGGAGAACAATATTCAAAATAGTAATAAATAAAAATAAATACAAGGAGAAATAGAAAAATACACAATGATAGAGCCAACTATTAAGACATCTGTCTTGGTAATTAATAGAAAAAACAGACAAAATACAAATTTAAACAATATATTTTTAAGACATACATAAACTAATAATGAATATTGGCCATATGCTAAGTCATAAATCAAATACAAGCAATTTCAGAAGATTAAAATTACATTTGGCATAGTAGAGCCAAAAGTTAAATTTCCATCCTTTATTGTTTTATATTACAAAATTTACATGGCATAGGAAACATCCATTTCTGTATGTATTTATTTTAAATGATCTATTTATTCAAAGGTAATTGGTGCATATTTTGAGTGCTCTTATAAAATTGTTTTTTTCTATTTTAATTTCTAAGTGCCTTTTTGAGATTCTCTACTCCAGTAATTAATATTGATAGTTCCTATTTTCTAGTTATAATTATATTTTATCAAGATTTAAAAGGTACTAACAAAAAAGCAGTATTCAACCTTTTTGAATTTTAATTATTATATGTACATATATATTTTCTTATAGCAAGGCTATAAGATCTATATATCTGTATACGTATACATGAATATATATTCTAGTTAGATTCTAGTTGTTTATTACATTTTTCACATTAGCTCTTGAAAAAATAATAACTTTATCAATTGTCTTTTTCAATTTAATTAATTTCTCTTTAGATTTTATTTTTCCCCATAGAGCTCAGGCTTGTTTAATTGTCAAATCAGGAAAATAATATTTTGAATTAAACATATATTATTTTATTTTAATATCTTCTTATTAATAAATAAAGTAAAAAGATGTTTTTCTTGACACTGTGATAGTTATTTTCTAAGAAATACAATTACAGCTTTGATTTTTCTTATGCCATCAGTTTTTACTAGTATTGTTTTAAAATTTTTTCAAATGAATATTTTCTTGAACAATTAGTTCATTGTGTTGCATTTTAGAAAATATGATTTCTGCTTTTCATAAAGTATTGAATTTTTTTCATAATATTAAATGTGATATAGTTTTATGAAAGTTCTAAGATTGCACTAGAGCAAGGCTATACACTACACAATGTATTTTAAATATTGAATATAATGTTTTTAAAAATGTTTTTAAATGACTTTAAAAAATTAAAATTATTGTTATTGTTATGCAGTCATAAATCTCTTAATGATGGAAGTACATTCTGAGAAGTGCATTGTCAGGCAATTATGTCATTGTGGAAACACAAGACAGTGTACTTACATAAACCTTGGTTCTATAAAGGTATAGTAAAATATGGTATTATAATCTTATGGGATCATTATCCTGTATGTGTTCCGCTGTTGACCAAAGCATTGTTACGTGGCACACAACTGTATAACAAGTCTTAATAATTTGTAACTGAGATTTTGAGAACTTTGTAACTACATCTCATTTCTATTTTTTTCTTTTTCTCCTTGATATTCATTCATTTAAAAAATTACATAAGTGCATTTATTATTTGTAGAAAAATTTTGATTTTTTTACTTGCCATGAACTATTACTTCATTAATTTCACAGACCTATTTAATAAGAGATATTAAAAAATGGTATGCCCACTTTGAAAGTATAATACCTTGTTTAACATAGATTCTTACAGGGAGGACAGAGGAAAGCAGAAGAATAATAGTTGTACCAGGCATGCTGACCACCTTCCATTTGTCCGCCATATCTGCACTCCACTCTGCCCTGGGTTCTGGGAGGTTCACTGTGTGTAGTCCTTAGTTCCTCCTCCCCTCTGGCTCTCTGACTTTGGTTTAGGTCTGCCCAGTGGGAAATAGCAAAAGAATACGAGAAAAAAAAATAGAGACTGAGGTTGAAGGTATCCTTTAAGGTTGCCCCTTAGTGGCAACCTTCTGTCTGTGCACCTGTCCTCTCCTTTGAGCTGAAGAGTGTTAATTTTGACCTGCTGTTCTCAGCCCCATAGTACCGCACTGTTCTTTAAGGTCTTTCTCACACCTTACCTGTAAATTTTTGTACGTGATCTATTTAAAACAAAACAAAGCAAAAAAAAAAAAAAAAAAAAAAAAAAAGAAAGAAAGAAAGAAAAAGAAAAAGAATACCCAACCCTTCAAAGGTTTGAACTTAATTGGATGTACCATCTGTTTCTGATTAGGACCCTGACTGATATACCAGGAAGTTTTATTGCAATTGACAGCCTCATGGAAACTGTCCAATTCTCAGGAGTCATATATTTGATAATCAGTCAGCTCCATGTTTACTGAGAAGAGGCACAATGCAGACTCTCATTTTAGTATGAATAGTTAGAGTTACTTTTGCTCTTATACGGATGCCAAATTTGAGTATTACCACAATCCCCAATATGTGTGTTTTCCAAATAATTTTAATTCCTTTAACGGTGTTTCTGTGTTATATGGGGAAAAAAAAAGGAAGTAAGACCATCCTGTATTAAAGATCAATATTTGGTCTTGATATTTGGTAAGATTCCGGAAGAGAGATTTTCCTTTTAAGCCATCAAATTTAGGAAGTGATCAGAAAGAATAAGATGGGCCAATCAATGGGTCAAGAGAAAATAAAGCAATGGGAAGGGAATAAAAAAGAGCTCTAATTATTGAAAGAAAGAAATAACATTTTAATGCAAAATAATGAACACATTTAGGAAAAACTGAAGAGGATGAAATGCTGTTTTTGACAAAAGTGAAGAACTTAAAGCATGAACTATGGAAATTTATTAATTTTTTTCTAGCACAACATAATTAGCATTCAAAAAGCGTAATGAAATGAGCACAAGGCAGTTAGCTCACTTAATTATGAGTTGGATTAATTCTGAATGGGAAAATGTTTTTTATTAGATAATTTAGAAACAAATAATTTACCATGTACTGATAAGTAAAAGATACACCAAGGACTTCTTGCTGTGATTTTAAAAACAAAAAGATTTCCTTTTGGAACCTGTATTTATGGGCTTTATGCTTCACAAACACTTTCAGAAATTTACATTTGAAGGGAAACGTAACAAACTGAAACAAAATGACGAGTGTTTTGGTTATCATTATTATCTTTTTCTTTCTATATACAACAGGGAGGCAATCTGACTCTTTGATGTAGCTTTACATTTAGAATAAGTGAATTTATCAAATGCATGTGGAATTAGCAACTTGAGACTTAGTCTTTTCAAAATATAATGTACAAAAGATACATAGATGTGTTTTAGTGAACATAGTGGACACTTAAAAATGCATTTTCTCAACTAGTTAGAAGGACTTATACTTGACGTCTCTAGTTTTTTTTTTAATAAATCATCCTAAAACATGAACAGCTACATGCCTCCCATCCCCATGTCAGGCCACAGTGAACTACCATGCTAATGATCATTTTTCAATCACACATTCATTTCATTAAATAATAGGCAGAAAGATTTCTGAGAATAAATTCTGTACATTCAATTTTTAAAAATAGTTCAAGTCAAAATATATAGAGAAAATAGAGCCTGGTCTCATTAAATTTAAAAATATATTTCTGGCAAGGGTTAGCTTACAACAATATTGGAAACTTGTTAAGGTAATTAAGAATAATTATATGACACTTTAAGTAGTTCCAAGGTAAGGGCCAGCAAGGATATTTTTTCTCTGAAAAATTTAAACCCATGCATATAAGGAATTTTGTTGTGTAGGTGTGTGTGCACACACAATTTTGTTTGTACATGCTTGGACATACCCTTGCTGGTACTGAAGAAGGAGAAAGGGAGTGATAAAAAGAAAGGTCATTACAGAAGAAACACAATAAAAAGTGAGGCAAAAATTAAAATGGAAAAATGTCAGAGGAAAGTTAGATACCATTTTGGGTATGTCATATACTTAAATTCAGATATAGATATATCATATTTGATTAAATCATTATTACTGCTATAAATTGTAGTTTTAGCCTCAACCACACAGTAGATTTTGCTTAAATTTTCTGTCTTATATGCATTTGCATTTTCTCTAGTTTCATAAAAGATTATTTTTTAACTTATCTTTGTGAAAGTTCCAAGTAGATTGTTTTTTCCAACTCTCTATCAGTCATAACATTCTTCCCAAAATGTTTAAAATTATCAGTCTGACAGGTTTTTCTTTGTATGTCGGTTTCCTGGTGATATGTATCCTGAAGTTATCTACCCTCCTGACTCAAACAATATCAAAAGCTGGGTAGGTCTGTTTCACAGATGTCTTTCTAGGGTTTTGTTTTTCCATTGTTCAAGAAAATTCCTTTGTCCTCTTTTCTACTGGAATTACTGAATCTATTTCCTGAATCTATTATGTTCCTATTTCTCATTTGTACTGTTTTAATGGAGTATATCCCCTGGGAGCTTCTGGGGAAAAGGTACCCGAAGTGGGTACCTCCTTTCTGCAGGCAGGTCAGCCTGACGAGTGTCCCACTCTCAGCAGAGAGGAGACCTGAAGTGAGTAGCTTCTTCCCACAGCTGGTTGTCCCTGTGTCTGTGACTGGCAGATTCCAGGGTTTTTATGGGCTCAAAAGGGAGGAAGTGTATGCTAATTGGGCCATGGGTGGTCATGGGTGAGGCCGGAAAAAGCACTCTAATATCTCACTCCTAGCTGCAGACTCCACTGGTACCTGGCAGCCCAGCCCCCAGGGTTCAGGCTGTCCCCAGCTTGAAGGTGAGGTTTCACCAGTGACTCACCCCTTTCTGCCCAGTGACCCACCCCTTTCTGCCCAGGGACCCATCCCTTTCTGTCCAGGAACATGTCTTCCTCTTGCCATTAACATGCCTTCCACAACACCCAGGCTGTTTGTGCTAAGGGGTGCCTCCATGTCTGGGATGAGCTGCCCTCAGCACCACCCCCCAAACACACACCCCTCCTCCTTCCCACGCTGGTCTGCACCCAAAGTCTGGAGGGAGCCAAGGTGGCAGGGAGCTGGAGTTTCAGTGCCGCCCCAAGCATGTGCACACCCAGCCATGTCATGACAGCACCCGGGCTCAGCCACTACTTTGCTTCACACAAGAACGGGTGCCGGAAGCAGGGAGAGGTCAGACAGTGGGAGCAGGCACTTATAAGCCTGCGGTGGCAGGGGCTTACTGGGCCCCCAAGAGCTCGGGGATGTCCAGGTCTGGAGCCATGGCTTGGCAGCTGCAGCTGTGCCCAAGAGTACAGGGCTCCCACCCCGTTAACTCAGTAGGAAGTGGGGCTCCCACTTGTTCCTGGCTTGCACCAGCCCTGCAGAGCATGCAATCCCAGCAGTACCTCCCTCACTTCCGCCAGTGTCTTCACAGCAGCTGTTCCAGATGGGCTGCTGCTGTCGTCACAGGAGCAATAGATTTAAATAACATCAAGGACATATATAACAGGAAAATGAATTAAAATAATTAGGAATTGATACGTTTGAATATATTTGCTGTTTTAAATATAATTTATTCAACAGTAACTTTATAATTTATTATTTAACCATAGCTCACAAAATTGCATGAAGTTTGAAGAAGTGGTTTTTATGAGCTAATATAGTTGGCTCCTACCCAATACTATCACCAATATTTCTTTTACTTTTATATATTTGTTAACAACATTTGAATTCCAAATGCTCTTAAATGTTTTCTAAATGTTTATTTAAATTAGTATTACTAGAAGTTTTATTATTATGTGTAATTTGTATGTTATAGTTGTTTTATCATTGAATTTTTGGTTCTGATTGATTTTGTTATTGTTTCATTGTGCCTGTTTCATTCTTGTCTCACATTAGAGATTTTTGCCAAGTAATTGGGGATTCTTGGGGGTTTGTTCAGGTAAAAAGTGCAACTTTATGAGAGAGACTGCCATCTCTGTGTGCATGTACTGTATAGGGATTGTTGTTTGAAAGGCAATGAAGTAGCAAGCTGCCTGTTTTATATAAAACAGCCTGTTTCTATATAAAGATCTACAAATGTCAGAATCTAAAGATTTTTTCATCTGGGCGGCTCAGTTAAAGTTTCAACATTATCCAGTATGCTAACACTTGTCAGTTTCCTTTTATTTACAATATTTTATTCCATTGTTATTTAATGCGTTCTTCACTTCGTCATTTGGAGTTTATGACTTTTTAAATACATTACTCTCATTTAGTTGTATTTTTTGGAGGAGTAAAAATAAATGTGTGCATTCCATCTGCCGTGTTTAGCAAAGATTGTCCAATTTATCTTCTGTTTACTTTACTCTAGATTTGTCAGCACTGCTCTACTGAAACGGATCTTTTTTGAGGTCAAATTGTCTGTTGCTAAATCCAGTGGATACCTCTTTGCCTCCAGTTTCCTTGATCTTTTGACAATATTTGGCACAATTTACTATTTTCATCCTCTTGAAATGTATAGATTATATGACACTGTTTTTGTTTTGTTTCTTAATTTTCTTGCTAATTCCTAAATTATGTCTGTTTTTCTCATTTAAGAAAATTCTGCTCCCACTTTTTTTCTCTATGGAAATCTAATTCACATCAGCATTTAAGAACATTACAGACAATTCTCAAATCTCCAGCCCTATACCTCTTCTGTGAACTCTACACTGCATGGTGTCTCCAAACTGTATCAGTTGATGGGCTTCACAACACTTTTATTTCCCATTCACCCTTAACCCACCCAATGAGATTCACCTTTCAAATTCGAAACCTGGCAATCAATCCTGATTCTTCTCTCTCCATAACTCCCATAACTGCAAGCCCCTTCTGTCTTCTAATATATAGATAGCACCCACTCATCTCTTACCCACACTCTTGCAACTAAACACTTCTTATTGTTCACTCTTGCTCCAATATCAATTTATTTCTTTTTCAATATCCTATATGATCATGAAATAGTCTTAAACATGACATAGAAGATTCAGCATTATTTATCTAAACTCTAGCCAGCTCCCCAAATTTCTCCTTTACATCTGCTCAATTCCTCAGAAAGATCAATTTTCATTTTTTTCTTAAATATGTTGTGCTATTTCTTTCAGGATTCTGTATATGAACTTTGTTAATTCTACTTTCTCTGCTTGTAATTCTCTTTTCCTCACTCTTAGAATGACTACAAACATTTTATCTTTCAAGATTCAGATCACTTAAGCACAGGGACTATTCTTAACCACCATCTTATTTTTTTTTCCTTCCTGGAATTTATTATTGCTGATAATTGTTTTATAAATTTCTTTTTAGTTAAAGGTCTAGGAGAGAAGGAACATTGTTTGCCTTCTATCTCTGATTCTTCAACAATTAGCACCCTGCATAACTCATAGTAAGTATTAATTAAATATTAGCCAATTTAATGCATAATATCAGAAACTGGTTTTTGATGAGTGGATGTAACATTTTATTATATCT
Source organism: Homo sapiens (assembly GCF_000001405.40). Lineage (NCBI taxonomy): Eukaryota > Metazoa > Chordata > Mammalia > Primates > Hominidae > Homo > Homo sapiens. Next base: position 59,089,243 of record NC_000004.12, on the reverse strand, counting down.
TATTTTGTATTTTGTCTCTCAAAAAAGTAGATTTAATTCATGTGATTGTATCAAGTATTTATTCACAACGCTACTCTTTATCAAATAGCTTTTTAAGTAGAGAGAAGTGATAACTGATGATATCACGTTATACATTACCTGAGCTTTCAGTAATCTATGCTGTGTTAAACTTTTTACTGGTCTACATAGTCATATGTGGATACAACAGTAGTTCAGAACATATTTGTAATTGTATATAGTGTGTTTAGAAAGAGGAAGATAGAAAAAGAAGAAGGAGGAGGGGGGGAGGAGGAGGAAGAGGAGGGGAAGGAGGAGGAGGGGAGGAGGAGGAGGAGGGGGAGGAGGAGGAGGAAGGAGACGAGGAGGAGGAGGAGGAGAAGGAGGAGGAAGGAGAGGAGGACTAGGAATTAACCTAGCACACCCAATTCTATTGCATGTTGTTGCATAGTGTCTTTAGAGGCAGGAAGTTGTTATTGTTTCCTCTCTTTAAAAAAACTGTAATGATGTTCATAGATTTAACTCTTTCAATTGTCATCAGTCATTAGTGGACCCGAAAATTTAAGGTGGCACTATTTTGAGGCATCAATCTAAATCACATCCATCAATTTAGAATACATTTTATAGACTCTCTTAATAGTGAATGAATCAAATAATCTTTCAAGATTATCTTGTTATTTTTTTCTGATAATCCAGTCTCTGCACGTTATATGAGCTTAGTGGTTGCTTACACCTCAATAAGCATTTTATAATCCTTCAGAACATTCTCCAAAAGAATCACTTTCCCATGTTACAGGTGTCAAAGCATAAATGTAAGTTAGAAGAATAGTGTCTCAGAGTAGATGATGAACAGCTCTTAGAGCTGATTTCTGAGTTCTTGTCCCTTACTTTTATAGCTCACTACTTTACAAGTTTGGCAGGGGAAAAACTATGGCCCATGCACCTAATCCAGTTTATTGTCTATAAATAAAACTTTATTAAAAATATTCATCCTCATTTGTCTTCATATTCTCTGTGACTGTTTCTTTACTACAACAGTAAAGTTAAGTAGTTGCAACTGACATCAAAGGGCCCTAAACACGTAAAATATTTACTATATGGCCCTTTGCAGAAAATGTTTGCTGACCCCTGGTTTAAGATATTGACCTTGGCATCTTTCATGTGTGGGCTTCAGTTTCTCTGGCTTTAACAAAAGTGTTGGGTTATGTGAACCCTAAAACTGTTGCCGTCTCATATTCCTTTATCTTATATGCCTTTCTTTAGCTGTGTCTGGGTTTCTAGACCCAGACTACATTAACATTTACTATTTCATGTCAATAGTATAAATTTATGTTTCTGCTTTTCCCTTTCCTAGTTTGAAATATTAAATAAATATGTTATCATCAGTAGAGTAAATATTAACTGCATCAGGAATGAAGAATCAATATTTTCTGCCTCTGATTTATTTTTTATTCTACAGAGAAAGGTGAGGAGGGGCCATCAGGTGATAATAATCAATCAAAATTTGCGGCATATTATCAGAGCTATAGTTTTGGTTTATTTTACTTATCTTAAACATCTTTGGCAAAAAAATACTGCAATCAAGATGATACTAAATATCAATATGCACTTATTTCATTTCAATCTGCAACCAACTTTCCTAGTTTATAATGTGTAATATATTTTATTTACTTAAGTGCAGAAATAATTTTTGGTAAGCCTGTTTCTAAGAGGGAAGATATTTACATATACTAAATGAAAAATGAGTGAAGTTTACATGTAAAAAAATAGAAAGAACATTTGTAAGATTTCTATATTTGTAAATTTGTAGAATATTTGTAAATCAAGGCATCTTAAAATTTATGACAATGACAAAAATGGACCATGCTATTTATTTTCAGCCTTTTTCTTCCTTTGCACATTTTGTTTTCAACTTCAAAAAAATTAAAATCACACATAAAATTATAAAGTACAGAATATATTAAAATAATTTCTTCAAAACCTTATATTGGGCATATTCATCTAAATCAATTTTTAAAAGAATGTAGTGCTGAATGAATGGTCTCAACTCTGCCTTGCTTTGCCCTTGTAGCTGTGATGGCATTGCCTTGTGAAGACATGCCAAAACATGAGCCAATGGCTATATCCCAACAAGAATCCAAAGGCTGAACAATGACTTCTTAATGGAAGGCTTAAAAAAATAAAATCGGTTGCTTCATGCATAAGGAAAAAAGAAGTAACGTCCTTCATGGCAAACTGCTGTAGAGTGTCATCTTGATGCTATTGAAAATGAAGTTTTAACTTCATTCTTTATAGGGACGATGATAGAAATGTACCCTGAAAATTGTAATATAATATTCAGGAGCCAGAAGCCATGCCCTTAAATATTCAAGTTTTATATCAGTAAGATACTAACTTTAAAACAGAAATACTACTCAGATTTGCTTGATTCACAGGGTTTGTTTTTGCTTTTCTCAAACTTTTTAATCTTGTCTCTTAGCTTATTCTTGGTTGAACAATGTTTTCTTTGATAAGCTTTGGATGCCTCTAAGAGATTACAGTGATTTGCTGTCAAAGAGACATGTGCTGTGCTTCCCTTAAAAAGGAAGATGTAAATGTGAATGACATTAAAGGTCTTTATCCAAATCAGCTTCTTTCCTCCATCCTTCTCTTTCCGCAGGAGGAAAATCAGTCATGTCTGCACAAATCCCAATTCCATTAACCTTTCAGCTACTGCTGAGACATGGTTGTACTAAGGTCCCTAACATTATATATGTCAAAAATTGGCTGGCATGTCCTTTATAAGACTCTCTTGTAATATCGACTATTTCAGATAGTTCGTAGTTTTGTTACACAAGAATATTAAAGTGCAGTACAATTTTGACTTTTAGAATTAATACCTGAACTTGAAGTTCATTGGAGAGGTGAGGAGCAGCAAAGGCACACACACACACACACACACACACACACACACTTTTATTTCTCTTATGTTACGTTTTGTAAAACTTAAAATTTTCTACGTTTAAAGTTCATAGAAAGACAACAAACAGAAGAGTAGTGAACATTACTTCAAAACATATAAATGTATTCTCTCTCACACTCATTCTTGGAAATGATAGAAATATGTGTAAATTGAGCCCATGAGACAACACACTGTAGCAAATAAGAATGAGAACTCTACAACCTCATTGCTTAGTTCTCAATGTATTTTCACATTTTATAAAACATGTAGCTTGGGGAATATAACAACTTTTTTGTGTATCAGTTTTCTCAATTACAAATGGGTATAAAACTGACTAACACAGTTATTTCAATGATTGAATTAGTCAATATTTGCATAGAAAATAGCAAGCATTCACTCTATGGTAAATGTAATTATATTTACTCATAGATTCTAAAAAAAGTGATGGATAAAACTAATGTAACTTTTTTAATAATGAGCAATAAATATCTATTATAAAAGAACAAGCCTGGGCGTGGTGGCTCATGCCCGTAATTCCAGCACTTTGGGAGGCCAAGGTGGGTGGATCACTTGAGGTCAGGAGTTCAAGACCAGCCTGACCCACATGGTGAAACCATGTCTCTACTAAAAATGCAAAAACTAGCCAGGCATGGTGATGTGTGCCTATAGTCCCAGCTACTTGGGAGGCTGAGGCAGCAGAATCTCTTGAACCTGGGAGGCGGAGGTTGCAGTGAGCCAAGATCACACCACTGCACTCCAGCCTGGGCGACAGAGTGAAACTCCATCAGAAAGAAAGAAAGAAAGAGAGAGAGAAAGAGAGAAAGAAAGACAGAAAGAGAAAGAAAGAAAGAAGAAAGAAAGAAAGAGAGAGAAAGAGAGAGAAAGAAAGAGAGAAAGAAACTTATAATACAAAGTAAAAGGCAGGATTTTTGAGACCATTTTAGAATCAATAATAACTTTTCTCAAAATTATATTAACTCTTTTTGAATCTGATAATATTACCACCTTACGACTCAAATTACAGAACATCAAGCCACACTAGATTATGATATTTGCTTATCAGACACTCAAAAAATGAATGAATTATTTGCAGTGGAGAAAATGGAATGGATTCAGAAGGAAAGCAGAAGGAAAAGCAGATACAATGGTTCAGAGAAATACGAGTTTTGCAAATATCCTGTAATCCAATATGTGATCTTTTCTCTCTCCTGTATTTTTAGCCTTTTTATGCATAGGCTTCATCTTATTATCTAACATATTTGGTTAGAACAATTCCCTTGTTGAAAGAAAACTAAAACCTATCATCGTTTGTACTTCTTCATGCTACCAGTGTCTATTTGCTTTGAATACAAAATAATTTAAAATATGATTGACATCTACTTTTCCTCTTTAGATCCCAATAATTTTGTTTTCAATACAAAATTTTTTTTTTTTTTTTTTTATTATACTCTAAGTTTTAGGGTACATGTGCATATTGTGCAGGTTAGTTACATATGTATACATGTGCCATGCTGGTGCGCTGCACCCACAAATGAGTCATCTAGCATTAGGTATATCTCCCAATGCTATCCCTCCCCCCTCCCCCGACCCCACCACAGTCCCCAGAGTGTGATATTCCCCTTCCTGTGTCCATGTGATCTCATTGTTCAATTCCCACCTATGAGTGAGAATATGCGGTGTTTGGTTTTTTGTTCTTGCGATAGTTTACTGAGAATGATGGTTTCCAATTTCATCCATGTCCCTACAAAGGATATGAACTCATCATTTTTTATGGCTGCATAGTATTCCATGGTGTATATGTGCCACATTTTCTTAATCCAGTCTATCATTGTTGGACATTTGGGTTGGTTCCAAGTCTTTGCTATTGTGAATAGTGCCGCAATAAACATACGTGTGCATGTGTCTTTATAGCAGCATGATTTATAGTCATTTGGGTATATACCCAGTAATGGGATGGCTGGGTCAAATGGTATTTCTAGTTCTAGATCCCTGAGGAATCGCCACACTGACTTCCACAACGGTTGAACTAGTTTACAGTCCCACCAACAGTGTAAAAGTGTTCCTATTTCTCCACATCCTCTCCAGCACCTGTTGTGTCCTGACTTTTTAATGATTGCCATTCTAACTGGTGTGAGATGATATCTCATAGTGGTTTTGATTTGCATTTCTCTGATGGCCAGTGATGATGAGCATTTCTTCATGTGTTTTTTGGCTGCATAAATGTCTTCTTTTGAGAAGTGTCTGTTCATGTCCTTCGCCCACTTTTTGATGGGGTTGTTTGTTTTTTTCTTGTAAATTTGTTTGAGTTCATTGTAGATTCTGGATATTAGCCCTTTGTCAGATGAGTAGGTTGCGAAAATTTTCTCCCATGTTGTAGGTTGCCTGTTCACTCTGATGGTAGTTTCTTTTGCTGTGCAGAAGCTCTTTAGTTTAATTAGATCCCATTTGTCAATTTTGGCTTTTGTTGCCATTGCTTTTGGTGTTTTGGACATGAAGTCCTTGCCCACGCCTATGTCCTGAATGGTAATGCCTAGGTTTTCTTCTAGGGTTTTTATGGTTTTAGGTTTAACGTTTAAATCTTTAATCCATCTTGAATTGATTTTTGTATAAGGTGTAAGGAAGGGATCCAGTTTCAGCTTTCTACATATGGCTAGCCAGTTTTCCCAGCACCATTTATTAAATAGGGAATCCTTTCCCCATTGCTTGTTTTTCTCAGGTTTGTCAAAGATCAGATAGTTGTAGATATGCGGCATTATTTCTGAGGGCTCTGTTCTGTTCCATTGATCTATATCTCTGTTTTGGTACCAATACCATGCTGCTTTGGTTACTGTAGCCTTGTAGTATAGTTTGAAGTCAGGTAGTGTGATGCCTCCAGCTTTGTTCTTTTGGCTTAGGATTGACTTGGCAATGCGGGCTCTTTTTTGGTTCCATATGAACTTTAACGTAGTTTTTTCCAATTCTGTGAAGAAAGTCATTGGTAGCTTGATGGGGATGGCATTGAATCTGTAAATTACCTTGGGCAGTATGGCCATTTTCACGATATTGATTCTTCCTACCCATGAGCATGGAATGTTCTTCCAATTGTTTGTATCCTCTTTTATTTCCTTGAGCAGTGGTTTGTAGTTCTCCTTGAAGAGGTCCTTCACATCCCTTGTAAGTTGGATTCCTAGGTATTTTATTCTCTTTGAAGCAATTGTGAATGGGAGTTCACCCATGATTTGGCTCTCTGTTTGTCTGTTGTTGGTGTATAAGAATGCTTGTGATTTTTGTACATTGATTTTGTATCCTGAGACTTTGCTGAAGTTGCTTATCAGCTTAAGGAGATTTTGGGCTGAGACGATGGGGTTTTCTAGATAAACAATCATGTCGTCTGCAAACAGGGACAATTTGACTTCCTCTTTTCCTAATTGAATACCCTTTATTTCCTTCTCCTGCCTAATTGCCCTGGCCAGAACTTCCAACACTATGTTGAATAGGAGCGGTGAGAGAGGACATCCCTGTCTTGTGCCAGTTTTCAAAGGGAATGCTTCCAGTTTTTGCCCATTCAGTATGATATTGGCTGTGGGTTTGTCATAGATAGCTCTTATTATTTTGAAATACGTCCCATCAATACCTAATTTATTGAGAGTTTTTAGCATGAAGGGTTGTTGAATTTTGTCAAAGGCTTTTTCTGCATCTATTGAGATAATCATGTGGTTTTTGTCTTTGGCTCTGTTTATATGCTGGATTACATTTATTGATTTGCGTATATTGAACCAGCCTTGCATCCCAGGGATGAAGCCCACTTGATCATGGTGGATAAGCTTTTTGATGTGCTGCTGGATTCGGTTTGCCAGTATTTTATTGAGGATTTTTGCATCAATGTTCATCAAGGATATTGGTCTAAAATTCTCTTTTTTGGTTGTGTCTCTGCCTGGCTTTGGTATCAGAATGATGCTGGCCTCATAAAATGAGTTAGGGAGGATTCCCTCTTTTTCTATTGATTGGAATAGTTTCAGAAGGAATGGTACCAGTTCCTCCTTGTACCTCTGGTAGAATTCGGCTGTGAATCCATCTGGTCCTGGACTCTTTTTGGTTGGTAAACTATTGATTATTGCCACAATTTCAGATTCTGTTACTGGTCTATTCAGAGATTCAACTTCTTCCTGGTTTAGTCTTGGGAGAGTGTATGTGTCGAGGAATGTATCCATTTCTTCTAGATTTTCTAGTTTATTTGCGTAGAGGTGTTTGTAGTATTCTCTGATGGTAGTTTGTATTTCTGTGGGATCGGTGGTGATATCCCCTTTATCATTTTTTATTGTGTCTATTTGATTCTTCTCTCTTTTTTTCTTTATTAGTCTTGCTAGCGGTCTATCAATTTTGTTGATCCTTTCAAAAAACCAGCTCCTGGATTCATTAATTTTTTGAAGGGTTTTTTGTGTCTCTATTTCCTTCAGTTCTGCTCTGATTTTAGTTATTTCTTGCCTTCTGCTAGCTTTTGAATGTGTTTGCTCTTGCTTTTCTAGTTCTTTTAATTGTGATGTTAGGGTGTCAATTTTGGATCTTTCCTGCTTTCTCTTGTAGGCATTTAGTGCTATAAATTTCCCTCTACACACTGCTTTGAATGTGTCCCAGAGATTCTGGTATGTGGTGTCTTTGTTCTCGTTGGTTTCAAAGAACATCTTTATTTCTGCCTTCATTTCGTTATGTACCCAGTAGTCATTCAGGAGCAGGTTGTTCAGTTTCCATGTAGTTGAGCAGCTTTGAGTGAGATTCTTAATCCTGAGTTCTAGTTTGATTGCACTGTGGTCTGAGAGATAGTTTGTTATAATTTCTGTTCTTTTACATTTGCTGAGGAGAGCTTTACTTCCAACTATGTGGTCAATTTTGGAATAGGTGTGGTGTGGTGCTGAAAAAAATGTATATTCTGTTGATTTGGGGTGGAGAGTTCTGTAGATGTCTATTAGGTCTGCTTGGTGCAGAGCTGAGTTCAATTCCTGGGTATCCTTGTTGACTTTCTGTCTCATGGATCTGTCTAATGTTGACAGTGGGGTGTTAAAGTCTCCCATTATTAATGTGTGGGAGTCTAAGTCTCTTTGTAGGTCACTGAGGACTTGCTTTATGAATCTGGGTGCTCCTGTATTGGGTGCATAAATATTTAGGATAGTTAGCTCCTCTTGTTGAATTGATCCCTTTACCATTATGTAATGGCCTTCTTTGTCTCTTTTGATCTTTGTTGGTTTAAAGTCTGTTTTATCAGAGACTAGGATTGCAACCCCTGCCTTTTTTTGTTTTCCATTGGCTTGGTAGATCTTCCTCCATCCTTTTATTTTGAGCCTATGTGTGTCTCTGCACGTGAGATGGGTTTCCTGAATACAGCACACTGATGGGTCTTGACTCTTTATCCAACTTTCCAGTCTGTGTCTTTTAATTGCAGAATTTAGTCCATTTATATTTAAAGTTAATATTGTTATGTGTGAATTTGATCCTGTCATTATGATGTTAGCTGGTGATTTTGCTCATTAGTTGATGCAGTTTCTTCCTAGTCTCGATGGTCTTTACATTTTGGCATGATTTTGCAGCGGCTGGTACCGGTTGTTCCTTTCCATGTTTAGCGCTTCCTTCAGGAGCTCTTTTAGGGCAGGCCTGGTGGTGACAAAATCTCTCAGCATTTGCTTGTCTATAAAGTATTTTATTTCTCCTTCACTTATGAAGCTTAGTTTGGCTGGATATGAAATTCTGGGTTGAAAATTCTTTTCTTTAAGAATGTTGAATATTGGCCCCCACTCTCTTCTGGCTTGTAGGGTTTCTGCTGAGAGATCCGCTGTTAGTCTGATGGGCTTTCCTTTGAGGGTAACCCGACCTTTCTCTCTGGCTGCCCTTAACATTTTTTCCTTCATTTCAACTTTGGTGAATCTGACAATTATGTGTCTTGGAGTTGCTCTTCTCGAGGAGTATCTTTGTGGCGTTCTCTGTATTTCCTGAATCTGAACGTTGGCCTGCCTTGCTAGATTGGGGAAGTTCTCCTGGATAATATCCTGCAGAGTGTTTTCCAACTTGGTTCCATTCTCCACATCACTTTCAGGTACACCAATCAGACGTAGATTTGGTCTTTTCACATAGTCCCATATTTCTTGGAGGCTTTGCTCATTTCTTTTTATTCTTTTTTCTCTAAACTTCCCTTCTCGCTTCATTTCATTCATTTCATCTTCCATTGCTGATACCCTTTCTTCCAGTTGATCGCATCGGCTCCTGAGGCTTCTGCATTCTTCACGTAGTTCTCGAGCCTTGGTTTTTAGCTCCATCAGCTCCTTTAAGCACTTCTCTGTATTGGTTATTCTAGTTATACATTCTTCTAAATTTTTTTCAAAGTTTTCAACTTCTTTGCCTTTGGTTTGAATGTCCTCCTGTAGCTCAGAGTAATTTGATCGTCTGAAGCCTTCTTCTCTCAGCTCGTCAAAATCATTCTCCATCCAGCTTTGTTCTGTTGCTGGTGAGGAACTGCGTTCCTTTGGAGGAGGAGAGGCGCTCTGCGTTTTAGAGTTTCCAGTTTTTCTGTTCTGTTTTTTCCCCATCTTTGTGGTTTTATCTACTTTTGGTCTTTGATGATGGTGATGAACAGATGGGTTTTCGGTGTAGATGTCCTTTCTGTTTGTTAGTTTTCCTTCTAACAGACAGGACCCTCAGCTGCAGGTCTGTTGGAATACCCTGCCGTGTGAGGTGTCAGTGTGCCCCTGCTGGGGGGTGCCTCCCAGTTAGGCTGCTCCGGGGGTCAGGGGTCAGGGACCCACTTGAGGAGGCAGTCTGCCCGTTCTCAGATCTCCAGCTGCGTGCTGGGAGAACCACTGCTCTCTTCAAAGTTGTCAGACAGGGACACTTAAGTCTGCAGAGGTTACTGCTGTCTTTTTGTTTGTCTGTGCCCTGCCCCCAGAGGTGGAGCCTACAGAGGCAGGCAGGCCTCCTTGAGCTGTGGTGGGCTCCACCCAGTTCGAGCTTCCCGGCTGCTTTGTTTACCTAAGCAAGCCTGGGAAATGGCGGGCGCCCCTCCCCCAGCCTCGTTGCTGCCTTGCAGTTTGATCTCAGACTGCTGTGCTAGCAATCAGCAAGATTCCGTGGGCGTAGGACCCTCTGAGCCAGGTGTGGGATATAGTCTCGTGGTGCGCCGTTTCTTAAGCCGGTCTGAAAAGCGCAATGTTCGGGTGGGAGTGACCCGATTTTCCAGGTGCGTCCGTCACCCCTTTCTTTGACTCGGAAAGGGAACTCCCTGACCCCTTGCGCTTCCCAGGTGAGGCAATGCCTCGCCCTGCTTCGGCTCGCGCACGGTGCGCACACACACTGGCCTGCGCCCACTGTCTGGCACTCCCTAGTGAGATGAACCCGGTACCTCAGATGGAAATGCAGAAATCACCCGTCTTCTGCGTCGCTCACGCTGGGAGCTGTAGACCGGAGCTGTTCCTATTCGGCCATCTTGGCTCCTCCACAAAAATTTTATTGAAATTACTTTCTTCAAGATTACCAGTTATTTCCTCCAAATTGAATAAAAAGTTTTCCATTTTTATTGTTTGCTTGTGTTTTCCTCTCATCTTTTAGCTACCTGTAAGTGTTGGCTGGGAAACAGCTGATCTTGATCATCTGTGTTCCCAATATTGATAAGTATGGTTTGTCTCTTGTTCTGTGGTTACGATTACTCCTCTATCTCATTGTTCTAGACTCTGTGTTCTCTGGAGCCCTTAGTGCATGCAGCATCCACCAACATTACAGATATAGGACTCCATGTTTTGTTTAAAAAATTATTTTTTCTATGCATTGTATAGTATTATGACTTCATCTATCACATCTGTGCAAAGAATGAGAATGTCCTTGATATTTATTATGAGAACCAGTACATAGAATGATAGATGGAATGATTTAGTGGAGAAGAGACTGATGCTTTTTTGGTAAGAAAGGAGATACAGATGTAAACAACTTTTGTCCAAATCATCTCCTTTCTTCCTTCAGGAGGAAAATCAGTAAACAGAAATGACAAATAATGAGCCATTATTGCCTAAAATTGACCAGTTTCAAAATAGAATATATTATTCCCTTTTTCTGTAACTGGCTCTGTGTTTTTCCTAGAGACTCAGGCTTTAAGCTAGGAGTAACTTTCAGGTCTTCCCTTTTTCTGTCATATTTTATATATTCAATTGAAAATCAGTTTACCATTAATTCATACCCTACATTACCGAAAATTTAACTGTAGCTAATATGGGTTGAATTGTGTCCCTCAAAAGTTATGTTGAAGTCCTAACCTCTAGTACCTCACAATGTGACTTGTTTGGAAATGGGGTCATTGAAGATTTAATTAGTTAAGTCAAGATGAGTCCATACTTGAGTAGAAAATACTCCTAATCCAATGTGACTAATGTCCTTACAATAAGAGAAGAGACAGAAACACAGGGAGAATCCTGTGTGACAGCAAAAGGAAAGATTGGACTGATGTGGCTGCCAGTCAAAGGATGCCAAGGTTGTGTGGCCACCAACAGAAGTTAGGAAGAAACAATGAAGATTATCTTCTAGAGACTTCAAGACAACGTGATTCTACCAACACCATGACTTTGAGTTTCTGTTCTCCAGAACCGTGCAGCAATAAATTTCTGTGTTTAAGCTACCTAGTTTGCAATACTTTGCAGTGGCAGCCCTGGGAAAGTGATATAATGGCATTTCTCATTTCTCAATCACTAAACATATGTGAGCCCACATACTGTTCTTGGCTTTCTATTGAAAGTTATCTACTTGTTCAGATTCTAATTGTGGTTATGTTTATTTTTCTGTGCATTTTTCTCAGTTGTATCAGATACAGTGCATATATCATGAAGCTCTAATATTACATGCATACATGTTTAGGTCTTCTTGATGAATTGACTGCATTACTGTTATAAAATGATTTTTACATCCCTTGTGATATTCCTTTCTCTAGAACCAATGAAACATTCCAGTTTTTGTTTGATTAATGTATATTTATCCTGATATATTTTTATACCATGATATTAACATAGCATATTTCCTCCATTTTTATAATCTGTGTCTGTGATCTAGTCAACATATAGTGGTGTCACTTTTTTTTTTTATCAAATATGATAATACCTTCTTTTAATTGAGATGTCTAGATCATTTAAGTTATTGATGGTATAGTTCATTTTAAATAAATCACTTTGCTATGTATTTTCTTTTCTTTCTTTCTTTCTTTTTTTTTTTTTTTTTTTTTTTTTTTTTTTTTTTTTTGGAGACAGAGTCTGGCTCTGTCACCCAGGCTGGAGTGCAGTGGCGCAATCTCGGCTCACTGCAAGCTCCACCTCCCAGGTTCAGGCCATTCTCTTGCCTCAGCCTCCTGAGTAGCTGGCACTACAGGAGCCCACCGCCACACCCGGCTAATTTTTTGTATTTTTAGTAGAGATGGGGTTTCACCGTGTTAGCCAGGATGGTCTCAATCTCCTGACTTTACGATCTGCCCACCTCAGCCTCCCAAAGTGCTGGGATTACAGGTGTGAGCCACCGCACCCGGCCACTTTGCTATGTGTTTTCTATTAGTCATATCTGTTTTTTGTATACTTTTTGTTCTTTTTCTGTCTCTTGAAAATATATTGAGTGTACAATTTACTCTTGAACAACCTGGGTTTGAACTGCATATGTCTACATATATATGAATATTTTTCAGTAAATGCATTGGAAAATATTTGAAGATTTATGACAATTTGAAAACAATCCCAGACAAAACACATAGCCTGAAAATATAAAAAGTAAAAAAGATATGTCAGGAATGCATAAATTATATATATTAAGAGAATCAATGAGAAGAAAGAATATCTGCCTGACCAAGGTTTTCATACAGTGGAAAGTGCTCTATTCTGGAAAAATATCCCAAAAAGGACGTTTATGAATAAAGAAGAGAAGCTATTACCAGGACTTGAGGCAGAAAACTTTAAGCTAACTCTACTGTTTTGTGTAAATGCAGTTGGGTTAATGATAAAGGCTGTCCTCATTTATAAAGCTGCTAACCTCAAACCTTGAAGGGAAATGATAAACACTAGGTGCCAGTCTTTTCGTTATATAGCAAGAAGGCCTGACAAGAAGAACATTTCATCTGGATTGGTTCCATTGATGCCTAGCCCTTGAAGTCAGAAGTTCCTCAACAGTAAGGGATTGCCTTTGAAAATTCTTCTGGTATTGAACAATATCCCTAGCCACCCAGAACTCCATGACTACAATACTGAAAGTATTGAAGTGGTCTACTTGCTTCCAGATGCAATGTCTTTGATTCAGCCTCTAGATTAGGGGAGTCATAAGGCCCTTTAAGGTTCACTATAAATGATACAGTATGAAAGGATTGTCAACATTATAGAGAAGAACCTCGATAGAGAGAACATCATAAAAATGTGCAATGATTACACTATTGAAGATGCATTCTTGTTACAGAAAAAGCTGTGAAAGCTATCAAGCTCAAACCAATAAATTTCTGCAGGAGAACTGTGCCCAGATGTTGTGTGTGACTTCATCAGATTTACAACAGAGCCAGTCAAGAAATAATGAAAGAGACTGTGGATTTAGTTAAAAGAAAAAGAAAAGAAAATGAGTGTAAAGAGTTTTAAGATATGAATCTTAGAGAAATTCAAGATCTAGTAGACAACATACTACAGGAATTAGCAGAAGACAACCTGATTGAAGATGAGTGTGTCCAAACCAGTGCCAGATGGTGAGGATGTATAAGAAGCAATGTCAGAAAACAAATTGACATTAGACAATTTGGCAGGAACGTTCTGATTTTTCAAGACTTTTTACTTCTTTTACCACATGGACACTTCTGAGATGCAGGGAATGAAACTAAAGAAAATCATAGAAAAAGAATTGGTACCATATAGAAACATTTTTAGAGAAATGAAAAAGCAAAAACATCAGACAGAACTTATGATGTATTTATGTAAATTGACACAGCATGGACCTGCTTCCCCTTTTTACCATCACTCGTTACATCTCTGACAGCAAGATTAACAAATCTGGCTACCTAAGACAGCAAGATTAACCCCTTCCCTTCCTTCTTCTCCTTAGCATACTCAATGTGACAATGATGAGGATGAAGACCTTTATGATGATCTACCTCCACTTAATAAACAGTAAGTGTATTTTCTCTTTTCTTTGATTTTCTTATTTTTTCTTTACTCTAGCCTACTTTACTGTAAGAATAAAGTATATATATATATATGTATGTATATACACACACACACACACACACACAAAATATGCATTGTTCAATTGTTTTTGTTACCTGTAAGGCTTCTGGTCAACAGTAGGCTATTAGAAGTTAAGTTTTTGGGAAACTAAAAGTTATATATAAATTTTTGACTATTCAGGGGGCTGATGCAGCTAATCCTTGCATCATTCAAGGGTCAAATGTATTTTATTATTTTATTTTGTTTTTCTTTTTAGATTTTGGCAAATTTTTTGTTGTGTTACTTTATTGTTTATGTATTGTAGTGTACAAGTATAGCTTATCACAAGCTATATTCAAATGATATTTTACCTTTCTGTGTTTAAAATTAGAATTTATAACAGTCACCTTTCAGCAATTGTCATATGTTTTATTCTTACATATGTTGTAAAGAAGGATTAGTACACTGTATCCTGTGGGCCAAATTTAACAAACACCTGTTTTTTATAATCTCAGAACAGCAAAAAAAGTTTTTTTCTCCTCTAAAATGTTATGAAACAAACAGAATAATGTTCAACAGAGAAAAAACAGATTCTACGAAGCCTAAACCACTATCCTCTATCCCATTATAAATCCCTGCAATGCATTGCCATAGTTTTTCCCTTAAACGATAAATTAACTTTTAAAGAGCTTTGTTTTAAATGCCCATTGTATCAACATTTCTGATTTTCTTCACTCCTATGTGTAGATTCAGATTTTTATTCCGTATTTTTCCTTGCTACGTGAAGGACTCCTCATTATTTCTTGCAGTGAATATTTGCTGGTGATAAATTCTTTAAATTGTTTCAGCTTTTGTACATCTCAAATAGTCGAGTCTTCCCCCTAATTTCTGAAAATTATTTTCCCTGGTTTTAAAATTTTAGACAGTTAGTACTTTATTTTTTATTTCATTACTATATAGAGTTCTGCACTATCTTCCAGCTTACATTATTTCCAAACAAAAGTCAGCTGTCATTTTTATATTTGTTCATTTGTTCATTTTTTTATCTGACTGTTTTTGGAATTCTCCCTTTATAACAGACTTTCAATAATTTTATGGTAATTTGGTGTAGTTATCTTCTTGTTTCATGTGATTAATGTTCTTTAATTTGTGTATTTATAATTCTCTTCAATTTTGGACAGTAATTTTTTGAAATATTTCTTCCATCCTTGACCTCCTTTGAGGAAATCCAGTTACACATATATTAGGACACAAACATACATACCCAACACCTCACTTATGTTTGGTACTAATTAGGTGTGTTTGTTTTCTGGTCATTCTTTTCTGTCTTTCATGTTGGATTATTTTTATTACTTTGATCAGTAATACTTTTGGCTACAATAAATAACTTCTCTTAATTCTATCTAGTGTAGTTTTCATCTCCGTCATTGTGGTTTTCACTTTTAGAAGTTTCATTTGGGTCTCATTGTATTTTCCACGTCTCTAATTTACATGTTAAAGTTTTCCTCTAGCTTTGTGGACCTATGAAATACAGTTATATCAGTTTTCATGCCTCCTATGCTGATACCAACAGGTTTGTCATTTATGTCACTTTTGATTGATTAATATAATCCTTATGACAGGTTTTATCTTTCTGCTTCTTTTTATGCTTGGCCAATTTTGATTGGATTATAAACATTGAAAACTTTATGTAATTGATTGCTGGGCATGTTTTTATTCATACAAAAATGTTCCTGTAATCATACAGACAAAAATTATTTAGCTTTCTTCTGGGATGTGTTTAAGTTACTTAGAAAGAGTTTGATGCTTTTGTAACTTGAGGAGGTTTTTAAAATTTTTCGAGGGGGACAAGATAAAGATTTACTCTGTGTCCTTTTTCTCTGCTACTGAGGAAAGACTCTTCCGAGTGAGATAAGTAATGTGCTATAAATTATGAGGGTTTACCCTCTGCCTGGTAGGAACAGAAAATATTCCCAGACCTACAAAATCTTCAGATATTGTGCTCTCTAATCCTTGGGTGATTTTCCCCAGTCTTGAGTAGTTTCCTCACATCCATGCGCTGATCAGTACTCAGATGATTACTCAAAGTGTGTCCACTAAAGTAGGGGTTCCCAGCCCTAGGCTGCCTACCAGTACTGGTCTGTGGCCTGGTAGGAACTTGGCAGTGGAGCAGGAGGTGAGCAGTGGGTGAATGCGCATTACTACCTGAGCTCCGCCTCCAGCAGCGGCATTAGATTCTTACAGGAGTGTGAACCCTACTGTGAACTGCACAGGCAAGGGATCTAGGTTGCATGCTCCTTATGAGAATCTCATTCCTGGTATCTGAGACGGAACAGTTTCATCCCCAAACCATCTTCCTACCACATCTGTGGAAAAATTGTCTTCCATGAAACTGGTTCTTGATGCCAAAATGATTGGGGACTGCTGTTCTAAAGATCTCCGAGTTATCTCTCTGAGCAACTCTCTTTTCTGATACTAAGATCTGTTAATTGCAGCTTCCTTAGCTTCTCTAGACTGCCAGCTTCATCTCCTCATGTAAGGGAAACTCAGGCTGCATTTGTTTTCTTCCTTTTTGCAACAAAGCCTGAAAATATGGGGCAGTTGGAAGACTCTATTTGTTTTCAAAATCTCAGGTGCCATTGTCTTTTGTTGCTTTTTCCAATGTCTTAAGAACTATTGTTTCATTTTTTAAAAATTTTCTCAGTTGCTTCAAGCAGAAGTAAAAGGTTGGTGTCAATTTATCCGTCTTGAATGGACATACAATTTCTAATATTCTATTTTTAACTCAAATTATAGTGGATTATTAATATAATAATAGAATTATTCATGAAAAGAATTACTTTATCTGCAATCTATGTAAAATATATTACATTATGCTCCACTTCATCAAAAACACATTACTACCCCTAGAATATTTAGCTGAGTGCGAATAAGCCCACAAGTATGAGGAAACTACCAAAGGCTGAGAAAATTAAGATAACATTTAAGCATAATATACGTAAGTAAAAATATGACAGCTATATACTAGTCAATAACCAATAAGCTATTAGAATATATCTCAAGGCCTGAATATTTTCCTGTAGTTAGTGAAAGTCTCATTAAGAAAGTGACAATGGTTATCCACAATAGGAAAAACAACTTCCCTGATTATATAAAAGTCATTAATAAATACAGCTTTGAACAATAATTAATATATAAGGAATCTTTAAGACAATGAACATAAGATAATCATCATACATATTTTGGTGATAAGGCTTTTGTGTGACTCCTTCCTTTCATGCTTTTAGATTGCATGTAATAATGATGGAGTCAAGTAACATTCTCAAGTAACTAGAGAGGTTCTTTTCTGCATTCAATAAATATATACAGAAAAATAAATGGAAAAATTGTATTCAATCTTAGAATATTAAATAGAAGAAATGAGACTGTATCTACAATTAACTTCTTTAATATCATTCAAATACACTAAATACAGTAGATACACTAAATATAGTAAATGCACTTTTCTACAGACACTACTATCACCTTAGTTCATGGTATTCTCATCTCCTACTTTATCATTTTCATGGCTTACTTATTACTCTGCCTGGACCCAATCTTCATTCCAATTCATTCTGCACCTTCTTGCATAGTAATATTTTTAAATTCAAAGTAAAAAAGTATTTTTCTCACTGACGAATAACCTTCAATGAGTTCTCATTATCAGCAGGATAAAAACCAGCCTTTCTAAAATGATACTAAATACTCATCAAAATCCAGATCACAAATGAATGGATGAAAAAAAATGAATTAATCATATTAATTTTTTCATCCTCAAATGTTGGAATGGTGATTCACCCATAGTAGGTGCTCAAAATTATATATATGTCATGGTTGGATATTTAAAAGATAAGGACTTTTCTCTTTTTTAGTTTTTTTTTTTTTTTTTTAGCATATTGCTTTAATGAGGAAATACGTAAAAATTATTATTGTTCCAGAAGGTAGATGAAAAACAGCATTACTGAGCCAAGTACTGGGCCTGGCATAGCTTGCACCTAAGCAATGTTTATTGAACAAATGACTCTGCATTTATGTATTACTTGGATTAGTATTGCAAAAAATATGAAATTAAATAGTGTATACCCTGGACACTTAGCACCATTCACACAAATGTTGCCCAGGAGGTCTGCAGCATAGTTAACTCTAAATTTATTCAGCTCTTCTGCCTTCTTATATAAAATAGCACTTCTTTCAAGCTGAATTATCTTTTTGTGTCTTAATATGGTTCTTAACTTCTTTCATTACCTGCCATTATATTTATTATATAACATAATGTGAATGTAAGGATTTTATTATTTTATATACCACTACCTGTCCAATACCTAAAATAGCACCTAGAGTACAGTAAAGATTCACTAAATAACTGTTAAATGAGTGAATACATTAATGAAAGCTTTCAGAGACCTCCCTCTTTATTCTTCATTAACTTCCATCACTATTAGAGCAAGGACCCAATTTTGCAGTTAATAAATTAGATGAAATCTAGAAGACAGAATTGTGGGTGGAAGGGAAACATTCTCAATATCATTGCTGATCTTTGAAATTTTGAAGACATATCTTCACATATTTTAGAATGGCTATAAGTCTTTAATAAATGAAGTTCAAATACTATGTGCAAAAGTGTTTATCCTTCTGAAAGAATACCGGCATCATTAAATAAATTCTGCATCAAACTAAAGCCTATAGAATCTGTCACTTCTTGACACGGCGATTGTATTTACAAAAAAAAATTCTATTTTATATTTAAGTCTACTTGAAAGACTCTTGAATCTACTGGATCCAAGTCTGACCCTTTTCTATTTCTATTTTATAACTTATCTAATCACTAAAATGAAGAGTTCATGAGCGTAGATGGATAGCTAAAATGTGCCATATATTTGATCTCTCTTATTTGCACAGCTCAATATAATGGAAATAGATATACTAAAGAACCAAATAATGAAGTCACTCTGTCTGTCATAACACTGGCACTTGTATTTTCTTTGTTAAATACAAAACAAAAAGCAGAACATGAAAGGGTGAGAAACACTCATGTTAGTGTACTGACTTAACTGCCTTAAATTACAAAACACTCTACATTGTAGAAATTGTTTTCACATAGATGATCTCACACTTTTTAAAAAATAGATGGCTGGTGTCTGCTTTTAAATATGTAAAACTTAAGAAACAAGCTACTCAGTATATTTTATTCATTTAGCTGCCAAAGAATAATATTTTAATATGACAAGATTTAAAACACAAGAGTATATTTTTTACCTTTTCTTGTGATTAGAGATTTAATTGGTCTATATTGCTTTAAAATAGCCTGTGCTAGTTGCCCTATCCAATAATATTACTACTTGGGCAAAAGAGAGTAGGTTGAAATGAACTTTTATGATTTTCAAACATCATTTCGTCTTCATCACATTATTTGCAGCATTTGCTTGAAGTGAGTTCATTTGCCATCTTGTACCCTGCAGAGGCATCTTTATAAGGATGTCTTTTATTTAAAATAAGGAAATCACTTTCATGATAGGTTTTTATGTCAATTTCA
The DNA here is from genome assembly GCF_000001405.40 of Homo sapiens. Classification (NCBI taxonomy): domain Eukaryota; kingdom Metazoa; phylum Chordata; class Mammalia; order Primates; family Hominidae; genus Homo; species Homo sapiens. The sequence continues at coordinate 59,069,571 of NC_000004.12, read as the reverse complement.
AAATATCTTGTAATTGTCCAATGTGTTTAAACTTGTGTCTGCTTTAATTCTTACCCAGGATATAAATAAACACTTTCAATTAATGGATTAATGCAGAATTACTGTGAGTACTTCAGAGAGTTAAATTCCATTACATTTCCTAAGTGTTAATCAATTAGTCATTTCACTAGCTGTAGGTCATAAGATTGGAGTGCCCCTATGAATTGATTCCCTACTCTTTTCATGAACGAAAATATGCTTATTAATTCAATTCAATGAAATGTGTCACATCTGTGGCTAATTTTAGCTTTCCCTTTTCAATCTCACTGGAAAACTCCACCCCTCACCTTTGGACTGCACAAAAGCTAACCTCTACACATCCCCCCTGACATGTGATTAAACGTGCTTCAAACTGCTGGCATATGCTGTATACCAAATATTGTACCTATCAAGCTTTTACATGTTTTCATTTTGAAATTTCCATTTAAATGCAAATTCCGCCATTTAAATAGAGTCCTCCTGTTCTTTATTACACTATAATTACTACTTCCCATCTTCCTCGGACTGACTGCAAGAAAGGGCATAGGTCACTTTACGAGCCCTCTAAAAGTGCAGTTGAAATCAAGAAGTCATCATCGCCAGCATTTCTGAGTGACACCCATTTGTTCAGGGAGGCCTGAGGGACTGATTCAAACAGTGCCCTCAAACATGTCCTGTCCTATGATTTACAGGAACAAAAACAAACAAAGCCCACAGCTACCATTTCTTCAGGACCATGTGAGTTAAATAATGTAGTTAGGATTTGGCACAAGTAAATAGCAATTGAAACGCTGCCCTCATTTTGAAAGGAGACACATGCCAAGTGATACAAGCTAGTTCCAATGCCAAGAGATAAGCAAGAAATACAAATATATTTAGATATTCTCTATTCTGATTAAACAAAATGCAATCAATCATGAGTTAAACTGAATAAAAATATGTTAGAACTAATATTTTCCATAGGTCTGGTTAGTAATATCATTGGCAATAAAGTACAATGTATAAATTTAATACAAATTTGAAAGTCCTTAGGGTGTATGCGTATAAATAAAATTAATACTAGGAATTTTAGATGGTAAAACTACAGAGTAACAAAATCCATGAGATATAACATTTTGAATACTTAATTATTAGCATTTAATACAACCTTAAAATTATATATTTCACATATATATTTTGTGGCATTTTTTGGGGAAAGGTTGAAGGCGAGAAAGTGGGGTTGGGATGTTGTGAGTGTCAACCAGAAAAAAGCAAAATTCTATAAGCAGGTTATCTCCAAAAAGTTTACTTGAATCTCTGTTTTGATAGGCTGCATTATATAGTGGAAAAAAAAAGAATATTTGAATCAGATGAACATGGGCTCAAGAGGATTAAAATTATGAAATTGGTGTCCCTGAGCAAGATATTTAATCTTTTTCTGAAACTGGAAACTGAGATTATAAAACATCTCTGAGGGAAGCACATAGTAAGGGGAGAGAGAGAGATGGACAGATGGATTGCTTTAGGTAATAACATCATTGAACACAAGACAGCTAACTTCCACAGACATTGAAAATACCTATGCACTTAGTTCCACACTCATTGGAACATGTGTTAATATTTGATTACAGGAGAAAAACCCATCCCTTAACTCATAATTTCTTGATACTTAAGCCTCTCTATTAATTATGACAAGATTTGAAACACAATTGAATATATGTTTACCTTGTCTTGTGATCAGATAATTAATTGGTCTATATTAGCTTAAAATAGGCTATGTTGGTTGTCTTATGGGTAATATCACTGCTGTATTTTTATCCCAGTTCATTGGGTTACAAATTCTAGGACACTGAGTGAGAAACATTACACCAGCACTGAAGGAGCCAAACACAACCATTTATATACAGGATATCTTCAATTTGAGCCCTGTCATCTTTAACCATATCCTTTTAAAGTGCATTAAATCACCAACTAAAAATTTATTATTTGTTCTTCTGCTTGCTTTCAACTGGACTCCTTGTTATCTGTCTCTAAAATAGAGGTAAATCAGGCTTCATTTTCTAAGTAGAATCTGAATATCATACTTGCTATTAAGCCAACTTAAATGTTACTCACAAAGCTCTGATTTGGGTAGTCACTGGTCCATTCTGAACTTTGTAAAGTACGTCGTGCCAAAGTTGCTCTTTCTATCAATAATATTATTTATTCTCAGTTGTCATCTGGGATTATGTCCCATACCAATATTGAGTTCATATTTCCAAAATATTTAATGATCATTCAATTCTTTACAACTTCTCATTCAGGTAATTTATTATACTATAAAGTGCATGTATAAAAATATAAATATATTCTAAAACACAAAGCATTCCTCAGCATATGACATAGCTATTTAATAATGGGTATTCTTTTCTTTTTACAAAGTAATATAAAGATTTGGCTCTCTCTTTAGCCTAAAAGAGCAAATAACCAGATCCAATATTTGTAGCCATCTGGTTATACTTACATACCTGATAAGGCTGTGACTACAAGAGCCCATGGGGAACTTTTTGTCCAAACAGACCATAATGTTCAGTATTCTGACTCAGTGCATAGGTTTGGATTAATAAAATGTCACTCCTATTGAATGATTTAAATCCCATTTTAAATGTTGTTCACAATTGGTGAATCCTGTAAGTTTCAATTTTGCTTCTCAAACTGTTCATTACATTTTCTTCTAAGATTATGTTCTGGACGAATTTTTTACTTCTTACATTCATTTCTGGAAATTAATAGCATGGCCCAAGCACATTTTTTTCCATGTGAAAATATATATTCTTTAAGCCTTATGCTATGGATTTATCTTTACCCTTATTCTATTTTCCAGACAACAATATTTGAACTCCATAAATTGTTTCAAAATGTCAGCAGAACGCAATTGCTGTTGTCAAGATATTAACAATATCAATAATTGAATCTTTCTCCCTTCTCAATTCGTGGTGCTAGCTACATTATGACATCTCTCTAGTTTCTGGCAGTTCACCAAATTATTCCTTAACTTATTTCAACTTCAAAAAGTGGAGCACCTGTAGAAGATTGTAGTTACACCCACTTATATTTCATTCATTCATTTATTCTTTCACACAACACCATATCTCTTGAGTGCCCACTTTATGCCGGGTACTAATCAAGCACTAGGGATAGACATATAAGTGAGTCAGATAACTCTCTGCCCTCATTAATTCTTAATTTAGTGAGGAAAGGCATAGAATCATAACCAAATAAATATATTGCGTGATGTCAACCACTAGCACCACAAGCAAACTAGAGAGGACTAAAGTGAAAGAGAGTGGTGTGAGAGAGGAAGGAAAAGGCGTTAGAAATGGAGTGGGCCTGGCACAGTGGCACACACCTATAATCCCACTACTTTGGGAGGCCACGGTGGGTGGATTGCTTGAGTCCAGAAGTTCAAGAGGAGCCTGGGTAACATGGGGAAACCCCGTCTCTACAAAAACTAAAAAAAAAAAGTAGCCAGGCATGGTGGTGCACACCTGTAGTTCCAGCTACTTGGGAGGCTGAGGTGAGAGGATCCATTGAGCCTGGGAAATCATGGCTGCAGTGTGCTAACATTATACCATTGCATTCTAGTGTGGGTGACAGAGCCAGATCCAGTCTCAAACAAAAAAACAAACAACAACAACAACAACAACAAGGAATTTCAAAATATCTTTTACTAAGATATTAAGTTTGAGAAAAAACTAAAAACTTGACTAAGTGAATGAGAATCTTTGCAAAGATTTGGGGCAAAGGCTGTCCCAGGTAGAGAATAGCCCTGGAATAGGAACTATTTGTTGTGTTCAAAAAACAAAAATGCTGTTTGGTGCACATTGAGCAAAGGAGAAGATTGATTATAAATGAGGTTGGGAGGGGTCTCCCTGGGCTGCACCAAAGGGCATTTGAAATTCAAAGGAAGGGCTTTGAATTTTGATCTGTGTGATGAGAAATTTTGTTTTCAGAAAGATCCCTGTGCTATTATCTGGAAAATTGACTGTGAGTGGAAGAGTGGAAACAGTTTCACTATTGGAGGCAGTTTTAGTAGTTCTGGAGAGATGATGGTTACAAAGACCACGGTGGCAGCAGTAGGAGTGATTGCAATAGAGGGCCAAGTCACTACATCCGTATTTAAAGTTAGAGCTTATAGGGCATATTAGCCCCTTAGTTTCCTAGGATAAGACTGTGATCTTTGAATTTTTTCTGTCTCTCTTACTCCCCCTACACTATCTATCGGCAAAATATATTAGTTCATTATTCAAAATACAAACAGAATCTAACCATATCACTTGCTTCATTAGTATCAACTTGGTTCAAGCCCATGGTGTCTCTAGCCAGGATAAATATCTCCTAACAGGCTATGTCATTTTCCCTAACTCCATGTCATCTATTGTCAATACAGTAACCAGGAAGATACTGTTAAACTATAGGAAGGACCATTTACTTTTTCTGCTCAAACATTTGAAGTGGCTTTAATTGATGTGGTTTATTGCTACGCCTTTTATTCCCTCCTGTACTCTCTCATCTCACTCCCTTTCAATGCTAGACTCCTTGCTGTTGCAGCAGCACATGCCACAAATCTCTACCTCAGGAAATTTTTGCATTCTCTATCCTCTGCTAGAATTCTCTTCCCCCTCTGCCTTACCCTTCCACTTACTTCATATCTTAATGTAGTGTCAACATGTCAGCTAGACCTTCCCTAACTTGCTATTTTAAATTACAACTCCTGAAGCTAAGCTTTCTCTTCAATATTTCTGTTCTATTTTACCCCGTAACTCCTATATAGTCTATATATTCTATTTATTTTATTTCTTATTGTATGTTTAATTTGTGCTGCTCATGAAGAAGATCCAGCCCTCCATCTCCTGGGTACATGGAAGAATTACATCTTTGGCCCTTTTATGTTTGGGTGGGACCAGGTTACTAGTTCTGGTAAATGAGGTGTTGAGCAATAGAACTAGAAATATGTGTCATTTCTGTTCTGGAATATTTGACTACTGGTATGAGGCCCTCCATAGTCTCTATTCCACTTCATTTGTGATTGGTGGAAAAAACAATGGCTGTACCATAGGTCTTATAGAGCGGAGCCTCAAGCCAACCTTTAATAAACATTCAGCTTGTACAGTAAATAAACCTTAATTGTTTTAAGATTCTAAGAGTTGGGGGTTATTTAATAGGGCAGCATTTACTTAGTCTATATAAGCACATCTCTTTGTTTTGCTCATTGTTGTATCCTTAGAAACTGGAAGAATATCTTTCACATAGTAACTTACCAAAAAAATGTTGAATAAATGAATTAGACATTCAGTGACTACTAATTATGAGATTATAATTATTTCCCTGTTGTAGTCAAGAATGGCTCCTCACTGAACCCTACCATTAACCATTAAACCTCTTCGTCTCCATAACACATTATACTGGAATATCAATCTGATTCTAATACTGAATCACATTTATGAGTTGTAATGTTCATCAGCCATGAGAGATTATAGATGAGCCAAAGCCTTTCCTAGAACTTGATCTGTATGGTTGTATTGTCAATCATGGTGAATACTGACGGCAAGGAGGCTAGAGAAAACAAAATGAAATGAGAAATTAGGCATGTTTGCTGGGGGTTTCAGTTATCTGTGTTGCATCGCTGGCAAGAGAGAATACTTTGCTCAATACCATAATCCTTTAGGAGGAAAGACAGTCTTATAGAACAGCAACTCACTTCAAGTCAACGTGGGGTAGAGAAAAGGCTATGCCCTGCAGAGAGCAAAAATCCCATCTAAGAGTGCAAGAGTGCGAGGCTGCATACTGTTTATGCAGGCTTTATCATAGTATTACTCTAGGGTAATTTTTAATTTTTGTTTTTAAAATAATGAGCAGTAAATGCCAGCTCTAGTTAGAAATAAAGCATCGTTCGTGATTTAGCATGTCTGTGTAACTGATTCTAAATTTCCCACTCTGCTGCAACAAGCACAGCTTGAAGCAGCTGGACACATCAAGAGATGGCCATAGTTGATATTAGAGACCAGTAAATGAAAATAGAGAATTACTGAGTTGCTTGTGTCAAGTTATTAGTAGACTCAGCAATATTGTTATTATCTCTTTTCTATTCAGAGTGCTTAAGTTGCTTTAGTCATTAACATTTCATCAGATTTTAAGCAGCTGCCAAGAACTGCTCTTACAAAATGACAACAGATACCATCGCTAATAATGTCTACTGTGGGTAGCAGAGAGGATGTTTTTTTTTAGGAACACCACAAATCTCTGTCTTCCAAGCATGAGTCTCCTTGGTAAGACACATGACCTCACTCATCTAACTGCATAGCCAGGGTAAAGATAACATAAATTTTCAAAGAAAAATGATGGATTCACTATGAGTGGTGTTGCAGGGAGTACTGGAAACCCCAAACTGGAATTCATCCCTTTGGTATTTAGTAGCATGAAATCATCTGGAAAATAAGCACTTTGCAGTCTTGATCTTAATGATATGAAGTTTAGCATACTTTACACACACACACACACGCACACACACACACACAGAAAGAGAGACAGAAAGAGAGAGAATTGTTTTAAGATGAGGAGTTAGCTTTTCTGTGTCACTTGAGTTTTCCAGACAACTGAATTTTATCCACAGTTAACTTTCACAAAATATTTATTCAGTTAGCTAATAAGCCACAGCAAATTAAGTAAAATGTTTAGAGGATAGCTATAAAAGTGAAGCTAAATTTAACAATACACAATATGCTCAGATTACTCAAATTTTAAATATTCTGTTATGATTTAGAATTTAGGGAACAATAGTTGTAACATATGCACAAAGCTTAAATATACAAATTTAGTAAAATCATTTTACCCTAGTAATATTTGATTCATGATTTGATAAAAATATGAACAGTTATAAAATGAAACCCATCATCTACATTGGGTATTTGTCCTAAAATTTTTATATTAATTATTTTTCTATCTTCTATAGCTGGTATGGTTCATACCTGTTCATATGTTCATATGTCCATACATTTGTTTTCTATCATATAGATATTGTGTCTGATTATAGATAGCTACCTAGTAACCCATCCCACTCCTTGAAAACTTTTGTGAGCTTCTGAGATATTGAATAACCAGATAAATTACCAACTCCAGAAAGGTAATCGAACATTTCTTGATACTTAAAATATATTTGAATATTTAAAGTTTAATGCCCAGACTCTGAGCAACACATTCTAATTTCATGTTTTAGTAAAAATAATTCACATATAGAAAATCACAATTCTAGTCACATGAGCAAAACAGTGTAACAAATAAATGTTCTATGAATAATGTGAATTCAAACAAAATTAAGTGAGGCTCGGAAATATCTAGTGGAGTTCTGATCTCCTCACAGAGAGATCACAGATAAGGAAGCTGATAAGGACAAAGTGCTATTTTTTAAATGAGAAAAGGGGATGAACTCATTACAATAAAGCCTAGGTCCAAGACATTGCATGACACAGAGAAGCAGAAGTCACTTGGGATGAGAGATATGTGGAAGCGTCTTTTCTGATAAGCTAAATTGAAACCTACACAGGGCTTCACTAGGAGGGCAAGAATTATCCCTCAAGGCCAAGAAGGAATCCATAACATCTAGTACACTCATGCATCAATGTAGTTCTATGGTTTTGACCTGGATAGAATTCAGACTGAACTTCTTCCTCTTAATCTCAGTCAAGTTATTTTATTCTCCGTGTGTGTGTCTGTGTGTCTGTGTGTGTGTGTGTACATGTGTGTGTGTGTTTGTCTTAAGTATTAAATATGAAGACTACTATATTATGGATTCATTGTAGGAATTAAATAAAATATTCTGTGTAGATCATTTTAAATTATGGCTGTTATATAGAAAACTCAATAAATGGTAGACTATGGTAAGGATGTTACACTTAGGAAACAGCATTTAAACACACCCTCTTCATTGGATGGAGCTTAATGTGATTGTAGTATTAGTGTAATTTTATTACTTTTATTTTAATGTAACAAGATTTCAATACACTTCTTTCAAATTAAGTATACTTATTAAGTTTACCATTGACAGGCAAGCATCTTACTTACGCTGCATTCAAAGGAAGTTATTTTCCTGCTCTGATTACCTCTGTTACCATAAAAGTTTTAATTTTTCACGGCTCTGTGGTTCCTGTCTTTGGAATAGTCTAAATGTAATTTAGGTACTGCATCACACCAATATTTATAGAGTATATTGCATTTTATGATCGCATAATGAAATGCAAGCATATGTAATCTAATAAATTTAATTTAGAAGAAAAAGCACACAGAAGCAAATACACACACTGCTTTATATATTCCCTAAGGAAACGTTCTTGCTTGCAAACTAGCAGCCTAGCATTGGTGACAATCAACATATTATGAGACTATTGACTATCTTGTGAGTCACAAATGGAAAAATAGCCAACCTGATACAGCAGGAGGCAGTCAAATCCCTAAGCAGATGTAGGTGGGTCCCCAGTGAAACCCAGCCTTCAAGCCACAGACAGTTTAAACCCTGACAAGCAAGCTACAAGTCTCAAATAAATCCGTGGACCAGACTGAGAACCTCTCTTCTTGTTTGGTGCAGTTTCCTTTTATTGATCCCCTCTCTTCACTATTTTACATATACCTACCCTTATTTAATTAGTTTCTTACATTGTTGTGCCCATCTTTGAGTGCTGGCTTTTTTTAGCCTTTTTTTTTCATCTTTTTTTCATACTCACAAAACAATTATCACTCACTCCTCCATTTGGAGCCAATAAAAGCCCTGGACTCAGCCACACTTTGGGGAGCTACCTGACTTTGGGTAGGGGGCCGTCTCCTTCAGGTCCCCTCTCTGCAGAAAACTGTTCCATTGCTCAATACAACTCTCTGCTCTGCTCACCCTCCAGTTGTCAGCATAACCTCATTCTTCTTGGTCAGGGAACTAGAACTCGGGAACCACGGAATGCAGGTATGAAAAAGGTTGTAACATTGTAGCCCTCCTCCCTCTCTGCTACCACCAGGCGGTTGCCCCACATGATGGGAAACAGCCTCAGGACCCAGCCCAGGAGTCGCGGGCCAGGTCGGAGCAATGGAACTGAAAGAGTTGTTAACACACCCCCATCCACCAAGCAGATGGTGGGAATAACATGCACTCTGGGGCTCTGCGGTCACTGGTGTCTGAGTTTCTCCAGCACCACCCCATTCCCCTTGTCCAGACACCAGCGCCCAAGGTGGAAGCAGGTCACAGGATAACCAGCCCAGCTGCAGGCTGAGTGCAGATCCCAAGGTGAGCATGGGATCTGGGCCAGAAAACAAGCCATGTGCAGCCAGCCAGGCCAAGTGGGTGGAGTACCTCCTGCGGGGAGCCTGGGGCCAAGCAAGACCCCGGGCAGTGGCACCAGCAGCCACAGAAGTCTCCAGCTGGCAAAGTGGCACCAAAAAAATCCTGTGTCAAACCCAGGGTTGTGAATAATTAAGCTATCTCTAGACAATTAATGATGAAATAATATTACTAAGTAGTTTCGCTGAATGCAAATTAACATGATGGGCACACGCACAACTCTTGACACATTTGAAATTCCAAATAACTTACATAATTTCATACAGGGTTCAGAGATCCACCATTGGCAGAAGAGCAAGGACAACAGAGCACGTTACAATAGGGCCAGCCATCTTTCCTTTATGTAGCAATTGGGTAGCCAGATCACTAGTTACTATCTTGCTATTCACACATGAATCTGTTGGTTTTGGCAGACTGGACTGATCCTCAGATGAAGAGTTAATTTAACCCTCAAACATAGGGTTAAATTAGCTCTTTCTATACTAGTTAGCTAAAGGAGAAACACATGCCATCCTTGAGGATGGAAACTACTCTGGCCTTATAATGGGTTACAGAAATATTTCACACACATTATCTTCTTTACACTTTAATATAGTATTTTGGGCATAGAAAGCAAAACCTTCATTATTTCTACTTCAAAATTATGGAAACCAGATCTCAACAGATGAGGTTTAAGTCTTCAGTTTTTTCTCAAAAAGCAAATAATGTAATTGAAATATAAACCTCAATTCTGAGCCCATTCTAAATTCATTTTCTGTGTACTTCTTTGCCTTTACTATGGTTAACAAACACCATACAACTTTGCTATGTGACATCAGAGTGCATGTCACAAATGTCCTACTGCTATAACTGAAATTTCCATTATATTTACAGCTATTTCTTTGCCATCCATCTTATTTATATGGCCATCACAGATAAGCAGGCTCCTAATGAGACATCTAATGCAAAGAAGCTGTTAATAAAGAACATTCCCATATCTGAATGTGACAGCTATATCTCATACAGTTCTTGTTCTTTCAGATTATAATAGATGACACTCTATTTTGTTAACCTGTGATTTCAGAAAAAAGCATAATGCTGCAAAAGGCCAGCTACTTGTTTGCCTTGCAGATAAACTTCTAAGTTATTTCACCCATTATTTCTCTTAATAAACTATTTAATATTTTGATGCTAAAGATTAGTGGCAACTTTCAGTTCATTCTTTCTCTGATGAATCAGAATTATGTATAGGTTTCTCCTCCTGAAAAAATTCTCCCTGGGACTGAGACACACAGAAAATTGTAAGAACTACCTGTGTTTCTCCTTTAGCTAAATACTAACAAAACCAAAAAGAAAAGAAAAACAAAGGTCCTTTGTGTCTTATTTCTAGAGCCTTTAAACAAGCTATGCAATTCTAAAACTGCCTCCTAGATTCCTAATGAGGAATTGTGATGATCTCTAGGCACAAGCAATTTTTAACCAGGAGAGCTAAGTGCATGCCTGCACATGTGACCGAAGGCACTCTTTATCTCACAGGTTTGTGGCGGCTCTGAAGACCCTTCTCACTAAACAACAAAATAAATCTTTCTAGATTCTTGAATTTCATTAATTTCTTTCTTACCAAAGGCTCTGCTATTATTATGTGTTGTTTGAATATAAGGAAAAAAAGAATAAGATGTAGAGGGATGGTCAATACAAATATAGATATGTATTTCAAGAATAGGTGGTTGACTTTCTCACTTCTCAAAGGAATATAATTTTAATTGATTCTAATCTTATTGTGTCTTTATATTGGTTCTATGTATTCCAGCATTATTAACCGCATTTTGTATTTCTATGTAGTACTTCTTCTCTTATGTTTTATTTTACTACTTTTAAATCCCTCAGTAGGATGTAGAGTTTTAAATGGTATGACTTTATATTAAAAAGTTTTAACAATATATCTGATGCCACAAACTTCTCAATTAATAAGTTAATATTTTTAATTAATAATTAATATTTTTCTTATCCTTTATGGAAGAATGGCAAAGAGTACAGGAATAATTTCAACAGAAAAAAATGAAATGAAACAATATTTGCCAAGTTCCATTAAAACTACTTTACAAATATTGACTCATTTAAGCCTTAAAACATCTCTGCGAGATAGTCACTATTATTAACCCCATTGGACAAATGGGAAATGAAGGCACTCAGAGGTTGAAGAACTTGATTGCTCAAGTTTATGTAAACAATAAGTAATTCAAGAACAAACTTAGGCAAGCCCAGTCAGGGTCATACTCTAACCCATGATATCATACCTTACATGTCAAATGAGCCTGTTCCAGATTTAGCAACCTCTGGACTGGGCGATTTTCTAAATATCTGAAGAAGTAATTTCTAGTGAGATTATCACTGTCTTTCTGGTTTTATCCTATAGATTCAAATTAATCTGAACAAAAATCTCAGCAAGTTTTGTTTAATAAATTGGCAAGCTGTTGGCCGGGTGCGGTGGCTTGCGCCTGTAATCCCAGCACTTTGGGAGTCCAAGGTGGGTGGATCACGAGGTCAGAAAATTGAGACCATGCTGGCAAACACGGTGAAACCCCGTCTCTATTAAAAATGCAAAAAATTAGCCGGGCGTGTTGGCGGGCGTCTGTAGTCCCAGCTACTCAGGAGACTGAGGTAGGAGAATGGCGTGAACCCGGGAGGCGGAGCTTGCAGTGAACCTAGATCCCGCCATTGCACTCCAGCCTGGGCGACAGACTCCGTCTCAAAAAAAATAAATAAATAATGGCAAGCTGTTTCCAAAATTCATATGAGAATGCAAAGAAAACAGAGTAGTCAAAATGATGGAGTAAAGGATAAAGTTGAAGGACTACAATACCTGAATCGAAGTTTTATATAAAGGCACTGTAACCAAGACCTTGTGGCATTTGTGAGGATAGACATGTAGAAGAATGGAATAAAATAGAGAACCATAAACAGATGCACACATTCACTGTTACCTTATTTTCACCAAATAGTTGAGGAAATGTAATGTCTAAAAGGTAATCTCTTCAACAAATGCTGTTAAAGCAACTGAGCTTCTGTAGGGGAAAAAAGTATTACCCTCTTCCTTTCCTCAAACCATACCAACAATTAACTTGAAATTAATAATAAACCTAATGGAATAATTTGCTCTATAAAACACTTCTGCAAACAGAAAATCTTTGTGGCTTTGGCATAAGTAAAGGTTGCTTAACTCGCATAGAGTAAGCACTCATATGAAAAAAGAAAATTAATAAATTTGAATGTATTGAAATTAAAACATTCTGTTCTTTGTAGATATATTCAAGATAAAGGCAAGCCATATACTAGAATAAAATTTTATTTCTAAATTATTATATACATTGAAATTAGTTAAGATACCTATTATTGACATTATTTATAAATCATATATGACAAAAAACTTGTATCCAGCATATTAAGTATATATAAAGAAGCAAAGATATGCAAATAAGTAATGAGAACACAACATCAAATATAGAAAAAGAAATCTTTACAGCTGCATTACAAAACAAAAAATAAAATATCCATACACATAAATATTTCTTAACACTATTATTCATTAGGAGAATGCAAATTTAGGCTATTATATATCTACAAAATCAGCTAACATAAAAGGAATGACAGTCTTTACATCGACAAACATGTGGACTGACTAGAAGTCTCAAGCGTTACTGGTGGAACTATAAAATGATGCAACTACCTTGGAAAATAGTTTGGCACATTCTTTTTATTTAAAACTATCCTTGCCATTCCACCCAGCGAGTCTATTCTGTGGCTTTTTATTTTAAATAACTGAAAACATGTCTACACAAATACTTTTTCATGGATTTTTCTTGTAGCTTTATTAAAACTCCAGAACTCAGCACAGTCCAAATGTCCATCAACAGATAAATTGGTAAATAACTTATGGTATAGCAAAAGGATGTGATACTGCTCATTAACTTAAATAACAATATACCAATGCATGCAAAAATATCACTGAATTTCTAAAACATTATACTGAGTGAAATAAATTAACACATAAGAGTAAGACTTCTGTAGTTCCATTTATATCAAAGTATAGGACATACAAAACTAATTTATAGTGACAGAAAGAAAATCAGTGGTTGCCAGGGTCCAGAGTCAGGTAGAATTTATTGAATATATGGTGGTACAAATATTTTATATCTTGATTATTATTGAGACTACATTGTGGATTACAATTGTCAAAACTAGTTGAACTATATACTTAAAAATAGGTGCACTTATTGTATGCAAATTATCTCTCAATAAAGTTTATTAAAACTGTAAAATGAAGGACTGTGGAAGCAGTAACTGGAATAAAATAAGGAGCAAAAAGAAAGGAGCTCTCAATCTGAATTATCAAGTGGCTATATGTTGACTTAAAACACATCATTTATTTCAATGTATGTAATCAGATGCAGATTCGCCCAATTCCCATACAGTTGGCACCTGCATTGGGATAGCATGCTAGAAGAACTACTGGCAGAACAATCTAATACCTTTTGTTTTATGTAATTCCCAACCCTGAGAAAGAACACAAGCAATTGCATATCTCTGTTCTATATATCCATTAAGTAAAATATTGTACAACAAAAACTCTTTGATAATTACTCACCTGGAAACAGGTATTGAATATCTATTCTCCTAAAGAACACTAAGAAAATACCCCAAGCTTTGTTGAATTATTATGAGCCTATTTTTTATTTTTCAATTTTTCATACTTTTTATGCATTTGGTTATATCTAAGCTGGGATAATAATTTATCTAAATAAACAAACTTCAGTCAAATAAATTTTCCAAAGCTAGGGATGACATGTTTCTTCATGTAGAAGAAAATTGAAGAGACTCGGAATCACAGAAAGAGAAAATAGAAGGTTAACTGTAACTTCATTTAAATCAACATGTTCACTTTGCAAGTATGAAAAACAGCACTCTGAGAAAGAAACCAAAAAGAGTATGTTTGATAAAATTGATGATTTTCCTAATGACATATATTGTTACCAGACCTTATGTCAGAATTCCAACCTTCTCATTCTCAATTCAGTACTCTTTTTCTAATACCTAGATACATAGTACTAGGAAAATAGTTTGGGATTATTATTATAATAACTATTGATTATAATTATTACAATTAATTATAATTATTGATTATAATTATTACAATTAATTATAATTATAATTATTAATTATGTCACATATTCCTGTGACACATTATGTTACATATAATTATAATTATTAATTATGTCACATATTTCTGTGACATAATTAATTCACTGAATATTCCCATTCATATTGTCCTTATGTTGATATTATGGTTAACAACTTAAGTCTTTCATATTTCCCACTGGAGTATATAAAGTCTGTGAAGAATCTATGCATCTGGAATTTTTGTAATTCTCAATGTGATTTGCTTATACTTAGTAAAGTAAGGTTGAATGTGGTATAAATTTATAAACTAATTTAAAAATAATAAAGAAGTTACTTGGTAACTTCTCAGATTATACAGTATTATATTTGATTATTATAATCACTTTTTTTAAGAAATGAGGAAGATTAGACCCTGGAAGCTTAAAAGACTTTCTCAACATTAATTATTTAGGAAACAACCTTTATATTCTAGTGGAATGTTTTTATGAACTACACCGAGGGCTTTCCACTTTACCTAAGCTGTTGTCAACTCTCTTACACATGTTCAGTCAATATGAATAAAAAGAACTATCTGCTTTGTATTTGCCATTATTATTTCCTGCTCATTCTTGAAAAAAATGAAAGTATTCTTATCAGTGAATTGAAAAAAGCATCATTTATCAGTGGAATAGACATGGAGATTATAAAGCCTCTCTACTAAGCACAGAGAATAAACTCTTCTCCACTTTCCATTATTACATACATAATTTATGCTTGAGGGATTTTTGAATGAACGATAAAATTTGTAAGAAAAATGTCTATGACATTTGTAATAAGTTGTGCTTGCATCAACTGCAGTGTCTGTTTCATCTCAGTGACAAGCTAAGAAATGAAAGTTTTCTCATAGCATCTTTAAGTATTTCATTTTGAAAGAGACCAGGTGCTTCTATATTTCATAAGGGTGGGGTTGAATTGTTTTTTGCTACATAGTAGGAAAGACTCAACTTATTGTGGTGAAATTGATAATTCTGATGACTTATATGATAACTAGTCTTATTGTTTTCTAATACTATATTTAAATTTGCTTCTCTACCAGTATAATTGTATTTCATGGAGTTTTAAAAGCATCTTTAATGATCATTGCACAAGCAGTTGTGTGTGAGTGTGTATATATATGTATATATATTCTATTACTTTTTAAATTATCTCTTGTTGCAAAACTGAGGAAACAGAATGCCTTATAACTTCAAGTTTATACTTGGCCATTTTAAGGTCATCAAATGGTTAACTCTTCTAGAAACCCTGATATTTCTCAGCTAAAGGTATATTTTTATTTACTTATGTACCTATTTACTATCCATGTAACATTGCTGCAATGATAACTCTCTTGTTTGTTTATATTTCCCTATACTAACCCCCTTGAATAGCCCCTGACACAAGGACTTTCATAAACTAACACTTTTGCTTGCTTGGGCCAATAGGCTAGCAGGCAATATGAGATAAATAGTGACCTAGGAAGTGCTTTAACACTGATGCTTGCTCTGATGCTACTCTGGAAATCTTGACAACATGTAAATAAACAATTGCAGCCTAGCCTGCCATGTGCTTAGAGACTAGGTGAAGTGATGTCCATTTACCCCAGCCCTCCTAGGCAAGACCATCATTAACCAGCAGCCCCACCAGCTCAGAGGATCCATGAACAAACACAGTTGAGATTAGGTGAACCAGATCAAGAGCAGGATGAACAACTAGCTGGGCCTGAGCCAAATTGTCAACCTGGAGAACTATAAGCTAAATAATAGTTGACTTTTTAAGTCCTTAAATTTTGGAATGATTTCTTATGTAACCAATGCTATCAAATATATTACCTGTCTTCAGTAACTGCACACAATTTTTATTAGGCAAGTATTTTATCTTGTTCTTCTTATAGTTCTAGCACCAAGAACAGTGCCTGATACACCATAGTGTTTTGAAAATATTGGGTGAATAAATAGTGAAGAAAATAATAAGGGAATATTATTCTAGCTTCTCAAGGTTCTTATCTGTCACAATTGGATCAATATTTATTTGCTTCATATGCCTGTTTTTTTTTTTTTTAATTTGAGATGGAGTCTTGCTCTGGAGTGCAGTGGTGGGATCTTGGCTCACTGCAACACCCCCCGCCCCCGCCCCCGGGTTCAAGCGATTCTCCTGCTTCAGCCTCCTAAGTAGCTGGGACTACGCATGCGACACCAGGCCTGGCTAATTTTTGTATTTCTGGTAGAGACGGGGTTTCACCATGTTGGCCAGGCTGGTCTCAAACTCCTAACCTCAGGTAATACTTTCACCTCACCCCACAAAGTGCTGAGATTACAGGCCTGAGACACCATGCCCCACCTTCATAGGTCTTATTGCCCTTAAATTCTTTTTTCTCAATTACATTCAGAAATCTTACCAGAGAAAATTATGTCACTTTTCACAAGTGGGATAGCCTCTCTGTTTGCTCAGATCCCTCCTCTGTGGAGGATGGAGTGGGAGTGGAAAATGTGTTACAGATGTAAGGTTCTCTCTTACATTGAATAAAAATAAGAATACCTTTATCCAAGTACAGTATTAAGGATTACATGGAGTATGGGTGGATGCATAGTTTGTTTAGTGTAACATATTGTTAAATGTGTGTACAATCACTGTACGAATATAAAGTATCTTAATCATTGATATTCTCTGAGAGATATTTGCATTGTTGAAATTTTCCTGCATCTGTAAAAAGGTATAATGCCAATATTAACCTTCTGATTTTCTTTTCAGCTGAGTTTAGTTTCACATGCTATGGACTCTATCACAGATTACATGGAATAGTGGCAAGGGGACACTGGGAAAATGTTTTCTGTCTCTCTGACCCTGAGTTATTCATGTTTCTTTGCAATGATCTGTAACAACACTATGTTCTTGGTTTTATGAGTATGATTTTTTATAAAATGGCTGCTCTTATATTAGAATATGGCTAGTTTTCTATTTTATTTTAATTTAAGGTATGTAGGGTTCATTTTATCATAACCTTGCATATTCTGTTAACACTTCATGCTTTTTATAAAGAGATACTCATAAAAGAGAGGCTTGAATCAATTCAAATTTGAAGGATAAGAAACAACTCATTATAATGAAAGATTACAGGCTATAGTCACTGAAAGAATCCTCAACTCTTCCCATAAACTGAGATTTGTTATAATTGAGGCCAAGTGGAATAAGAATTTAGGGAGGGTACCTTTAAATACCCCATAGGTTACAAAAATGTAGATTACCTTTCCAGCAGAGGCTCTTCTTAGTGTGCCTCAAGATACTGTCTTCCTATGCAGTGACCAAAGACATGCACAAGAATGCCCATAATATTATTAACAATAGTCAAATAATTTGAAACCATAGCATTATTCATTAACATTAGAATAGAGAGGCAGCTGCATATTTAATAAATAAAATATTATATAACAATAAAATTATATAAACTATAACTGCATACAACAAAGTAGATGTATCCCACAAATTAATCTTGGGAAGAAAATGGCAGCAGTGTAAAAATGCATAATATATGGTCTCATTTATATAAAATTAAGCAAGAAAAGCAAAAATAACTTTGATGTTAAATATCAGGATAACCGTTGCCTTTGGGGAAGAAACAATGGGGAGTGATTAGAAGGCAAAACAAGGGGGATCTACAGCAATGTGGGCAACTTTCCATTTCTCATTACATTTTAAATTCAATGATTTTTAATTTCTGCAAATTACGTATGTATTTTTTGTTAAATTTTCTAGTCATTTTTCATAGTTTTGATGTTTACTGTTTTTAAAAATATGTATTTTATCCCTTTTATTTTTAATAGTTAAAAATATTTTGAACTTCTGTTGTGATTAAACAGACAAAAATAATTGCCATCATAGAGCTCACATGCTAGTCAACAAATAAAAACAAAATCAAAATAAGGAATTGTTTAGTGACAAACACAATAGAATAGAGCTAGAGGGATTATGTGCCTCTTGGGAGGGTGTTTGTACAATTAATAAGATGATTCCAAAAGACTTTACTGACATGTCTGGGCAAAGACCAGAAGTGATCAAGGGAATGAACTTACAGATATCTGGACAAGAGAGGCCAGGCAGATGGAACATCAACTGCAAAGCTGAGAACCAACGTGGAATGTGAGCATTTGAGGACCAGAAAGCAAGCCACTGTGGCTAAATGAGAATGACAAGGGGGATAATGTTAGATGGTGAAGTCAGAGTTATAATGGATGGCCAGTACAGGCAAGGCATTGAAGACTCTGGGTTTTTCTTTGGATGATGTGGAAAACCACTTGAGAGTTTTAAAGGCTGATATGATCTATCCATCATTGAAAAACATCACTCTTGCTCCCCTGCTGAGAATTGATTCAAGGATGAAAAAGGCAAGGACAGAAGCACGAAGTCCTGAGGACTATTACAATAATCCATAAGAGAGGGGATGCTGACTTAGACCAGGAAGATGGAAGGTGGATAGATACAAATAGTCAAATTCTGGGTTTATTTTGAAGGCCAAGCTGGAAATATTTGCCAAAAAATTGGATTTGGGGTGTGAAAGTAAAAGAAGAGTCAGGGATAAACCCATACATTAATACCTCATCAACTGGATTTGCTGTCATTAATGAAATAAGAGCCATATCAAAAAGAGAAAGTGGCCGGGCGCGGTGGCTCATGCCTGTAATCTCAGTCTTTTGGGAAGCCGAGGTGGGCATGTCACCTGAGGTCAGCAGTTCAAGACCAGCCTGACCACCATGGAGAAACCCCCTGTCTACTAAAAATACAAAAAATTAGCTGGGCGCGGTGGATCATGCCTGTAATCACAGTTACTCGGGAGGCTGGGGTAGGAGAATTCCTTGAACTCAGGAGGTGGAGGTTGTGGTGAGCTGAGATGGCGCCATTGCACTCCAGCCTGGGCAACAAGAGTGAAATTCTGCCTCAAAAAAAAAATAAATAAATAAAAAGAGAGAGAGAGAAAGTTCAAGGGGAGATATGAGATACATAGGGGTTTCAAGATGCCACTGATACACTCAAATCAAAGGACTGGCAGATGTGAAGCAGCTCACATAAGAGACTGAGTAATAGAATCAGTGAGCACAGGGAAAATTAGGCAGATAAAGTGTTTCAAGAAAGAATAATTGATAATCCCAATTATATGTTCCAAGTAGATCCATCATCGTTAATATTCTGTGCCAGGTATTGCTTACAAATGTTAAGATAAAATAGTCACCAACTTGTATGAGAATCCAGGACAACAATGTCTTCAAGGGAGAATCATATTTCCATAAGAGCAAGACAGTAAAAGGAATTTTCTGAGAAAGCATTGGGATATAAAACATTTGACAGTAACAGACCACACATTCTCAAAAAAAAAGGGCAGGGGATAAGGCCCAGAAGAAAGATAAGATTTAGTAATGCATATGAGAGTCACAGGCTTTTCTTGATGACTGACCCAGAAGGGATAAAGGGATTGCTGAAATGAAGCCTTCAGCTTCCTCTTCACTCTTGCCAATACTGATGCAAAAGCTGGAGGTTGGGGGTGGGAGACATATCAAAAGTGTATGGCTTTCTATTGCCTCATCTCCGCTGCTTATGCTCATGTAGATTTGTTTCTCATATTTGCATTGTTTCCTTTACCTCGGGATCTCTAATACTTTTGTTGCTTTTCCTTTTGTTCATCCTCTTCAACCCTGCTCAAATGTCTCTTCCGCTGGGAAAACTCCTCTCAATCCATCAGACTTACTCAATCAGAGCTGTTATTTTCTCTGCTTCTATATCATAAATCATAATAGTCAATTTCTCTTTCCCATGAGACCGTTATCTACTGGATATACTTTAAAAATTGTATGCTTCATCTTTACATTACTAATACTGGGTACATAATAGTTCACTTTTTGAATGAAAGACAAATAATTTGTAGTAGTCTAAATTTAAAAGAACATACTTGAATTTTTAATGAGACCATTGCAAATGCATAAGAGTGAATCTCTCTGTTT
Organism: Homo sapiens; assembly: GCF_000001405.40. NCBI lineage: Eukaryota > Metazoa > Chordata > Mammalia > Primates > Hominidae > Homo > Homo sapiens. The sequence goes on along the minus strand of NC_000004.12, from coordinate 59,049,054 downwards.
ATGTATCTTTGCTATTAACCAGCACAAACATTGGGACATAAAGGCTTTCTAAGTAAGAATCAAGTATTTAAAAATATGTTTAAAAAAGTTTAAAATATCACAATGAAATGAGTGTTGCACATGGTATTCGTTTACATACAGATTTGAGGCTAAGATTAGCTAATAATGGCTCATCTTAAAGCTTTAGGCAAGGTTAGCAGGGAATTCAGAAAAGATAGAAAAAATCTATTCTTATGTATTTTCTATCATCAGTGGCAAGAAAGAGAGACAGGAGTTGGGAGAAGGAGAGAATCACCTTCAAACTGAAAAATTAAATCATTAAATAAAGGAAATTTGAGCCCAAGATAAATACAGACACTTAAAAAACCACTGACTCTAATAAAATAAGGCCAAAACATGGCCGGGCGCAGTGGCTTATGTCTGTAATCCAGGACTTTGGGAGGCTGAGGTGGGTGGATCACGAGGTCAGGAGTTCAAGACCAATCTGGCCAACATGGGGAAACCCCATCTCTACTAAAACTCTAAAAATTAGCTGGATGTAGTGGTGTGTGCCTATAGTCCCAGCTACTAGGGAGGCTAAGGCAGGAGAATTGCTTGAACCCAGGAGGTGGAGGTTTCAGTGAGCCAAGATTGTGTGCTACTGCCCTCCAGCCTGGGCAACAGAGTGAGACTCTGTCTCAAAATAATAATAATAATAATAATAAGATAAAATAAAACAATGCCAAAACACTTAGTCTAGACATTTGGTGTTCAAGGATACTAACAGATCCTCATTAACACAATGATTTACATATATATAGTGATTTACTATTATCCATATCCTGTATTTTTTTTCAAATACTATGCCATAGCCCAGACCTTTTTCCATATAACTGTTAAATAATTGTCTGAGAAATGTATTCTTATTTCCATTCTACAGATGAAAACAGCAACTGTACCTGACTTACCTAAAGACCTGGATGAGTTAAGAAGCAGACCCAGGACTTAAAGACAGATCTTTTGAATTCAGAGCTCTTTCTCCAGGAAAAGAGAACCTACAAGTATATTTTAAGAAACACTTTTGAGAAATAATAGCTCTTTGAGAAATAATAAAAAATGGGAGGGAGGCAAGTATACTTGAGTCAGTTTGTGTACTAATGTTCAAAAAGATAAACTGGTATGTGATGAAATTAAGCAACTGAAACTGGGAAGTTTGATGTCGAATCCTTCTAAAATTCAAAAAGCACGGGTAAATACTTGCTTGGAGGGCATTAGAAAAGAATGTTCAAGCAAAATTACCTAATGCTGGTGTAATATAAGTATAATATAACATAAACTCAATATTGTCTTTCATTTTTGTAATTTTATATACATATTTTTTTTCTGCATGGGGCAGGGATATCACAGATCACATGACTGTTGGAGGACATTTAATCATTTTACTCAAAATTTTGTGGATAATACGAAACAGGTTAAACATTCATTCCTAAGGTGTACTGAGCAATGAAACAAAGGCAATCTGTAGAAAGCGCTCATAGAAAATGCCTGAAGTATCAATTTCTGCACCTATTTCTTAAGTCTGGAACACATCAGAGCATAACTTACCTCCTTAATAAGATTCTGACATTTTTCTGAAGAGCAGAAACTGATTTTCATATGAATTTAATAGTTAGGATTGATTGATCTTTTACAATTAACAGTATTGGGGCAAACTCAAGTGACTGGGATAATCAACCTAAATTATATTAAAACTGAGTTGGACATAGCTGCATTTCTAGGCACACTATTATTCTTCCCCCATGTTATAATTAAATAATTAAAATTATTCCCTTTTTCATCAAAATGATAAATGACAAAAATAAGGGGAAAGAAAGGAAAAACAGCAGAAATCAACCTTCCATTTTTCAGCATGAAATATTCTTGACACAGGCACAGCTGCTGCTTCTGGCAAAGCCTATTACAAATGCAAGTAAACTCATTTTTCCCTACAAATAATATTTTCATTAATTTCACAGTGTTTCAGAAATAAATCACATTGCAGTAGATCCTTTGGAGCTTCAAAAAAATAAAACTGGCTTTCTTAAACATCAAGTTAAATTATTGACCACAGCAAAGGTATGTTGATCATTAGTTTTTATTTCATTATAAATTATTGCTTTTCCTTATTTCCCCATAAAAGTGATGTTATTATTACACTTGTCATAATCACTTATAATTATTATCTCATTTCTTACATTATAGTTTTTATCAGAGTAAGAAAATTGGGTGATGCAGCAAAATTAACCATTTTATATTCAATAATGTTGCCACATCTGCTCATGTAATATCTCTCTATAAAATTCAAAGTATTAATACGTCAGAGGAAAGAAAAAGGGTTCTGAAGGCAGAGAGGTGTTTTAATCAGCGTTCTCCAGAGAAACAGAATCAACAGGATGGATGGATGGATACATACATGCATACATACATATTTACCATGACAAACTGGCTCACATAATTATGAATGCAGTGAAGTCTCATGACCTGCTGTCTCCAAACTGACAGCACAGGAAAGCTGGAGGTATAGCTACAGTGCAGACCAGAAGGCCTGAGAACCAGGATCCTTATCATACGTCCCCATCCAGGTCTGAAGGTCCTAAAGCAACAGCACCAACATCTGAAAACAAGACAAAATGGACATCCCAGTTCAAGTAGGAAGCAATTTTGCACTATTCAGGCCCTCAAATGATTGTATTATGCCTGCCACCACTGGTGAGGGTAATCTTCTTTATTCAATCTATCAATTCAAATATTTCTCTCTTCCAAAAACACCCTCACAAACACACCTGGAATAATGTTTTACCAACTATCCAAGCATACTAAGCTCGGTCATGTTGACATACAAACTTCACCATCTCAAGGTCAAGTTCAAATTCCTATTCCACTATTTGTGTGACTTTTGGCAATTTACATAATCTGTATTAATCCTCCTACATTTTAACAGGAAGAAAAGAGAAGGAAGGATAAGACAAAAAATACAAATATCGATAGATTTGTGTTATATCTTTTGGATATTGAAATAGTTCACATCTATTTGTTTAGTTTTTATTTTTGCTTTTTACTGTGAAGTAGTATATAAAATCATTTTTTGAGAAAGAAATAAGATTTATTGGAGGTTTGATGATACTTTAGGAGGATTTAACACTTGCAAAAAGTGAAAAATAAAAACATTCAGGCAAATATACTTGTTCAGTGGGATCGACGGTCTAGTTAAGACTGTTAAGAATCTAGAGTTGTAAATATGCTCAATTAAGTATATAGATGTTAAATAATAATATATGTTAAATATTCTTACAGTATTTATATTATATCATAAATGCTCAGCCGGCCAATTGTGGGCAAGACAATGTAGATAGTTGGATTATCCAGGCTTAGCGTTTTGTTATGTAATGTAGTGAAAGGAAAAAAGGGCAAGTGAATTTGAAATTTTGGCAAGAGAGTGAGTGACAACATCATGGTGAGTGTATCAGAAGAACTGTGGGGACAGTAAAATAAATCGATAAAATACCGATCCACATAAATTTCATGTGATTTGGAATGGGCATAAGTTCAGCAAGAAATTCAGAAAAGAAGTAGAAATGTAAGGTCACAGGGCAAAAATAATTCAGGATTTTTTTTGTGGTGGGAAGTATAACAATGAGGCTCATGAATTCAGTTACAGGCTAAAGAGAAATTGCATCATAAATGGTAGATAGCAATTGGTCACAAGTCATGCAAGTGTTCACATATGGGTGAACTCTAGCAAAAAGCATCACTTTTAAGGAGCATTACTATAAGTTTTGAAAAAACAGACTTGAGTACTTTGTGTCCTGATTGAGTATAGGTTTCGAAGTCAAAAAAACCTAATTTGATGTATATCTCTGACACTTTCTTGCTTCGAAAACTTTAGGAAATTGCATGTTTTCTCTCAACCTCATTGTTCTTATCTCCAAAGTGAAGGTAGAGATGGGGGAAGATATAGACAGATTAGGTTATATCTCCTAGGTCATATATCACATAAGTGGGTAAAGACTATGAACCTAGATTTTCTAAATTCAGATTCATTGTGCTTTCCTTTATATCACAATAACCTATGTTTAAATATCTAGAAAAAGCAATAAAGAATTCACAATTCATTTACTGGGTTTGGGGAATTCAGACAAGATTTATGTTAGTGCTTATCTCTACCAGCTGTCTTTAAATCGCAAGGCTAAACACAGGCAACAGTTTGCTTGGATTTTCCATTTTGGTTACTTAAAACATATTGCAAGAAGATTCTGCACCTAGGTTTAAAGCACAGTTTAGCTGGTGGCAAAGACTAACTGTTCTCTGCAAAAAATCTAAACAAGCACTAGACATTTCTTCAGTTTTCAATCAACTGTGCTACATGTTTAAAATATAGTTAAAGCAACAGCAAAACTAGAAAGATGGCAGAATGCAAAGGAGCACATAGGCAGGGCCACTTTGCCGCCAGAAAAGGAAGCAGATGGAGAATCATATAAGTAGGAAAAATTAAAGTCAGGCAGGGAAGGCAGCAGAGCCGACATGGTGAGAGCAACACCAGTGAGGAACACAGGCAGATTGCTAAGCTTCACTGCTGCTGCAGCAGCAAGACATTAGACGCAAGTCATGTGGGAAGAATTACTATCTGGAAGTTTTAAACCACATAGATAGAGAAAGACTAAGAATATACTAATAAAAGAGTCACTGCACAACACCTGTTTTACATCTTCGGAACTGAAGTTTTTCCCTCCCTGGTACTCAATGAATAAAGCTCAAATGCCTCACTCTAACTCCTTGTTAAGTATCTAAAATAAATTTAGATGTTAGTAAAATAACATAACCCCGAAGATCTGCACCGTCCCTGTTTATCCCAATATCCCTTATACATACCTTCCGAATTGTTGTAGGAATTTTTTCACTATGCTCTGAGCAAAATATACACATCAACCATTTAAATTTTTCTTAAGATTAGTTAACAAAAGTCAAAGACAAAAACATCAATAGATATTTGCAGGTATATTAACTGAATTGTCATGTAAATAACTGCTTCTGTTGGTGAGATTAAAGCTTAGAAGATTATATTTAATCTTCTACAAGATTTAATCTTGTATTAATACAAGATTTAGTATAGTACTCTCAAGCTTTAAGTTCAACAACTGGAAAAATATCCAGTAAAATGAAAGTAACTCAAATCACACTGATTTGAAGGACTAAAGACAACATCATTATCATCATCTTCACCATCATCTAAAACAAATTCCAAATGCAAGTACAGATTCTGTCTCTACCTTACACACTGTAGAGCACATTGTTATATCTTTAATTTCCTTGTCAAAAATATAGATAGAAATTGATTCTCTCTTTACACAGAATATGACACCAAAAAAAAAGCCTTCTAAGATTTTCCAACTAAATTGGGTAATATGTGGAATGATTTCTTCTCTGATTCCATTGAATATAGAATTGAAGTTTCTACTTATCTAGTGAACACAAAAAACCAGAGCAAAATATTCCCTTGTGGCTTGTTATATTGTTCTACAGAGTCTATTCCACTATTGTGACATAAATGTTCATTTCTAGTAATATTGATTTTTCTAGCCCGTTTTGCTAATTACAGAGGGAATTAACTATGACAAAGCACAATTTTGCAATTGTCAACTGATAAGCAACCAAATTTGAACTTTGTTCAGGCCAAGAGAGAAAAATGAATATTATATATTGATTTTGGTTTTTTGCTAAACACTATAATACTTCCTTCTCTAAAGCCCAAATCACTATAAAACATCAATTTAATACTTCTTTAAATCTTGCTATTTTGATTGTTTACAACTAACAACAATTATTTTGCCTGATTTACACAGAAAGTGAGATAATCAAATTTAAAGTCTGAATTTTTTGTTATATGCATGTGTAAACATATATACACTTAAAACCATCTCTATGTCCTTTTTCCAACTTGTCTCAATGGAAGAGTCAGCCTTGTTCTAACAATTTTTAAACCTAATTTAATATTTTTTGATATAATTTATCCTCTCTCATGTATCTAAAATTTCTCTTTTCTTCATATATATTTCAGTTTATAAATATGACCAAAGCATCCTTATCTCAAATCAATATCCACCTTCTGAACTCACCTTGACATATAGTAAAATAAACAATAACCTCCAGTTGAGAAAAGAGTATGTTACTAGAATAGTAATGGACAACCAAGAAATAATCCCTAGTAAAATTTTTGCCTTTATATTTAAAATATAAAGAATCTTTAGCAATAATTGAAATCAAAAGCTAGGAAAAATTACTATTTAGAAAAATACATATTTTTATGTATGTATGAGTTTAACCATTTTTATGTATGTATGAGTTTTACATATGAGTTTAACCTCATAAAAAATACCAGGTGGATTCAGTTACACGGTTAGAGAAAAATGCGTATGTGAGTATATAGCTATAGTCTCTGGGGAATCTTAAAAATAGTAACAAAAATGATCCCATGTAAAAATAAGTTATATATTTTATAGTACAAATTTTACTGAAAAAATAGTATATTGAAAGTTAAAGTAAGAAGTAAAAACCAAACAAACAAAAAGATGTAGGTAGTACATTTTCTATGACTGATGGCTCATTTGTTAACTGACAGGATATGTTTGTGTTTATTTACAAATTAGTGATAAGATATTTTCAATGTATTGCTGAGCTTTTGATGATTAATCTTGAAATGAGTAAAGGTTTGCCACAAGGTGAATTGTCTAACTTATCATGACTTTACTCTGTATGTTACATATCATTAATATTTAATAAAAGAAATAATTCAAGAAAATAGAGTCACCTTGGAAAATCTCCATATCCAAAGTAGCTTATTATTTTATACATTTCTAATAGTGATATAAAACTGTACTATATTAACTCATGCTTATATAGAGTGAGGCTGATGAGAGAACTGTTATGTAGACTATGCAAATAAAGCTTTACACAAATATTAGACATAAAAGATATTTCATATATATGTGGTTTGCAAAAATTTGGATTAATTATATAGTTAAATTTTTGATTTTATGCAAACTTTTTAAAAATTTGTAGGACACTGAAAGACTATCATGTATCATTTTAGTTAGGATTTGTTTTTTACTGAATGAAATTTTTGAATTTTTCTGAGCCCTATTAAATAATCCATGATTCATTACTCAATAAATAACATAAATTCTAATATTATCTTCCTGAAACATCTGGGAATGTGGTCCTTTAGACAACAATTGTGCATAAATAAAAGTAATATTTTGAGAGTTGGTATTTGTACTGGTAATAATCTGTTTTACACATCAGAATAGCAACAAGAAAATACCTACTATATAATTCATAGGCCTATGTCTGTCCTCCCCCTTGACATGCTTTCTTTGAGAGAAAAGACTGTAAAAAAATGTGCTGCAGATTGAGTATTCCTGCTCCAAAATCTTAAACTTTTTGAGTGTTGACATGATGTCACAAGTGGAAAATTCTACACATGATGTCTTTGCTTTCTGATGGCTCAGGGTACAAAAACTTTGTCTCATGCACAAAATTATTAAAAATCTGTAATAAAGTTACCTCAGGCTATTTGTATAAGATGAATATAAAGCATAAATGAATTTTGTGTTAGAATCGCACCCCTTCCCCAAGATATTTCATCACATATATGCAAATATTCCACCCCCACCCCCCAAAAAATCTGAAATCTGAAACACTTTTGGTCCTAAACATTTTGGATAAGGGATACTCGCTTAACTCATCTTTCATAGATAAGTTACCAATTCATAAGCATAAGATTATAAGCCAAGAACTATGGCAAGAAAATTGACAAAAATCCATAACTTTGTGGTGTTTAAATTCTGTGAAACAGGCCCGGATATGAGACAGGTAAAATATGCAGTACATTAAGTTAGATGAGAATCGGGATGAGTATTCTGGAAAAGTTTGTGAGATTTTTTTGGATACATATATGTCTATGTTTATAAATTATTGTGAAGGACAGAGATGAAGACATTTAATTTGAAACTAAGAAGCACGTTTAATTTGATGTGACCCAAATATCAACAAAGTGATTTAACGTTTCTATTGTTATTTTCTGTTATCTCTGTTTCCCACCAGGCAGTTTACTTAGCAGTTGCTTTTTTTTTACTATATTTTCAGTGTTTCTTATCCATCTTGTCCCTTACTTTAATAATAGCTGATATAGTTAGAATTCATTTATATTATTTATTGATTTATATTAATTATTGATTATGCATTTCACTATTATCTACTGGTAACTACAGTCTGTCAAGTGCTATTTTAGGTCTTAGATAAGTAATAGTAAATGAAATAGAAAACACTCTTGCTATTTTGGAACTCACAATTTAGGTGAAACTGTATGAAGACAAGTAAAGTCATCTTCCAATAACCCTTAAAAACTTACAGGAACTGCCGCTGTTTAATGTTGATAGAGTGGGTTCTCAGCTCTGAAAGAATATTTATTAAAATGCGTTATCACTCTTAGTTTTTTATTTTAGCTAAAAATATTCACAAGATTTTAATCATTATAATTTGAGAAGAAATACTGACTATATTTCACAAGTTATAAGTAAGGTATCCTAATTTTAAACATAACTCTAATTATTTTAGATTACATTTTTGTATTTGAAATTGTTTCTCATAGCCCCAAGATTTTCTAAGCACCTATTTTATATGACTTGCCACATGCTAGGTCATTATTGTGCTGCGCTTTGGGTAGGAATTATAATTAGTAGCATAGGCTCTATAGACGAGTTCCGGAGTATGACTGAGTAAGAATCCAGGCTCTGCAGTTTTACCAGTTGTGTGAACATAGGCAACTTCTTTAAGTTCTATTGACTACACTTTTCCCATCTACAAAATACAGATACAATTAGTTAAATTAAAATAAAAAAAGAAGTTTTGGAGAATTAAGTGACATAATACAGGTGATGCAATTACAATTAGCTTGGTACTTGTCAAATCTTAAATGATTATTGGCAGTTCTTATCACTAGAAGATATAAAATTATTAAACTGTTTTTAATGGGTTTATAATATAATTGAGAAAATAATATGAATGACATGAAGCAATCAGCAAATGATAATTGCCAGAATATATTAAAGAGAAAAATTATGTGGTTAATATAGTACTGGATTGACAGAACTGTGCACTGGATTGACAGAACCGTGATTAATACTTGCACTTTTTTAGGTGTGGTTATTTTAGGTAAGGCTTAAGCATACACATTAATTTGCTAGGGCTGCCATGATAAACTACCACAGACTGGGCGGCTTAAACAACAGAAATTTATTTTCTCATACTTCTGGAGGCTAGGAAGTCCAAGATCAAGGTATTGGCATGTTTGGTTTCTTGAAGCCTCTCTCCTTAGTTGGAAGTGGCCACCTTATTAATGTGTTCACAGATGGAAAAAGGAATATTCATTTTCCTCTACTCTCAGTATTTCTCACACCAAATGTGTGGGTTTTCTACACATAGCAATTATCCAACTCTTTGTAGACACCAACTGAATGTCTTATAATTTAATTCAATTTTGACACTAAATAGTTGGAGTTAGTGCAAACCCCCAGGTTACAGGCTTAGCCTGAAAAGACCGCCCCCACTTCAGACACCAGTCATAAGTAGTAAGTCCCCACATTATCTGCACTTCTGTCTGACATGGATACAAATTAGGGGTTTCACAACTCCCTTCTTGTTTGGTAATTTGCCTTAACAGCTCACAGAATTCAAGGAAATGCTTGATTTACCCTAATCATATTATTTTATTTATTTTTATTTTATTTTATTTTATTTTATATTTATTTATTTTTTTATTTATTTAATTTTGAGATGGAGTGTTGCACTGTCCCCCAGGCTGGAGTGCAGCGGCATGGTCTCGGCTCACTGTAAACTCCGCCTTCCGGGTTCGAGGGATCCTGCCCCAGCCTCCCTAGTAACTTGGACTACAGGCATGTGTCACCACACCTGGATAATTTTTGTGTTTTTAGCAGAGACAGGATTTTACCTTGTTGGCCAGGCTGTTCTTGAACTCCTGACCTCAAGTGGTCTGCCCACCTCGGCCTCCCAAAGTGTTGTGATTACAGGCATGAGCCACTGTGCCCAGCCCCTAATCAGGTTACTACAAAAGATATAATTGAACAGTCAATTGCTGTGGATGCATTCACCAATACAAAAGCCCTCAAAATGCTATTTAAAGTTTTTTATAATCCTTTATGTAGGAACAATTAATAAAATTTTTTTATCAATTATTGGACTCCGTTTCCAATCCCTCTCCCTTCCCTGGAGGTGAAGTAGTAGGACCAAAAGTTCCAACCCTCTAATTATATGATTGATTGCTCTGGCAACCAGCCCCCATCCAGAAGGTAACTTGGGGCCCCAACCAGTGTTCAACTCATTAACATACAAAAAGACACTTATGACCTCAGAGATTCCAAGGGTGTTAGAAGTTTTTGTGTCAGAAACTGGAGACTAAGAACAAATATTATAACACAAGATGCTCCTATCACCATTATTATTTAGGAATTTACAAGTATTTTAGAACCTCTGTGCCAGAAACTTGGTGAAGAAACCAGACATATATTTCTTATTATGTCAGGTATGGCCATCCCTAAGTCTGTGCCGTTGTGTTTTAATCTCCTCTTCCTAGAAATACACCAGCCATATTGGATTAGGACTCACACATAGGACTTCATTTACCTAATTGTCTCATTAAAGACTGTCTTTAAATTTCTGTCATTCTGAGGCACTGGAGTTTAGAATTTACACATATGAAATTGGCAGGAGGACAGTTTGGTGTCTCAATTTTATCATCTCTAAAATGCAGTTGATATTATACAAGCTGCAAATGTTATTGCAAAGATTTATTTTAAAAAGGTATGTAATGCTTTTAGCACACTGAGTATGATTTAGTGCTCAAATGTAGCTGTGTCCGTCAGTATCACAAAAGGGAACAGAAGACACATTCAAATGTAAGTCAAGAAGGGTTTATTTACAAAGGGATAACTGCAAATAAGTGAGGGAAAGGGAATCCAGATTTCTAAGGGAAACCACAAGGAATGGTGTGTCCAATAGCTCCAGCACTGTTAGAATCCCAAGCCATTAAGGCATGAAAAAAGTGGAGGTTACTAAAACCTAGAATTGGTCAATGTCTTGCAAAGGAAGCTAACAACAGGAAAGGTAACTTTTGATGTCAGAAAACAGCCAGTTCAAAGCAACTTTGAGAGAGGAAGTAGGGGAATAATTATCCTCATGTAAAGTTTTGTATTCCTTCAGATTTCTTTACAGGTTCTATATTAGTAGAACATAAATGTAACCCAGACACTTAATGATCTGGTTTATACATGTCAGTCTCCTAGGGGAAGACAGTAGAATGGAGAAGAATAAAGAGTATTCCTGGAGTGTCAATTGGACATTAGGTAGTAAAAAATGTTAGGTGAAAGTTTGAGAGAAAAACATCTTTAGTATGTTTTTTTAAGGAAAACAGAATTGTTGCAGGTACCAGGATGATTTACCTTTAGTTACTCAGTTCTTAAAAGAAGGACGATAAGTTTAATCCTGGAAATTATGAATACAAAAATAGTAAATAAGAGGGCACCAATGTTAATTATATGATGATTGGTCCTATTGAATAAGACTAAATTTTAAAAAATAAAATAAAAATCTGTGGAAATCATACTCCATAATGATGCAAAGACTAGGACAATTTTTTAGCATAGCAAAAGTCCTCAAGTTCAAAATTGCACAGTGTTAAAATTTATCAGAAAAATCTACTAATACAGACCAACTCCAATTCTAAAATGGGAAATGCACACAAATAGCCTTCAAAGTTAATAACCATTTTAAATGTGAAAAAGAATACAACACATTCAAACTTACCTTATTATAATTCTTCAGATCTTATTATTTATTGTTATGAGATTATTAGACAGTAAAATATAAATCAGAATGTTACTGTCACTTGGGAATAAAAAACATACACATGGGTTTTTGATTTTGTAACGATTGTGTGTAACAATTTTGTCACACATATGTTTATGTTTTATTCCGAAATGGCGGTGACATTCTGAATCATATTCTACTGCGTACTAATCTGTCAATGGGAGCTAGTTAAGCTATAATATGCATAAATACTTAAAAGGAAGCTATACATGTTTTTACCAATTATTTTCTTATTATAGTTGTGTGTGAATTTATAACTAAGCACTAAAATTAGAAATAGCTCAGTAATCTTAGAAAACTGGAAACACCTAAGAAACCTTAATATATTAGTTCACATTTCAAAATGCTGATCTTTATGACTTATTTTCTTGACTACCTACCCCAGTCAAAATACAATTCTTTAATTAAGGCAAATATGCAAGGCCACCTCTGAATTTGTATTCCCCACTAACATGGTCTTACAGTTGTAGGGATATAAAAATTAAAGATGGTAGGGTTGATATGGGATCTTAGATAATGAAGAAATGTAGAGTTGCCTGTGTATTTCTCTATCCTTTATTAATCTGTCATTTCCCACAGTAATGTAAGAATCTAATTGTTTGTGCTTCCATAAATCACTCTTCTCTGGATATAACTAGAGAATTTTCTGTATTACTGTCTAAACTCTTACTGCTAAGGAAGTCATTAAATACATCTTAGAGCTATTATCTCCACACCTCTACAAATCAACACATTGATACATACTGATTCATAAATTAAATTGGTAGTTATCTGCCTAAAATAATATGTGACTCCAGTTAACACAGAAAGAAAAGGGAGAAGAAGACTAGAAAGAGCCTTAGCCAGTAGTAGAGTTTTGAAAAAGTTTCAGCCAGTCCAACAGAGAACTCCAGCATAGATTGCCCATGAAGAAGTCATTTATTGGACAGAAATTCTGTGAAAATGGGCCAGCCACAGGTGGAGGATATGGGCTACCTTCTTTCTTGCAGTAGGTTCACTAGAAGGAAGCTCTGAGATGTGCCCCTCCCAAAGACTGCCGCAAAAGCATAGTGATGGCTAAATATAGTATCTAAATTGTTTTTATTTACGTACTACATATCAAGCAAACATATCACAATGAAAACACGTATCTTTTTCTGAGAAACAACAATGAACACCGAGCTTTGTACCCACACACAATTTATGCATGCATCTTCTATCATTTTCCAAATCTTCTATTAATCCCACCAAACGCTGGTATATCAGCTTCCTGAAATTTGCAGAGATGTAATCAAGTATGGCACAACTCAGAGTAACACAACTAGTTTTCTCATTAAATGATCAGCAGTGGCAGTATTTAACTGTTTCAGGCTGCTCCTGTCCAAAACATTATATGCACTTATTTTATTTTAAATATTTTGTATCCAAAAAAAATTTTTTATTAATTTTAAATCATTTTGTATCCAGATTTCTGTTCTTGAATGGAGAGTGTAGATTAAATTGATTTTTTTTAAAAAAGATGTTTTAAAAATAAGCTAATTCTCTTTCTGATTTAACAGTTGGTTAAAAGTGAAACTCTTCAAAACAGACATGAACAAGGATCATCCTAGTCTGGGTAAGATTTTGTAACACTGGATAGTAAAGCTTATTTCATTTTCCGTAAATTGTGTATATTCTCTAAGTTCTAGGATGAATATAAAACCAGTGATAAGTCACGATATATATTTTCCAGTTAATTATGATTACAAAATATACTTTTCTTGGACTGTGTTTCCAAACTCCCAGCTTAAGAAAAACAATTATAAGCAGAATTCTCCAGCTACCTGTAGACACTCCTGTCCCTGTTGCTCATTATGTTCCATTTGTATAGGGAATCTTATCGTTCCTTAAAGTTCCTTTAAAAGACCTAGCTATTTTCCAAATTTGACTATGAAATTGCTCTTGTAGTCTCCTGGGATCTTTTTGAACAGGTGTCTCTTTCTTGCCATGTAGGGTGAACATTGCCTGTCATTTACTGAATGGGCTCTTAATAAAAATTTTGTATAATTTAGCAAAATACCACCCACACTGTAATATTATACATTTTATATTTTTCATATATTCATTAAATAACAAGTTTTAAGCTAGCTATTACTCAGAATAAGATGTGAAGATATTGAAAAGATTTACATGATTTGAAACACCTTTTCTTAATAAGAGTTTTACTTAAATAAAATCCACTTAGCAATAAAGTCACCATTTTAAAACATACAATTCACTGAGGGTTTTTTACTTTTGCTTTTTTAGTATATTTACATAGTTTGGAGCCATCACCGCTATTTAATTTTAGGACGTTTTCATGTTCACAAAAAGAAGCCCTGTACTCATTATCTCTCAATCTCCACTGCTTCCTTCTTCTAGTTCCTGGCTAGCACTAATCTACTTTCTGTTTCTAAGAATTTGCCCATTCTGGACATTTCATATAAATTAAATTATGTAATATGTTGCCTTTTGTGACTACCTTCCCTCATTAAGCATAATGTTTTCAAAGCAATATTAAAAGTTTTAATATTATTCACTAATGAGTAATATTTAATTTTATTAATGTTTGAAAACCACATTTGTTTATCCACTATTTAGTTGATGGTCTTTTAGGTTGTTTCCAACATGGGACAAGTGTGTTGCTATAGAATATGTGTATATTGTGTAAACATATGTTTTCATTTCTCTTGAGTATATATCTATGAATAGAATTGCTGAATCATATGGTCACTCCATATTTAACTTTTAAAGGAACAGCCAAACTGTTTCCCAAAGAATCTGTATCATTTTACAATGCCATGACCAATCATGGGGTTTTCATTTTCTCCATAAAACTTACTATTTTCTGTTTTGTTTCAGTATGAGTCATCTTTTGGATATCACGTGGCATCGCTTTTTTGGTTTCGATTTGTAGCTCCCTAATGATTAAACATAATTGAACACATTTCTCATGCACTTGTTAATTATTTTTGTGTCTTTTTTGGATAAATAACTACTTAAATTCTTTGCCACTTTTTACTTTTCTTTGGTTTTCAGTTATTTCATTGTAATTGTTTTTTATATACTGTGGATACAAGTCCCTTATCAGAACATATTGAATTTGCAAATATATTCTAATATGTGGGCTGTCTATTCACTTTCTTCATGATATTTTTCAAAGCATTTTTTAATTTTAAGTCCAATTTATTTATTGTTTGTTTGTTTGTTTGTATATTGGGTGTCACATGTAAAAGAAAAACAATGCCTAATTCAAAATCACAAAAACTTACTCCCAAGTTCTCTTCTGAGAGTTTTCTAACTTTAGGTCTTAAACTTAGATATGATCAATTTTAAATTACTTTTTCAATATAAAATGAGGGAGAGATATAGTTTCTAGTCCACTTTTTTTCACCATATACAAAAATCAATTCAAAATGGATTAAAGACTTAAATCTAAGACCACAAATTATGAAAGTCCTACGAAAAAACATTGGGGATGTTCTCCAGGATAATGGAGTGGGCAAAGATTTCTTGAGTAACACCCCAAAGCACAGGCAACCTAAGCAAAAATGGGCAAGTGGGACCACATCCTGTTAAAAGCTTCTGCACACAAATGAAACAATTAACAAAATGAAAATACAACCCATAGAATGAGAGAAAATATTTGCAAACTACCAATCTGTGAAAGGATTAATAACCAGAATATATAGCTCCAGCTACTCAATAGGAAAAATCTAATTATGCAATTTAAAAATGGGCAAAATATTTGCATAGATATTTCTCAACAAAAGATATACAAATGGCAAACAGGTATATGAAAAGGTGCTCAACATCATTGATAATCAGAGAAATGCAAATCAAAACTACAATGATATATTATCTTACCCCAGTTAAGATGGCTTTTATCCAAAAGGCAAGCAATAAGAATGCTGGAGAGGATTAAGAAAAAAGGAAACACTTGGTGGGAATTTAAATTAATGCAGGCATTATGGAGAACAGTATGGACATTCCTCAGAAAACTAAACATAGAATTACTATATTATCCAACATTTCCACTGCTACATATATAACCAGAAGAAAGGAAATTCATGTATCAAAGAGTATCAGCACTCCTATGTTTATTGCAGTGCTATTCACAATAGCCAAGATTTGGAAGCAGCGTAAGTGTTCATCAACAGACAAATCAATAAGGAAAATGTGATACATATACCTAATGGAATACTATTCAGCCATGAAAAAATAGAGATCCCGTCTTTTGCAACAACATGAATGGAACTAGAGGACACTATGTTAAGTGAAATAAGCCAGATTCAGAAAGACAAATTTTGCACGTTCTCACTCATTTGCGGGAGCTAAAATTTAAAACAATTGAACTCACGGAGATAGAAAGTAGAATGATGGTTACCAGAGGCTGAGAAAGATAGTGGGGGGACAGGGAAAGTGGAGATGGTTAGTGGGTACAAAAACATAGGTAGAATAAATAAGATATAGTATTTGCTAGCACAATAGGGTGACTACAGTAAAAAAAAATTATTGTGTATTTAAAAATAATTAAAAGAGTATTTTTAATTAGAATGTTTCTATAACAAAGAAATGATAAATGTTTGAGGTGATGGATACTCCATTTACCTTCATGTGATTATTACACATTGCATACCTAAATAAAAATGTCTAAGTATCCCATATGAATATATACTTACCATGTACCCATGAAAATTAAAATTTTAAAATAAATGAATTAACCATACGTATAACTTTTTATTAACAAACTTTCAATTTTCTTCCATTGAACCATAGGTATCTCCTATGCCAGTACCAAGCTCTATTAATTATGATGACTCTGAAGTATTGGTTTGCCTGTTAAAATATTGTATTTTTCTCCTGTGTTGGAAATAGACTCTAGAGGACTGAGGGCAGAAGCAGGATATCACTTTAAATATTATATTTTTAAAGAATAGATAACAAATGGTAGCAGCTTGGTTGAGTATGGTAGTGATAGAGATGAAGATAATTGGACAAATTCTGGATATATTTTGAATTTATATCCAATAATATTTGATAATTGATTAAATGTAAGGCATAAGAGAGCAGACTCAAGGATGAAGTTAATGTTTTTCTTAAGCAACTGGGAAGGAAATGGATATCGTTTACTGGGATAGGGTTGAAAAGGAGAAGCAAAATTTTGGATTAAATAAATAATTCAATTTTTGATATGTTAAGTTTCAAGTATTTCTTATATAGTCAGGTGGAAATGTAGAGCTATATATAAATCTAGCAATCAGGAGTGGGTGAAGATGTGAATTTGGCTTATAGCAAATTTTAACAACATGGAATTGCATCAGAGACTTAGATGTGAGAATAAATAAAGAACAGACAATGTTAGAGGGATAACTTCTTTGATATTTCTGCAGTTAGAAGCTGAGCTAGGAAGAGGGATTTTTGCAAAAAAACTGCATGAGGGGGAGTAGCCAATGATGTGGGCAGAACACCAGACACCTGTGGTGTACAAGAAAGCAAGCAAAGCTTTAGCAGGAGGGAATAGCGACTCTTTAAAGAACTGCAGAAGGGTATGGTAAAATGAGAATATGGTAATTAGGCACTGGATTTAACAAAATACAGATGACATTGATGGCATTGAAAAGAGCGGATTTGGTAGAGTGGTAAAGATAAAACATTATTTGGAATAGGGTTAAGAGAAAATGGCATAACAGAAAACCAAGTATGTAGGAATAGTGTAAATAAGAAGATCAATAGTGGGGGGAAGGGTACTAACTCTACCAGATATTACTACATACTAAAATTCTAAAGAATGTGGTATTTGTATATTAAAAATTTGAAAGGCCAATGGAACTGAATATAGGAAAAAAATCTGTCATCTACAATCAACTGAGAAAAAAATGGAAGTGGTAAAATTGGATCATTTTTCATACCATATGGCAAATCTTCCAAGTAGATTCAAAATTAAAATGTAAGGATAAAAACACATGTATTAGGAGAAAACATGACTTTCTTTATATTATCTAAAAAGAAAAATGTATTCTCTTACAAAAATCCAAAAGTTTTATGAAAATATATACTTTTTTAAAAATGGCAAACTGGTAATACACACATACAGCCATATACACATAAGGCAACAAAAGGTAAATTTAAATAATATTTAAAAAGCTTCAAAAATAGAGAAGAGATAAAGTGATAACAATAAAAATGGACTAGAATATGTAGAAAAATAATTAAAATGATACTATTTGAATAAATAATTGTAAACATAATAAGTTGAATTCAAATTACATATGGATACAGACACTATTTATTATCAATTGGCAAAAAAATTCAATAGTTTGAAGAACTGCTGTTGTCGAAGTAGAGAAACAGATTCTCTCAAAATTTTTTGCTGAAAATGCAAAATGGCACAACACCTGCAGAAGGTAAATTAGCAATATCTAGCAAAATTGCATATACATTTATACTTTTAAGATGACTTCTAAGAATCATTCTCAAAGAATTAATGATAAAATACAAAAACACATGTTTATCAGGTTATATATATTTTGCCAGTATATATATTTCATATATATATATATGTACATATATATACACACACACACATATACACACACACATATACACACACATACATACACACACTACTGGTATGTGTGTATATATATACACACACACACACATATATACACATACATACACACACACACTATATATATGTATATATACATATTCACGGAATCACTGAAACTATTACAGTTTAGAAATATATATTGAATTCAATTAATTATTAATTATAATTAGTAGAAAACAAATACATAAGAAAATTTGGAAATAATTTAAATTCCCATGAATAAGGTACTGATTTTATAAACTGATAAACCTACATGATAACTACATAGCTGTAAAAGTGAATGAGGAAGAATTCTCTGTTACTGGTGTAATACCAGAATATATTTTTAAATAAAAAGCAAGCTTTGTGTGTATATTTATATGTGTGTAATTGTAAATGACATATATGTAAGTATAAGTACATATTATATATTTATATATAATCAAATATACTATATAAATATTAATTCAATATATAAATTATAAAAATTAAAAAAAACTGTTTTAAGGGGGAAATGAAGGCAAAGGGTAGAACAGACTGGGATAAATCAAAGCTAAACTTCCTTGAATAAATTTGCTTTTAAAGTTTTGACTTCAGAACCATAGATATATTTCACATTAATTTAAAGAATTATTTAAAACCATCCTGAAAGATCAAAAACAGAATGAAACATATGTTCCTGGCTGTATATGGGTTAATGACAGAACCACAAAAACAATTTGTTTTTACTATTCATTATAAAATAACTTCAACTTGTAGAAGAATTTCAAGAATAAAAAAAAAAAAATCTCCTATAAACTCTTAACCAACATACAAGTGGTGAGATTTTTGCTTTATAATTCTCTCTTTCTTCCCCCATATGCTCTCTCTCTATATATAGATATAGAAAGATATAGAGAGATATATAGATATAATACATGTATAGGAATTGATATAAATGTTGATATAGGTAGATTTACATAATCATAGTGATATGGTTTTGCATCTACATATAGGTATGTAATCCTTATTAGTCTTTTTCTAAACTTGAAAGTACGTTGTAGACATCATGCTTCTGTATCCCTAAATATTTCAGTGTATAATTCTTAAGAACAAAAATATTCTTACATAATTACACTACAGCTAGCTACTTCAGACAAATTAACATTGATATAATATTATTATCTATTACAGGCTATAGGTTATTTTTTGCCAGTTGTTTAAATAATGTCCTTTGTATTAATTTGTCCCTCTGATCCAGCACCCTATCACAACTGCACATCAAATGTAATTGCCCTGTCTGTATAATATATACGTCTTTACTTTGGAGTAGATGTCTTGATTTTAGTTTTGCAGATGGATTTATGCGTCAATACGCTACTCTGCAATTTAGCAATGAGCATTCTATCTCATGCAGAAATATTTCCAGTTTTCACAAATTAGAAAACCATCCTAGGTTTCCATTGTTGATGTACATGTCTCTTTAGTTTATATTATTTATATCTTTTTATTTAGAAATGAGAAGTTGGGAGAAGGTCCTACGTCCATTTTTTTTTAATTATGTCACCTCCATGTCTTCCTATGATAAACTCACATGACATTTTACAAAACGGATGATTAAAAGAAGGAAATGTGCAATGGATAAAAGTGCAGAAAAGAAATAAAAAGGAGTAATGCTGGATGTGAAATTAGATACAATAAGAAGACAGCTGACCATGGGATATTGACACAGCTGTCATTTGAGTCTCTAGGTATGAGGCCACGGAAACTTACTGGAAGAGAACTTAGCATAAATGAGAAAGGTAGTTGTGATGAACAGAATGAACATGTCCTAGAGGAAGTAATGCTGGCAGAAAATTTTCACATTAGAAAAAAACCCTTGAAGGTGCTTCAAGACACTGAAAGAATAAAGAACACAATGCAGGAAGCCGATCCAAACTTTAAAAAGCATATGACAATTCACCAGTGCGTAAAAAAAGATAGTGCTCCACATTGTTAGGTGACAAGTAGGCAAGGATGGTTTAAACTACTTTTGATAAGTTTTCATGAAAAGTAAAACACTTTAGTTTTATGTTTTTTTCTAATTTTAGGTTTTTTTTTTAATTAATTGAACTTTTTACTATAACCAAAATTGCTTAGCATTTGAAATACTTATTTTATTATTATTATATTTTAAGTTCTGGGACACACATGCAGAATGTGCAGGTTTGTTACATAGGTATACAAGCGCTGTGGTGGTTTGCTGCAGCCATCAACCTGTCATCTACATTAGGTATTTCTCCTAATGCTTCCTTCCCCTAAACCCCCAACTCCCGACAGGCCCTGGAGTGTGATGTTCCCCTCCTGTGTCCATGTGTTCTCATTGTTCAACTCCCACTTATGAGTAAGAACATGTGGTATTTGGTTTTCTGTTCCTGTATTAGTTTGCAGAGAATAATGGTTTCCAGCTTTATCCCTGTCCCTGAAAAGGACATTAACTCATCCTTTTTATAGCTGCATAGTATTCCATGGTGTATATGTGCCACATTTTCTTTATCTAGTCTATCATTGATAGGCATTTGGGTTGGTTCCAAGTCTGCTATTATGAATACTGCTGCAATAAACATATGTGTGCATGTGTCTTTATAGTAGAATGATTTATAATCCTTTGGGTATATACCCAGTAATGGGATTGCTGGGTCAAATGGTATTTCTGGTTCTAGATCCTTGAGGAATAGCTACAAATGGGATCTAACTAAACTAAAGAGCTTCTGCACCACAAAAGAAACTATCATCAGAGTGAACAGGAAACCTACAGAATGGAAGAAAAATTTTGGAATCTATCTATCTGACAAAGGGCTAATATCCAGAATCTACAAGTAACCAAAACAAATTTACAAGAAAAAAACAACCGTATCAAAATGTGTGAAGAATATGAACAGACAGTTCTCAAAAGAAGACATTTATGTGGCCAACAAATATATGAAAAAAAGCTCATCATCACTGGTCATTAGAGAAATGCAAATCAAAACCACAATGAGATACCATCTCATGCCAGTTAGAATGGTGATCATTAAAAAGTCAGGAAACAACAGAGGCTAGAGAGGATTTGGAGA
Organism: Homo sapiens; assembly: GCF_000001405.40. NCBI lineage: Eukaryota > Metazoa > Chordata > Mammalia > Primates > Hominidae > Homo > Homo sapiens. The sequence goes on along the minus strand of NC_000004.12, from coordinate 59,027,430 downwards.
AATAGGAACATTTTTACACTATTGGTGGAAGTGTAAATTAGTTCAACCATTGTACATCCATTTTCTAAACATCACATTGCTTGAAAATGATCATCAAGGATTCAAAATTTAAAAAGTGGTAATTTATAATTTTATATAAATATCAATTAATCATGATCAATCAAATATTTTGACAACTCTGTTAAGAGAAGTGCCAATTAGTTGCAATGAATAGTTATTATAGAAGTCAAGTCTCCACATTTTTTCTCTAAATGTATATATTGTATTACAACTTCTTTAGGATATACCTTAACATGTAGGAAAATACTGTTAAAACCTCATCTAACATGGAAATCATACTTCTCTCATATACAGTGTGAAATAATTGTTCTTGGTTCATGGTATTTTAAAAAGCAAATAATTTTTCTTTATAAGTGTTGTTTACAGGCTCAACTGCAATGAAAAAATAAAATTTTAGTAGAATAGCGAGTCACATTTAAAAGCCTGAAAAAAAGGGCTGTTTAAAGTTAGAATTTTCTTAAACTACTAAGGTCAGATTTCAGAGAAAAGCAGTTAAGATGCCCTGAAGTCTGAAAAAGCAGGCTTATAGACTTACATTTCCTGTTTTTCCCTTAAAGAACTACTACCTTGCTGAGCATATGCACACACACACACACACACACACACACACACACACTACAAAATATAATGGACTTATTTTTGTCTCTGGTACATTGAGCTAGATGAGAAAGATACTTAGATATGGGCATTAATGTTCCATTAAGACTCAATAAAAGGACTTTTAGAGCAAAATCTAAATATATTGTTTTCTAAATCAAAACTCTATCAAATGAATACTCTTTAAAGCCCCCCATCAAAATCATTTTCTTTATCAATATGGTAATATATTCATTTTGAAACAGTGTAAGTAGGACATCCATTTTCAGAAATGAGCAAACGTCTAATTAGAATAAAGATGTACACATGTAAAATTAGTCTACTTCATTTATAGCTATAACTGTTATATTTAAATGATACTTATGGTTAATCAATGTTTATCAAACGTTTATATTTCATTTTTTTCAGAATTCAAGTAGATAAAAATGAGACGAATGATAGAAATTGGTGTGAAAAAAGGATTAATGGCACACAATTTAATGTATTGTAAGGATCAAGTTAATTGGCTTACTTTCATAAGCAAGACAAAGAATCTACTTTTGCTCTAAATTCCATTAGTATAAACTATTGGAAGAAACACGATTATCAGCAGGTGTATTATTCTTCTACGTTGTAAGAGCCCATCATGCTGATGAATAGTTATTCAGTAAATTCTCTATTACCTGGGAAAAAAGAAAAACCCTCAGTCATAGTTGCAAATACTATGTCTCAGCTGAGATAAGGATAAGAATCTAAGAGATTTTCTTATCATCCACATAGAACAATTGCCTAAATTGGAGATTAGAGTTTAGAAGGAGAGAAAGAATAAGAGGATCTTCAATATCACTCGAAAGCTGTTTTCTTAATTTTGAGCATCTTAAAAACAGAGTATGCATTGATTACTTTAAACCTGTGAAAACAAATTACAAGGTGTTAACAGATTTACAGACATATATAAAAATCTCTAAAACATATATGTGATTTTATATAAGAATCTCTAAAATAGCAAACTTGACTCTAAAAATTTGTATAGCTCATTTTGTCTGTCACTTATAAGATCGGCTGATTTACTGAAAGCTTAAAGTATCAGCAACAGTCCGAATATCAACACCAATTAAACTTACATTTTACTACTATTTAATCAAAATTTAAAATGTGTTTTTATATGTTCATAGTATACTACACATGGAATATCACACTTTAGTATTCACAGTAGGGATTACTATACTTAAACAGTCAAATAAAGTTTTTATATTCAAAATTTTAATTATTTGAGAATTTTACATTGATGTAGTCTACTATTTACAGATGTGATCCTTAAGAAAAAAAAAATTTGAGCAGTAATTTTAAAGGCATCCAGCAGCATTTTGGTCAACAATGACATTGATCACAGTTGGTGTTATACGTCTTTCACGTTGGGGTTTTCAACCAATAGGAAGCTACTTTTCTAATGGTAATCTCACATAGATTCTGTCAGAGAAACAGGCACAGAACAAGGCATTGAATTTTTTTCTAAAAATTCCATTAGTTTTTGTTGTTGTTCTCCTCTGTGAGATCTTTACAAACATGAAGCTGAATTTGTCAGTTTAGTTTTACTTTAATATGCATACTAAACACAACCCGGCAATATTTTTACTAGACCAGATCCTAAGTAAGCTTTTCAAATCAAACAAGGAAAAATAGCTATTGTAATAAATGAATTACCTTTAGTAGACTGAGCATTAGTCCTATTTACTGATAACTAGAGATATACTCCATTTTTAAAAAAGAAAAAGAACAACTCTTATTTCTATAAATAATTACATTTACAAATATTTATAAGGTTCTATGAGTCATAATATTGTACTTATCTTTAATTTGCTCCATCGTTAATATTCTATAGAACAATAATTAATAATAAATAAGGGAGATATTCTTGCAAGATTTTTATGCAAATAGCTGTCTCACGATGGCTTTTTCAATAGCCTGGAATTGCTTACCCAAAGGCTATATGTGGCATTGTTTAATATCTGATGGCCTCAATTTAGGTTCTTTTTTCAATCTAAAGGTAAAGTTTTAATCAGATTTATTTTCTTGACTTCCATTAGCAATTACTATGTGTTTATCCTTATCATTAATTCAAATATTTCTTCTTCAATACATATCCCTTTATAAAACTGCCATAATTTATGTCTCAAATCATTTAAACAATTTCCCATTGTTAAAAAATTTCATGATCACCCTTCTAAACTTACACTTCTTTCCTAAATTTCTGTTTCATTGAAAATGAATTATTATCTCCAAAACTCTTTATTTAATTGATCAACACATTTTTCTTGATCCTCTTTAGAAAATGCTGACTCTCTCTTTTCTAATTGCCCCTCCATTGCCATGATTTCCAGCCATTATCCTTACTAGTAAGGTGATGGTTAATTTTACATGTCAGCTTGACTGGACCATGAGATACCTAGATATTTCTTGCAACATTATCCAGTGTGTGTCTATGAGAGTATTTTAGATGAGGTTAACATGTGAATGGGTAGACTGAGTGAAGCAGACTCTTTTCACAAATATGAGTGAGCCTCATCTAACCAGTTGAAGGTCTGACCAGAGCATAAAGGCTAATCCTCCCTCACATAAAATGGAATTTCTCCTGCCTGATTATCTTGGCCTGGGACATCAGTCTTTTCCTCACATTGGACTTGAACTTAAATATTAACTCTTTTAAGGTCTTGTGACTGCTGGCCATGGGACTGGAACTTACACCATTGACTCTCCTGATTCTCAAGACTTTGAATCAGACTGGAGCTAAACCACCAGATCTCCTGGGTCTCCAATGTGCTAATTACAGAACTTGGTACTTAGCCTCCAAAATCATGTGATCCAGTTCCTTTTAATAAATAGTTCTCTGTATACATGGACATCCTATTGGTCCTATTTTTCTGGGAGATCTTGACTGAAATAACTAACATTCTTTATAACCACTTAACTTTGGTCCCTGACTATCCCTTCTTCCCAAATGTTTTCTCTGAATTGTTGCCTGAATTGTTTTTCTAACTGATACATCTGAATATTTTATTCCTTTGTTTGTATTTTATGCTTTTTTATTATCATATATTGATATTGTAACAGTAGTATTTAAATATTAATTATATGGATATTGTATCAGGATAGTATCTCCTCTTTAATTAATTGATTCCCCATTGAGCTCACATGTGGGGAAATAAACAATAAACTGCTTACCAAATAACATGCATACTATAATTTCTAGTACTAATTAATACTGAGAAGAAAAAGAACATTTATGAGGGGATTCTTACTAATAGAAGATTGCCATTTTGAATAAAGTGGCTAAGGAAGACCTGCATGAGGAAATGTTAACTGGACAAAGATAAGAGATAGTCCTAAATATCTAAGGAAACTTTATTGTTTATCTTTTCACATGCAAACTCAATGAGGAAAGAAATTTTTCCAGGTGCATTATTATTACCTATTTGCCTAGCACAATGCATGGTACATTTTTAATATACAATCAATATTAATTGAATGAATGACTAAATTAAGAAGTGATATAGTTAATTAAATGAGATATTATTTTCTCAGTTACTCACATGACTAAATCTCAGCAGAGGTACAACTAGTAAAATGTATTTTAGATTTATTATGATGATAATGCTAAAGAACAGTGGGAAACATGTATATTACAATACATGGAAAAGAGTCTTTGGGAATTCTATGGGAAATCAAAATGAAAGTCAATCATATTATACTCCATAACTCTGAGTCAATTTCATGTATATGAAACATCTAAGTTTGCAAGGGCATAGTTAACAGAAAATACAGTCGATTTTCTTTATGATGTCAGTATGGCAAACGTTTTCTTAAACATAACAGAAAAGGCACTAATTATAAAGTCAGTCAGTGATTGACAAGTTTGACTCAGTTAAAATTAAATACTTGTATTCATCAAGAGACCACTAAAATAATGGATATGTAAGGTGGTGAGTCTGATAATTGTGAAGCATAAACCAACAAAGGCTCATATTTAGAACAGGCAAACACTACTGCAAATTAATTAGAAAATGGCAGTCACCCAGTAGAAAAATGGGAAAAAATACTTAAATAAGCACTTCACAATAGAGAAAATCCAAATATCCAAGAATGTATTAAAAATGCTTAACTTTATGATTAACTAGGGGAATAAAAATTGAGGGCATTAAAACTTTGCTACTAATTGAGGGAATCATAATGTTAGGTACCACTTCATACTCACAAACACTAAATGTCTGACAAAACTAAATATTGAAGGGAATGTGTAGTAATATAGTGCTGTTGGAGTAGAAATTGATAATATTTATTTGCAAAATAGTGTGGCCTGTCTGCTGAAGTTGAATATCGTGTTCTACTAATTTTACACTGTTATGCAACTTACAGAATTTTGTGCTTATGTGTGTCAGTTTAAACGTACAGAATTTTTATAATAGCCTTATTCATAATTATCCCAACTGTAAACAAAGCAAGTGTTTAGAAGAAGTGTGGACCAATAAATTGTGTTATATCTATACAATGTTATGGTGAGAAAAATGAAAAATATATATGTATATCCAAAAAGTATGGGTAAAATTTCACATAATGTTGGCACCAAAAGCCAGAAACAAAGAAACACAAAACTGTACGTAGTATGAACTATTTACATACACTTCTGAAAAACAACACTAAACTTTATTGTTTATTTATGCATCATTACGCATGTGCAAAAAGTATCAAGAAAAGTGAGGAAGTGATTATCATAAATTCTAGAATAGTTGTGATCTCCAGGAAAGAGTAAAGAAATTGTCACCAGTAAAACACCTGTAGGCCTCTTAAGAGTGTTGACCATAATATAATACAAATGTAAATTATAGTTTGCTACAAGATTCAAGATAGAGATAAAAGGGAATAAATATAAGCTGGGAGTTGCAGTTTTAAATGGGATAATTAGGAAGAGGCTCATTGAGTGGACAATGTTTGAGCAAATACTTGAAAGAAATGAGGGAATTAGCCATGTTGTGTTGGGAGAAAGGTGGTATGGTAAGGGAGTGTTCAGTAGTAGAATACCCAGAGCAGAGACACTAATGCAGTGAGTAGAATAGTGGCTCCAAAAAACTATGTCAAAATCCTAACTCCCAGTACCAATAAATGTGACATTATTTGAAAACAGGGTCTTTACAGATGTAACTGAGAATCTCTAAGTGAGATTATTTGGATTTAGAGTAGGCCCTAATTTAACAACTAGTGTTCTTGTAAGAGAAAGCAAAAGGAGAGTTGGGACTCAGAGACATGCAGGGAACAAAGCCATGAGAAGATAGAGGCAGAGACAGAAGTCATGTAGCCCCAAACCAAAAAGTATGCCTAGAGTCACCAGACGCTGAAAAAGGCAAGGCAGGATTTTTCTCTACAGCCTTGAGTGATCAAAGTTCTGCTGACACCTCGCTATTTAATTTCCACCTCTAACACTGGGAGAGAATTCCTACTGATCTAAGTCACCAAATTTGTGGTAATTTGTTACAGCAGCCCCAGGAAACTAATATAAGGAGTATACTGAGACTGTTAATGTTGTTCTTCCCTAGTTTTCTTGATTTTTACTATTTGCTTAAGTAAATATTAAGGGTGAAAAAGTTTTTGGCCTGTGAAAATCCACAAATTTGCTTATTAGATTAATATTATATGTTATATGTCTATGTAACTCAGTAAAATATGAATCTAAGAGCCCAGGGATAGTTATGTTTTTATATATGACATATATTTCATATATAATTTGAATAATTAGGCATGATTTCATATAAAATTTAAAATTACAGAAAACATACTGAAAATTATAATTTTTTAAAATAGTCATAAACTAACCCTGCAGGGATAATCATTTGATAGATTATCTTCCAAATGTTATATCCATACTTGTTAGTATGATGGTAGTAAATATAAACTTTTAGTATTCTCCTTTTTAATTTAACTTTAAACATTTTGCCACATAATTAAGCATTCTACAAAACACAATTTTATTGGAAGCATAGAGTTTTATTCTTTGAATATAACATAAATTATTTAGCTAATCCTCCAGTACTGAAATTTAGTCTTGTCTAGTAGTTGACTGTTACAAATAATACTGTAGCAACATCCTAAGGATGACCCTGGAGCAAGTTCAAATCCTGGTTTGTTACATATTTTAATTTTGGAAAATAATTGGCTACTAAATATCCATATGTATAAACTGGCAAATGTATTAGTCCATTCTCACATTGCTATAATGAAATACCTGAGACTTGGTAATTTATAAAGAAAATAGGTTTCATTGACTCACAGTTCTGCAGGCTGTACAGGAAGCATAGCAGCCTCTGCTTCTGAGGAGATCTCAGGAAGCTTCCAATCAAGGAAGTAAAGAGGGAGCACCCACCTCACATAGCATAGCAGAAGCAAAAGAGCAATGTGGGAGGTGCAACACACTTTTAAATGACTGAGATATTATAAGAATTCACTATCACAAGGGTAGTACCACTGGGATGGCACTAAACCATTCATTAAAAACCTCCCCTATGATGCAGTCACCTCCCACAAGGTTGCACCTCCAACATTGGGGGTATCATTTCAACATGAGATTTGGGCAGGAATAATATCCAAACTATATCAGTGAAATAGTATAATAGATCTTATAAGACAGTTTTAATGCTTAAGTTAATTCATCAAGACATTTTAACTCAATTCCCAGAATATGAGCAATCTCTCAAAAGGAAATTCCAGTGTATGCCTAAAATATTATTGATCTGAAGTGGTTGTCAGTGGTTTTGGGAAAAGGAAGGGATGAATAGACAGAACACAGAGAAATTTTAAGTTACTGAAAATGTTCTATACAATATGATAATGGTCAATACATGTTCTTTATACATTTCAACAAATTCATAGAATGTGCATTAACAATATAACAGTGGAACAACAAAGTAACTAACATAAATGACTTCATTTTTATTTAAAGTGTCTTTATCTATTCCTGTATGTAGACTAGGATACATTGAGAGCGGGGGAGGGGGGAGGGATAGCATTAGGAGATATACCTAGTGTAAATGAGGAGTTAATGGGTGCAGCACACCAACATGGCACATGTATACATATGTAACAAACCTGCACGTTGTGCACCTGTACCCTAGAACTTAAAGTATAATAAAAACAGCAATCATATAATTTTTGAAACTAAATCTGGGATTGAAGTGTAAGTAGGTAAACACCTAAGTTTTGTTACATAAGTATAAGAAGCAAGGAGGAGGTGGGGCAAGATGGCAAAATAGAATCCTCCAGCAATCATTCACATCCCCTGTAGACACACCAAACTGAACATATTCACACAAGAAAGCATCTTTAAAAGAACCAAAAATCAGTTGCGTGATCACAGTACATAATTTTAACATCATGTCAAGGAACGAGGCACTGTGTAAGGAAGAAAAGGCAATCTTGAATTGTTGTTACACCTCTTCTCCATGCTCTGACATTAGCAGTGGCCATAAGACACACAGAGAGAATCTGTGTGCTTGGGGGAGAGAAAGCACAGTGATTGTCGGAGTTTGCTTTGAAATTCAGTGCTACCCTGCAAAGCAAAAAGCAACACAGTAGAGAAATCACCCAGTACCCATTCGGGGCACATTTAGACCAGCTGTAGCCATAGGTAAATTGTCCATCTCACCGGTTGGAATTTGAGTTCTGGCAAGCTGCACCTATGTGTGCCAAACTGCTCTGGGGGCCTAAATAAACTTGAAAGGTAGTCTAGGCCACAAGAACTTCAATTATTCAGCAGGTCCTGGTTCTGTGCTGGGCTCAGAGCCAGTGAACTTAGCATGCACATGACTTAGCAAGATACCAACTGGGGTGGCCGAGGGAGTAATTGCATCACTCCTTCCCCAACCACAGGCAGCACAGCTCACAGCTCTAGGAGCAACTCCTCTCTTCCACTTGGGGAAGGTATACGGGAGAAGAAAGAAGACTTTCTCTGGTATCTTGACTATCAGCTCAGCCACAGTAGAATAGGAAAACAGACAGAGTCATGAGGCCCTCATTTATGGTACTAGCTCCCCAAGGACATTTCTAGACACACCCTGGGCCAGAAGGTAACCCATTGTCTTGAAGGAAAATACCCAGTCCTGGTAGGATTCATTGCCTTCTGACTAAAGATCTCTTAGGCCTTGAATAAATACCAGCACTTGCCATGGGGTTTGGGTGAGACCCAGTGCCACAGTGGCTTCAGGTGTGACCCAGCACATTCTCAGCTGTGGTGGCCATGAGGAGAGACTCCTTCTGCTTGAAGAAAGGAGAGGGAAGGGTAAAGGAAGCTCTGTCTTGCAGCTTGGGTACCACCTAGACCATAGTGAAGTAGAGCACCAAACAGGCTCCAGGAGCTCCATTCCAGACAATGGCTCTTAGATGGTATTTTTGGGCCTGCCCTGGGCCAGGAGGGAGCCTTCTGCCCTCAATGGCAAGACCTAGGGCTAGCAGCATTCACCACAAGCTGACTGAAGAGCCCTTGGATCTTGAGTGAATGCTGGTGACAGCCAGGTAGTACACAACATGGACTCAGGGAAAGGGAGGCTGTCATGAAAGACTCCATCTGCTTGACCAAAAAAGAGAGAAGAGTGAGAAGAACTTTCTTTTGCAGCTTGGGTGCCAGCTCAGCAACAATAGAACAGAGCACAAAGTACATTCCTAAGGTTTCTAATTCCAGGCCCTGGATCCCAGATGGCATCTCTGGACTCACCTTGGCTATTAAGGGAAGGCCACAACCCTGTATTGATTCTTCACCTGATGATTGTAGGGTCCTTGATCCTTGAGGAAACAGCAGCAGTAACCAAGTAGTGGTCACCATGGGCTTTGGGCAAGAACCAGTGTTGTGCTGGCTTTGGATCTGACCCAGTGCAGCCCCAGTCATGGATGACACAAAGCTGCTTGTGTCACTTTCCCACCAATTCCAGACAACTTAAAAAGAAGAGTTTCTGTTTATTTGGGGGTAAGTAACACAAAAGAACAAGAGTCTCTGCCTGATAATTTAGGTACTTCTCCCAGATCTTACGGTGGTAGCTCTATAATTCTGCAAAAATCATAGCATTATTATGCTTAGGATACCACCTAATGCAGATATGGCTGCAGTGAGCAAACACTTAGATCACAACATTCAATTCTCTTTGAATACTTGGAAAGTCTTCCCAAGAAAGACAGAAACTAACAAGCCCACCTTGTGAATACTACAATAAATTCCTAACTCTTCAAGGCCTGGACATTAATAAACATATATCAGCATCAAGATCATTTAAAAAAACATGACCTCACCAAACAAGCTAAATATGGTACCAGCGACCAGTCCTAGAGAAACAGAGATATGTGACATTTCAGAAAGAGAATTCAAAATAGCCATTTTGAGGAAACTCAAACAAATTTAAGATAACATAGAGAAGAAATTCAGAATCCTATCAGATACATTTCACAAAAAGATTGAAATAGTTAAAAATAATCAAGGAAAAATTATGAAGCTGAAAAATTTAGTTGACATAATGAATAAAGCATCAATCAGAGTCCCTCGATAGAAGAACTGATCAAGCAGAAGAAAGAATTAGTGAGTTTGGAGATAGGCTATTTGAAAATACATAGTCAGAGAAGACAAACAAAAATCTTAAAAAAGAATAAAGCATGCATACAAGATTTAAAAAATAGCCCCCAAAAGGCAAATGTAAGTGTTCTTGGCCTTACTGGAGATGTGAGAAAAATAGCAGCAGGAAGTTTATTCGAAGTGATAACTATAGAGAATTTTCCAAACCTAGAAAGACAACAATATCTAAGTATGAGAGAGTTATAGGACACCAAGACTTAGCCAAAGGAGGAGTATCTTAAGACCTTTAATAATTAAACTCCTAAAGGTCAAGGATAAAAAAAAAAAAAAAAAGAAAGTAAAGAAAAGGAAAGAAAAAAGGATCCAGAAGCAGTAAGAGAAAAGAAACAAATAACATGCAAATCAGCTCCAATACATCTGACAGCTGACTTTTCAGTAGAAACCTTACAGGTCAGGAGAGAGTGGCATGAAATATTTAAAGTGCCGCAGGAAAAAACAAACAAACAAACAAAAACAACTTCTAAACTTTAATAGTATATATAGTGAAAATATATTTAATCGTGAAAAAAATAAACACTTTCTTAGACAAACAAATGCTGAGGGAATTCATCAGCACCAGACTTGTTCTATAGGAAATGCTAAAGAGAGTTCCTCAATCTGAAAGAAAAGGACGTTAGTGAGCAAGAAGAAATCATCTGAAGGTATAAAACTGACTGGTAAGCCAGGCACAGTGGCTCAAACTTGTAATCCCAGCACTTTGGGAGGCCGAGGCAGTGGATCACCTGAGGTCAGGAGTTCAAGACCAGCCAGGCCAACATGGCGAAACCCCGTCTCCATTAAAAATACAAAAATTAGCTGGGTATGGTGGCGAACACCTGTAATCCCAGCTACTTGGGAGCCTGAGGCAGGAGAATCACTTGAACCCAGGAGGAAGAGGTTGCAATGAGCCAAGATCATGCCACTGCACTCCAGCCAGGGCAACAGAATGAGACTTCATCTCAAAACAAACAAACAAACAAACAAACAAACAAACAAACAAATCAAAAAACCTCACTGGTTCCACTGGTAATAATAAAGACACAGACAAAATATTATAACAGTGCAATCAATTGTGGTGTGTAAGATACCTGTATCTTTAGTAGAAAGACTAAAAGACAAACCTACCAAAAATAATAACTATAACAACTTCTCAAGAAATAAACAGTATAACATTAATAGAAACAACAAAAAGTTAAGGAGATGTATTTAAAGTGCAGAGTGTTTTATTAGTTTTCTCTTTGCTTGTTAGTTTTTGCATTCAGTGTTAAGTTGTAATCAGCTTAAAACAATAAGTATAAGATGTTATTATAAAAATTCATGGTAATTTCAAACTAAAAAAACCTACAACACATGAACAAAAAATAAAAAGCAGGAAATTAAAACACAGCAGCAGAGAAAATCCTCTTAACAAAATAGAAGATAGAAAGGAGAAAAAAAGTAAGAGAAGACTGTAAAACAACCAGAAAATAAATAACAAAATACCAGTAGTTAGTCTTTACTTTCAATAATAACACTGAATATAAATGCACTAAACTCTCCAAAAAACAGAGTGTCTGAATGGATTTAAAAAATGAAAACAAGACACAATGATTTATTGCCTGCAAAAAAGCATGATTTCCATATAAAGATATACATCTTTATTTAATAAAATAAAAGGATGAAAAAATATATTTTATGAAAATGGAAATAAAATAGAGCAGGAATAGCCACATTTATATCTGATAAAATAGATTTCAAGATTAAACTATAAAAAGAGACAAAGAAGATCATTATATAATGATAAAGAGGTCAATTCAGGAAGAGAATATAAAAATTGTAAATATATATGCACCCAACACTGGAGCACCCAGATAGAAAAGCAAATATTAAAGAGAGAGATAGACCCTAATAAAATAATAACTGGATATTTCAACTCCCCACTTTCAGCATTAAATAGATCATCCAGACAGAAAATCAACAAAGAAACATAGGAATAATGTGCACTATAGACAAATGGACCTAATGGATATTTACAGCACATTTCTTCCAGTGGCTGTAATACACAGTCTTCTCTTCAGTAGATGGAACATTCTCAGAGATAGACCCTATATTGGATCACAAAACATGTCTTAAAACATTCAAAAAATTAAAATCATATCAAGCATCTTTTCTGACTAAAATAGGATAAAACTAGAAATGCACAATGTGAGGAACTTTGGAAATAACAGAAACACATGGAAATTAACCAATATGTTTCTCAATGGCCAGTGAGGTCAATGAAGAAATTCACAAGAATGTTTTTAAAATCCTGGAAACAAGTGAAAATGCAAATACAGCATATCAAATCCTACGTGACACACCAAAAGCAGTACTAAGAGAAAAATTTCTAGCAATAAGTGCTCCCTCTGTCTCTCTCTCTCTCTCTCTCTATATATATATATATATGAGGAAAAATTTAAATAAACAAACTAATGATGCATCCTAAATAACTAGAAAAGCAAAACAAATCAAACTCCAAATTAGAAGAAAAGAAACAACAATGATAAGAGCAGAAATAAATGTATTAATCCCCCCAAAATAACAAAACAAAAATGAAATAAGAAGTCGACTTTCCGAAAAAATAAACAAAATCAACCAACATTTAGCGAGACTAGCTAATAATAAACAGAAGATTAAAATAAAAAGAGTCAGAGATAAAAAAGGATACATTACAACTGATACCACAGAAATTCAAAGGATCATTAGAGATTGTATTAGGCAGGGTTCTCTTACAAGAACAGAACTAATACATATATTCCATTTACATATATAAATACATATATAACTTATATATATACATATATAACATATATATATATACACATACATACATATGCATATGTACACACTTATATACAGGTGAGTTTATTAAGTTTTAACCCAAACAATCACAGGGTCCCACAATAGACCATCTGTAGGCTGAGGAGCAAGGAGAGCCAGTCTGAGTTCCAAAACTGAAGAACTTTGAGTCCAATTTTGAGAGCAGGAAGCACCCAGCATGGGAGAAAGATGTAGGTTGGGAGGCTAGGCCAGTTCCTCTTTCCACATTTTTCTGCCTGCTTATATTCTAGACATGCTGGCAGCTGATTAGATTGTGCCCACCCAGATTAAGTATGGGTCTGTCTTTCCCAGCCCACTGACTTAAATGTTAATCTCCTTTGGCAGCACCCTCACAGACACACCCAGGATCTATACTTTGTATCCTTCAATCGTTCAATCCAATCAAGTTGACACTCAATATTAACTATCGCAGAGACTACAATAAGCAACTATACACCAATAAATAGGAAAAGCTAGAAGAAATGACTAAATTACTAGACAAATAAAACCTACCAAGATTAAACCTAGAACAAATTCAAAACCTAAATAGACCAGTAATAAGTAATGAGATCAAAGCCATAAATATATATATATATATGTGTGTCTCCCAACAAAGAAGACCTGAGATGCATTGGTTTCACTGATGAATATTGCCAAACATTTTTTAAAAAATAATACCAATCCTACTCACACTTTTCTGAAAAATGCAGGAGAAAATACTTCCAAAATCTTTCTATGAGGCCAATAGTACCCTGATACCTAAATCAGAAAAAAAAAAATTTTAAAAAACTATAGGTCAATATCCCTGATGAATATCAATGCACAAATTCTCAACAAAATACTAGCAAATTGAATTTAACAATACATTAAAGACATCATTCATCACGACCAAGTGGAATCCATCCCAGTAATTCAAGAATGGTTTAATATATGCAAATCAATCTATATGATACAGCATTATCAACAGAATGATAGGCAAAAATTATATATCATTTTAATTGATACTTAAGAAAATAAAATTTAACAACTCATCCTAATAAACACCCTAAAAAAACTGGATGTAGGAGAAACATATCTCAACATAATAAAAGACAAGTATAATAGGCATACAACTAATATCATACTTAATTTGAAAAAACTGAAAGACTTTCTTCTAAGATTTGAAACACAACAAGTCTGTCCACTTTCATCATTGTTCCTCAACACAGTACTGGATGTGCTAGCCCTTGTAATTGCACAAGATAAAGAAATAAATAGCATCCAAACTTAAAAGGGAGAAGTCAAATCATCCTTGTTTTCAGATGATATAATATTATTTGGAAAAACCAAAAGACTCCACACATACAAAAACTAGTAGAACTCATAAAGAAACTCAGTAAAATTGCAGAATATAAAGTCAAAATACAAAAATCAGTAACATCTCTATATACAAACAGTGAACAATTTGAAAAAAAATCAAGAACATAATCCCATTTACAATAGCAACAAGTAAAATAAAATACCTAGGTTTAATCTTAACCAAAGAAGAGAAAGATCTCTACAATGTAAACTATGAAACAAAAACACTTATGCAAGAAACTAAAGAAGACATAATAAAATGGGAAGATATTTCATGTTCATGAGTTAGAATAATCAATATTGTTAAAATGCCCAAAATAAGAATTGTTTAATACAATTCTTATCAAAATACCAATGACATTCTTCACAGAAATGAAGAAAGTAAACCTAAAATATGTAAGGAACCACTAAAGACCCACAATAGCCAAAGCCATGTTGAGCAAAAGAACAAAACTTGAGGAATCACATTACCAGAGTTCAAATTATACTACAGAGCTACTGTAATCAAAACAGCATGGTTCTGGCATAAAAACAGGCATATAGACTAATGGAAAAAATAGAGAACCCAGAAATAAATCCATACATCTACAGTAGGCTCAGCACAGGTGGCAAGAACATATACTGGAGAAAGAAGAGTCTCTCCAAAAAAAAAAAATTGTGCTGGGAAAGTTGAATATCCGTATGCAAAAGAGTAAAATTAGACCCTTATCTCTCAACATATTCTAAAATCAAATCAAAATGGGTTAAAGATTTAAATTGAAGACCTAAAGCTACTCCCTAAGGGAAAACATCGGGAAAACCTGCCAGTACGTTGTTTTGGGCAACAATTTCTTGAGTAATACTCCAAAAGCACAGGAAACCAAAGCAAAAAATGGACAAGTGGAATCACATCAAGTCAAAAAGCTTTGCCACACCAAATGAAACAATACATAAAGTGAAGATACAACCCACAGAAAGGAAGAAAATACTTGCAAACTCCCTATTTGACAAGGGTTTAATAACTAAAATATATAAGGAGCTCAAACTAACAAATAGGAACACATCTAATAATACTACTATGTACCCTTAATAATTAAAAATTAATAAAAGAAAAAATTTATAGGGAAATTTTGACCCGACCACAGTCAAAATGTTCCCAACCTCCTACAACTCTTGTTAGTACTCTTAATGTTTGTGTTTGTTGGTCACCTCTTCATCCCAACCCCTGCTTCTTCACCCCACCTTCAATATAAAAAGAAGCTGAAATTTGTTCTGACTTGAGATGGTCTTGGTAATACTTGTTCACCATCCTCTTGAGTGCCTGGCTCCTGTATAAACCTGCTTTTCCTCTTCACTCTTGTCCCTTGAGTTTGGTTTTCAAAGAGCAAGCAGCCAAACCTAGGTTCCATTACACCAGTGTGTTCCTTCATGTAAATTATGAACTTTGGGTGATAAGAACGTGTCAGTGTAGACTCATCAATTGTAACAAATGTATTGCTCTTGTGTGAGGTGTTGATAATGGGGGAGTCTATGTATGTGTACAGGTAGGGAGTATATGAGAAGCCACTGTACCTTCCAATCAATTTTGTTGTGAACCTAAAATGTTCTAAAACTAAAGTTTATTAAAAGAACGCTTTTGATATTTGTCACTTATTACTGCATGCGCTTTGTTCCCTGGCTGTCTCATGTTCATCCTTTTTTTCTAGGCCACATTCTTCCATAGTATACATCGACAGTGACATTGTGCTAGCAACATTTCCTATTAACACCCAGATACTTCTACTCTTTCTCAGTTGTTATATTTTTCCCTTGAGATTATTCCACCTATACAATATCAACAGAAATTATTTCAATCTTGGAAATAAAGATTGCAAGCTTGCCTACATTACAGAATCACAGCAAATTTCATATCCATATTCCTTGTTCCCATATGATATCAATTTCCAGAAAAGTACTCTCATTCAACATACACACTCTCCCACCCCCAAACAAACACAAGTGAATGTATTAGATTTATATGTGGAAACAATAAAAAGCTTAGGAGAAAGAGGCTCAGAAGTCAGTCATTCTCCCTTGACCCAGATATTAAAAGCTGTACACAGATGATGTACATATCCATAAAGCAAATAGCACTTCAGTACCAAAATTTGCCTCCTCAGTTGTGTGCCCAATTTTTTGGCATGCTTTGAATATTTCTTCTTGAATACTTCTACACATGTCAGTCTGCCTCAATTCTACCTGTTTTTTAAAGCCATTCTCACGTGTGATTTCCCTCATTTCGTCACTGGATATTAACACTAGTTCTTTGATTAGCATATTTTTAGAATATTTATCTTATTCAGCCCTGTATTGCAAGCATTGGGTCATCCACTTATTCAACAAATGTTTATGAAACCTTGACATCTGATGAGAATTAAGCCAGACTATGGGGATGAAGAGTAAGCAAAAGAGCTTCAGTTCATCATGGAGCTTACAGACTAACAGAGAAATAGACATCACTTATTATACACTGTATGCAAATTTTGAATAAGCAATATAAATTTCTATATGAGAGCAAATTTATATTTTACATAATTAGCTTCTTATCAAGGGCTCTGTTCAGTCCTTCAACATTAACATCGAACAACTATCATACTGTCATGCATATAATATGTCATTTGTAAATATTTGTTGAAATAAAAGTAGTCGAAGAGGTAAGGAACTTGTTGCGCATAAAGATATTTTTTTCTTTATTCCCATCAGTAGAAAAATGTAGGCAGTTTTGGTTTGTCACTGTGTTTTTGCTGTGCTGAGATTTCACTTTCAGCTGAGGTAGTATAGCACAGTTTTTCTATTGTGAAGTTATGCTTAGGTCTTAATGAGCATTTTGTGTGTGTGCCACACTTCAAATTTATTATAGATTTTGTCATTGATTTTTGAGAAATGGGCCATAGGAATTTCTATTTAAAAAGCTAAACCACATGTGTAATTTAAAGTGTTGCAAAGCCTCTACTGCATTCCTCATTAGATCTCCCTTTGAATTAAAATTGAGTTTTTAGGACTAGGTCAATACCTCCCATAGAGTAATTAGACTGTTTGGGCACTAGGTCAGAGTTCTAGACTCCAGCTGATACCATATATCAAAATTATGTATTAAATTATCTTTATGTGTTGCTAGAAATATGAAAACCAAATTTTATACTGAGATTTACATATATTAAAAATGAACAGAAAATTATTATACTAGAAGACATATTCTCCCAAGGCTACTTTTGTTTGGTGTTTTGTTTGATACTTTCCAAGCTACAACCTTCAGAACTGAACAAAAGTAATATATTTTTTTCTTAGCAGATAGAGCCAGGTCATATGTCTATTGCTATAGCACAATCACACAGTGGAAAGATACTGAACTAATTGGCAATACTGGGAAATAAAAAGAAGATCTGGATTAGAGTGATAATGTGAGAAAAGGCTCCATAAAATGTGTGGGCTTGTAAGGAGGCTCGTAAGCCTGAGAGAAATGAAGCTAGCAGTAAATGACCTTGGATGTCTTAGACAATGATAATATGCAATATTGGTATAAATAAATAAGGGGGAAAAGGTAGAAAATACTGATTATAAACTTAGCAACATGGAAAGCCAATTTACCAATAAATAATGCAATGTCCATATTATTATTTTTTATTTTTTTAATTATACTTTTTTAGGGTACATGTGCACAACATGCAGGTTTGTTACATATGTATACATGTGCCATGTTGGTGTGCTGCACCCATTAATTCGTCATTTAACATTAGGTATATCTCCTAATGCTATCCCTCCCCCCTCCCCCCACCCCACAATAAAAAATGATGAGTTCATGTCCTTTGTAGGGACATGGATGAAGCTGGAAACCATCATGCTCAGCAAACTATCGCAAGGACAAAAAACCAAACACCGCATGTTCTCACTCATAGGTGGGAATTGAACAATGAGAACACATGGACACCGGAAGGGGAACATCACACACTGGGGCCTGCAATGTCCATATTATTTTGAAATGTGTGGGGAACTCACTGGTGAGAAGTAGGGATAATACCCTTGTGTTATTTTTCTGAGAATAGCAAACAGAATGGGACACATATGGTAATAAAAATAGTAAAACAGTCATAATTTGATTTCATATATGTCCTAAACTGAGAGTTCTTGAATAAAGGCAAACTGATATCTAAAGTAAATTTTTGAAATATAGTAATAATATCAAGGCAGAATTTAAGTAGTTTTTTTCTGAAAATGTCCTATTTATGATAAAAATTGACTTAGAATTTTAGTCTGGTTATGAGGTCAGTAAGTTAAAGTTTAATACACTGATTAATTTCTCCAAAATAAAAGATGAATAAATATTATCTTTAGATTCAAAATGTATTTTTTCAATTTAGTACCTCATTATATGTCTAGTACTTTAATGTAAAACTATGAAAAATTTAAAAATTCCAAGGTATTGAGAATGACATTGTCCAGTTTTTAGACCATTCTCTAGGCATGAATTCAATAAATTTAGAGGAATAAATGTATATTTTATGAATGTCAACATGATGATGTCCTAGACTGCAGAAAGTTGCAACAGTTTTTTATGACTGCACGTGAACGTTCATATAAATGCACTGAATAGAAATATATATTTCATTAATTTTAACCAAAACATGGTTTGTTTTTTTTAAATTGACTTTTTAAGAACCAACTGAATATTTTCTAAATTTTGCAGAATATATTTATATTAAATTTATAATGCAATAAAATAACCAATGTGACAATAAATATCACTTAAATATCTCAAAAGATAGAAAACAGTGTCATGGAAGAAAATACAGCTAGCATATTCCAAGATATTTGTGACATATGAATTATTTTAGTAAGTCTTGGGCTAAAATTACTATTTTATGCATTTTATTTATATTACATATAAATTATGAGTAAAGCTAATGAAAAAACTTCTATGAGATAGCGAGCTCTTTTAGCAATTCTCATTGATTTTACCTTCTCTATATATATCAAATATGTATTTCATTCATTTTATAAACTAAGTTTAATAAAATATAATTTAAAAATTTCCTCAAACCCCTCAGCTCTGTTATAATATATACTACCATCTATAAAATTTCTAAAATGACTGTTAATATGTAGTACAGAAACATATTCTTTTCAAAGAAAATTAAATTCTAATAATGAGTGGTCAAACTTATTTCTCTCTATTCTTTTTCTTTTAGTGAATTGCCTATAAATAACAAAAGTGACACCCATAAAAAGCCGTTGTGATGTCCATATTGGTATTATGCCTAAAATTAACTACTAATTTATTTGTATGAAATAGTTCCTTTTATAGTTCATTAAAAAGTAGTTCTTTGTTGAACATCAGAAACATATAACAACCAGTAACCTTGTTACGTCATCATGTAGCTCTGCCACGATTAACAAGCTTCATACGGGGATTGCTTCTTATTTGTACCCAATTATGCGGGCATCAATTCGTAAAAGCATCATATGACTTATGTTTTACTACTTTTGTGTGAGTAAATTACCTTTCAATGAGTTGGTTGTAATGGTAACATAAAATCAATAACATGAACTCTTCAATTAATTAACTACTTAGGCAAATATTAAAATATCTTTAAATGCCTTCTTTTGTAAAAGGCAATAGCAAAACATCTAAGATGTTAAAAATGCAAAGAAGTTAACACCCTATTCGTACACTCCCTCCCCTTTTGAAAATCACTAATAAAACTTGCTGGTTTTACGGCTCGGGTGGCATCAGGGAACCTGCCGACATGTGATGTCTCCCCCAGACACCCAGCTTTAAGATTTCAAAAAAAAAAACAAACGAACAAAAAAACAGTAAAAAAATTTTCTGCTGTCCTTTATCTACACACACTTAAGACCTGTCTTTCTAGAGGCAGTGGCTGCCATGGCCAATTTATTGTAGATCTCAGCAGGGACAGTCTGTACATTGACACAATTATACATATATCTATATTTGCAGTTATATCTATATGAAAGATTGTATATATGTGTATATTTAGATAAACGTATATACTTATATACATATATATAGATATATATTTATTTAGGGACAGAGTGTAACACTGTCACCTGGGCTGAGTGCAGTGGCACAATCACAACTCACTGTAATCACAAACTTCTGGACTCAAGAGATCCTCCTGCCTCAGCCTCCCAAGTAGCTGGAAGTACAGGTACGTGCCACTATGTACAGCTAATTTTTAAATATTTCATAGAGACTGAATCTTCATATGTTGTCCCGGCTAGTGTTGAACTCTTGGCCCCAAATAATCCTCCTGACCTGGACTCCCAAAGTGCTGGGATTACAGGCATGAGCCACCATGCCTGGCCTTATATATTTACAAATTGCAATACTCTATATGCTTGCTCTGTACTGTTTTTTTCATTTAAGATTTTTCTAAATACATCTATATTAGCACAAATAGAGCTGCATTTTTCATTTTCACAACTGAATATATTTTTGTATGGACCTTTTAACTATGATTTTCTTTTACCTTAGATACCATAGGACCTCCTATATTTTAGAGAGACTTTCCAAAATAAAAATAATTACTATCATATTATGTATATTTCCTCAAATTCCGCATGTTGTTCAGTGCTTAATACATTTTTTCTTTGAAAATGCACTTTTGAAAACATTTTACTTTTTATTCTTTACATGTCTCTCATTTGAGATGGATGGGATCAAAATACCCTCATAATATTTCCAGAGTAAAAATGCAATTATTACTACAAATTTGCCTTTTATTTATTAAGCAATAAAATTGATAATACATGATATTGTCAAAATAAATCTGTGTCATTATTTGATGCGAAGAGGTGAAGACTGATATAATGAGTTTTAAAAATATGCTAAGAGTAGCAAAACAGATACGTTGAACTAAATGCACTTTCATATATATTAAATTTTCAGACATGGAAGAATAAGAAGAAATGTAGAATATAAAAAATAAAGAAAGGAGTAGGAAGGACAAACACAAGGAAGGAAGGAAGGGAGGGATAAGATCAGTTTTCAAACATAAAAATGTAGCATGCTAAGCTATTCAACTTACATTATTTTATTTTACTTTAACAATTTCCTGAGAAGTAAAGACAGTCACAAGTGAAAAACCCTTGGGCCAAGACTTTTCCATCTCTTGCTTTTTTATAAATAAGGTTTTATTGAAACAGCTATTGTCATTTATTTACTTACTATTTATGGCTGTTTTTTCCTGCTACATTGGCAACACTGAACAGCAGCATCGGTAACAGAAGCCATATGATCCACAAAGCTTAACATGGTTATTATCTGATCTGATACACACACACACAAACACACACACGCTTAACATTTTGGGAGAATAGTTCAAGCGTTTATTATATAACAACTATGTGTGTACTTTTCAATGATTATACTGTGTAATAAAATATTTGAATATACTTATTAAATCAGAGTATTTCTGAAAAAAATCCAAAATTTTAATGTAGACGTTAGTGTCCAAAGAAGCAAAACTAGAAATTTCAATTATCTCACTTGTTACCTCCAACTATTTTTGTTTTTGTTGTTGATTTTTGGTTCATTTCCTCACCCAGATATCTTGATTACACAAACTCAGTCTCATCAGGACCTACAGTCTGTTGATCCTACTCTTCTCTATCTTTCAGGGCTTCTATTCTTTGTTTTTTTTTTTTTTTTTTTTTTTTTTGAGATGGAGTCTCACTCTGTCGCCCAGGTTGGAGTGCAGTGGCGCTTCTTTCTGTTCTTACTCACTTAAATGCGATAGGTCTTTCCTACAATTTTGCCCTTACCTAAGCCCTCAGCTCCTTTATTCCTCTCTTGCCTCTTCATATTTTCTTAGCAAACTAAATCTGCTTAAATTCATGCTTTTGTGCCTGTCTTCAACACTCCTAAACAGTGCTGAACTAAAAGAAAGAACTAAATTTCTACCACCTAACTTTACCTGTGTTCATCTACTGTATCTTATATGCACTATCTTCTCTTTTGTTACTACAGCAATTTTCATGCTTCTAATAAAGATCATCCCCTCTAACTAGGCACCCTCTCCTTCCACTTCCAGAAATTCTTCTCTTTCTCTTGCATCCCAGTGTTCTCCTCCTCAAATTCCCAATGACATAAACACATATCATTTTTCTTATTTTGAGATAAAAGAATTATTGCTTTTGTAGTCACATATAGGTGCCTTTCCATTTTGTTCCTTCCCAGGACAGAAAAATGCTTTATATGCATCAGTGTCAACATTTTTATCTCATTCTATTCCAATAGAGTTTAACCTCCTCTCAAAATTGTCCTGTCAAAATTACCAGTGTTTGCATTTTGTTAATCTGGCAGTTATTTCTAATCCTGATTTTAATCAACCAAACAGCAAGATTTGCTCACTCATTTTTGCTTAAAAAACTTTTCTAGTTTGTTTTTTAGGGTGTGTACTTTTCTGCTTTTTCTTTGACCTAGTGGCTTTATGCTCCAGCTCTTTATTTATCTCTTCATCTCCCTGAAATCTTTATTTTATACTCTGAGTTTTGTTTTGTTTTGTTTTGTTCTTTGGATAAGTTCTTTTCCCTCTGAACATGCACTTTCTTGGTGATCTCAATCAATTATAAACATGTAAATGCAATCTATATGTTGAGGTCACAGATATTTATATTTTCAATTGAGCCATCTTTCCTGAACTCCAAATTTATATACCCAACTCCCTAATTCACATCTTTCCTCATTGTCCATACATCCAAAAACATCTCTTGAGTTCTTACACACCTCAGTCTTAAAATGTTCAAAACAAATCTCTTGATTTCTACTTTTTATCCAAACTTGCTTTTTCCATAACCATCCCAATTCTCAATACTACTAACTTCTTTTTGTCTAGCTACTTTAACCAAAGACCTTAGAAATATTCTTGAACTCTCTGTTTCTCCCAGGTCCCCATCTGATCTACCAGAAAATCCTGTCAATAGTCTTTTCAAACTTTACTAAAATATAACCACTACCACTACTTCTACTGCATGTATATGGGACATGGTCTTTCATTTAAAAAAAATATTTTTTTTTAGAGATGATGTCTCACTATGTTGCTCATCCTGGAGTGCAGTGGATATTCACAGACACTATCATAGTTCACTGCAGTCTAGAACTCCTGGGTTGAAGCCATCCTTCCACCTCTCAAATAGCTAGGACTACAGGTGCACACCATAACATCTGCTGGGCCAAGATCTTTCTAGGAATACGTAAGATTATTAACTGATACTCTTGTTTTAGCAACTGTCTTAAGCGTAAATCAGAGAGAGTAATCCATGCTCTCTAAGTCAGTATTGAAGAATAGGATAAAGCATTGTGACTGGTGTAATCACACAGTGAAGTGGCTTTGTTGCGTGGGGAAATACCTGAGATTCATCATTTGGCGGTGAGAAAATTAACTACATGGACACACGCCCATGGAGTGGGTTAAGGAGCGAAAAGTTTAATAGGTGGGAAAGAAGAGAACAGCTCCCCCATGCAGAGGGAGGAGGGCTTGGAATGGAATCTCCACTCATGGCTGGAAGCAGCAGGTAATATAAAGAAGCTTGAGGAGAAGGTGTTTGATTTACATAAAGCCCAAGGGATTGGTTTGACTAGGTGTGCCATTTACATAGTCCATGAAGAAACTGGCCATCCCACCTTAATCTTTTATTTGGTAAATGGGGTTGTTTACCTGGCTGGCCCCATGACACCTGCACAGGTGGCAACCAAGAGAAGGGCGGGGGAGTCACCATATTGGGTGTACCTGGCTTTTAGTATAGCTGCTGGCATTCCCCTCTGCAAGCTTCCAGCTTGTTTATCTATACTTGCAGCTTGGCTTTTCAGGCTGCTTTCTGTTAGAAAAGAAGTAGTTTGGGGGATGCTTTTTATTAAAAGAAAAGCTTTACCGAGGACTCCTGTACCCTCACTATCTGCCTAAATAAGTCCTTTTTAACTCCTTTATTAACGGGGCTATAAACTCAGATTCCCTAATTGTTGGGACTTGATGCTCTGTGGTTGCTGTTTTAAAATTCTTGATTGTATCTTCATTTCTGCTTTGTAAGTAACTGCAATAAGAAAATGAAGAATATGCTTCCACTATCTCTCTTCTTCTTGGGATGGATTCTCATCTCCTGGCTTCCTATATCTTGCTCGATTGCCCTTTTCTTGTCCCCATCATGCAAATCAAACACTGCCGTATTGTGCCTGGGTAGATGACTGGGTAGCACAGGCAACAGTGGACCCATGTTTCACTGTTGCTTGAAAAACAGGGGAGAGAGGATGGAAGGGCAGAGAGCAGGTATTGTCAGACTCACCATGAGGGTCCCACAATGCCTGGGGTATGACTATTCTTGCTCCCGATTACAAAAGAAGGTGTTCTCAATTTGGAGTGGGAGGATGGGTGTAAAACCACAAATCTGAAAATTAAATGAAGCCTTAAGTAGAAAAAAAAAATGGAGAAAAACCATCCTTTTGTTAGCTTGAAGTTGTGATCCTAGTTAAAGCAAGAGGTGATCCAGCAAGAAATCCAGCAGGTGTCAAAGCAAAAATTTTATCAAAGTTAAACAGGCAGGGCAGACCCTATTCAAGGCCATTATAATGAGGGAGTGTGTTAATTTGCTAGGGCTGCCATGCCAAGATATCACAGATGAGGTGGCTTAAAGAACAGGCACTTATTTTCTCAGTCTGGAGGCTAGAAATCCAAGATAAAGGTGTTGGTTTGTTTTACTTTTTCTGACGCATCTCTCCCTGGCTTGCAGGTGGCTGCTTTCTTGTGTTTTCAGTTTTTCCTGCTCCCCATGTGTCTCTTTTTCTATCCAAATGTCCTCTCTTTGTAAGGACAATAGTGAGATTTTGTTAGGACTCACAGAAATGGCCTTATTTTAACCTAATTATTTTTGAAGACCTTATCTCCAAATACAGTCATATTCTTTGGTTCTGGGAGGTCAGGGTTTTATCATATAAATTTGAGGAGACTACAATTCAGCCCATAACCAACAGAGAGGCCAAAACTCAATCTGAACTCAACTCTGCTGAAACAAAGTGTTAGAGAGATTTTATGAGCTGGCATGTGGAGATTGTAGGCCATCTGTGTTTGCTAATTAAATTTGTAAAAAGAAAAACTAAACTTCTCATAACTTTACGACATGAAGAAGATTTACAACTTGGAGCAAGGTGCCTACTCCAAATTAGGCTTCCATTCCTGCACAGAAATTGGGATATAGGAGCATTATCTTCCTTGGTGCTTACATTTTTAACGGATAGCTCCCCAAGTCTTTGAGAAGACAATCCTGGTTTTTAAGAGCTGGAAGAGGCTTTTTAAAATATTTACATCTCAAAGGAACAAAAAAAAATTATAATGAAAAGTTTTCTGAAATAAATACTCTATGAGAAAAAGAGGTCAAAAGCCTGGAATCAGGAAGAAGCTGAAGTTTAGTCAAGCCGAAGGGAAAGTTAAGCCACTCTTGTGACAGGAAAATCCTGGAAATTAGAGGCAGATGTATGGTTAGGTAATTCTCCACATATATTTTCCCAGGTGGAAAACTATGTCAAGTGTAGGGAATGCCAGTGAGAGCCTGGTAGAAAGTAAAAACCGGTGGAGAATTGAGAGTAAGAATCGAGTATGCTTCCCAACCTATATGCTGGTCCATGGGCAAAGGGAAAACCTTATGGCTTGAGAAATTTGATACAAACTCAAACTAAAATCATTTACTTAAAGAATTGTTTTATGAAAATGAAGGCATAGATTTTCTCCAACATCACAGAAGTTAGTGCTGTGAATCTATTTGTCCTTGCCAGAGACTGCAGAGAGCATCTGTATTTTCCACGGACATTTCAGTTCTCATTAGATCAGCTGGATCATAAGGGCCAAGTTGAAGAGTGGTTTTTTACTACATCCTGAACATGCTGCAGACCTTCTTCTGATCTGTCTCCATTTGAAACTTTAAGCCTTATTGGTGACTCTGTAGATTGGTCAGAGTAACACACTCAGATGTAGTATCTCCAAAATCCAAAAAGGCCAACTACAGGCACTATGCTAATTTGTTTTTTCTGGCAGGTCATGTGAGCTATAGAAACTTGTTTTTCACCATGAACAGACTATGTTGATATGCTCCAGAGAAATGAACCATCAGAAAATTTACTGAGATGACAGGTCTATAAATTTGTATGGATTTTAAAATCTCTTACCTTCAAGTTTTCATTTAAAATATGTGCCCATTCCTGATTATCATATACAGTCTGCCCAATGTTACTGTAGTAAATTTTGTGATGTCTTAAGGAATTTCAAGACAAATCAATATTTCTTCAGATCATATTATGGCAAAGAGCAGGAAAATTAGCATTTTCCTGAAGTAATACTGTGAAGATATACTATTGACCAAAATGTCCATGAAAAATATCAAATGTTCTCTGCCATCTTTTAGCAAGCAAAAACAAGAGATTCAGCTCACCTCATACTGTCTCTACAGATGCTTAAAGAATATTTCCTTTTCAACCTCTTAGTAACCACTTCATTTCACCATTTTATTTAACTCTTATCTACCCTAGTGTGATCTGCAATCTCCAGTTTCTATGAATTCTCTGCATTAATCCCATCTTTTATCTTTAACTTCTACTCATCTCTTATTTTTTCCCTACTTGTTTATTTTACTTTTTGTAATTTTAAAAAATATTTCTGTATTTTTTTGCATTTGTGCTTAAATTAGTCAATATTCAAAGAGAGTGAAATACCAAAAAAAAAAAAGAGGTTTTTTTACCATCAATATCATATTTTCTTATGTCTGGGAGCATTTTGTATTAAGTTTAAATTCATGTTCAAAGTATTCGTATGTAGACAATTGTGCTATAAAATAGGGACAGAATAGATATTTAAATTATTTATATTCCAAACAGTAATTATCAAAATAGCATCTTTCTTATAAAGATTTGTTCCTCTAGAAACAGAGAAAGGCATCTGTTATACAATATTTTTTGTTGTAATCATAAAAACAGATTATCTTATTATGAGGTACTAGCCAGGATATTGAAGTATATTTAATGGCATTGCCGGATAAGAGTACACTTATAAAACATTGCATTCTATGAAAAGTAACACATGTATTTTTGCCATTTTTTTTGCTTTCTTCTAAGCTGCATTTCTTTTCAATTATATTCATCAGGTAATCGGAGAAGAGGAAAACACAATGCTTTAGATCACCTGTACAGAAAATACTGCCACCTAAAGAATACTCTTTGGGTAAAATTCTGATAAGGTGATTGACTTTTTATTTTTTTAACAGAAAACATGAACAGTTATGTGTATATGGGGTTGCCAAAAGACAAAATTACCACAAATTTTGATTAAAGATCTAATTGGATTTTATTTGAAATTCTAGAATCCAGCACTATCTTGTTTTATAAAAGAGAATGAGTGTTCCAATGAGTTGAGCATAATATTTTGGCTTTACAAATAAAAAAGGGCTGAACAAAGCAGAAATAGAAAACAAGAAACAGATTCATCTTTTCAAAGCTGCTTTCCTTATAAGGTTAAAGTAGAGGGACATTCTTTCATGCTGGTTTGGATAAACTGGAGGCACCTTCTGATTGGTTGCTGTGAGTCTCCAGCTTTTGGAAAACTGGCAAATTTCTGAATTCAGTTTGATTTCACGGCACCTAGCATTAGTTACTCCATTCTAGTTTGGTCTCTTCAGCTGGATCCTAGTTTAGGAGCCTCATTCAAAACAATAGCCCCCCAAAACTTCATGTAACAGGGCCATATTTCTAAAATGAGAACACTTACTTATTCCTGTTTTGTAGACTTTACTAGTTTTAATTAAGGAAGAACTACAAAAATTGCACACAAAAAGGTTTATATTTCAAATACAAGATATGAGATCTAATGAATCAACACAGGCAAAAATACAATATTAAGAAGTGTTACTTAAATGTTATTAATTTTTATTGACACTTTGTGACCTAAAGAAAATCACCCACTTTTATAAGATGAGTTAAAATTGTAAATATTTACCATTGAAGAAAGAACTTGAATTTCTTCTTTTCTTTTAGGAAAACAAAAACTATAAAGATATGAATGCATTTTAGGAGGTATAAAAATGGGCTTTACTTTCAAATATGCAAGGCAATAATAAATATAATGTACCTACAATATTTATAATATCTCAGGTATGTCTTATTAATTAATCTTATCAGATATCCAATGAGATGCCATTTACTTAGAAAGAAACTTCATGTTAGGCAGGTTAAGTGATTTATCCATACTTACATATCTTAAGTAGAAGCCAGATTCATGTTTTTTTAAAAAATATATTTACCACAATAAGTCACAATAGAATTGTAAATGTCATGCTGAGAAACAAAAATATGTCAATATGCTAATGACTATAATTTGACAACAGTTGTCCATATTTATCTTTAATCATAATATAGTAATGATGGGGATCGTTTTAAAAATAGAGAAGGGAGTTGCCAATTCAGCAAAATTGGTAGAGTATTCCATCTCCAAATAGCCCCCTAAAATGATTTCTCATGATCTGCTATTCCATTGTTAGTGTATTATTCTTCACTCAGGAAGACCTTCTAGAAGACGTATTTTCCTTGTAGGGCATTCTATGAAGTCTCTAACACTTAGTTATGGTATAATTTATAAGTCATTGTTTTTCATACTCATTAACCCTTTCCTTGTAATAAAATATATACTAAGACACTAATTTTTAGTCCTAGCATTTATCAAAATACCAAAACAGTAGCAGCAGATGGCTAACATTAAAATAGCAGTACTTTATGGACCAAAAGGGATACACTAGTTTCCCTATTTAGTGACAGTCGCTTTTTACTGGTGCGGGATATTTGCTCCTTATTTCAGATCAAACCAAGTTCTTGTCACTTGACCAAGAAAGATTAGGCACGTGGACATATTAAAAGGTGAGGAGAGCAGAATTTATTAAAAGAAAGCTCTCAGTGAAAAAAGGAGGGGTCCCAACAGGCTCCCACTTCACAGATTGAATACCAGCTCATCACAAAGGAGCTGAAGAGGTCAGGCTCCTCCTCCCTTCACAAGGCACAAACTTCCCGTTAGCTCCACCCAATCTCCCAGCTGCTGGCATGAGCAGACAAAACCCTGGGCAGGTTCCCTTATCTGCACAAAAGCATCTGATGTAAACACTTGTAGGATGGGTTGGAGATTCTCCCAGGACCACCCCTCCCTCCTTATCTGCCTCCTGCATCTATCACAACAATCAGTTTATCTGGTTAACCTCTTATAACCTCTAACACATCTTCATTAAGGAGAACAAGGCTGCCATAGGTTGGGGAACAAATAAAGACAAAAAGTTCAGGACCCCATGAGTCCTTTAGATGCTTACAGAAAATATTACTTGCAAAATTACTATAAAGTATTCCACCTAACCATCCCTCAAGAAGGTTTTTCTCAATTTATCTTCATAGCTCATAAACTGTGCCTTTTTTTGTGGCAAAATGTCCTGAAGAATTGTGTAAGAACACTGCAAAGTTGTGTACTACTTGCTTAAGGTATACCTTAGAAGCTAGGCTCAAAAGAGAGTCCCATGCTAGAAAGATACAGAGGCCAGATAAAGGGGTGAGGACAGAGCTGGTATGAGTAGGCAGAAAGATGTTGTAAAGCATTTGGCAGCTAGTAACCAAGGTATCAGTGACCATTCTAGATCATTATTCATGGAAAAACCTTCCCAGATCCTGGATAACACAGCATTTTAGTACTTTGGAGAGCAAATTCTTTCACTGTACTCAAATCTGAAGAACAAATGTAAGGAATGTATAATAAGATTATTTCATCCTGAGGCACATAAAACCAGATATTAACCAGTAATCTAGAAACACATATGGTTCCAAATATTATAGAGACCTTAGAGAAAGCAAATTTGGGCCAACTCCAGCAAAACCATAAACCCAAGAAAATGCATTTAAATGTGATTCTACCTAATTTAAGATCCTCGGAAGACGTGAAAAAGAATGAGTATAATAAATAACCCAATTTTCCCATTCTATGCAATTCAAACCAACAGCCTCTTCTCTCATCTCTAATAAAATTGGAGGTGATTGGATGGGAGATGAGAAGTAAAAAATCAAGGGATATGGTTAATAATAAACCCAAACCTATTAACTCATCTTAAATTTGAAGGCCAGAGTAGCTAATTTTGATATTATTGCCACTTTTTTTTCCCCAATTTTACAAATCCTTATGCTTCCTGTATATCTTCAACTTGCTTATTTACTTTTTAAAGATAATTTGAAACAAAATGTATTATCTTCACAATGTCTGTGGGACAGGAATTTTGGAATGACTAAGCTAGGTGATTTTGGTTCAGGGTCTCTCATAGAGTTCAGACAAAGTATCATCCAAGGCTACAGTCGTCAGAAACTTGATTGGAGCAGGAGCTACTTCCAAGGTTACTCACAGGCTGGGAAGTTGATACTGACTGTTAGTGGATGTCTTCAGTTACACTCTCTGTCCCCTGCCCTGATATGGCCCATCTGCTGCTAAAATGGTAGCATACTCATGATATTACATAATTGACCTTCAACTGGTCTCCCAAATGAAAGAAAATTCTACCCAACAAGAAGCCAATTCAATAGCTTATTTAGATTCGACACATCTTCTGACAGTTTCATAGAAATATCACCAGTTTTCTTGGGCTTCAATGTTGACCAAGAGATGATAAAACATTCCTATACATTTATAGCAATGTAAATTTGTTAATGGAAATTGTAAAAAAGAAATCCCTTATAGACTTTTATTACATCTCTATAATACATTTGAGATATATATTATTTCCCTCATTTTACAATGGAAGTAAAGCCTTTAAAGCACCGTCCATAATCACAGGAAATTTACTAACCTGAAGTCCAACAAAAATACCAGTATTTCAACATTTATGTTTCTTTTCGTTTCCCAGTGAATATAATGGATATAAATTGAAAAAAAGGTGAGAACCCATATAGCCAAAAAACTGTTAGCAAAATATTCATTTTAAAACATGATTTCTGGCTGAGCATAGTGGCTCCTGCCTGTAATTCTAGCATTTTGGGAGGCCGAGGTGGGTAGGTTGCTTGAGGACAGGAGTTCAAGACCAGCCTGGAAAACATTGTGAGACCTTGTATAAATTAATAAATAAAAATTTAAAAAATCAGCTGGGCATGGTGGCACATGCCTGTAGTCCCAGCTACTTGGGAGCCTGATGCAGGAGGATTGCTTGAGCCCAGGAATTAGCGGTTACAGTGAACTATGATCATGCCACTTTAGCCTGTACAGAAGAAACCCTGCCTCTGAATACAAAACAAAAGAAAACAATTTTTTTTCTGACTAGTTGAAGAAAACATTCCAAACTACAGCTTGCACTCTATCTTTATGTATTTTCAAAAACTATTAACATTTCAAACTTGTATAATGCAAATGTAACAATGCTTATCATCTTAAGCACCAATGGATTTCAACACTTGATAAAATTTAGCTCAAGCTTATCTCTGAACAGTCTGCCAGAGGAGTTAAAAATATAGTCAAGCAGTAAAATAGCAACAGAGATTAAGTGAGGATTGACTTGAAGAGTAGGATGGTAAATTGTACTGATTCTACTGAATTAATCATTTCTCATTGATTTTTAAAATCCTTAGTGGCCCATTACAACGATCTCTATCTCCAGCTGCTTAGATGAAAAGTTTTATTTTTTTTTCTCCACAAAGATGAAGATGTTTCCATGGAAATGGGCCAATTTATCATAGCAAAATTAGATTATATTTCGGTTTTTAAGAATTTTGTATAACTGATTAAATCTTTTCATTTGGGATATGTGAAGATTATTACATTATCTCCATGTCACTTCCCATTCAGTGATGTTTATATGAGGGCAATCTCACTTACATGTGCCCAAAATATAATGTGACCCGGTGACTTCAAATGCCAAAACAGATAAAAAACAAATGGCATCTTCATTCATCATTTGCATATCTCTATTAGAACCTGCATTTGTAGGTTTCCAGGCAATGTCAATATGTCAGAACACACACAAAGCTTTAGTTCATCTTAAAGAAAGTGCCTAGAATTATGAAAGGTAATAACAAAATTAGCAAAAACTACTTGCTGTATTTTTCTTTTGGATTCCTCACTTAGAATTTTTTAAACTTGTATTTATCAGAATAAGAAAGAATGCTACTCGTATGAAATTGAGGAGTGTCCTTTTTAGATTAATAGAATTCTAGTCTGGTTTATGGTTCAAACAGGCTCAGGAGTCATCAACTTATAAAATATCCTAAAAATAACAAATAACTATGTTGACAAGCCTAACATTAAAGACGAAGCAATTAATGGCAGCATATTTTATGCCATAGACAGTTGAAAAACAATTTTTCTTTACAAATATGACAATTTTTGTTTTCATTTTTATGGTTGGCATAAGGCCAATTATTGTTTATACTTTAATGTGTAAATAATTGGATTAAAGTGTGACAATTACAAATTGAATAATATTTGCAAAATATCCTTTTAATTCTCTCTTGTCAAGAAACTATTTTAATTTGATATAATTAATGTCAGAGACTAGAAAAAATAAAGCATTCCGATAGTTTACTGACCACTGCCCTTTTTCAGAATTTTAAATAGAAACCAACTTATAACTGTTCCTTAATGGATTCAATCATATACCCATTTGTTCTTCACGTATGCTGGGCCACGTAAGAATGTTTTAGTGATTATAACACATGGGTGCTCAGCATCTGGTAGCTTAAAACCTAGAGAAACCTATCACACAAAATTGTAAGTAATTTATCAGTTTTTTATACTAATGTAAAAACTTCAGCTAAAGTACCTTTGATAAAAATTTAAAATATTTTAATACAAGTATCAACATAAGAAAAAAATTAACAGAATTTAACCACAATAAAAAAACATAAACTTCCATTTTTAACCATGACATTTTAAATAACATCATTCTGAAGTCTACACTGTGATAAATATATTAGCTACTGCAGCAAGTTCTGAAATAAATAAATCACAAATTCTTTACAAATAGGTCCCCATCATTAGCTTTACAACTTCCTTGACAAGAGGCTTGGTGTGATTACGAGGTAATGTAAAACATCTGTAGTTTTATCTAAATATTCTAAGTTTTTTTTGAACATAGTCTTAATCTTTATTTAATAAGCACTTTACATAGTGCTTATGATGTGTCAGGTACACTTTTTTTTTTACTTGGTATTCCATGGTGTATATGTACCACATTTTTTTAATCCAGTCTATCACTGACGGGTATTTGGGTTGATTCCAAGTCTTTGCTATTGGGAATAGTGCTGCACTGAACATACGCATTCATGTTTCTTTATAATAGAATGACATATTCATTTGGGTACATACCCAGTAATGAGATTGCTGGGTCGAGTGGTATGGCTGTCTTTAGGTCTTTGAGGAATCGCCCAGGTCTTCCACAATGGTTGAACTAATTAACACTCCCACCAGCAGTGTGTAAGTGACCCTTTTCTCCACAACTTCGCCAGCATCTGTTATTTTTTAACTTTTTGATAATAGCCATTCTGACTGGTGTGAGATGGTATTTCATTGTAGTTTTGATTTCCATTTCTCTAAGGATCAGTGATGAGCTTTCTTTCATATTCTTGTTGGCCACATGTATGTCTTTTTTTGAAGACTATTTGTTCACGTCCTTTGCCCACTTTTTAATGGTGTTTTTTTTTTTCTTGTAAATTTAAGTTCATTAAAAATGCTGAATATTTCACCTTAGTCAGATGCATAGTTTGCCAAACTTTCTACCATTCTGTAGGTTGTCTGGTTACTCCGTTGATAGTTTATTTTGCTGTGCAGAAGCTCTTTAGTTCAATTAGATCCTATTTGTCAATTTTTGCTTTTGTTAATATTGCTTTTGACATCTTCGTCATGAAATCTTTCCCTGTGCTTTTATGTCCTAAATGGGATTGTCTAAATTGTTTTCCAGGCTTTTTTAGTTTTGAGTTTTACATTTAAGTGTTTAATCCATCTTGAGTTAATTTTTGTATATGATGTAAGGAAGGGGTCCAGTTTCAGTTTTCTGCATGTGGCTAGCCAGTTATCCCAGCACCATTTATTGAATAGGCAATTGTTTCCCCGTTGCTTGTTTTTGCCAGGTTTTTTGAAGATCAGTTATTTGTAGGTGTGCAGTCTTATTTCTGGGTTCTCTATTCTGTTCCATTGGTCCATGTGTCTGTTTCTGTACCAGTACCATGCTGTTTGGTTACTGTAGCACTGTAGTATAGTTTGAAGCCAGATAGCATGATGCCTCCAAATTTGTGTTTTGCTTAGGATTGCACTGGCTGTTTAGACTCTTTTTGTGTTCCATATGAATTTAAATTTTTTTTTCTAGTTCTGTGAAGAATGTCAGTGGTAGTTTAATGGGAGTAGCATTGAATCTATAAATTGTTTTGCATATTGTGGCCATTTTAATGACATTGATTCTTCCTACCAATAAGCATAAAATGTTTTTCAATTTGTTTGTGTCAGCTCTGATTTCTTTGAGTGGTGGTTTGTTCTCCTTGTGGAGATCTTTCAGTTCCCTTGTTAGCTGTATTCCTAGGTGTTTTATTTATTCATTTATTTTTTTTTTTGTGGTAATTGTGCATGAGCGTTCGTTTGTGATTTGGCTCACAGCTTGACTATTGTTGGTGTATAGAAATGTTAGTGATTTTTGCACATTGATTTTGTATCTTGAGTTGTTGCTGAAGTTGTTTATCAGCTTAAGAAGATATTGGGCTGAGACTATGGAGTTTTCTAGATATAAGTTTATGTCATCTGCAAAGAAGGATACCTTGACTTTCTCTTTTCCTATTTGAATTCTTTCTTTCTTTCTTTCTTTCTTTCTTTCTTTCTTTCTTTCTTTCTTTCTTCCTTCCTTCCTTCCTTCATTCTTTCCTTCCTTCCTCCTTTTCTCCCTTTCTTTCTTTCTTTCTCTTTCTTTCTTTTCTTCTTTCTCACTCTCCCTTCTTTCTTTCCTTCCTTTCTTTTATTTTTTCTTTATTGCCTTTCTTTCTTTTCTTTTTTCTTTATTGCCTTTCTTTCTTTCTTTCTTTCTTTCTTTCTTTCTTTCTTTCTTTCCTTCATTCCTTTTCCTTCTTTCTTTCTTTCCTTCTTTCTTCCTACCTTCCTTCATTCCTTCTTTCCTTCTTTCTTTCTTTCTTTCCTTCTTTCTTCCTTCCTTCATTCTTTCCTTCCTTCTCTTTCTTTCTTCTTTCTTTCTCACTCTCCCTTCTTTCTTTCCTTCCTTTCTTTTCTTTTTTTCTTTATTGCCTTTCTTTCTTTTCTTTTTTCTTTATTGCCTTTCTTTCTTTCTTTCTTTCTTTCTTTCTTTCCTTCTTTCCTTCTTTCCTGATTTCTTGCTTTCTTGTTTTTCTTTCTTTCTTTCTTCCCTTTGCCTGATTGCTCTGGCCAGAACTTCCAATACTATCTTTAACAGAAGTGGTGGAAGAGGGCATCCTTGTCTTATGCCAGTTTTCAAGGAGAATGCTTCCAGCTTTCACCCATTCATTACGATGTTGACTGTGGGTTTGTCATAGATGGCTGTTATTATTTGGAGGTATGTTCCTTCAATACCTAGTTTATTGAGAGATTTTAAC
Source organism: Homo sapiens (assembly GCF_000001405.40). NCBI lineage: Eukaryota > Metazoa > Chordata > Mammalia > Primates > Hominidae > Homo > Homo sapiens. Next base: position 58,991,353 of record NC_000004.12, on the reverse strand, counting down.
GTAAGTTGATGTTGAGTTTTATTGAAATATTTTTCTAAATATATTGAGATAATTATGAGGTTTTTGCCTTTATTTATGTTTATGTGAATAACCACATTTATGAATTTTCATATTTTGAACCAACATGGAATCCCAGGGGTAAAACCTACTGGATTGTGGAGGATTAGCTTTTTAATGTGCTGCTGGATTTGATTTGCCAGTATTTTATTGAGGATTTTGACATTGATGTTCATCAAGAATATTGGCCTAAAATTTTCTTTTTTGTTGTTGTTGTATCAGCCAGGTTTTGGTATCAGGATAATGCTGATACCAGTTAGTTAGTAGGCTATTTATTACTGACTCAATTTCAAAAGTAATCAGGAGGGGAAAGAGAGAGGGTATGGTAATCCACATGTTGTAAGAGAAAAGGAGCAGGTAGGAGAATAATCAATTATATTTTTGTCTTGTTCTCAGCAAATTGGCACTTTATATAAGAGCATGTGAACATGGCATAGCTGCCTATGGAGATATTTTACCTTTCATCTGTAGTTGTCTGCTTAAGAACAGAAGGAAAGTAATTTCTTGCATGACTCAGCTTTCAGCTTATTATTATTATTTTTCTTTGGCATAGTGAATTGAGTTCTCAAGTTTTCATTTCCTTGTCACCTATCTTTTGGAGTATTTTTCAAAATTGTAATTTTAAAACACGCACCCTGAAGATTCTGATAGGAAAAAAGTCCCTCCTCCTTGAATTTTTGAAATAGTTTCATCAGGAATGGTACCAGCTCTTCTTTGTTCATCTGGTAGAATCAACTATGAATCCATCTGGTCCTGTGCTTTTTTTAGTTAGTAGGCTATTTATTACTGACTCTATTTCAGAACTCATTATTGGTCTAGAGATTCAATTCCTTGCTGGTTCAATTGTGGGAAAGTGTATGTGACTAGGAATTTATTTATTTCTTCTATATTTTCTAGTTTATGTGCATAGAGGTGTTCGTAATCTCTGAGTTTTGTTTGTAGTTCTGTGGGGTCAGTGGCAATATCCTCATTGTTTCTAACTGTGTTTTTTTTTTTAATTTTCTCTCTCTTTTTTCTTTATTAGTCTAGTTAGAGTCTATCTTTTTATTATTTTTTAAAATAAAGCCAACTCCTGAATTAGTTCATCTTTTGAATTTTTTTTTTTTCTGTCTCCAATTCCTTCAATTCAGCTCTAATTTTAGTCATTTCCTATCTTCTACTAGCTTTGGGATTTGTTTGCTCTTGGTTTTCTAGTCCTTTTGGTTATGATGTTAGTATGTTGACTTAAGATATTTCTGACTTTTTGTTATGGGCATTTAGTGCTATAACCTTTTATATAAACATTGCCTTAGCTGGGTCCCAGAGCTTCTGCTATGTTTTATCTTTGTTCTCATTAGTTTCAAAGAACTTCCAAATATATGTCTTAATATCATTATTTACCCAAAAGTCATTTAGAAGTCATTCAATTTCTGTGTAATTGTATGGTTTTGAGTGAATTTCTTAGTCTTGATTTTTAATTTGATTGTGCTGTGGTTTGAGAGGTTCTTTGTTATGATTTCAGTTATTTTTCATTTTCTCAGGAGTGTTTTATTTCCAATTATGTAATTAATTTTAGAGTAAGTGCCATGTGAAAATGAGAAGAGTGTATATGCTGTTGCTTTTGAGTGAAGAGTTCTGTAGTTATCTAACAGGTCCATTTGATCAAGTGCTGACTTCAGGTCTTGAATATTTTTGCTAATTTTCTGTTTCAATGACCTGTCTAATATTGTCAGTGGGGTATTAAAATCTCCCACTATTATTGAGTGGGAGTCTAAGTCTCTTTGAAGGTCTCTAACAACTTGCTTTATAAATCTGTGTCCTACTATGTTGGGTACATATATATTTAAGATAGTTAGCGCTTCTTGTTGAATTGAACCTTTTACCATTATGTAATGCCCTTTTTTGTCTTTTTTGATCTTTGGTGGTTTAAAGTCTTTTTTGTCAGAAACTAAGATTGCAACCCCATCTTTTTCATGTTTTCTATTGTCTTGGTAAATTTTCCTCCATCCCTGTATTTTGAGCCTATCTGTTCATTGCATATGATTTGGGTCTCTTAAAGACAGCATAGCAAGGCCTTGGTTCTTTATCCAGCTTGTCACTCTGTATTTTAGCTGGGGCTTTTAGCGCTTTTACATTTAAAGTTAGTGTTGATATGTGTGGATTTGATTCTGTTATCATGATGTTGGCTGGTTATTTTGCAAACTTAGTTTATGTGGTTGCTTTATAATGTCACTGGTCTGTATACTTCAGTGTGTTTTTGTAGTGGTTGGTAATAGTCTTTCCTTTCCACATTTAATCCTTGTTTCAGGAGCTCTTTTAAGGCACGTCTGGTGGTAAGAAATTCCCTCAGCATTTGCTTGTCTGATAAATAACTTATTTCTTCTTTGCTTATAAAGCTTGGTTTGGCTGGATTTGAAATTTTTGGTTGGAATTCTTTTCTTTATAAAATATTGAATATTGGCCACTAATCTCTTCTTGCTTGTGGGGTTTCAGCTGAGAGATTCGCTGTTAGTCTGATGTGCTTCCCTTTGTAGGTGGCCTGGCCTTTCTCTCTAGTTGCCTTTAACATTTTTTCTTTCGTTTTGACTTTGAAGAATCTTATAATTATGTGTCTTGGGGATGTTTTTCTCATGGTGTACCTTACTGGAGTTTTTTGCATTTCCTGAATTTGAATGTTTGTCTTTGTAACTGGGTTTGGGAAGTTCTCATAAATGATATCCTAAAATATGTTTTCCAAATTGTTTCCAATGTCCCCATATCATTCAGGAACACAGTCAGTCACAGATTTGGTCTCATTACATAATCCCATATTTTGTGGAGGTTTTGTTCATTCCTTTTCTTTTTTTTTTTTTCCTGTTTTTGTCTCATTGTCTTATTTCAGAAATCTAGACTTCAAGCTCAGTGATTCTTTTCTCCACTTGGTCTCTTCTGCTATTAATACTTGTGTTCACATTATGAAATTATGTAGTGTGTTTTTGAGCTCTATCAGGTTGGTTACGCTCTTTTCTCTATTGACTATTTTGTCTGACAGCTCCTGCAATGTTTTATTATGACTTTTAGCTTTCTTGCATTGGTTTACAGTGCACTCCTTTAGCTCAGTGTACTTCATTTCTATCCAAATTCTGAATTCTAATTCTGTCAGTTTAACTGCCTCAGCCTCAGCCCGGTTCCAAACCCTTGCTGGAGAGGTGATACAGTCATTTGGAGGAAAGAGGTTACTCTTGCTTTTTGAGTTTTCAGCATTCTTGTGCTGATTCTTTCTCATCTTGGTGGGCTTATTTAACTTCAGTATTTGAAGTTGCTGACTTTTGTTGACTTTTGTATGTTTTTCTTCCTTTAACAGTCTGTGCATTTTTCTGTAGGGTTGCTGTGGTATGCTGGGGTTCCGCTTCAATGCCTAGTCACCTCAGATTTTCCTGTACCTGCAGGTATCACCAGTGAAGCCTGCGAAGCAGCAAAGATGGCAGTCTGCCCCGTCTTCTAGGAGCTCTGTCACAGGGAGGTATGGACATATTGCTGGCTCAAATGCACTGTAGGAGGTGGCTGGAGACCCTGGTTGGGAGGTCTTGCCCTTGTCAGGAGGAATGAGACCAGGAACCTGCTTTAAAAAGTGCTTTGACCGTGTTTTCATAGACAAGCCGTGCTGTGCTGGCGGACCACTTCAGCTCATGGTCACCTCAGACACTCTGAAGCCTGAAGGCTGGAACAACTAAATTGCCCAAACAGCAAATATGACAGCATCTACAGAAATCATTTTATTTGAGTTATGTAGCAAGAACCCAACTTAAGCAAATATAAAATTTACAACTAAGTCACTATTTGGATATTAATGTGTATGCTAAACTGATTTGTTCATGGGCTAGTCAGCTATTCATATGATCTTTACAATTTTCTGAATTCCATTTTTTGGTTAAAAAAAGAAAACAAGCTGATACTTTTATCACTTTCTAAGAAACATTTGATTTAAATTCTTATGCCTTCAATATCTCATGTAAAATGCTAGTTTCATTACTACTGTAAGTAAATATGTGTAAAACAGAAAGTATCTGAGACAAGTCTCAATCAGTTTTGAAGTTTATTTGGCCAAGGTTAAGGATATGCCCAGAAGAAATAAACATGCAATCACAGAAACAGTCCCTGGTCTGTGCATTTCTCCAAAGATGATTTTGAGGACTCCAGTATTTAAAGGGGAAAAGTAATCTGGAGGGGAAAGAGAGGGTACGGTAATCCACATGTTGTAAGACAAAAGGAGCAGGTAGGAGAATAATCAATTATATTTTTGTCTTGTTCTCAGTAAATTGGCACTTTACATAAGATCATGTGAACATGGCATAGCTGCCTATGGAGATATTTTACCTTTCATCTGTAGCTGTCTGCTTAAGAACAGCAGGAAAGGTAGTTTCTTGCATGACTCAGCTTTCAGCTTATTATTATTATTTTTCTTTGACATAGTGAATTGAGTTCTCAAGTTTTTATTTCCCTGTCACCTATCTTTTGGGGTATTTTTCAAAATTGTAATTTTAAAACATGCACCCTGAAGATTCTGATAGTGATAGCAAAAGATGTGAGACAAAATCTGTACTTTTTAAAAGTCTCTAGGTGATTTTCTTAGCAGTCCAATTAGGGAAAAACTGATTAAGGACTCTATACTAAAACAGACTTGCAAAAGAGAGATGCTAAAGCATTTGAAGACTCTATAATAACAAAATTAAAAATATATATTTATTTCAAGTATCCAATACTGACTACAGAAGATAATAGACTTATTTCTAGAACTCATGAGTATACTCTTAGAAATCTTATAGAAGACTTTTATGTTTTGGTGTCCAGGCTGTGTCATCTGGTCACAGTTAGCCGGTATAAAAAATATGTAGACTTATAGGTTCTTTTTTTTGTTTTTATTTGTTTACTTTTTTGAGACAGAGTCTCGCTCTGTTGCCCAGGTTGAAGTGCAGTGGTGGGATCTCGGCTCACTGCAAGCTCCGCCTCCCGGGTGCACGCCATTCTCCTGCTTCAGCCTCCTGAGTAGCTCGCCACCATGCCTGGCTAATTTTTTGTATTCTTTTGGTACAGACGGGGTTTCACCGTGTTAGCCAGGATGGTCTCAATCTCCTGACCTCGTGATCCGCCCGCCTTGGCCTCCCAAAGTGCTGGGATTACAGGCGTGAGCCACCGCGCCCGGCTAGACCTATAGGTTCTTTAAAAAAATTCCAAAGAAGTGGGTGGGCAGAGAGTAGTAAGTTATTCACTGATAATATCTCTACTAATGCCCACTCGTGATGGCTAAAGATACATAGAATTTAAACTTACACACACACACATATAAGACACACACACACACACACACACACACACACAAAGACACAGCACCCTTCTCCCACAGTATCTTCTGCTGAATATTCTCTGTATCTTCATTGGTACTTTGATTATAAGCTGATTTTCCTGAACTTTCCAGAATATCTTTAGGATTTCGTTTTCCTGAATTATCCATATATCTACTAAACATACCCTTACTGGCTTTTTTTTTTTTTTTTTTTTTTTTTACATAACTCTAACATCTTATTTTACCCCACAGTTCCCTACAGATATTCCTATAATTTTACTTTACCAGAATTATTTGGTCTTCTTTTCCCTCGAAATATCTCAACAACTCTTTCATCAATAGATTCTTTGAGTTCACAACTCTCTTTAATCACTACCAGTTACTTCACCCAACTTCTCAGTCTTACTAAAGAAAAATAAATTACGCTGGAAAACATTAATGGTTGCTGCCACACTATTACTTACATGTCTGCCACACAAGGTAAATAAAAAGAGTTATAAATATTCTGAAACCAAATATGTTAGAAGTTTGGGGTGTACTTTGGTTTTACACAGTGCCTAATAAAAATGATGTTTCTATTTCTATGAAATGAATATACTTTTCAATTATCTACCTCATTGTCATTTACTTAACCAACATTCTAATTTTCAATGTAGGAAAGAATAGAGAGATTTTTGAAGAATAGAGCTGCCTATCAAAGAGGAAGTGCCACCCAAATCTACTTACTTTACAAAAATAGCTTAATTGAAATTGACATAAGCTCAAAACAAATATTCAATTGAAAGAATTTTAAAAAACAAACTAAGTAAAAAAATTATTGTACTTCTATAGGAAATATCTCAGGCCACAGTTCTTTGTCTGAATACATTATAAGAGAAATAAACTGAAAAATCCAGATATTTTATTTCATTTTACAATACTCATGCAGTTATTTGTTACTTTTATTGACATAGATGACATTCTAAATTATAAATGACCATTAACTTAAGCTACACTTAATGTCATGAGAATTCTACTTATCTAGTTAAAAGATAATTCCTGATGTAAGAGTATTCTGAACTAGTTTTGAAAACTTCAATAAATAAGAAATAATCTCTAGATAATTCTTGTAAAATTATCAAATTTCTTTCCTTAGCTCCCTAAGAAAAACATACATTCCAAGGACTTGGTAAATTAAATTAAAAATAACTTTTTCTGGGACTGTTTCTTTAAGTTTCACTGGTCAACAATGTTGCCATTCTTTATATTTTACTTTATTTTATTAGGCAGAGTCTTGGTCTGTCACCCAGGCTGGAGTGCAATGGCTCCATCTCGGCTCACTGCAACCTCCGTCTCCCACGTTCAAGTGATTCTCATGCCTCAGCCTCCCAAGTAGCTGAGACTACTGGCACGTGCCACCACACCTGACTAATTTTTGCATTTTTTTAAGTAGAGGCGGGGTTTCACGATGTTGGCCAGGCTGGTCTCAAACTCCTGACTTAATGTGATCCACCCTTCTCGGCCTCCCAGAGTGCTGGGATTACAAGCGTGAGACACAATGCGTGCTGGGCCTAACAGTGTTCCCATTCTCAACTCATAGATCTGGTTTATAAAAGTCAGTCAGATATTTTCTAGACCATATAAATGTCAGTCACAATATTTATCAAAATGATCACTCACTTTAAATTTAGCTGTGGTACAGACTGTGAACCACTTACGCTTAGTTTGACAGAGCAGATGTGAGGATCAATGTTTATCTTCATAATTATGTCATAAAGTTCTTACATCTCAAAGACTGTGTGCTTACATTCACAAAATTCTAGAACTCGACATGTATAATTCGACAGATTTTCTCTTCCAACTGATGTGATGTAGCAAGATGAGCAACAAAAGAAGAATCCCAAGATAATCACGTAATTATGTTAGGAGAGATTCTCAGTTCAATCTAATCCTGTCTAAACAGGCTGAAAGAAATTAGTCACTCAGAATTATATAAAAGGCTCTATTGAGGTATGTAAAACAATCTGCACAGATTTTTTCAACCTCTTGTTGTGCCACCTAGGATATATGAATAGAGTTAAATTAGAATGTTGCTGTGAACTATTTCTTCAACTTTATCTTCTTAGGAAGTTTTGTAGTTGTTTAGGACTGGGGAGAGAACTTAAAGAAATAACAGGAACTTGAGAAGAAATCACTTATACAGGGGCACCTCACTTAAAATTGCTGAGCAATTTAAGCATAAATATAGGGCATAGATATAGACAGATAGGAAGACCAATAAATTGATCAAATCAATTATATATATATTTATACATATATATATATATACATAAGTAGATTTACAATGTCTTTCACATTACATGCAGATATTAACCATCAAATCCTTGTTATGTAGAAAGAGTGACCACAAAAGATGCACCGATTTATTTAATGTCTAATTCAGTAAATAAATACTCATCAGCTTCCATGCATGTGCCAGGTCTTCAGCTAGATTTTAAAAAAATACAATGTTGATTCAAATAATTAAAATTCATTCTCTTATATAATATAATATAAAAAAAATTAAAAAATACATTTATTTCAATTATCCAATACTGACTACAGAAGATAATAGACTTATTTCTAGAACTCATTGCATTTATGTCTAGAAAACTGCATTTTCAAGACAAAGGACTTAGAGAAATAGCACAAGTGTGTGCCTGTGCAGACGTGCATTAATTGGTGAAATAAAAATATTAAATATATAATATACTAGGCATACTAGGGTGTGAACTAAATAATTGTATTAAGTATATGTAATGTATATTCTGTGTGTGTATGTGTTTGAGCATATGTCTGTCTGTATGCATGTATAAATATTTAATATATATGTACAGTACATGGTATTTTCTACCTATGTCATGGTTTCTATCAGATAGTGACAATTCCAGTGAAGAAAAATAATACCAGAGGGCCAGGCATGGTGGCTCACGCCTGTCATTTCAGCACTTTGGGAGGCCGAAGTGGGTGGATCACCTGAGGTTAGGAGTTCGAGACCAGCCTGACCAACATGGTGAAACCCTGTCTCTACTAAACATACAAAAATTAGCCAGACGTGTTGGCAGGCGCCTGTAGTCCCAGCTCCTCGGGAGGCTGAGATAGGAGAATTGCTTGAACCCGGATAGTGAGGAATAAGTTGCTGTGGGTTGAGGGTTTGCTAGGTTTATTTAGAATAGACAGATAAATCTTGATATGACATAATCTGATACCAAAATTTGGTAGATGTTTCACGTCCATTAGGGCAGTGTGGACAGTTAGGTGCTTTGACTTTTGCCTTGAATGATACAGAAAACCATTGTAGAGTTTGAGAAGAAACAGGCAATTCATCTTATGTATAATGAAAAGCCTTCTGCTGCAATGAAGAGAAAAGATTATAGAGGTAAATGAGCAAACGGAGAAAGCAGTTGGGGACCCCTGTAATAAATGCACTAGCCCAGGGATGCCAGTGGCTTGGGGAAGGTGGCAGCTTTATGAATTTTTCATATCTTTATAAAAGTCTCAATTCTTCATGGCACAGTCTTGTGCTGTAAGCTGTTATTTCACATCATGCGTGTTTCCTCAATTCCCCATTTTAAATCCATATATTAAGATATTTTTGTTTCTCTTAAATATATGATATTGAGGTACATTATCTTTATGAACTACTTTATATATCAATATATATTTAGACTATATTTTTAATTATATTTCTAAGTGTTCGATTATTATATAATAATTATAGAATATTTAGAGATGAGGGCAAATGAAGATCACCTTTAAGTCTACCATTTGAACCTTTGCATTCTTTTGTTTTGAATACATACATGTATATATGTGTATGATTATGGTCACTATAAAAGTAGATTGTTGTCTGATTTTTGCACACACAGGAAAATTTATATATGCTTAAATATGCCTAAATACTCATTATGTTTTAAAACGTAATTTTATTATTTAATAAATAATAAAATACATATATAATAATAATATTATTAATTATTTTAATCACCAATTATTTACTGAGTACTTAATATAGACAGGGCCTCTTCTTTGCACTTAGAATACATCAGTTAACACAACTAGGAAAAGAATGGCTGCACACATAAAACTTATGTTCTGTGGCAGGAAGTAACTGATAAATGATAATAAATAATAATAAATAATTGTAACATTATGATAGAAGGTGATAATTTTCATGGGAAAATATAGAACTACACAAAAAGGATTTAAAAAGAAGCTGAAATAAGCCCCTAAGTTGGCCTCATTGAGAAGAGATTGCAGTTAAATTTTTTTCATTATTATAAAGAGCTATATGTATCTTTGTTCATAATTTTTGTCTAAACCTCTGAAATTTTTCTTGGATGCATTCCTAGAAAGGGAATTAATGGGTTTAAGATAATATTTTAAAGCATTGTCATCCTATAGCCAAATAGCTATACAGAACTATATTTTAAAGCAATTTATGCACATACCAGCAGAATTCAAGTTATTATTTCAATGTTCCATGCTATTAATATTTAACAAAATCAAAAAATAAATTGTCCAATTTTTTTGTTTTTTCATTATTGTTATTTTTGTTTGTATTTCTTGAATTGTTTGATGCACCACCCCCCTTTAAATATGTTAAATCATTTACTGTTTCAATTTATTATTTGTGTAAAAGGCTATTGATATTCTTTGTTTGGCTTGTCTATTTTATTTTTCTACTTTTTGTGTTCAACTGTATGCATGTTTTAAAAATGATATTCTAGGTTTGATACACATGATAAAATATTTTTTCTCATTTTTACATTCCTTTTTAAGATAAATTTTGGGAAGCTGATCATACATATTTTTGTATTTTATCAAGTCTCTAAATTCTTCTCATTGAATTTATTATATTGCTTGTGTAGGAATCTGTTTATAGACTAAAGTCAAACAATCACATGTATTTTCACCTAGAATTTATTGTTTCTCTTCCTCCTGCTTTATCTCCTTTTTTTATTACTGTTCAACTCTTTAATATACTTTCTATTTAATTGAGACAATAAGTTAGGCACTGATCTAGCATTATGTTTCCCCAGATAGGACTTCAAATGTCCCATAAACATATTATCTCCAGTGATTTATTATAATTTTATGTTGATAAACCGTCTTGTGAAACAATTGTTTCTCTACCATATATCCTGTTTCATTAATAGATGGAATCATCCTTGAGCATTCTAGAATATTAAGACAAGCAAATAATACATTATTAAAATGTTGCATGTGTATAATATGTTTTGATATAACAGTAAATAATCCAAATCCCCAAAGATAAAGAATTTTTACTTTTCTGAAATTTTATATAACGTAGTATAATCAGATTTTTAATTTTAACTAATATTTTAGGTAGGTAGGGGTATATGATTGCCAATTTAATTTGAATTTTTTTACTTTTTAACCATTTTTCTTATATATTTATGTTCTTATTTATCATTCATGTATCTTTGTTAAAGGGTTCAAACATTTATTTTATTGTTGAGTTTTCTTCTTCACTGAGTTTTAAGTGTAACTTAGAAGTTCTGTACACAATTTCTTTACCCATTTATATTTGAAAACATCCTCTCACAGTTTTGCTTGGTTCTTCAATGCATTGAGCCTCTTTTGAAAATGAATTTTTAAAAAATATTTATACATTGAATTTATCTTCATTCTAAATTACAGCTCATGCCCTTTGAGCATTATTTTAAGCTTTCCTGATTCAATGTCACAACATTCGTTGGTCCATTTTGTGCCTGTGTTCTTCCTCAACTTTTGAAGTTGACCACTTACATTTGGGTTTATGATTTAACTTTTAAGACGTAAAACTTTTTCTGTTTTTGATGTGGACTCCAATTACTTCAATATTATTTGTAGAAAACTATCATTTTCTCATTCATTTCCTTGGGATCTTTGGCAAAAATCAATTGACTGTATATGTGTTTATTAATTTTTGTACTTTCTATTTCGTCCCATGCTTCTGTATGTCTGTCCTCCAATACCACACTGTCTTTATGACTATACTTTATAGTGAGTCTTGAAGCAGGAAAAGTAAGTCCTCTATGTACTTCTCTTTAGTAAATAAAAAATAAATTAAAAGCTTTTCTACTTTCTTTATAGTTTCAAAATCAGTTTAGAATACCCCTGCCAAGTATAATTGGAGTAATTTACAATCTCACCAACAGTCTGATTTGGTTTTCTTCACATTCTCATCAACACTTTTTATCTTTCATCATTTTGGATAGTAGCCGTTCTGACTTGTGTGACTATCTCATTGTAGTTTAATTTGTATTTCACCAATATTTAGTGATGTTGATTATTTTTTCATATATCTGTTTGCCGTTTGCATTTAGGAGCAGTTTCTTTTGAGAAACATCTATTTAGGTGCATTGACTACTTTTAATTGAGTCATTTGTTGTCTTGCTCTTGATTTGTTCCACAGAAAACTGTAGGGAGGTTCCTTAAAAACCTAAAAATAGAATTACTATATGATCTAGCAACTCTACTTCGGGGTCTATATCCGATGTATTTTATAAACATAAATACGTTGAAGAGCTATCTGCACTTCTATATTCATTGCAGGATAGGTTACAATAGCCAAGTTATGGAATCAAACCAAGTGTCCATAAACAAATCAATGGATAAACAAAATGTGATACACACTCACACACTCTTTATATGTAGTATATATATATATATATACACACACGTGCACACACACGCACACACACAACACACCCAATGGAATACCATTAAATCTTTAAAAAGAGGGAAATCCTATCATTTGTGACAACATTGATGAACCTGAGGACATTATGCTAAGTGAAATAAGCCAGGCACAGAAAGACAAATAGTACCTGTTTTTACTTATATGAGGAATCTTAAACAATTGAACTCATAAAGGCAGTGACTAGAATGATTATGATCAGAGGCTGGGGACTGGGGAGAATTGGGAGATATCAAAGGGTACAGTGTTTTAGTTAGATAGGAGAAATAAGTGATAAGTATTTGAGGTGATGATGTAGCAATTACCAATATTATTTCATATTATACATGTATCTGTTTTAAAAACTTAAAAATATGTAGCATAGTGAGACATCATTGGAATTTAATAAAGCTAGCTACTAATCTTTTTAATAAGGCTTTAGTTAAACATGTATAAATTTCTGGATAATTGAAATCTTAACATTATTGTATCTTTAGTTTCCTTAACATATATTTCCATTTATATAGGCCTTCTTTAGCTGTCAATAATGTTTCATAGAATATCTCAACAATCTATATTTTGGTAAATTTAGCCATACATACTACATGTGTTGGATGTTATCATAAATGATACAATTTCCAAATGCTTATTGCTAGTATAAGCAAATATCATTGATTTTCTTTAATAATCTTGTGTCCTGTAGTTTTATTAAATTTATTTATTTGTTCCAATAGCCATTTTGTATATTCTTCAACATTGCCTGTACACTCAGTTGTGTCATAATTTATCTGTAAAGAGAGTATTATTTCATCTCTCCTTATCTGCGTGCTTTTTGTATCTTTTTTTCAGCTTTATTACACTGGCTGGGGGCTCTAGTAAAATGTTACAGGTGGTAAGAATAAACGTTCTTGCTTTTTCCAGGTATTACAGGAAACTTATTCAGTTTTTCACCATTAAGTTTAATGATAATTGCTGGTTGTGTGCAAATCCCTGTATTGGTTTGCTAAGGTTGCTGCCAAAAAGTATCACAGAAATTTATTTCCTCACAGTTCTGGAGGCGAAGAAGCTGAACTCTAGATGTCACCACATTTGGTTACAGCTGTGAGGGAAGGATCAGTTCCAGGCTTCTCTCTTTGGTTTCCAAGTGGCTTTATCCTCTTTGTGTCTTCACAAGGTTTTCCTTCTGTACGTGTCTGTGTTTCAATTTTCTCTTCTCATGAGGACATAAATCATATTGGAATATGGCCCACTTGAATGAACTCATTATAGCTTAATTATCTCTGTAAAGACCCGATCTCCAAATATGATTACATTTGGGGGCACTGAGGATTTGAATTTCAACATATGGAATTCAGGAGAGGGAAGCAATTTAGCCCATAATGACACCTTTATTAAGTTAATACAATTATAAGACTATGTTTATGAATGATTGCTGCATTTTTGTCAAATGCTTTTTCTCTGTATCTATTGAAATGATTCTTTGGATTTTCTTTAGTAGCCTATCTGCACACTGAATTATATTAAGTGATTTTCTAATATTTAAACAAAGCTCACTTTTTGTAATTTACTACCTATATTTAATATTGCTGTATATGACTAGCTAAGATTTTGTTGAAGATTTTGGTGTATATTTCCTTAGGGATATTATCCTTTAGGTTTCTTTCCTTTTATGTATTTTTTCTGGTTTGGTAACAGAGTAATGCCGACCCTGTAAAATGAGCTGCAAAGTGCATCTTCTTAACTTGTATAGAATTGATATTATTTCTTTCTTACATATGTAGTAGATTTTTAGCAGTGATAGATAGATTTTGGCAGTAGTAAATTTTTATCTTGCCTTGGAAATTTTTAAGGAAGCATTTTAACTATAAGTAAATTTTATTAATCCATAAATAACCCTTCTGTTTATCTATATTTTTCTTAAATTAGCTATGGTAGTTTTACTGTGTGTCAAAAATGGAAAAGTAAGTCAACAGATGTTCTAGAAAAAAAAGGAAAGTCTGTCCTTCAGGCTTTCTGTGGACTAAATATTTGTATATCCCCAAAATTCATATGTTGAAAGGCTAATTCCCAATGTGATGATATTTAAAGGTGAGGTCTTGCAAAGTAGTAGTTCATAATTAATATTCTTATAAAAAAAGGAGTAGACATGGGCTAACTCTCTCTGCACCCTACGATAAGGACACAGAAAGAAGAGGCCCATCTGTAAACCAGGAAAAGGACCCTCATCAAACTGAGCTCTGCCAACACACTGATCTTGGACTTCCCAGCCTCCAGAATTGTGAGAAATAAATGTGTGTGTGTGTGTGTGTGTGTGTGTGTGTGTGTGTGTGTTTAATATCCAGTATATGATAATCTGTTGTTGCAGGCTGATCTGTGGAGTTGAAGGCTGGGGAAGCATTTGTTGAGATAGTTTTGTCCTTTCATTTCCTCTCCAAGCCATATTCCCACATATCTAAGAATGTTAAAAGAATTCCTAGAGCTGAGATATTTTGCCCCACTTCATTTTGAGGTTATGCAAAGGATTCCTCAAAGTTACCCTTGAAGTATCCTAGTACTGTCCAATACATAAGCAAAGACAGAAAGCCTGTGTTATTTTCTTCAGACATCTTCCTACCAAAGAGGTTTTGTTTGACTTCAGGACATATGAGAGATATCTAGTCACTTGCTCTCCTTCTTAAATACTAAGGTAATAACCACAGGTTCACATTTTGTCTCCCTAGAAAGTATTAGAGATGCCAAAGTTTTCCTCTTAGCTAGAAAATGCATTTTCATTTTCTGAACTTACTATCTATGATCCCATAAAAGTAAACAGTTAAATAATTTAGTTCAAAAGGTACAAATTATGAATTCCGTGTGGTAATTATACATTCTTTACCTTTAATGAGGTGTGTGTATGTAACTGGCTATGGTGAAACAAATTTCAGAGGCATGGGCCAAAAATAAATATCATTGTATGTTTTTTCATGAAACCTAGTATTGAGTTTTTATACCTAAGTCACAGTTTTTCTAAACTTTTATAGCATAGTAGTATGTGCACAAAATATTTTTAGCTAAAGCTTAATATTTTAATTTTCAAAATCATTATTTGAATTTTAAATAGATTGCATCATTAAAATCAATAATTACATTTTAAACAGATAAATGTAAACAAAATTTGAACTCTATTTGTGTGTGTTTAATAGTATACAAGAAAATAAGGCCGGGTGCGGTGGTTCACGCTTGTAATCCCAGCACTTTGGGAGGCCGAGGTGTGCGGATCACGAAGCCAGGAGATCGAGACCATGGTGAAACCCCGTCTCTACTAAAAACACAAAAAATTAGCCGAGCGTGGTGGTGGGCGCCTGTAGTCCCAGCTACTAGGGAGGCTGAAGCAGGAGTACGGCGTGAACCCAGGAGGCGGAGCTTGCAGTGAGTCGAGATCGCACCACTGCACTCCAGCTTGGGTGACAGAGCGAGACATCGTTTCAAAAAAGAAAAGAAAAGAAAAGAAAATATCACCTGTACATCTACAAAAAGCATTTTTTAACCAATAGAATATAATGTTGCTCTCAAGATATATATTTAGTGTAATTCTAGAGTCATATAAACAAATCATTCTTTGAAGCTTGAAAACATGACTACTACTTGCTTTTGGTTTTACATTTTCAAGTTGGAACTTCCAAAATACTTTTAACACAACCAAAATTCTCTCCATAAAGTAGTAAAGAGTTTATGTTATAGGCTGTAAATAACAATTTTAGAAAAGACTCTAGCAGAGATACAGCATGAAGAATTATCCTTAAGAATGATATTTATGCTTTATCTGTATTCTCTGATTCTCAACATGTTTTAATTCATTTCACTTTATTTTAGACACAATCTGATAAACTTCCACAGATGTATTTGACAGTCTCCAAAGCAATTACTGAGATTGCTTTTGGACTCTTTAAAACATGTTTAGTAAACAGAATAATGGAGTATTTCTGGTCTTTCTTTTTAGGTGTCCTATATTTAATTGCATTTCTAATTTCTTATCAAAGTTCATTTTTCTTTATTTTTTTATACAGGCCTTATATATAATTTTTATTTTACATTTTATGTTATTTTCTTAATGATTGATAATGAGAATAATTGACATTATCAATAGTGTCAATAAATGTTATTGATAATGTCAATTTTTGACATTATCAATCATTAAAGAAATAACATAGAAATACAATCAAACAAAGAGTAGTGGGATTTTAACTCACAAATAATAATCCTGCTCTGATATTCTTTTTTTTTAAATAATTTACCCATAAAATTTTAACTAACTTAACCTAAATTTGTTTTGTGAAATACTGATATCTGCATAAATATATAAAAATATTAAATAATACTTGATAAAATAATAAACTCCTATTGATGTATTTCAGCTGTAGTTTTTATCTATGAAAATGTAAAGATATTTATTTTTACTCATATTTCATGCTTCTATAAATAAGAGCCATCTTATAATCAATGTGTAATTATTTTTTACCTGAATATATTTTATTAAACAAAACCATGCTTCAGAATTAACATTATCTTAGAATTAAAGTAATATGTCCCTAAAATATCGAATACCATTAACAGAGTTATATTTTCAAATATTTAGCATCCATCACTGTACATTAAGCAGATGTTTTCATTTAGCTGTAGGATGGCCATATGATCACATTTTCCTAGTTGTGAATACAAAGGCAATATGAGATATCATGTTGATTTAGTGTAGTGGCTGTGGAGACAGATTGGTAGGCAAATCAAGTTCTAAACTCTCTGGCTTGATTTCTTTATATGTAAAGTGAGGATAACTATATAATAGAGTTCTTATGAGTATGAAATGACCCAACACCTCTCCTAGTCAACATAGTGTTGGAAGTCCTGGCTAGAGCAATGAGGCAAGAGAGAGAAATAAAGTGCATTGAAATAGGAAGAGAGGAAGTCAAACTATCCCTATTGGCGGATGACGTTATTCTACATGTAGAAAAACCCGTAGTCTTGGCCAAAAGCTCCTTCAGCTGATGCATAACTGAAGCAATCTTTCAGGATATAAATATACAAAATCACTAGCATTCGTATACACCAACAACAGCTAAGCTGAGAGCCAAATCAGGAATGCAATGACATTCACAATTGCCAAAGAGTGAACAAAATACATAGGAACATACCAAACAGGGAAATGAAAGATCTCTGCAATGAGAATTACAAAACACTGCTCCAAGAAATTAGAGACAACAGAAAAGGGGAAAAGCATTCCATGCTCATGGATAGGAAGAATCAATATCATTAAAATGTCCATAATGCCCAAAGTAATTTATAGATTCAGTGCTATTCCTACTAAACTACCAATGACATACTTCTCAGAACTAGACAACTATTGTAAAATTCATATGTAACCCAGAAAGAGCCCAAATAGACAAAGCAATCCTAAGCAAAAAGAACAAAGCTGAAGGCATCATGTTACCTGACTTAAAACTATATACTACAGGGCTACAGTAACCAAAACAGCATAGTACTGGTACAAAAAAAGACACATACCCCAGTGGAGGAGAATAGAGATCCCAGAAATAAGACCAAACACCTACAACCATCTGAGGTTCAACAAAGTTTACAAAAACAAGCCAGAGGGAAAAGACTCCTTATTAAATAAATGGTGCTGGGCTAACTGGCTAGCCACATACAGAAGATTTAAACTGGCCTACTTCCTTGCACCACATACAAAAATCAACTCAAGATAGTTTATGACTTAAAACATAAAACCTAAAACTATAAAATCTCTGAAAGACAACAAAGGCAATACCATCCTGGGCACAGGAACAGGGAAAGATTTCATGATGACGATGCCAAAAGCAATCTCCACAAAAGCAAAAATTGACAAATGACATCTAAAAAGTGACTGCACTGCAAAATACTCTATCAACAAAGTAAACAGACAAACTACAGAATGGGAGAAAATGGCTATTATTAAAAAGATGAAAAGTAAGAGATGCTGGTGAGGCTGCAGAGAAAAGGAAACACTTATACACTGTTTTGGGGAGTGTAAATTAGTTTAACCATCACAGAAAGCAATGTGGTGATTCCTCAAATGGCTAAAAACAGAACTACTATGTGACCCAGCAATCTCATTACTGGGTATATACCCAGAAGAATATAAATCATTGTACCATGAAGACACATGCACATGAATGTTCATTGCAGAACTATTCACAAAAGCAAAAACATTGAATCAACCTAAATGCCCATTAACAACAGATTGGATAAAGAAAATATGGTACATATACATCATGAAATACCATGCAGCCATAAAAAAGAAGGAGATCATGTACTTTGCAGTAACATAGATAGAGCTGGAGGTCATTACCCTTTGCAAACTAACACAGGAAGAGAAAATCAAATACCACACGTTCTGACTTATAAGTGGGAGCTAAATGATGAGAACTCATTAACACAAAAAAGGAAATGACAGACACTGGGGCCTAATTGAGGGTGGAGAGTGGGAGGAGCAACAAGAGCAAAAAAATTAACTGTTGGGTATTAGGCTAGGACCAGAGACACAAGTTTACCTATGTAACACAACTTGACATGTACCCCGGACCTAAAATACACGTTTTTAAAAAAATGACTAAATTCATGTAAATATGAATACAAACTTAAATCACTGTAAATATGTACCCTCTATAAAACATAAGATTTGATCATTTCTGATTAATTCCTATTATGACTTTGAAGTTTCCAAGAGTGTTATTTAAAGGCAGATAATACTTTGGCAGCTTTGTATGTGTACTCATTTCAAATGTCAGTACTGACTTTCTAACCCGAAAGGCATTGTCAAATAGGTTTTGCTTTGATTGACTAAACTTAAGAACAGCTTCATTTAAATTAAAGTGAATGTAATAAGTTAAATTTACTAAATAAGCCAATCACACACATTAAAAAATGTTGCAGAAAATTAAAATGTGCTCCCTCTGCTTACTCTTGATTCTAAGGAAAAGTATCAAATGGTTGTCCCAATATTTGCTTGCATGTACATTAAATCATATATATCTATAATCTACATAAATATCTCTCTATATGACTATTGTTTAATAAATATGTAATTTTATTAATAATATTAAACTAGAGTTTAATAAATATGTATTAAATTGATGAGGAATTTTGAAAGAATAGGTTATCATTTACCCAAACAGTAGGCACCACTTGATACCTTAAAGGAAACTGAAGAATATGATACTTTTAATTCTGGAAGATTGAAAATTAGCATATAAACATAAATTGGATATTTCAAAAACTACTGAAGTCCCATTTTGTTGAGCTGAATATGTCAAGTCATATTAGATTTTCCAATTCATCACAAGGACAGGAATAGCAAAAGCCTTAAGCCACCAAAGTGAATTTATAAGCAAATACTGAGTGCTTAATACAATACACTGGGCTGTATATTATCTGTATGCTAAAAGAAAATGTAACACTCCAGGGGGAAAAAATCATGTACACATTAAACCTTTTGAGAAGAATGCATGGCTATATATAAACAAGGGGTAAATTACAGTTCTGGTTATCTATTACATTTAAAAAATTAGTGACTATAAATAAAATGTTTTATTAGTTTCTTTTTATGATGATATTGCCTACTAATACTTGTAATACTTATGACTACAAAGATGATTCATCTCAGTAAAATCAAATAAATTTTCAGAATGACATAAAGTATTATTGAGATTTTTTTAATATGCTAATATTTAGGTAGGTGATTAAGTTTTACTTCTAGACTGAGCAATGAGTCTTTGGCTATCTACGAGATTGTTATCTAACATCTCTGATAAATTAAAACAATATTATCTTCTGTATATTTTACTTTATTTTCAAATAGAATATACATTCTGTGTGCTTGTAGTGGAAAGCCAAATACTCTGGATATCAAGAGACTAGATTTTTCTCACCACAGTTCTGATATTTTCTTTAGAAAAGTTGTTTTTTTTCTGGAACTCATTAGAATTATTTTTAAAATAAGGTTTCAGAGTAGATGAGCTCAAGAAGCTTTTTTTTTCTTTAAGTAAACGTAAACGTGACAGTGAATATTGAGTGTCAACTTGATTAAATTGAAGGATGCAAAGTATTGTTCCTGGGTGTGTCTGTGAGGGTGTTGCCAAAGGAGATTAACATTTGAGTCAGTAGACTGAGAAAGGCAGACCCACCCTCAATCTAGGTGGATACAATCTAATTAGCTGCCAGCACAGCCAGATTAAAAGCAGACAGAAGAACGTGAAAAGGCTAGACTGGCTAAGCATCCCAGCCTACCTCTTTCTCCCATGCTAGATGCTTCCTGCCCTCAAATATCAGAATCCAAGTTCTTCAGCTTTGGGACTCAGAGTGCCCTCCTTGCTCCTCAGCTTGCAAACAGCCTTTTGTGGGACCTTACCCTGTGACTGTGTGATCAATACTCCTTAATGAATGCCCCTTTATATATACATCTATCCTATTAGTTCTGTCCCTCCAGAGAACCCAGACTAATACAGTAAACGGTCAGATATGTGAAATAGATTTTTTTAAGTTACTAGATGTAAAAGAATACTTTAAAAAAACATATTGTTTTGCTTTATACCATAAATATTTAGAAAATGAAATTTTAAAGAAATTATTTGTAGTAGCATTGAATATATCAAATACTTGGAAATGAATCTAATAAAAGATGTTTAGAACCTACAACACACATATACACACAAAACATCTATAACTAGAAATTAAACAATAACTAAGCAAATTGAGGAAAATATTTTCATAGATTAAAAGATTAAATTTTGTTAATAGTTTTTCTTAAGTGCCTCTACAGAGTAAATTTAATTCCTTTTATAATTGCTTGTTTTTATTTGAAACTGATAAACTGATTCTCAAATATGCATGGAATAAAATGGGCAAAATAGCCAAGGCAATTATGTAAAACAACAAATCTAAGGAATGTATATTACCAGATTTAAAAAAAATGAGAATGTGCTATTGCTATAAGAATATGCAAAGAGACCAATGGAAAATTATTTGTAGATTAGGGACAGATGACATATAAATGATTTCATGATTATGATAAAAAGGATAGTACTATATAAAGAAAAGGTAAGTGTTTTCAAATTTGATGCTGATTGAATAAATTTTTGAAAATTGCTGGGTGTGGTGGCTCATGCATGTAATCCCAACACTTTGGGAGACCAAGGTGGGTGGATCACTTGAGGTCAGGAGTTGGAGACCAGCCTGACTAACATGGTGAAACCCCATCTCTACTAAAAATACAAAGTTAGCTGGGCATGGTGGTGCATGCCTGTAATCCCAGCTACTTGGGAGGCTGAGTTAGGAGAATCCCTTGAACCCAGGAAGCAGAGGTTGCAGTGAGCCAAGATAGTGCCATTACACTCCAGCCTGGGCAACAGAGCAATACTCTGTCTCAAAAAAAAAAAAAAGGAAGAAAGAAAAAGAAAATATTTATCTTTACCCCTACCTCACACTGTAGATACAAATCAATGATATAAATATATAAATGTAGAATTAAATCTTTATGAATCTGGCAGGAACAGATTTTTAACAAGGACTCCATAAGTGAAAATCATCAAGGCATAAAATCAATAATTAGACTACAATCTAACTATAGTTTAAAAAAACTATTAAAAGAAATATGCATTTAGACTTTCCCACTATTTTTCAGTTTGCCTCCCCCCAGTGGCATGGGTTTGCTCTGAACCTGCTTTTGGGGTGTGTCTGCTTTGTCCTCTCTGTCAGATGAGGCTCAGAGAGGTGAAGGCACTTGAGCTGGGGAGTGACAGTCAGATCTCAAGTCCCTGCTTTTTCTAAAACATGTTGCCTTCAGAAAAGAAGAGCTAGAAGGATGAAAATTACTTAGAAAGATGAATACCAACTTTGAAAAAATGAAACATGAAGAGGAATTGAAGGAGTTGAGGCACAAACTTGAACAGGGCTGCATGTTTGGCCCGTGATTATAAACACTTATCGCCGCACCTGCTCCTCTTACTTGAAGAGTTGCAGCAGAAGGAGCAGAGGCCTGAGATTCCAGAGAGCTGGGTTCCCTCTCCATCTCTGCGGGGACACCACTTCTTGTGGGCCCTTGGGCAAGTCACTGCACTCTCTGAGTCTCAGTTTCCCCATTTGCAGGATAACTACCTGCAATAACTACCCCTTTCTGCCAAGTTAGAATTGCTTTGCGGATCTGATAAGGTGGTGTGGATGATGCTGTTTTGGGGGCTTTAAAGTATAAACCTGGGCTTATTTACTCCAGAAGTGGGCAGGACAGAATTCTGATGAGAGTTCTTTTCTTTTTCCCCTTTTTTCCTTTCCAATCTCTTAGTTTTATTTCTGTTATTTTACAATGTCCCTATAAGATGAAACAAGTGATGCTGAATTTTTTTTTTCAACTTTTATTTTAGAATCAGGATACATGTGCAGGTTTGTTACATAGGTATATTGTTGGATGCTGAGGTTTGGATTATGAGTGAATTAATCACAGAAGGGTGAGAATAATGTCCAATAAGTAGTTTTTTTCAGCTCTTAGTCCCTTTCCTACCCCTTCTTATATTCACCAGTGTCTGTTGTTCCCATTTTTATGACCATGTGTACTTGCTGTTTAGCTCCCACTTATAAGTGGGAAAGTGCAGGATTTGGTTTCCTGTTTCTGTGTTAGTTTGCTTGAAGTGGTGGCCTCCGGCTGCAACCATATTGCTGCAAAGGACATGATTTCATTCTTTTGTGTGGCTGCATGGTGTTCTATGGTGTGTATGTACCATATTTTCTTTATCAAATCCACTGTAGTTGGCCACCTGGGTTGATTCCATGTCTGGTGCTATTGTGAATAATGCTGCAGTGAATATGCGGCTGCATGTGTCTTGTGGTAGAACGGTTTATTTTCCTTTGAGTATGTACCCATTATTGAGATGATGCTGAAATATTTAAAATAGAAATGAAAATCTTCCTGTGCTCCCCCAAGCCCCTCCATCCTACACTGCAGAGACAGCCATTGTTTGTGGTTTAGTACGCTTCCTTCCAGGCTTTAAATAAACAAAACCCATGCATTAAAAAAAAAAGAATTTGCAGTAGGCTTATTAATTAATCTTATGAATAATTAATCAGGATAAAAAGCAGGTAAGGAAAAAAATGAGAAACCAAAAGAAAACTGGTTCAATGACTTGAATAGATAGAAGTTGTACATAAAAAGAATAACCAATAGCCAATACACACATGTAGAGGTCCTCAACATCATTAGACATCAAGAAAATGAAAATTAAAATTATGTAAGATATCTCTACACATGCACTAGCATTAATAACATAAAACATATAATTGCAAAGTTTTTATAAAACAGAGGAGCAACTGGAATGTTAACACACTTCTGATAGTAGTACAAATTGGATTCAACCCTTTAGAAAAATGCTTGGAATTATCTACTATAAACAAGTAATTCCAATCCTGTGCAAATACCCAAATAAATATTTAAATTCATTAAAATACATGCACAAGAATGGCATAGCAGTATAATGTGTAACAGCCCCAAACTGGAAAATTTATAAATACTAATTTACAACAAAATGATAAAGTAATTGTGGTATTATTATACCATATAAATACATTGTTATAAAGTATTGAGGATAAACAGTTTTAATACTGTGTGTACAACATTTATAAATATATTCATTAAAAGATAAGGACATGAGTACTGTTTCGTTTCATTTATATAAAATTAAAAAACCGAATAATATAATATTTGACTATGGATGTAAAAATAGGGGTTTCCTTTGGGGAGACTAGCGACTAGGGAAGTAAACAATGGCCACCTCTGAAATGCCAGTGATTTCATGTTCTCTCTCTCTCCTTTTCTCTCTCTGTCTCTGTGTGTGTGTGTGTGTGTGTGTGTGTGTGTGTGTGTGTGTATCCTAATCCCAGTGGTTTCACGGGCATATTCACTTTTGAAACTCATTAAACTGTGACATTATAATTTGTGCACAATCATTTATTCATATTTTATAATAAAATTATCTGAGTAAGAAAACTCCGAGTCAATCTAATACTGACAAACTATACAAGAAGAGAAGTTAAGATAAAAATAAAGCATTATTTGATAAAAAAATAGAAATGATAGTGTAATCCAGCTGTCATTTGTAAATTTTTAAAAACCATATAAAATAAAATTAATTACCCACTTTAAAATTCAAATGGTAGAGAGTTGAATACTTATGAGGTGTCTCCTAACCATATTTGAAATTAAGCAATTTAGGGAAAACAAAACATATAGAAGAATGGAATTATTTTAATAATTACGATATATTTTTATGACTTTGTAATTAAGTTGCCCCATAATCATGGGATATAGGTGTATCATAAACTTAGATATGATTTAAGGACTTTTCTAAATACTACCCTATTCTGTAATCTTGTGAAAAAAATGATAAGCTGAAGATTTTCTGAATATTATAATGACCAATTATTTTTGTTTCCTCAAATTGTCCTATATCTATATGGACTTACCTTTACTTAGCAGAACACAGCATTTATCAATTCAAGGAAAGTTAGTCTTTGCCATTTTCCATGTAGTTAGTTTTGCCATTGGTAGTTTTACCAAATGGTAGTTTTACCATTAACCATGTAGTTAATCATACACCTAATCTAAGACCTAAAATTATAAAACTTCTGAAAGATAATATAGAAGAAAATATTCAGGATCTTGGTTTGGGAAAAAATTTCATAAATTGATATGAAAATTATGAAGCATAAAAGAGGTAAACTATACTTTATCAAATGAAAATGTCTCCTTTTTAAATGCTTCTTAACAAAATAAAATAATAAAAACCATTTTCACTTAAAAAATATAAAAATATTATGTAACCAGAGTAAAAGAACAGCTTTGTATGTTTCAGACAATACGTACGTGCCCATTTAACCTGTGAGGTCTTGGGCAGTAAGATGTAGACCGTAGTTACTACGAATTTTACAATTATACAGCATTCTGGGTCTTGAAGTTACAGAACAAACATAAACAATCATTTTACTAAACTCTAATACCCAGACTTCCTTTGAATTTTCATTCTCTACCATATTTCAAAAACATCCATTCAAATACTTAGTGCTGTTTTTGTTAGTTAAGTGTCTTCCCAGTATTCATGAAATGAGTTTTATAGTGGGATAAAATACAATGTATAAGTTAGTTTGTTACTTATGTCAACCACAAAATAGCAAATGTTTTCTAAATTAGGCCACTATTCTCTAATGCAAACATAAAAATGTTGAACAAACCTGTATTTTATTCAGTATTCTGAAAAGAACATTGTTACTATATTTTGTATATCTTGCTATGACTCAAGAAATAGATAATTCCTTAGAAAAAGATGCCACCTGAAGCTATAGTAAATTATGATTCTAATTTATTATATCAATTAAGCATGGTCATATATGCCAATCTTGCTTGAAATAGAGTAGAATTTATTGTAGCAAAGTAGAAGTACATGTTTAGCTGAAAAACTGAGCTCTGATTTTCCTTTTCATGAATTCATAATGTGGATGTTACCACCACAAACACTGTAGCTAATCTTTTTTCTATTAAATTATCCTGAACAGAGGATAAAGAGGTAATATATATGAAGTGTTTTCTAATTTACTAGGTGTTGGAACACACTTTATATAATCAAATGTTATTTATTTCATACAACAATCTTACAATAAGTAATTGGTCTTAAGAGAAGAAAAGTTACAATTTGAACATCACTCAGAGAGGAATTGATAGATTGGAGGTGCTAAACCATTGTCTTTCTGGCCACAAATTTCACTTTTTTTCCCCCAATACACAATGTGAATTTTCCCCATCAAGAACACACTAATCTGGCCTACGGTTAGACATCAGTGTATTGATCTAAGGGTGGACAGATAGATCAATATACTAGAAAGAAGAGTTCAGAAATAAATTGCATATATGGTCTATTCATTTAAACAAAGCAGTCAATTTAAGAGGAAAAGATTGTCGTTGCAACAATGAGTGCTGAAAAATTTGGTATCTATGAGCAATAAAATGGACACTTTTTAAAAATAAATTATACTGTATATATTTAAGATATAAGCTATGAAGTTATGTGATACATATGTATAAAAAGGTTACTACAATGAAGCAAATTAACACATCTATCATCTCACATATTTACCCAATTTTGTTTTTGTTTTTGTGACAAGAAAAGCTAAAATCTATTCATTTAGCATGAATCGCAAATATAGGACAACTATTACCTATAGTCCTCCTGTTGTACATTATACCTCTAGATTTGTTCATCCTACATAAATACCACTTTGTATCTTCTGACCTACATCTACTCACACCACAAATGTCTTAAAGTTAATCATACATCTAATCCAAGAGCCTAAATTATAAAACTTCTGAAAGATAATACAGGAGAAAATATTCAAGATCTTAGATTGGAAGAAAATTTCATAGATTAATATGAAAATTATGAAGCATAAAAATGTTAAACTAGACTTTATCAAATGAAAACATTTCCTTCTTAAATGTTCCTTAACAAAATAAAAAAATAAAGACACAAATTAAGAGAGAATATTTGCAAAACATAAATGATAAATGATTCTTCCCAGTTATAAAAGAAGCATTTTAATACTAATGCACAGATAAACCATCAAATAAATACAGTGGACAAAATAATTGCATACAAACTTTACCTTACGTATGCAAAAAGACAATAAGCATATGGAAAGATGCTTTACATCAATTGCCATTAGAAACATGCAAACTAAAACCATATGGGTTACTACTTCATATCTACTATGGTGATTTTTTTTTATTGACAATACCAAGTATTAAACAGAAGGTGGAGCTTCTGGAACTCTTACATATTTCTTTTAAGAATTCAAAATTGTACAGCTACTTTTGGAAAATAATGTAGCAGTTTCCTATAAAGTGAAATGATATGGTTTGACTCTGTTTCCCCACCCAAATTCCATGTTGAATTGTGATCTTCAATGTTGGAGAAGAGGTGTAGTGGGAGGTGATTGGATCACAAAGGCAGATTTCCTCCTTGCTGTTCTCGTGATAGTGAGTTCTCACAAGATCTGGTTGTTTGAAAGTGTGTTGCACTTTCCACTTCATAATCTCTCTCTCTTGCTGCCATGTGAAGAGATGCTTACTTCCCCTTGGTGTTCTGCCGTAATTGTAAGTTTCCTGAGGCCTCCCAGCCATGCTCCCTGTACAGCCTGTGGAACTGTGAGCCAATTAAACCTCTTTTCTTTATAAATTACCCAGTATCAGGTAGTTCTTTATAGCAGTGCCATTAGGTTGGTGCAAAAGTAATTTGCCATTAAAAGTAATGGCAAAACACCAATTACTTTTGCACCAACTTAATAGAACCGACCAATACACTAAACATATTTCAATCCAGTAATCTCAAAAATCCTTTCAATAGAAAAGAAAGCATATGATCACACAAAGATTTGCACATTATTGTATATAGCGTCTTTATTTACAATAGCCAAATCCTGGAATCAACCAAATGTCTATCAACTTATGAACAGATAGTTGGTTCTATAGAGTAATACGTATTAAAAAAGGAAGATACCACTGAAACATACATGAACTTGAAAAACACAATTTCAGAAGTTGAACACATAAGACTGCATTTATATGATTCATTTATATAACATTTTTAAAGACACTAAAGTTATTTTGAAATAATGCAGAACTGTAGTTGGGATCTGAATATGTGGGGAGAGAATTGACTGTAAGTGGACATGAGAAAACTTCATGGTGGGGAGGATGTGTTCTACCTCATGAATCAAAGGGTGTTTATACAACAGCATGCATACATTTGTCAAAACTCATTCAATTATGTACTTGAAATTAGTAAATTTTACTGTTTGGAAAAGTATGCCTCTGTAATCCTGATTAAAACACCTAAGAGTGAGAATGATTGTTGTTCATAGCTAAACATAGGGTCAGTCAGAAAACGCTGGATAAATTCAACTTGCCATTGATACCTGGAAAGTCTAAGTGCTGTAAATAAGAAAAAAATAGTTTATTTTTGTTTATTAAAGACTGTCATATTAATTACTTTTGTATATAAAATAACCACACACATAGGGAAAGCCACATAAAGAAAAACAACCACTTCAAGTAAAGTCTGAAGAGAGATTTAAAATTTCGATATCTAAATCGATGTTAAAAATGACAAGAGTAAAGGATATGTCTAATCTAAGAAACTGTTGCTATAAAGTTTGTTTCAAAATGAAAGAAGAAGTTCTAAAGTTGCAGAGGATGTTACCACAGCTTGAGTTTCTTGTGATTTTTAAATCATGTATCATATTTTAATGAGCAATGACTTCATATTTTTAATTACACTTCTGGCAGGAGGCTGTACAAGATATTATATCAAGGTCTCCTGTTGCAATGCAATTAGAATGTGGTCATCCCACAACACACTTAGATACTGTTGTGACATAGAAAAGTGCAAAATGTTTTCAAGAAAAAAGAAGGAGGGTGAGATGAAAGAAGAGGCAGAAAATAAATACAGAAAGAAGAAAAAGAAGCAAAACTAGGGCAAGGAGGAGGGGAGGAAAGAGGGTGGAAGAGAAAAGGGTTGAATAGGAGGAGAACTAATGAGTCAAACTGAGAGTGGGGTGAGCAGCAAACACTCCATTTGGGACTTCACCCAGGTGCAAATGCTGAAATCTGTAACAAGAGCTTCAGAGTAGTACAGGTGGCCTGAAATTGGTAACTCACATAAAACTAGGAATCTAAAACAATATGACATGCCTAGGGGCAGTATTAAATATATGATAAAAGGAGAGGTGTTCAGTCCTCCCTCTCACTTTATTGAGTTCACTAATTAGGCTTATGCAGAAATTGGATAGCCTTGGTCAACGACAGTACATTGTCATAAACAGGGGGTGACTCCAATTACAGCTGCTGTTCCAAATTTTGTCTCTTTTATAGAGCAAGTTAACACAGCCCCAGAATATGGTATGAAACTAATGAGCTGTCATTGCTTTTGCCTCCATGTCATTTAGCAAAGACCACCAGAAGCAATTTCAATGGACAGCAGAAACATATCACTGTCTTTCTCAGGCCCATGGCAATTCTTCCTAAAAGGAAGTGATACTGATTGTTTTATGCTCTCGCAGGACATCTTGGTTTAATGGCTAGCATCACGGCTAATGGACCTAGAAAGGAGGAAGTAGCAAAAGGCCATCATATACCATAAACATGGCAGAAAATGAAGTACACCTCACCAAATTCAGAGACTTCCATCTTGGTAAAATTTCTAAAGACTCAGTGGTCTAAGTTGTATTGAAATATGTGATATCTGCTTGTGATAAAAATGATAGTAGTAGTTGCAGAACTCAGTAAACTTACTAAAATTCATTTATTTTTGCTCTGTCAGACATTGTTAAAAAGAATGAAAGGGCAAGCCACAAAGAGAAAATATTTGCAAAACATTAATATAGTATAGGTCTTGATTGAAAAATATACAAATAGCTCTTAAAATTCAAAAACAAGATAGCAACCCAATTTAGAAAATGGGCCCTTTAGCCCACACAATCAAGGAATAATTCTCTTTAGTATTTACCCAAATAATTTGAACTTATTTCCATACAAAGACCTTCTCATGAGTGTTTGTGACAGCTTTATATACTTCTGTATTTTTCTTTGTATCCTTCTCTGGGACCCAGATTTTCATAACAGACATGATAGTATGGGCTTTACTGTGCTAGGCAATAAGAGATCACTTACCCAAAGAAGAAAGCCAAAAACATGTACGGAGTGAGACCAACAAATTCTAGAAATGAAGTCATAATGTGGAAGTGAGAAGATTTACTTCTCACAATGCTTTATAATGTATATTTTCTCATAGTATTGACCAGCTTACAGTGCTATGGGAGGGCTGGAGGGAGAGAAAGTTTTAGGTCTAAGTGCTAAAAAATAACAGGCCCTACACCGTTCACATTCCTTTTCTGGGATTACTGATGTTTTTATAACAAAAAAGAGAGGTATCCAAAATAAAAGGAAACTTCAGGGACCAGATTTTCCCTGTCCTCACTTGGAGATTCTTCTATAGAATTAACTGGAGGGAACAGCATTTTATTTCTTAAAAATTTGTTTGTGATTTATAAAGAAGGGAAGAGTGTTCTAGTGTGACACATTTTCCAGAGTATAATTTAAAATCCAGCCCCTAATGGATACATTTCCTAAAAGAAGCCTTTGTTACCCATAAGAGTTTACATATTCAAGAGATCCTAACCACCAATGAGGGACTTACTTTATTGTGGAATCTATACACAAATAGCTTGCCAGTTTGATTCACAATATGGAGTGGATCTGAATTTCTGGTTTGAAATTTTGTCCACAGTCTTCTACTAGACAACCCAGATTCTTTGACTCCCATAATTTCCCCAGAATTTTTTCCTACTGCATGCAGAAATATTAGGTAATTAAATATATTGTCTCTCATTCTTTGATTTGCAGATTGGTATTTGAGTAATTATGTGAAGCTCTCAGCTTTATGCTTCTGACTCAAAATAACAATACATCCTAAAAAATTGGGGTTATTTATGTGTGGGTCTAAGTAAGTATGCTTTCTTGGCAGTACTGATCTCCACATCTATTACACATACCATTTATAGTACCAAATACCTGGACAAATATTGGCTAATATCAATTAAAACTTTGAACTTTTTCAAATACCAAGTATTTGGTACTATTGGAAGATAAAACATAGAAAGAATAATTGGTGTTTGCATAAAATTTTAAAACATAAAATGCATTGAGATGCCCCATTAATACACAGAATATAAAATGGTGAATTGTATTAGAGTTTCTATCCATTCTGTATATTCTTATGAAAAATCATGAACATGTGAAAAACAGGTGAAATAATCTTGATTAGTTTTCTCAGTTGATGGATGTGATCCTTTTCCAATTTGGAGTTTCAAAAATTAAAATAATATTCTCTTTTCAAAGCACAAGGACACAGGATTCTAATAACATTGTTTAATGATTACCTTCAAGATAATTTAATATGTAATTCATTAATAATTTGCTTTTTTCAATATCTAGTTTTTTGTGTGTGTGCATTCCTGTTTTGATTGTTAATTTGCTAAGCTAGCAAAAAGTAGGAGGAAATTGGTTGGTTTGTCTTCTTCTTTTGAATGAGGTTTCTACAGGTTTTTAAGGGAATACTTGACATATCTATTACATACACATTTAAGACATAATCACATAGCAGAGATTATATTTGTATATTTGGCTCATACACATACACAAATGAACACACATACATTTTTCTTTTTTTCATGTGAAATAATTTCAAGTGTTTTTGAAAGTGAACAGATCTGATTGAAATAACCTTACATTGGAACAAAATCTCAAATACCTAGCAAGCCATTGTTTATTGAATATTTGCTTTGGGAAAGGTGTAGTAAGTTTCTAGGAAATAGAGACGAATAATGTATAGTTACTGCTCTTTATAAAAGGAATGCCTAATGGGGAAGACATGTATGTTGGTAAGTGATTACAATAGACTGTAGTCAGAACTACCCTGCATTTGTGTTATAATAACCATCCTTCACCAAGAAGTTGTTGCTTGTGTTCTTTATAAAGTGTGAGTACACTTTCATAAAAATAGAATATCAATCCAAGCAAAGAATATATGCTATGCACTAATGCGTGGGTTCATATTTAAGCTCCATTACTTCATAGATGTAGCTGCAAGATTATTTCCAGATAAGAAAACAATGGTGTTCTTTAGTGTTCTTATTTCAAAACTAAGGATAATAATGATGCCTGTCTCACATAAGATAGCTAACATGTGTAGACAAGCTTCTGACATATGGTTTAGTCTCAGTAAATGTTAACTTATTTATTTGTTTTATATTATTATCAAATAAAAATATCATTTTGCTAAAGGTTGCAATTGTTAGCTCCTATCTAGCGTCCTAGACAGGCAGTTCAGCCATCTTTCTGCCAGTTTTGTTGTGCCCTTCTCTCCGTTAGTTATTGGTAACACAATTCTGATCCTATATCCAAAAGTTTGACTTGTACTCTGTCCTAATAAGTTTTTCTCTGGTGGTCCTTTTGTCTTGAGTTTTTACCGTTATGAACCCAGATGAGCCATATATTGTACTAGGTTCTGAAGATACAATAATAAGCAAAGATCTACAGTGTCCCTCCCAATGAGTTTAACACGTAGTTCATGATGTCAATAATTTGGTAATATATATTAAAAAGCAATGCAGATAATATTACAATCTATAACAGGTGGACATGGTTTGCTAGGTAAAGGGAAGAGGGAGTATGAAAAGGTCAAAGATTTAAACCAAAGTCATTGTACCTGGAGTTAGCAAACCACGGAGAGACTACCATTAGATAAGGTGGAAGAGGTCGGTCAGGGCCTTGTCAGAAATGTTAAGATTTTTAGATTTTATTTATTATTGTTTTTTCTTTTTTAAAACTACGAGAGTTCTAAAGAATTATTGAAATACAGCGTGTGTGTGTGTGTATATATATATATGTATGTATATATATGTATATATGTGTGTGTGTATATATATACATATATATATATATATATATATATATATACACTTACGGATGTCTGGAGTGGAATCAATAACAAAATCAAATTTAAATTTTGAAGAGCTCAATATCCAATTCCTACAATATTACAGCCTTCTATTTTTCTTGTCAGATCTCTCCAAGAACATTAAGGACTTCCACCTGCTAATATTCCTCTTTGGCATCTTTTACTTCTCTGAATGAAAAGAGTGCCATGAAATTCCTAAATGTATTATTTATCCCTACATAGCAGACATACCTTCTCATGCTGGATGTCCATGACAGCATCTTTGAAAGTGTTTTCACTTAGCCTTTGCTATTATTCATTCCAGAAACATGCCAGTTGCTGTCTCCTCATACTTTTTCTAATCATTTTATTGGGTCCTGGCCCAAATGAATTGGTTTAACTTTTTATGTTCATATTTCTGATTTCAACCCAGCTATCCCACCACTCACTTAGCTTCTTAGATTCATTTTGGCATATTGAAAAGTCAACTAAATCTGAGCTCAAATTTAAGTGCCTACTTTCCTATATAAATTTTATCTCAGATTTAGTTCCTATATAAGGATTTAGTTCCTGTATAAGGATTTTTTTTCAATGTATACTATATGGAAATAGACATTTTAACTTATTTTACTGTATCTTTTCTAATCATTTGAAAGCAGAAATTGGAACGAGAACAACTACTGGGAATTAGCCTGAATTCTTGGAAACACTTAAATTTTCTGTATCTGATTTTAACCCGAGGGCAATGCTTTTGACAGCATTCCGTTTAGATTTGGCAGAAGAATGGAAGCATGCTGAAATCACTGCCTAGGGATTCACAGCCCTTTAATACAGAAGTGTTCCAGTTAGATTTGGTCAGAGATCACAGAAGTACATTTCCAGAGAATGCTACGAGGCATGAAATATCCTAATGAATACAGCAATGCAACCCCACAACCACTATTCAGCAAACATTATAGGTAGCCTACTATATTTCAGCTAATTCACTACACATTTGGGACATAAGGATTTTGAGGTTTTAGTCTCCTATTACAATTACAACTTTGACCTAGTTCTTTCCTCAAACACTTCATGTTTTAAAGGTACAAGAGGTACCTAATAATAGAATGTGAAAGTACCAGCCTAGCAATTTTACTAAAAAGTCTATGAGAATCTAGGGAAATAAGCTATTTGCCCAGGCAATGTGGGAGAGGGAAGGTATTACAGAGTAGGCACCATTTAATCTGGGTTGTAAAACATGAGCATGTACAGGAGTGGGAAATGCCATTTCAGTTAAAGGGAGCAGTACATGCCATAGCAGAGAGATATGAAATTGCATGGTGAAGCAACATCATCCAGGAGGACTAAAAATTATATGGAAGCCTAATTATATAAATAGCTACAGAATTAAAGATTTTGGAGTTAAAAAGACAGATTCGTGTCAGTTCACAGGTGATGCATCATTAGAATTGATGGCTTTGTTTCAAAATATTTCAGGCTTTGATTACATAAAGGTGGTTTTGGTTTGCAAATGACCTATTTTATAATCACAAAAATACATTCTTGAAAAATATAACAATATCCTAGGCCTCAAGTTATCTCTATTTTATGCCTTGTCAGGCCACATTTCAAAATAAACATGAATAATTAAAGGCATGGTATCATAATTGATGTGGAGAGGAAGAATAAACAGAGTTATCAGGTGCGGGTTCTAAAAAATAGTATGCTTGCTATCTTAGAGATTACTAACGACAAGATAGTGTATTCTTACAGCTCTATGCAAACTACAAAATTTTTTCATGAAAATTATAGATTTGAAAAATTTATAGGTGAAAGTACACTTTTAATGAATGGGTTTAACAAAGATTAAACACAACAGAAAAGATAGTCTGGCAACTAAAAAATAAGTAAAAAAGTACACAAAATACAGGAAAGCAAAAGTTTGACAAAGAGAGAAAAGTGAAAGAGATGCAGGAAATACAATTCATAATATATTATAGCATACTGATAATCTGAGTTCTCAAAGTACAGCAAGGAGAAAAAAATGTAAAGTACAGTATATAAAGATATGATGGCTCAGATTTCTCAAGAAACACATACACACACAAATAAAATCAAGAATTATTGCACACCCAAGAAGTATAAATAACAATAAAACCATATTTAGATATGTTACAGTAAAAAAATTTTAAATAAAAAGAAAAAAATCTTAAATACAGCCAGAGGAAAATATGTTCTACAGAGAAGATACAATAAGACTGACAGCTAGCTTCACAAGAAATAATGCAATTTCAGGAGATTTTTTTAAAAGGGCTATCTTCACAAGAGGAAAAAAACTGCTATCCTAGGATGCCATGCCCAGTGGAAATATATATATATATATATATATATATATATATATATATATATATGACATATTTTTATGAAAACTTGAATTCTGCTTCCAGCTAAAATGGAGTAACATGACCTGGAATTTCTCTTTCATTTGAAACAAGCAAAAATCAAACCAAATATATGAAACAACAGAGCTTTCAAGTTATTGGACATCAAGCAACAAAGGAAAGTGATCCCAGAGAGACAGGAAACCAATAAGTTCACCCCTGTGATTGTCCCAGCTCACTGCTTTGAGGAAATCTCCATGCTGCCGTGTGTGGAGGGGAGCACATGGCAGAGTTAGCAGAAGACAGAGCTGAATGTTCAGAGAAACCAAGGTAACCAGAGGTTGCTGCACAGAGTACAAGAAAAGAGAAAGTTCACAGATAAAGAACGTGAAAGATTTGCCGAGGATCCTCCTCAGGTATTCAGTGGAAAATTTATTAGCGTGTGCATGTCACAGTATCAAAAAAATAAAAATAAAAAAGAAGAGTCAGAAAGGATGACAAGAGAGATATCAGGCACTCATACGGTGTGGGTGTCCATTTTCCTCAGTCAGATGGGAAAAAATCTCATAATTCATTAGACATAGGGTAGAAAACAGAGAAGGGCCTTAAGTTGTGGGGAAGAATTAGGTCAAGACCAAACATGGCTTTACTTCTGCCAAACAAATCTTAAAAGCAAGACCTGAAAGGATCAAACTAATTAAGTAAACTGATTGTGTCCCAGAACCAGACACAAGAATATAAAAATGTTTAAAACCCAACAGGGTAAAATTTACAATATAATCAAAGATTACTAGGCTATAGAGGAAACAACACAATGATATCCTAAATTAGAAGAAAAATAAATCAATCAAGGTTGACCAAGAACTGATGCAGATGGTGGACTCTAGCAAGCAAGGATATTTGAACAGATATCATAACCATATTCAGCACATGAAAAAGTTAAGCAGAGAGCATGAAAACGTTTTTAAAAACACAAAAGAAAACTTTTAAAGATAAAATCTGTGATGACTAAGAAGAAAAAAATACACTGAATGAATTAAATTCAGATAATTTCAGAAGAAAAAAATAGTGAACTTGATGAAAAAGCCATAGAGACTATTGAAATGATACAGAGAGCAAACAAATGTAAAACGAAGAGTATCAGTGAACTGTAGGACAACTTCAGTTGGTCTAAAACATGGGTGGTTGGATTCCTAAGGAGAGGATAGAGAAAGGAGACATAAAAATTTAATGAAAAATAAATTATGATTATCCAATGATTAGCCAAATTTGATGAAAATAATAATTCAGGAGATCCTAAGCACAATGAAACTGAAAGCCCATCACTTGAGATGATGTGGTAAGTTAGCGGTATACAATGACTGCTAAAGTAATCAATAGCATTTTTGTTAAAAAAGGCATTTATACTTTATAAATCAAAAATTGAGATCAATTGGAATTATTTGCAAAAAATACCTCAATCTAAAGTAAAAAAAAAAAAAAAGGAAAAAGGGAACAAGAAACACGGGGCAAAAAGAAAACAAATAGCAAGATAAAATACTTCAACCTAACTTTATCAATAATCGCATGAATTCTAAATGATCTGAACAACAGAATCAAAAGTCAGGTTGTGTACAAATACAGCACCCATCTCTATACTCTGCATATAAGAAACACATTTGAAATATGAAGACACATATAGGTTATAGTAAAATGATAAAATATAATGTGTCCCATGATTCCTGTAATCATATTAAAGCTGGGATAGCTATAAATAATATCAAAAAACCCCACACACTAGATTTTAAAGGAAATAATATTGCCAAATTTTTAAAGCAAATAATATTCCAGAGATAGAGAGATATTTAATAATAACAAAGGGGTTTATTCATCATTTCTACCACAACTACAAGTATCAGACTGTTATTGTATTGCACATACCTGTAGTCTTACATATTGTGATACATATGTTTCTTTATATAAATTAATTTTATTTCTTTTGAGGTACTGAGTCTGAAAACGCTGAGCTACTGTCTTGAATCTTCAAACTCTCATCAGTTTATTGAGGTCATTTCTTTCTCATCTATGTTCACCTCTTTCTTTCATCACCAGAAGTTGGTGGAAATATGAAATTCTTCCTTTCTTTTTTATAACATAATTCATTTTATGGTCTACCAAGCTAGGATCAAACAACTAAAATGGCATATCAGCATGTTTTGGTAAACAAACACAATCTCTGGGCTAAGAAAAACTGCCATATGGCTTAAAATTGATATATTTTTCCAACGATGACATACATTATAAAATTATAAAAAAGAAAGAATCACAGTTGCCTTGAGAAATCTTGTATTCTATCTCCTTATATATACAGAGAGATATAAATGTTTTTTGACTGCCATTTATAGGTGATGGCATAATGCCAATAAAGTACAAGATTCAAGGAGTTTTCTGCCATAATAGCATGAGAAGATTTACTTTTTTCTCCCTCTTCTCTGTCATCAACAACCCTTGTATTCAAAATGGTTATCAGAATAAGAAGGAAACATAGCAAGTGCAGAAAGCTCTACACGTGTTTAGCAGAGGTCTTTATTCACTCACAGGCACTTTCAGCTCGGCAGTGTTCTATCCTAGACTGAGCATCTCAAGGAGATAATTATCAAATCAGAGAAAGATGCCCCAGGTTTTCAGTCAGGCATTTACAAGAATGGTTGAATATCTATGATTTAAAATAATTGCAAAATATATCAGAGTGATTGCTGAGTCAAACTGTGCTGTAGTTGTCACCAAGTTAGCACACATGCCAGATTAGTTTATACTTAGACTTTACTCAAATTATGCATGTGGGGAATAGATTTTTTATGTGATTAATGCTCTCATGAGTGAAAATTCTGAAATTCCAAATCAAATGCAACGTTTTGATAATAGTGTGAAATATTAGCCACAATTTTTGCAAACACTTGATAGGTCAGGATGAATGAACTGATTCCAAAGGAATCTAATTTTAGCCCACAATCTAATTCATCTGGATACGCTGGATACGCTGTCTGTGGAGGCTAACATTGTTTTGGATACACCTTCTGCTTGGAGGATAGAACATCTCCACTTTTCATCTTTTAATGAAAAACTACTTCAGAGCAGGAATTAAGAGACCTTGATATGCAATTCTGGTATTAAAGGAAATTAACATCATCAGCCAACTGATTTATATTTTATTGTGTTGTAACATAGACCACTGAACAGAAACAAAAATATTTAACATTTGTGTGCTGAAATCCTTATATGGTGATAGTAACATGGAACATATAATGCACATGAATGCTCAAGTCTGTGATATAGATCTATTATATGGAATTACATTTCACAGTGTCTATTGATACCTGATCCTTCTGAGGTAGATACTTAATATTAAATACAAAATACATTGTAGAAGTTTCTAAATTCTTAAAAGTTTGATTTAGGGACAAATTTTAATAAAAGCTATCAAGAATAGAAAACTAAGATTTATTTACTTTAAATATATGAGTGGCCACAATTAATCCTTCAATAATATAGGGAAGTAGGTAATAAAGCAACATTTTGCAGGTAAAGAAACCAAGGATCATAAAATGACAGTTAATAGGTAGAGTAGAAGGCTTCACACATATGCCCACTGAATTCTATAATTTCTGAGCTGTGCAAGTCCAAATAAAGTACAGCATATTGGTTAAATAAGCTTGTCATCCAAGTCAAATGTTCAGTTTTTATAAGTTTTCAACAATTGAAGTTATCATACCACTTCTTTCAATACTGAGATTTCAGGACTAATAAAGTTTAATCGGGATGTTCATACAGCTAAGTATTTATTTATAAAAATAAAATGTACCAACACCAGGAGCTGTGATAACAAGGTCAAATGACAACCTAGAATTGGATACTACAAGATGTTGCCATTCTAGTGAAATTAGGAGGAATAAAAACAACAAAAACTAAAACAACAAAAAGCAAAAACTAAACATCTACATATATAATTTCAATAAACAATTAAAAATAAATTACTCCTTTAATTGACTAGTGTAATTTATATAAGAAACACATATAGGCTATCCCTGTAATAATATTAGTATTGAAAAATCAAAGAGTGATCCCTTTAATTAATTAATTGTTTTGATGTTTTAATGATATTCATTGTTGTTCTTGAATACTCAAAAAGCCTCTGATATACTTCTCAATTATATCTTATTCTCTCAGGAGGTATCAGTAGAATCATACAGCCCTTGTTCTTTTCAAAATAACTAATCTAATGTGCTGTACCTGAGAATGTCCTGACTAGAAAAGCCATCTAGCAGATAATAGAACGAACGTTCTATAGTTTTTATTATCTGTCGCTACTGGAAGTTACTTCAATTCCACATATAATGATTTCAGAGGCTAAGCCTCATAGTCTGATACTTTACCAGATTTAGGAAAATAGGTCCACTATGATAGTCATACTTTTTTTACCCTAAAAGATGAACTAACATGCAATCTATCTCAGGTTATGTCTTTGTGTCCATAAAAGTCTATTTGTCGTGAAGTCATCATGATATGACATTGTTTCCCTTATGATTATATATCAAAGATTATATAGTCAATTCTAAATAGAAGTATGGAGCATATGGCAATAAACTAAGGCAAGTAGTCCTTAAAATATACACACTCAATACATACACATATGCACAGCTATTTTCTTCATTTTATTGCTTTTATGGGGCTCAGTGTTAGTTGTAGAAATGTTATGAAATTGTTTTTGTCAGATTTTCTTAGCTTGTGGCTAAGAGAACTTGTAAAAGTGTTGATATCTTTAGCAAATAGGAACTGTAAAACTTGACAAATAAATATAAATGTATTTTGTATATTAGTCAACCAATATTGTTATTAATGTGTAGGAATGGAATTGGGTTGTCTACCTTTGGAGATACATTTTCAAAGTATTCTAATACTTGTATGATTATTTTTTCAAATTTTAACACTTTTCTGGCAATAACAGTGAAAGTTGGGAGAAAGCTGGCTTACATTGTGTCATATAGTAAGATAATGCAATATTTGTGCTTTATCTTTTTGTACTTTAATATAAATATTGATTTACTTAACCTTATCATTGGTATCTCAGTGTTTAGTGATACAGTGTTAATGTCAGAACACTTAGCCTCTGGCTAGTCACTTTTAAATGTAATACATATGGAATAAGAAAACTTTTATATAAACCCTTTGAGTTTTGAATGTTCTGCTAATACAGGACAATGACAGTTAGAGACCATATATGCATGACCATGAATTAATTTGGGGTGGAATAATTATCTCAGTATAATATGCAATCTTTGGAGGATAAGGGAGCTTATACAATCCCATCCTTTTAAAATTGTACTCAGGGAGAACCCTAGTGTAGATGTCTTATAAATCCTGGACCTCCTGAGGGTGAGGATAAAATATTTTATTTTAACAATATCTGAGGCTAAAATATCTGAACACTGATTTAATTGTATTATTAAATTACTCATATCACTTATTACTATAAGTGATAGATTAGTAATTCTCACTTCTTAAGCTCTTTTCAAATACCAAGCAGTACACATTACCAATGTACTCTAATTGTGTCACAACCCTGAAAACAAATATTATTCTTTCAGTTTTACTAATGAAAAATAAAGAGTATTAGAAAGGTTCAATATCTTGCTAAACATATCACAGGTAAATATTCCAAGCTAAATATTCCAAGCATAGCTGTGATTCCAACACAAGTCTAATTCTGTTTTCTGAGAATTGACTATTCTCCTATTATATACCATTCAATTAATTACATAACTGAACAGAACGTACGGTCATGAATGACCATCTAATCATGGAATAGAAAATTCATAGTAATACATAGTAGATTTATATGACAGGAAACTCAAAGACTAACAACTACTAATTACAGAATAAAAGTGCCAAGCCTAGTGGCTTTGGCTAAGAGAATGGGCTGTGGAACTCACCTGCCTAAGTTTGAAATCCAGCTTTGACACTTAAAGCTGTATCCTAAGTTAATATATGTAACACCCTTAAAAAGCAATTGCTTCATGATAAGTGTTCCAATTATTCTTCCTAGCATAAGCAATTCTTAGTAAAAAAAAAAAATCTAGGGACAATACTTGAAAATGTACTATTTGGAATATAAGAAAATTTATGCTTACCGGTTTTCTATAATCTATGGAATTATAATTTCCACATCAGTGAAAGTAACACTTGATGAATTTCTAAAGATCTTGAATCAGCTATGTTTAGATTTGGGATGAGAGGTGAAGGAAAATAGGGATGAATCAGGTTATGTGTTATTCATCTGAACAGCTGCTAAAGCTCTCAGGGTCTATACCACTGTGAAATAATAATCAGTGTTATAAAAATTTACCAAAGAAAGGAGGCAAGTCTGGGGAGCCTGTGTATGTGAGATTTAGCAGACCATTAGCTACAAATAGCCCTTGATAAGTGGGCATAATGAGATGGCATGGGGAAAAAAAAAAAAAAACAGATAAAAGCCCAAATCATAGTTAAAGGAAAACTGCACTAATCTCTTGATTATTAGAGGAAAGATTAATTGGTTAATCCCCAGCAGGTAGTTGATTCTAGAACAATCACGAAGTGTCTGTTGATTACTGCTGTTTGCCAGCCATGTGGTCCAATACTTTTGGGCTGAACCATGTTTGCAATTGATGAGGGTAGGGAAAGGGAAGCAGGAAGTAGGTAAAAAGAAAGAAGAGGGAAATTATAATCAACACTAATGAGATGCTGTCTAATCATTGATGTACCCCTCTATACATTAACATAATATGTTTGCATTCTTTAAGCATTCTGTAGATAGAATTTACCCTGTATAAAGATGAAATATATTATATTATTGATTTATAGGATTAAGTTATGAACTTCTGAATTTCTAGGTGATTGCACTTGTGTGTATTCTTACTTTCTCTATGTAGTCTCCAGTTGAAATAACTCATCTTAGAATCCCTTCTTTGTTTACCATATATGCTATAATAACATATAAAATATAATTATAAATAGTATGTAATATGTAAGACTTCTGCTAGCCAGAAATAAAGTTTTAAATGTTTTTTATTAAAATTTTTAATGGGTTTAAGTTATTGAAACATACATCAAAGAAGACATTTATTGATCTAGTCAACAAATGTTTATCATCTTTCGACTCTGTTGCTAGAATGGGTTTGATATGGTTTGGCTGTGTCCCCACCAAGATCTCATCTTCAATTGCAGCTCCCATAATTCCCATGTGTCATGAGAGAGGCCTGGTGGGAGGTATTGAATCATGCAGGTGGGTCTTTCCCATACTGTTCTCATGATAGTGAATAAGTCTCACAAGGTCTGATGATTTCATAAAGGGGAGTTACCCTACATAATGCTGTCTTGTCTGCTGCCATGTAGGATATGACTTTGCTCTTCATTTGCCTTCAGCTATGACTGTGAGGCCTCCCCAGTCATGTGGAATTGTGAGTGCATTAACCCTCTTTCCTTTATAAATTACCCAGTCTTAGGTGTGTCTTTATTACCAGCATGAGAACAGATGAATACAGTAAATTAGTACCAGTTAAGTGGGGTGCTGCTGTAAAGATACCCAAAAATGTGGAAGCAACTTTGAAACTGGGTAACAGGCAGAGGTTGGAACAGTTTGTAGGGCTCAAAAGAATACAGGAAGATGTGGGAAAGTTTGGAACTTTCTAGAGACTTGTTGAATGGCTTTGATCAAAATGCTGATACTAACATAGACAATAAAGTCCAGGTGAGGTGGTCTCAGATGGGGATGAGGAACTTGTTGAAAACTGGAGCAAAAGTGACTCTTGCTATGTTTTAGCAAAGAGACTGGCAGCATTTTGCCCCTGCCCTAGAGATTTGTGGAAGTTTGAACTTGAGAGAGATGATATGATTTAGGGCATCTGGTAGAAGAAGTTTCTAAGCATCAAACTATACAAAACGTCATGTGTGTGCTGTTAAAGCAATCAGCTTTACGTATTCACAAAGATATGGTTTGGAATTTGAACATATGTTTAAAAAGGAAGCAGAGTATAAAAGTTCAGAAAATGTATGATAGGAAATAAAAACCCATTTTCTGAGAAGAAATTCAAGCTGGCTGCAGAAATTTGCATAAGTAACTAGGAGCCAAAGGTTAATTGCCAAGACATTGGGGAAAATGTTTTCAGGGCATGTGAGAGGTCTTCATGGCATCCCTTCCCATCACAAGCCAGGAGGCCTAGGAGGAAAAAATGATTTCACAGATTCGGCCCAAGGCCTTGATGCTTTGTGCAGTCTCAGGACTTGATGCCCTGCATCCAGCCTTGGCTAAAAGAGGCCAATACAGAGCTCAGGCCAAGGCTTCGGAAGGTGCAAGCTCCAAGCCTTGGCAGCTTACCAGCGGGGTTGGGCCTGTGGGTGCACAGAGGTCAACAACTGAGGTTTGGGAACCTCCACCTAGGTTTTGGAGGGTGTGTGGAAAGACACAGATGTCCAGGCAAAGGTGTGCTGCAGGGGCAGAGCCCTTATAGAGAACCTCTGCTAGGGTGTTGTAGAAGAGAAATATGGGGTGGGAGCCCCCACACAGTACAGTGTACCAGCCCCACTGGTACACTGCCTAGTGAAACTGTGAGTAAAGGACCAGCGTCCTGCAGACCCCAGAATGATTGATTCACTGATAGCTTGCACTCTGCACCTGAAAAAGCTGTGGAAACTCAATGCCAGCCTGTGAAAGCAGCCATTACGGCAGCTGTACTCTGCAAAGCCACAGGAGTAGAACTGCCCAAGACCATGAGCACCAACCTCTTGAATCAGCATGACCTGGGTGTGAGACATGAAGTCAAAGAAGATCATTTTGGAGCTTTAAGATTTGACTGACCCACTGGATTTTGAACTTGCATGGGCCTGTAGCTCCTTTGTTTTGGCCAATTTATAACATTTGGAAAGGGTGTTTTTACCCAATGCCTGTACCCCAATTGTATCTAGGAAGTAACTAACTTTCTTTTGATTTTAGAGGCTCATAGGCAGAAAAGACTCGCTTTGTCTCAGATGAGACTTTGGACTGTGGGCTTTTGAGTTAATGCTGAAATGAGTGAAGACTTTGGGAGACTGTTGGAAAGGCATGATTGGTTTTGAAATGTGGGGACAAAAGATTTGGGAGGGGCAAGGGGCAGAATGATATGGTATGGCTGCATCCCCATCCAAATCTCATCTTGAATTGTAGCTCCCATAATTCCCACATGTCAAGGGAGGGACCTTGTGGGAGGTAATAGAATCATGTGGGCGGATCTTTTGAGAGAGTGAATAAGTCTCATGAGATCTGATGGTTTTATGAAGGGAAGTTCCTCTATGCAAGCTCTCTTGCCTGCAACCATGTAAGATGTGACATTGCTCCTCATTCACCTTCAGCCATGATTGTGAGGCCTCCCCAGCCACGTGGAACTGTGAGTCAATTAAACATCTTTCTTTTATTAAT
This sequence comes from Homo sapiens, assembly GCF_000001405.40. Classification (NCBI taxonomy): domain Eukaryota; kingdom Metazoa; phylum Chordata; class Mammalia; order Primates; family Hominidae; genus Homo; species Homo sapiens. The sequence goes on along the minus strand of NC_000004.12, from coordinate 58,946,862 downwards.
TACCCATTCTCAGGTAGGTCTTTATTAGCAGCATGAGAATAGACTAATACAGTGTAACAAGTCACAGTCATGAAGATAAATAAGAGACATATAACTTCAGCCTTTAATTAGTTAAATTATACTGGAAGAGATGGCAACAATAACAAACCATATAAATAGAAACATGCAGTAATTACAAATTATGATAAGTACATTATAGGAAATATACTTGAAAAGAATTTGAGAAAAATGTAGGATTTGTTTTGGATAAAGTGATTAGGGAAATCCTGTTTGAGAAGGTATTATGGAAGCTGGGAACAAAAGGATGAGATGGAGCCATAATGATCAGGGAAAGGTAAAGATAATATGCAAAAGCTCTGGGTTGCTAATGGGCTTTCTATCTTTAAACCTTAAAAAAAAAACAATGAATTTGGAACAGAGAAAAAGGTGCGAATTTTTTTCTTATATCAAGATAGAGATTCAAGGACTACATACTACAAGGCATTGTAAGCCAAAGTAAAAGTTTTATAATTTACTGTAAGTAGAATAAGCAGATATTTAAAGATTTAAAGAAGGGATTGATTTGATCTGATTTATTTTTTAAGAAAATAATTCTGGCTCTATGTCAAAAGTGCATTAAAGGATGTGTAAAATCCAATCAAAGATTAGTTAGGAAGTTATTACTTTATTTCTGGGGTTCATATTGACTTCTGATTCTGTGAAATGGGAATGGGCAGTTATAAAGTTGAAATTTTTTTTAAAGGGAGACCCTACTTAAGCTACCCAATGAGTTGGATGTGCAGAATGAGAGCCAAGGACTCCTAGGTTTGCAGCCTAAGCACTGAGGTGGTAGTAAAGTCATTCACTGAGTCGAGGAAGGCATGAGGATAAACGCATATGCCATTATCAATGTGCATTTTGTGCCATGTGGGTTTACTTAAAGAATTAGGAGTCTCAATTTGGGCATACGTTTTGACTTTTATCAGATCTCTAAATAGAGATAGCAAGTTAACAACTGAAGGTGAATTTTTGGCATTCAGATAATCCTTGGCTAGGCACAAATACTTTAGAATAGTCACATTCAGGATGATATTATGAGCATGGACGAGTTCACCTACAAGGACAGTTGACAAAGTGAATACATAAGAAATTTTCTATTTTGTTTTGTTTTAAAGCCAATCACTATATAAAGACAAAGTGCAATATTTTATCCCAGTTTGCCATGTACAATTACTATTTATTGATTAAAACAATCTCTTCACACTTTCTCATGAATACACAAGCTTCCATGCTTCCTAAAACCCTTATCATTCCATTCTGATTTAGTGTAGAGTTTAAGGGAACAAACACTACGTACAAAATATGTATCCAAAGTGTTAGCCCAGACATTCCTCCATTAATAAACTTTTAGTACATGTACACATGCTGAAATGTACACATATGCTGAAAAGTACACACATGCTGAAATGCATCTTTTGTCCATATATAACTGAAAATCTTTCAAAAACAAAATTAAAATGAATCACATAATAATAATAATGAACTAATTTTTGTGTGTTTATTAATTTATCTAAAGTAAAAACATTAATAACAAATTATGTATCAGTTGAGAATTAATTTAGATATTATAAATTTGTTTTTCACTTAAATATTTTAAAATACCTTTTTAGGTATTTAATGTTCATAACGGTTTTTAATTCTTTAATATTCCTGTTAAAAGGTATTTTATATTTAAGAATGAATTATTTCTGTTAATCATTATGTCTATTAATATTTAAAACAAAAATGTCTTATAGCAATTTTTTTCATTTTAACATAAAGGTGTGGATCTTATTTATAATCTTTGCTGATCACTAGATTTATATAGAAAACAATTTAAACAGAATGATTTCAAATATCAGAATCAGTATCTCCTACCAACATCAAGCATTTTTCACAAATTTTTAGTAAAATATATGAGGTTGTACCTTAACAAATGCAGATTTACAGTATAGGACTAACGGGGCTATCTTATTTCCAAGCTAGATGACCCATCTGGGGTTGTGAATTTTTTTTAATTAAAAAATCTATATCCCACTTAAAACATATTTCTAAATTTTTTGATAAGAAAATTTTCTCACATTGATCAATAAGACAGGTTTAGGACAAATAAAGATGTTTAATATATAAATTATATAAAAGATCTTGAGTATCTTGAGTAGGGAAGTTTTTGAAGGGCTCCATTTTCAAACTCTCACTTTACTAAAATTAGAGATGACCACTTTAAGAAGTTATGTAAAACCACACTTATAAAAAGGTGTGTGTGTTTGAGCATACATGTGTGTATATGCATACACACACACTTTCAATTTATAAATTCATTGGACATTAGATAAAATCTCCAAGGTACTTTATTATAATGTTTCTGACATGGTTTGACTCTATGGCCCTCCCCAAATCTCATCTTGAATTGTAACCCGAATTGTAATACCCAAGTGTCATGGAAGGGACCTGGTGGGAGGTAATTTAATCATCGTGGTGGTTACTCTCATGCTGCTCATACTGTTCTCATAACAGTGAGTGAGTTCTCATGAGACCTGATGGTTTTATAAGGGGTTTCCTCCTTGCTTGGCTTTCATACTTCTCCTTCCTGCTGCCCTGTGAAGAAAGACATGTTTGCTTCCCTTTCTGCCATGGTTGTAAATTTCCTGAGGCTTCCTCAGCCATGCTAAACTGTGAGTCAGTTAAACCTCTTTCCTTAATAAATTACCCAGTCTCGGGTATATCTTTAAGAGCACTGTGAAAACAAACTAATACACTTTCCTTCCTAGAGTCTTATATTTTTACAAATAATATTCTTTTTTTTGTAATTTGCCGTATTTGCAGAATGACTTTTATTTAAAAAAAAATTGGCAAGTAACTCTTTTATTCTTTTCCCCACAGAACTCTACTTATTTAAATTGTAAAGTGTAAAACTTGAAAAGTGTGAAACAATGTATGAATATCTGTTATCTTCACATTTGGCCTGAAATAAAACTATTTCAACCTAATTGCAGTCACAGCCCACCTCCTTAAATGTGCCCCATACATCACCTCTACTGCTGATTATTCTCTAGGCAGTAACACACAGGATCACTAAATTCTCTCTTGCTAAAAATATAGATGCCTAGTGTAATCTCAAAAAAAGTTACCAAATAGTAGGCCATTCAGCTGTCACATTGACTTCTATGCTATTCTCTAGTAGAATAATTTTCTATTATTTGGCACAAGTATCTTACTCCTTACAAATAAAACTTTTCTTGAGATGTGACCATATGCTCCCTCTTGAAGTCAGTAAGAGTTAAGATTGTGTGTTGAAGGGCATAACTTAAGTAGTGAGTGCCTCGTAAGTTTGCCAAAAGCTATTAGTCTTCTCTGTGTCTCTGCTGCATTCCTATTTTCTAACATCTTTTCTTATGAAATATTTCAAGTGAAAAAATATACAATGTAACAGAAACAATGTACGTAGCACCCATCTCTGTAAAACTTTAATATTTTACATTTTTAGACTTCTTTATGTTTTATAGAAATAATAGATGACAATATCAGTCAAAGCTTTCTTTGCACTCTTTCCAATACCATAGCTGACCATTTTTACCAAGTAAACTCTATTGGGAATTAGCATTTAAAATTTCCAATCCATCATTTATATTTATATTACTATGTGTATGTACGTGTACACAATATATAAAATTGCAGTATATATAAATGTTTAATAGTGTTAAAATAAATATATTTTCATCTTTCCTCATTTAATTTTATATTATAGTGTTATTTTCTTTGAAACATGCATACGTAGCTTATCAATTTTATGCATTGTATATGCTCAATTATATTAATATGTAACTCATATATATGTATCTAACATTCTGTTTATAAATATTTAAATTGTTTATAATTATTGTCATTTCAATACTTCTTGTTGTACACATTCATATGATTTTCTTTACCAATGACCTCCTATCTTTTGGCCATAACATATAATTTAAAAATTCATACTATTTATGATCTTTCCACCCCTATCATATCCAAACATACTCATATGCAAAAACTGAAACAAAATATTGATGAAATGAAATTATACTTATTCCTTGTTTTATATCTTGACATATTCTTTTGTACTTTATTTCATTCAATCTGATTACCTAATATACTTGTCAATACCAGTAATTTGATTTATAACCCATTAATGGAGTTATAATTCATAGTTTGTAAAATATTTATCTAAGAATAAACTTAGACAAGACTCCCAGTTCTTGAACTGTACATAGAAATAAAATAAATATATTTACAAATTCTTCCATTGTAAGGTAAAAAATATTGTTACCAAAAGTAACCCAGTTATTGCCACAGAAAGAAAGAGACAGAGAGAGGCTGGGCATAATGGCTCACATCTGTAATCCCATCACTTTGGGAGGCTGAGGCGTGCAGATCACTTGAAGCCAGTTTGAGACCAGCCTGTCCAACATGAAGAAACCCTGTCTCTATCAAAAACGCAAAAAATTAGCCGGGCATGGCGGTGGAAACCTGTAATCCCATTTACTCGGGAAGCTGAGGCAGGAGAATCGCTTGAACCTAGGAGGCGGAGGTTGCAGTGAGTTGAGATTGCACCACTGCACTCCAGCCTGGGTGACAGAGTGAGATTCTGTCTCCAAAAAACATATCAATAATGATAACGAATCTATTTGATGTTCAGCCCTTTATCAACCCAAAGTAAAAGGTTTTTTTTCCCTACCTTTTTCCTACCTTCAATAAGTTTTACAAAAATTGTCATAACTGATTGTGAACAGCACTCCTTTTTCCCCCTTATCTTCAGAAATACCCTTTATCTAAACCTGGAGACCTACCTATTCTATTCTAAAATCTATCCTCTTTCAAATGCTCTCCACCCACCAGCACTTTCTTTATATTCAAACTAACAGAAACACATTTTGTTCTTGATTTCTTTTCTGAGTGTCACACTCAATCAGAATTTTAAATTGTCTAGCTGTCATTTATTTTGCCAAATACTATTAAGGCAGGCATTTCCATTGTTCTACAATAACTCTAAGAACATATTGTTTAGAACAGTAACATTGTTATTACATTGGTAGCTTTGCACTTGAAATGGAGCACATTGTAACATTTGACTTTGTCACAAGGCAATACAACATAGAGCTCTAGTCACAGTTTCTCTCCCTGAACTAAATCTCTGCTGATTACAGACACAAGAAGTATAATAGTCTGCATTCTGGCAAATATGTAATATGTAAAGCCTCCATATATCAATCCTGTGCAGAATTACTCTGATTAATTTATATTCACTTCTAGTAAATAGTAATTCCCAGTCCCATAAACAGGGATTTACATGTTCAGTAGAGCAATAGAAAGGTATTGTCAACATGCTGATCTCATAGCTCTGCAATTTGTGGGGTTTCTAAGGCAATTATTTTAGCATGTCTATCATATTGCTATTATGTTTCTGGAGAGCAGGTGGCACGTTGTAAAAAGCTATATATTATACAGAGATATTTTAGTTAGAATAAAGCAATGTATCATTTTTCTTAAATTTCTCAGCCCTTGCTTATTTTAATTTGAAACAATTTGAATAAGTATAAAACATTAGTTTCCCAGTTGTACTGCCCTTAAAATGTAGCATATTTCTTACCTGAAGGCATAAACTTTAGTGACATCCTAATCATTTTCACTGCAACCAATAGTTGTGCTGTAAACTGAGGATTAAATAGTAGGTGGAGAACAAACAGCAGGAGCAGATGAATTCCTAAAATCAAATGATCTCTATTTGAATGCAAATATCGCTATTAATAAAGAATGAGAGAGGAAAACATTTTTTAAAATATGTAATATATTAAAATAAATTATTTCTGAGCAGGTTTTTTTTCTAGCAGCTCTTCAATGAGCTATTTCTTCATATATTGGTAACTAATTATTACATATATTTTGTATGTATTTTTAATATCCATAAGCTATGGATTTCGTCTATATTTCTTGTCCGCGCATTTGAAAATAATTTGCAGAAACGCATTTAAACTTCTTGGTTTCATGCTAAGTGGGAAACAATGGATTGAAGACTTAATCTACTCTGCAAGCTAGAAGCTAAATTAATGGTCCCTAATATAATACAATGAAGATGAGGTTTTCAAAGCCTATATCTGGCCTTCTTTACATATGTAAAGATACTAAGTTTTGCAATGATAGTTGATCACAGACAGCAATCCAGCTGGGCTTTACGTATTGCCTGTTTTTTATATACCTATTTATTTACATTTTCCAGAGCTGTATCTTGAATGTAGTATCAACGTTGTGTTTAAAAGTACATACAAAGGTGGGATTCATCACTCTTTTAACTGCATATATTATAAGGAGATGAAGAAGGAAATCATGAATTTAGATGCTAATATTTTGGTCACCTTGGTAGTAAAGAGCTTTACAGTTTCTACCATACTCCCTCTGGCTTCAAAATTCTTCACAAACAAAAGTGAAACTACCTCTCTGTTTCCTTGATCTGAGTCTCGTCCTTGTCTAGTCTGTGCCCTTGCATGCACTGCTCATTCTTCTTTAATTACTTTCCCACCTTGTCATACAGGCAAATCCTGCTGATTTTCAAACATAAACACCACATAATCTCATCAGAGGCTTCTCTCTCTTCAGAGGTACACGTATTTCAATTGATTCAATGATCAATGGATTCAATTGATTCAATGATCAATGAGTCAACCATACCTTTATTAGATTTGCGTTTTTATTTTGCATGCATCTATATTTTTACCACATACGGTTTTGAATTCTTGAAGTGCCTCTTCTCCTTTGTTGTTGTTGTTGTTGTTCTCAATCTCCTTTGCCTGTTAATCTTTCCCCACTAGGCTCTGACAAACATCGCAGTTGTTTCTTCAGAATACTTTCCTAGGACCTAGTTGTCAATATGTTATATACTCGTTTCTTAGGTGACTTGACATATCCACATATTTCTCACATTTACATCATTAGCTTCAAACACTTTAGAAACAACCTATTTCCTCCATGTTTCGATAATACTTCAAATTCAACAAGTCTTAAAATTAAAAACACTTTAGGTTTCTCCCCCAAACCTAACATTTCTCCATGTTTTCTATTCCAGGGAATGATACAAGCTTGTTGTGCAAGCCAGAAATCTGAATGTATTCTTTGACATCTACCACTCTTTTTCACTCTCTCCTTATGTGGAAAGTACTATGAATTTATTCTCCAATCATCTTTTTAATCTGGACACCTCTGGCCATTTCTATTGCCACAACCATAGTTCAATTTATTGTCATCTCCTAACTGAACTACTGTAATCGTTTCCTAATACTCACTCAGATGATCTTACTTTATGTAATATCTACTTCACATACGCAGCTGGAGTAAAATGTTACATTACAAATCTGATATGAGAAAATTACATCTGGGAGCATTTTAATTTACTTTAATAGAGAGATTCTTTTGTTATGCAAATATCCCTTCAATGACCAAATTGTCTTTCTAAGGGGATGTCATCAAGAGGGAAAAGAGCTTAAATTTATTGAACTAAAGAAATAAAGCAATTATTCAAGTAAATAATTCTGTATGAAGTGTTTATGCATATGTCTTATGTAAAATATACTTGATTCTTTCATATGCACACTTGAGATCTTTACGTTCTAAACACCCACAAGTACTCTGAGAGCCTTCATTTCTTATCCTGTAAATAAGTGGGATTTTTTTTTGTAAAACAAAAAAATTAAAAACAAAATTAAAAGCACTGTAGCACATCAATATCATTAATACTTAAAATGTCATTTACATTGGTAAGCAACCTGAATAATTAAAAAATGCAAATTTAGCCTACTTAGGAGTAATAACTTTATATGTAAACCTTATGAGCTGAATTTCATTACTTATTCATAATATACTAACAATTAAAAAAACAAAGTAATGTAACAAAAATGTGAAAGTCAATATGTAAACAAGTGGCCCTATGGCAATTGAAGTGGAGTGAGATACTTTCTTCTTCTCTATTAAGAAAAAGAACTTTATATGGAAAATATTCATTGAGTCCCACTCAAATAAATTGTCTTCAAAATAAAATAAATTTACAGAGTAATTTTTTTAACTTCCCTTCCCACTAAGTCATGCTCAACTTAGCTGTTAGGTATGCTGTAACCACAAAAATATCAAAATTTCAGAAAATCTGCCATTGACACAGATGATAGTCTTTCACTTGTTTTTAACTTCATTAAAAATTTAATCTATTGTTTTAGTCTATTAGTCGGATACCATACTACAAAACTGGTGCCAACTGAGGAACATCAAATTTATTCCCTTGTATTTTAAACCAATTATGGTTGATTATTAAGTTTAAAAATTAATGGTAAAGAAAATGCCTAGTGAGTTTACAACCTCATTCGTCTAAAACAGGTAAATATGTGTTCATATTTAATGCAGTTTGAAAACTGTACTTTATTTAAATCATTTCCTAGCAATTCTGCCAGGTTACACAAGACTTTCTCTTATTTCTATGTTTTCTAGGGTATTTTGTTAGTAGCCATCATATTTAAAATGTAACATCATTATCCTTGATTTCTGTTTCCATTTGTCTTCTCCTTATCATCTACCACTATTTTTCTGTCAAGAGAATGTCTTTAAAATTTCCTTATGTATACATTTCTTCAGCCATGAACTTGATCAAAATCTTGAAAATAAAAATGAAAACTTTAGAGGATTATAATCAATGCCTCACTGAAGAGGCAACCTGGGTTTTTTCCCTAGTTAATAAATGTAAGCACTGGGTCTAGAATACAAGTCACTCATGTTCTAGGCCAATGCAAATAAAATCATGGGATACCCCATACTTTAAGACAGTAATTAAATTAGTGTTCCCCTAACATTGTGCCCAGTGCAAATACATTAACCCACTGTTGTCTTAGCTATTGCTAGAAGAAATGTCATCACATCACCCCAGCCAGGATTTGACTTTTGAAATCTGGTAGGATCCGATTTCTTACTAAGTTGTTTTTCTCATATGTAGAATATTGTACATTGCATAGTTTTCAATATTTGGTCAGAATAAGATAACAATAAATTTACAGTGATGTAAAGATATGTTTTACACCCAGTCAAAAGCATACCTTTGATATAAATAAGTCATAACTATGCTTAAATAATGCAATGTTTTAGCCATAGTTTTATTTTTTAATTTTTATGTCATATTGAAAGAAATCTAGTGAGAAGAATCATGAAAGGTAACATTATATAATGCATTCTCTATTGTCCCAGATGATTACTTCTTTTATGATCTTGGAAATTGTTTTTATGGGTTATCAGGAGTAAAACTTATCCAGTATCTACCCCATTTTGATAAATACAAAGGCTATATGTAGCATAGACATCTCACAACATAGACATCTCACAAAATATTTAGCTTTCCAAAAAACTTGAAAAAAATCATAGTATAAAATTTAATTTATATTATTTTCTAAGACAGACAGAGTAAGTATATACAAATATAAAACTCATCAGTGATTGCTTAAGTTGGAAGGTGATTACATCAAAGGAAACATCTTTTGTGATTGAAATAGTCTATGCAGTGTTTCAATGGTGGTTATAAGACGCATATATTTTCAAAAGTTATTAAACTATACACTTTAATGTATGTATTTCAATGAATTTAAATCATATACCTCAAAAATATCATTGTATAAAAAGAGATTTTAATTTTTAATATACTTTTGGCAGATAGGCTACAGTTAAATGAGTAATAATTGCCTAAGAGTGGTGCAGATCCTTACTGAAATAAGCTTATATGACTGCAAAGAACTTGAGCAAATACAGGGTGCTAAAAACAACAAATACTATAGAAGACAAGGATGTGCTGTAGAACTAGGATATCACCGAAGAACTTAACAAAGAAGTTTCTAGAAAGATATGTTTCTCACCTACTTCTTTCTCTTTCCTCAGACCTTCCTAAAGAAGAAAAATTGTCTCAACCAATAAGTTCACCATATATTAAAAGTAAACTTCTCAACCAAAGTATTGAGGGTTAGAGACAATAGAGTAAAGACATCAATATTTTCAGTAAAATTGATATCTAAACTGGAGTTTTATACCCAGATATACTATATGTAAAATATGAAGATAGACTACAAATACTTTCAGACATTAAATAAAAAGTTACTGAATGATTCACTCTGTAAACATGGAGGAATGACCAAGAAAAGAGGGAGGTATTGTTTCCCAGACACAGCGTAATAAACACAGGAAATATAAAATCTTAGTACTTCAGAAGATTACAAAGGGAAGCCTGAGAATGATAGCTTTGGGAATCTGTCAAACTGTCACAGAAAAATTAGAAATGAGTACATATATATCTAAGAAAAGCAATGAGACTTTTACTAACATTTCTACCTATGATTCTGTGTTTTGTTTAAAAGGTTACTGGACTCTGTATTTTATCTTTTTAGGTGATAAGAAACATCAGAAAGAGTTGAGGGGCCAGGAAGTGGGTCCTCTCGGACCCTTGGAGTAGAAAGCACTCTGCTGATGGGCTTTTGAAATGTTACTTCTAGAGTTATCTGCATCATTAACAACTTTTTTTTTTTGTCTCAGAAGTCTATCTTTGATTTTATAAACTGACACGATTTCTTTTTCTGTCATGAGTGCATGATACTGTATTTCTTTAACAAGCCCATTACACTTTTTCACCATGTCATCGAAAATTTTATTTTTTTGCATGTGTAGGGAGGTCAGACATCATTTTTATTTCCTTGTTCATCATTATCCCTGAACATAGCCGCAACACAGAGGTTGTGCCAGGCATGCAGGACTGTGTCTTTAGTCACTGTGTTCCAAGCATTGGCAAAAACAAATACAGCATCCTTTATATTAGAGTTCTTCCGAAAACGTCTACACTCATGGCTCTGTTCATTGCTGCTAGCACGCTGTTCAAGAAAGTATTTTTCTATTTACCCTTCATTGATCTAAGAATCCCTTGGTCACATGTCTGAATTAATGAAGTCACTGTTTGGGGAAAGTGCATGGCATGAACATTATTTTAATAAAAATGTCAGTTGGAGAATAAGCAGAAGAGTTTGAAGAAATAGCACAATCTTGCGCTCTTCATTCAGTCTAGCTTCCCCGCAGTGAGTACCAGTCACTGGTACAAAATGTTTGTGACACCAATCCAAAAAGATATGCCTGATGACTTATGCCTTATTGTTAGAATAATAATAGACTAGTAAGAAATTCACTGCTTGAAAGCAGAAGACACAAGCTTTTGCCTATAACAGTGAGTCAGGTTTATACTTATGAGTTCCTGCTACATTAGCATCTTCCAGCAGAGTTATTCTGTCCTTGGCATACTTAATTCCTGTAAGGCCTGACTCATCAGCTGTATTCAGTGTCTTTCTGGAGAAATACTACCAAAATAATGATGTTTCATTAGTATTATAGACTTGTTCTGGCATCATCAAATTTTCATCACCGGTGACCTTGGCAAACTAATTGATGAATTTCTCTGCTTATCTTCGATCAGGAAATGCTTTATCACCACAAAGTTTAAAAAGTTTAATCCCATGTCTTTTCTTAAATTTTTACAGTCAGCCTACTGAACATTCAGAGGTTTATTTGATTTTTAGTTTATTATAATAAATCTTTGTTTTATGATCAGCATACCATTAACTGACTTGTGCTCACGTTGATGCCAGTAGATCCACTCTTTTAATACACAATTGAGATATTCATTTTTAGCTTTATACAGTGTTTTTCTATTTTCCATGAACTTCCATCATAGACTCTTATACTTCTGTTTCTTTTTGTCATATATGGTGGTAATTCCAACAATATACTTTTATGTAAGATATTTCAGACTTACACTGCTGCCCAGTTTCTCCAACATCTGTAGGCCTTTTCGATATTTTTAACCATATATTTACACCACTGAACAGAGAATAAGAAAAATCACAGTGAGTAATGCATGCAGGTCTTGGACCCATGTGGGATATTGTAGGGAACCTGTAGATGTAGATTCATCTGGCCTGTCACGTACAATTTTCTATCCTTGTTCAGTGTGCTAGTTCAGGGGAATATAAGCATGGAATAAAAAGTGATATTGCAGCTGAAAGAGGATGGTAGGGTCTTTTTTTTTCTCCTTAAGGACACTGAATATGCTATATGTTTTTGTGCCTGCATTTGTATGGTAACCTGTCACATGAGGTCAGGTGTAAAATTTTTAACTTCTAATGTTATGTTGGCACTCAAAAGGTTTTAGATTATGGAGCACAATGGATTTCAGATTTTTGAATCAGGAATGCTCAAACTGAATGCAGACTGCTCTTCGAATTAGTTTAGCTACAAAGGAAACTGTTGAGTCACAAAAAATCAATTTAGGATTACATAAAGGGTTTTATAAGATGTAAGAGACTACAGAAGATTCTTAGGATCAAAAGAAAGAGAATAATATATGTAAAAAGAAGCAATCCATTTGTGTTCAGGACCTCTCAATTATATGTAACTTCATTTAGAGACTCTCCCAAATCTACCAGAGTAGCCTACCATGTATCTGTATCCCACACTGTTAAATTTTATGCCTGGCTGATTTAGACGTTAAATTATTTGAGAGTGGAGACTGCATCTTGTTGATCGCTTAATCTCTAGCACTTGACACATGCTGCACACATCTAAGACTCAAGATCCATTTGTTGAAAAAGGAATAAATGACCCAAAGCTTTGTTAACTCTGATAAATATGGATAACAAGCTTTAATACTGAGATAGTATACTAGGAAAGTTCACTTTTGAAATATTTTGTAGTGTTCATGAATGTGAAATTACCTTTTAAGAATCAAAAAAATTATAAAATAAAAATCTAGTTATTTTATCATAAACTATAATACAAGAAAATACAAATATGTTTTATTTACATTTCCTTGAGTATTCTTATCTGTATAATAGCAATTAGTCTGCCTGTGACTAAAATGAATACAATGGGGAGACAGTAGTTTGTTTTCATTAATTAGAAGTGTTTCTGATTAGACTATATCACAATTGGAGGACTCAAATTTCAACCAATCAAGTAACACTTTATGCTTAGATATATAAAAAGTGTACTATGGCACAATTTATTGCTATGAAAAATTAAATATACTGTTCTATATATTAATTAATAACAGCTACAATATAATTTTATAAATATCTCTGTGTTTTTGTGGTAAGATTCCTTAAATCGATATCAACCCTTTTAATAGATGTTTGTGTGTACCACACAATATTGTTTACTATAGGCACAATGTTGTACAGCATTACTTATTCATCTTTCATTATCAAAACTTTATAGTCTTTGATTAACAAGTTCTAATTTTCCCCTCATCTTTCTGCCCTTGGTAATCATCATCCTGCTTTCTGATGTTATGAGCTTAACTATTTTAGTTTCCTCATGTAAGTGGAATCATGCAGTATTTGTCTTCCTGTGCCTTATTTATTTCATGTAGCATAATATTGTTGATTCATATCATCACATATTGCATGATTTAGTTCTTTGTCAAGGCTGAATAATATTGCATGGTATGTATATACAACATGTTCTTTATCCATCCATCTCTTGGTAGACATCTAGGTTGTTTCCATGTCTTGGCTATTGCGAATAATGATGCCATGCACATGTAAACACTACTGATATCTCTTCTAAATCTTGATTTCAGTCATTTTGTATAAATACCCCAGAAGTGGGACTGATGGACCATTTTGTAGTGCTGTTTTTTATTTTATTTTTTTAAGTGGTGAGGTCTGTCACCCAGGCTGGATTGGGATTATGATAGCTCACTGTAGCCTTGAACTCCTGCAGCCTTGAACTCTTGGGCTAAAGAAATCCTCTTGCCTCCACAAGCATGTGCCACCATACCTGGCTATTTTTTTTTTCTCTAATAGAGAGACTGGGTCTTGATTTGCTGCCCAGACTAGTCTTGAACTCCTGGCTTCCAGTGATCCTCCAGACTCGGCCTACCAAAATGCTGAGATTACAAATGTGAGACACCATGCCTGGCCTGGTAGTTCTATTTTTAATGGTTTGAGGAACCTCCACACTATTTTTCAAAGCAGCTGCATCATTTTGCATTCTCATTAAGAGTGAACAAGTGTTCCAACTTATATACATCCTTGATAATACTTTTTTTTTAAAAAAAGTTTGATATTAGCTATCCTTACAGATATGAGGTGATATCTCATTGTGTATTTGGTTTCTGTTTCCTTGATGATTGTTGACACTGAGCATTTTTTTAATATAACTGTTAGGCATTTGCATGTCTTCTTTGGAAAAATGTATTTAGTTATTTTGTCAATTCTTTAGTAGGGTTGTTAGGTTTTCTTGCTGTTATGTTGTAGCAATTTATTATATATTTTTGAAATTAAGCCCTTATCTGACATATGATTTGCAAATATTTTCTCCCATTTTGTAGGTTTGTTTTTCATTTTGTTGGTTGTTTAGTATGCTTTTCAGTTTGATGTAGACTCATTGGCCTATTTTTGCTTTCTTTGCCTGTGCTTTCGATGTTATATTCATGAATCTATTGCCATAAAATCAAGCCACAAAGATCATCCCATATATTTTTCTAAGAGTTTTACAATTTCACATCTTACATTATAGTTTTTAATGCATTTTAAGTTGTTTTTGTGCATGGTATAAGATAAGGATCTGATTTCATTATTTGGCATGTGGATATCCAGTTTCCCCAATACCATTTGCTACAGAAATAATCACTTCCCCATTGTGTATTCTGAGAATCCTCCTCAAAGCTAAACCATATATGTGTGGATTTATTTTCTGGGCTCTTTATTATGTTCCTTTGGTCTACTGTTTTTATCCCAGTCACATACTGGCTAAGTACAGTAGTTTTTAATATATTTAAAATCTGAAAGTTGATGCCTCCAGCTTTGTCCTCAGTTCTCAAGATTGTTTTGGCTCTTCAGTGTCTTTTGTGATTGCAAATGAATTTTAGAATGATTTTTCTCTGTTTTTATAAAAATACCATTAGCATTTTTATGGTAATTGCATTTAATCTGTAGATACAATATTAATTTTTCCAATCTATGAACATAGGATTTATTTTCATTTGTTTGTGTCTTCAATTTCTTTCATCATGTTTTGTAGTCTTTAGTATCTCACCTCCTTAAGTTTATTCCTAAATATTTTATTCTTTTGATGCTTTTGTGAATGGGATTGCTTTTCTAATTTTCTTTTCAGAGAGTTCACTATTAGTATATAGAAACACAAATGATTTTTGTATGTTGATTTTGTATCCTACTTCTTTGCTGAATTCATTTATTAATTGTAGGGGTTTTAAATAAAGATTTTAGGATTTTCTATGTATGTAAGATGATGTCATCTGCAAATGGGAGTAATTTACATTTTTTTCTGATATTTATGCCATGTTTGCTTGTCTAATTGCTCCAAGTGAGACTTCCAATACTATGTTTAATGAATGTGGAGAGAGCGGGCATCCTTGCCTTGTTTTTGATCATAGAGGGAAAACATTCGGATTTTCACCATTGAGTACAATGTTAGTTCTGGGATTTTCATATGTGGATTTTTATTGTATTGATGAACATTCCCTCTAAACCGAGTTTATGGAGCATTTTAATCATGAAAACTTGTAAAATTTGTCAAATGCTTTTTGGCATCTATTGAGAAGATCATGTAAATTTTATCTTTCATTCTGTTAATGCTCTATATTATATTACTTGATTTGTATTTGCTTAACTGTCTTTCCATCCCAGGGTTAAATCTTACTTGTTCATGTTTGTCAAAGATCAGATAGTTGTAGATATGTGGCATTATTTCTGAGGGCTCTGTTCTGTTCCATTGATCTATATCTCTGTTTTGGTACCAGTACCATGCTGTTTTGGTTACTGTAGCCTTGTAGTATAGTTTGAAGTCAGGTAGTGTGATGCCTCCAGCTTTGTTCTTTTGGCTTAGGATTGACTTGGCGATGCGGGCTCTTTTTTGGTGCCATATGAACTTTAAAGTAGTTTTTTCCAATTCTCTGAAGAAAGCCATTGGTAGCTTGATGGGGATGGCATTGAATCTGTAAATTACCTTGGGCAGTATGGCCATTTTCACGATATTGATTCTTCCTACCCATGACCATGGAATGGTCTTCCATTTGTTTGTATCCTCTTTTATTTCCTTGAGCAGTGGTTTGTAGTTCTTCTTGAAGAGGTCCTTCACATCCCTTGTAAGTTGGATTCCTAGGTATTTTATTCTCTTTGAAGCAATTGTGAATGGGAGTTCACTCATGATTTGGCTCTCTGTTTGTCTGTTGTTGGTGTATAAGAATGCTTGTGATTTTTGTACATTGATTTTGTATCCTGAGACTTTGCTGAAGTTGCTTATCAGCTTAAGGAGATTTGGGGCTGAGACAATTGGGTTTTCTAGATATACAATCATGTCTTCTGCAAACAGGGACAATTTGACTTCCTCTTTTCCTAATTGAATACCCTTTATTTCCTTCTCCTGCCTAATTGCCCTGGCCAGAACTTCCAACACTATGTTGAATAGGAGTGGTGAGAGAGGGCATCCCTGTCTTGTGCCAGTTTTCAAAGGGAATGCTTCCAGTTTTTGCCCATTCAGTATGATATTGGCTGTGGGTTTGTCATAGATAGCTCTTATTATTTTGAAATACGTCCCATCAATACCTAGTTCATTGAGAGTTTTTAGCATGAAGCGTTGTTGAATTTTGTCACAGGCTTTTTCTGCATCTATTGAGATAATCATGTGGTTTTTGTCTTTGGTTCTGTTTATATGCTGGATTACATTTATTGATTTGTGTATATTGAACCAGCCTTGCATTCCAGGGATGAAGCCCACTTGATCATGGTGGATAAGCTTTTTGATGTGCTGCTGGATTCGGTTTGCCAGTATTTTATTGAGGATTTTTGCATCAATGTTCATCAAGGATATTGGTCTAAAATTCTCTTTTTTGGTTGTGTCTCTGCCTGGCTTTGGTATCAGAATGATGCTGGCCTCATAAAATGAGTTAGGGAGGATTCCCTCCTTCTCTATTGATTGGAATAGTTTCAGAAGGAATGGCACCAGTTCCTCCTTGTACCTCTGGTAGAATTTGGCTGTGAATCCATCTGGTCCTGGACTCTTTTTGGTTGGTAAGCTATTGATTATTGCCACAATTTCAGCTCCTGTTATTGGTCTATTCAGAGATTCAACTTCTTCCTGGTTTAGTCTTGGGAGAGTGTATGTGCAAGGAATTTATCCATTTCTTCTAGATTTTCTAGTTTATTTGCATAGAGGTGTTTGTAGTATTCCCTGTTGGTAGTTTGTATTTCTGTGGGATCGGTGGTGATATCCCCTTTATCATTTTTTATTGCATCTATTTGATTCTTCTCTCTTTTTTTCTTTATTAGTCTTGCTAGCGGTCTATCAATTTTGTTGATCCTTTCAAAAAACCAGCTCCTGGATTCATTAATTTTTTGAAGGGTTTTTTGTTGCTCTATTTCCTTCAGTTCTGCTCTGATTTTAGTTATTTCTTGCCTTCTGCTAGCTTTTGAATGTGTTTGCTCTTGCTTTTCTAGTTCTTTTAATTGTGATGTTAGGGTGTCAATTTTGGATCTTTCCTGCTTTCTCTTGTGGGCATTTAGTGCTATAAATTTCCCTCTACACACTGCTTTGAATGTGTCCCAGAGATTCTGGTATGTTATGTCTTTGTTCTCGTTGGTTTCAAAGAACATCTTTATTTCTGCCTTCACTTCGTTATATACCCAGCAGTCATTCAGGAGCAGGTTGTTCAGTTTCCATGTAGTTGAGCAGTTTTGAGTGAGATTCTTAATCCTGAGTTCTAGTTTGATTGCACTGTGGTCTGAGAGACAGTTTGTTATAATTTCTGTTCTTTTACATTTGCTGAGGAGAGCTTTACTTCCCAGTATGTGGTCAATTTTGGAATAGGTGTGGTGTGATGCTGAAAAAAATGTATATTCTGTTGATTTGGGGTGGAGAGTTCTGTAGATGTCTATTAGGCCCTCTTGGTGCAGAGCTGAGTTCAATTCCTGGGTATCATTGTTGACTTTCTGTCTCGTTGATCTGTCTAATGTTGACAGTGGGGTGTTAAAGTCTCCCATTATTAATGTGTGGGAGTCTAAGTCTCTTTGTAGGTCACTCAGGACTTGCTTTATGAATCTTGGTGCTCCTGTATTGGGTGCATATATATTTAGGATAATTAGCTCTTCTTGTTGAATTGATCCTTCCCTATTTAATAAATGGTGCTGGGAAAACTGGCTAGCCATATGTAGAAAGCTGAAACTGGATCCCTTCCTTACACCTTATAAAAAATCAATTCAAGATGCATTAAAGAGTTAAACGTTCGACCTAAAACCATAAAAACCCTAGAAGAAAATCTAGGCATTACCATTCAGGACATAGGCATGGGCAAGGACTTCATGTCTAAAACACCAAAAGCAATGGCAACAAAAGACAAAATTGACAAATGGGATCTAATTAAACTAAAGAGCTTCTGCACAGCAAAAGAAACTACCATCAGAGTGAACAGTCAACCTACAAAATGGGAGAAAATTTTCGCAGCCTACTCATCTGACAAAGGGCTAATATCCAGAATCTACAATGAACTCAAACAAATTTACAAGAAAAAAGCAAACAACCCCATCAAAAAGTAGGCAAAGGACATGAACAGACACTTCTCAAAAGAAGACATTTATGCAGCCAAAAAAAAAACATGAAAAAATGCTCATCATCACTGGCCATCAGAGGAATGCAAATCAAAACCACAATGAGATACCATCTCACACCAGTTAGAATGGCAATCATTAAAAAGTCAGGAAACAACAAGTGCTGGAGAGGATGTGGAGAAATAGGAACACTTTTACACTGTTGGTCGGACTGTAAACTAGTTCAACCATTGTGGAAGTCCGTGTGGCGATTCCTCAGGGATCTAGAACTGGAAATACCATTTGACCCAGCCATCCCATTACTGGGTATATACACAAAGGACTATAAATCATGCTGCTATAAAGACACATGCACACGTATGTTTATTGCAGCATTATTCACAATAGCAAAGACTTGGAACCAACCCAAATGTCCAACAATGATAGACTGGATTAATAAAATGTGGCACATATACACCATGGAATACTATGCAGCCATAAAAAATGATGAGTTCATGTCCTTTGTAGGGACATGGATGAAATTGGAAATCATCATTCTCAGTAAACTATCGCAAGAACAAAAAACCAAACACTGCATATTCTCACTCATAGGTGGGAATTGAACAATGAGATCACATGGACACAGGAAGGGGAATATCACACTCTGGGGACTGTTGTGGGGTGGGGGGAGGGGGGAGGGAAAGCATCGGGAGATATACCTAATGCTAGATGACGAGTTAGTGGGTGCAGTGCACCAGCATGGCACATGTATACATATGTAACTAACCTGCACAATGTGCACATGTACCCTAAAACTTAAAGTATAATAAAAAAAAAAAGAAATTTTCCAAAAAAAAAAAAATCTTACTTGTTCATGACATTTAATATTTTAAGTTTCCTGGTGAATTCAGTTTGCTAGTATTTTGCTGAGAGTTTTTGAATTTATATTCATGACGAATATTGACCTAGCCTTTTCTTTTTTGTGGTATCTGTCTGGTTTTGATATCATGATATTGCTGAACTCAGAAAATGAGTTTGAATGTGTTTTATTCTCTGCAACTCTTTGGAAGAAGAGTTTTAGAAGAACTGGTGTTAATTCTTTTTTAAATGTTTCACACAATTCACCAGTTAATTATTTGGTCCTTGACTTTTCTTTGTTAGAAGGATGCATTTGGTTACTGATTTTATCTCCCCACTAATTACAGATCTATTCAAATTTTCTATTTCATTTTGACTCAGGTAGGTTTATGTTTCTAGGGATTTTTCTACTTTTCTTGGTTATACAATTCATTGTCATATGGGTGCTCATAGTTGTCTCCTGTGATTCTTTTATATTTTAGTGGCATCAATTGTAATGTATTTCCTTTCTTTTCTGATTTTGAGTCTTATCTTTTTTGTTTGTTTGTTTTTAGCTATTATTGCTAACCATTTGTCTACCTTGTTTATTTTTTAAAAAATAACTTTTTATAGATTTTAAAATTGTTTTTATATGTTTGATGTAATTGCTTTGTTCTCTAATCTTCATTATATTTTTCCTCTGGTAATTTGAGTTTGCTTTAATTTTTCTATTTATTTGAAGGATAGATTTAGATTGGTTGTTTGAGATCTTTCTTTTTCTAATGTAGGCATTCTCATAATAAGCTTCCTTTTTAGTACTGTTTTTGTTCCATCATATAAGTTTTCATATCTTTTCATTTCTATTTTTCTCAAGGTATTTTCTAACTTTCTTTCATTCTTCTTTAACCCATATATTGCTCAATAGAATCTTATAAAATTCCTACACATTTGTAATTTTTTTAGTTTTACTTCTGCTATTGAGTTCTAGTTTTACTTCGTTGTGATTGGAAAAGATTGGCATAATTTTAATCATCTTGAGTTGTTATGATTTGTTTTATGACTTAACATGTAATCTATCCTGGAGAATGTTTTGTGTGCACTCAAAAAGAATGTATATTCTGCCGCTGTTTGGTGGAATGTTCTGGATAAGTATGTTATTTGCATTTGATCAATAACGTTATTCGGGTCTCCTGTTTCTTTATCAATTTTCTGCTTGCATATTCTATCCATTATTGAAAATGGAGTATTGAAGTCCTCTGTTATTGTATTTCCATCTATTTCTCACTTAAGTTCTGTTAATATTTGCTTTGTGTATTAAACATCTTTGATATTGTGTGCACATACATTATAACTGTTGTATCTTCCTGGTGGATTGGCCCTTTTATCAATATATAATAACTTTCCTTATTTCTTGTAACAGTTTTTGACTTACAACGAATGCCAAGTACACTACTAAACTTAATTTTATTCTTTGTACTACCTTTCCTACTCTTTTTTTTTCTCTATTTGGTAGACCTGCGATTATAACTTTCTAGAAATATTTAGCATGTATGTAGAAACAAATTCTGATCAAATTCTGATGTTCTGCAATTGTGTCCTACCTACCTTAGGTTCAGATTTTACATCAGATATGCAGGAATATAAAATTGAATATTTTTAATAACTGAAGCTCAGATTCAGAATGTAAATTCTGAAAATTTGTGGATCTTATTCTCTTTCTTTTTCTATATACACAGAGGATCTTTTCAATATTCTCTATCTTAGTTTGTCTGGAGCAAGGCCAAAAAAATAGTTAAACACCTCATTGTAAAACATTGATATTCCTCTCAATACTTCAGATTCTATTAGTCTGGACCATATAAAAATGACATTTTTAAAAGTCAAATTCTTTTGACTATGACAATTGCATAAGGCTTCACTTAATAATTTCAAATATTTCAAATTTTCTTTAGATGTGTCCTAAGTTATTGAGAACTATGGAATGACAAATTTTAATATTTTCATAATTCTGTTAGAGGTATAAACATGTTTCATTTAGTTTAAATTTCAAAAAAACTAGTGTTCAATTATATGTCTGTATATGGTGTTCAATTATATTATGTTACAATTTAATACAGAAATTTTGATGTATTTTCTTCTGCACTATTGATTGATCATTATTTGTTGATTCCTCTGACATTCATTAAATTAAAATCATAACACTGTGATTTATGGAGTTCTGATATTATAGTTATAAATGGACAAGTTTCATTTTTACAGTATGAAATTTTCTTAGAATATTTTATCATAATAAAGTACTTTACAAAAGACTTAATACTGCTTCTCTATCCATCTGAAATGCTTTTAATGTGTGTCCAGATATTATGAGGACAGACTTTTATGAATAATCCAGAGCTTTCATTTATCTCAGCTTTTTGTTCTAGATTGCTGTGATCACATATGCACATACACTGAAAAATGGTCCAATAAGTTAGTATCCTAAAATGTTTTCTGTTACCATGAGCTTTCTATAGAACATGGCTATGACAAAAAAAAAAAATAAAAAAAAATAAAAAAACAAATATTTGGAGAGTATTTTAAGACAAAACAAATCTTATAAGACTTTCAGCTGAAATAAAAAAGTAATAAGTTAAAAATTTATTAGAATAGTTATTTGAATCCACTTCCATCTCTATCCTCCAACTTCTAACCACCACTACAAAAGCCTACAAATGTATTTGTTTCTATTATAAATTGACATGAACTTTTATTTTAACTGCTAAAACAGCAATGATTTAAATATATGTTGAAATAAGAAATTTTTCACTGGAAGTTGAACCATTCGTTTTATTTTTGTCTATCTCAGAAGTAAGCTATGTCTACCATTAACAGATTTACTAAAAGTCTACATTTAATTAAAACAAAGTCCTAAATGGCAGGTTTTAAATTTTTCAAATGTTTTAAAACTTTTTTTTTCATATGATGTGAAAGTTTCTTTTTTGAAGGTTTTTGTTTTTCCTTTTGTCTTTCTCTGAAGAGTTGTGGTACAACATTATATCTGAATACGTGTGCTTTGGAGACAGTCCTGGGCTTTAATCCTAGATCCACCACTTACTATCTCTAATAAAGTCCGTGAAGCTTTGCTTCTTCATTTATAAACCAGTGATAATAGTATCTCTCTCTAAGCATTCGGATGAGCATTCAAAGCTATTTAATTTGTAAATTTAAATTGCATGCAATACGTACAGTTTACATGTCTACCTACATACATCAAATGCTACATGGTCAATAAATGGAAGATACTATTGTTCCAATATGTATAAAGTCAATTCCATTACTAATTAACTATTTGAAGCCTCAGGCTAGGAATACAATTTCAATCAATTGGTTAATATTATCCCTACAGTACAAGGAAAGTTGTCTTATAATGAAAATACAATGTCAAAATTACAAGCAAATCTGATATTTTAAGATTTAATTTTATGCTGTCAATGTCAATTATGAAAGTAAATTAAAGATTTTATATTTATTCTCACAGAACCAGTTACATGAGACTTCTATTTGTTAATAAATGTGTTCCATAGATGACTCAAGGAATCCACAGATATGATGTGTATTGCATATTCTAAAATGAACAATTAATATATCCACCTAAACCACCATTTAAAGTATAAGTTAACTCCATTTTAGAGTTAGAAAATTAATCAAAGATTTTAGACTACTTAATTAATTTCAAGCTAACACAGACACAAATACACACAAACACACATGCCCTCACATATCAGGCAATGTGATAATTTTACATATTAAAATGTATAAAATTAGCCAAATAAAATACTAACACAAAATTGTATAGGAGAAAATCTGTGAACAAATATTTGCTATATATTAGACAAATATTATACAGGTATGTAACAAGTACACATGTGACAAAACTTTCTAATATCCTCCATTGCCCATCTGGGTGGCATAAAAGAGTGTAAAGATATCCACACAGTAGACACTCAGATCAAGAATATTTAAATTTTATCGCTGAAGCAAAGTAACATTTTACTTATACTATTTATTTATTTATTTATTATTTTCCATAAGTTATTGGCATACAGGTGGTACTTGGTTACATGAGTAAATTCTTTAGTGGTGATTTGTGAAATTTTGGGACACCCATCACCTGAGCAGTATACACTGCACTGTATTTGTAGTCTTTTATCCCTCACCCTCCTTCCACTCTTCCCCCTCAAGTACACAAAGTCCATTGTATCATTCTTATGCCTCTACATCCTCACAGCTTAGCTCCCACATATCAATGAGAATGTATGATATTTGGTTTTCCATTCCTGAGTTACTTCACTTAATAGTCTCCATTCCCACCGAGGTCACCGCAAACACTATTAAATCATTCCTTTTTATGGCTGTGTAGTATACTATCTCATATATATAATATATACATTATACATACATAGAATATATATCTATATATACAACATACATAGAATATATATTCTATATATAATATATATCTATATTCTATATATTCTACATATATTCTATATAGAATATAGAATATATATACAATATTCTATATAGAATATAGAATATATATACTATATATAATATAGAATATATATACTATATATTCTATATAGAATATATATTCAACATATATTCCATATATATTCTACATAGAATATATATTCAATATATATTCCATATATTCTCTATAGAATATATATTCAATATATATTCCATATGTATTCTCTATAGAATATATATTCAATATATATTGAATATATATACTATACAGAATATATATTCCATATATATTCTATATAGAATATATATTCCATATATATTCTATATAGAATATATATTCCAGACAGAATATATAGAGTCCATATTCTATGTAGAATATAGATTCCATATAGAATATATAGAATCTATATTATATATAGAGTATGTATTCCATATAAAATCTATATTCTATATAGAATATATATTCCATATAGAATATATAGAATCTATATTTTATATAGAATATATATAGAATACATATAGAATATATATAGAATATTTATTCAATACTTACAGAATATATATTCTATATAGAATACATATAGAATATATATAGAATATATATTCTACATTGAATCTATATAGACTATACATACTATATAGAATATACATAGAATATACATAGAATATACATTCTATATAGAATATACATAGAACATACATTCTATACAGAATCTATATAGAATATATAGAATCTATATTCTACATATATACTATATAGAGTATATATAGACTATATATAGAATATATGTTCTATATAGACTATATATAGAATATATGTTCTATATACAATATATATAGAATATGTGTTCTATATACAATATATATAGAATATGTGTTCTATATACTATATATAGAATATGTGTTCTATATACAATATATAGAATATGTGTTCTATATAGAATATATATAGAATGTGTGTTCTATATAGAATATATATAGAATGTGTGTTCTATATAGAATATATATAGAATGTGTGTTCTATATAGAATATATATAGAATGTGTGTTCTATATAGAATATATATAGAATGTGTGTTCTATATAGAATATATATTCTATATAGAGTATATATAGAATGTGTGTTCTATATAGAGTATATATAGAATGCATATTCTATATAGAGTATATATAGAATGTGTGTTCTATATAGAGTATATATAGAATGTATATTCTATATAGAGTATATATAGAATGTATATTCTATATAGAGTATATATAGAATGTATATTCTATATAGAGTATATATAGAATGTATATTCTATATAGAGTATATATAGAATGTATATTCTATATAGAGTATATATAGAATATATATAGAATGTATATTCTATATAGAGTATATATAGAATATATATAGAATGTATATTCTATATATAGAATATATATAGAATGTATATTCTATATATAGTATATATAGAATATATATAGAATGTATATT